>NC_000002.12:223739618-224364618 GCF_000001405.40 Homo sapiens
AGGGTTCTAGCTACTGCAGATATGGAGTTTCTGCCCTCAAAAAGTACACATTATAGAGAGGGAGAAGACAAATGCAATAAATGCATGAATACATGAACAAATAGGTAAGCAACAAAACAAACCAATGGAATAATTTCAAATAAAGTAAGTGTTATAAAGAAAATAAAACAGGGTTATGGGCAAGACAGTGACAGTGGGGAGACAGATTGCTACTGAACTGGGGTGATCAAGGAACAGCTCTCTGAGGAGGTGATGTACAAGCTCAAACATACAAAAATGCAGAAAGAAGAAAACACATCCTATGTTAGGGACACAGCTGGATGTGGGGTACTGGGATCAGAAAGGAAGGAGAAAGCATGAAAAGACCTAGTTCTTAATGAGAACACATGGACACAGGGAGGAGAACAACACCCACTGGGGCCGCTGAGCGGGGGTGGGGAGGGAGAGCATCAGGATAAATAGCTAATGCATGTGGGGCTTAATACCTAGGTGATGGGTTGACAGGTGCAGCAAAACACCATGGCACACGTTTACCTATGTAACCAACTTGCATGTCTTGCACAGGTATCCTGGAACTTTAAATTAAGTTAAAATATATATTTTTTTAATTTAATTTAATTTATACCATATATATATATGTGTGTGTGTATATATCTGGTTTTATTTATACCAGATATATATATATCTGGTTCCACAACAAGAAGAGTGGACATTATCCCATGGGCAACAGAGACCACTGTGGGGTTTACAGCAACAGAGGGGATAGATCTGATTTTTATCTTAGCTGTACTGTGCTTCATCCCAAAGAAATCGCTAGGCATTGGGCCTGGGTTTGGAAATTCCTCTCAAGTTCTTCTGCATTGGAAACACTAAAACAACAAGCAGTGGGGCAAACAATGAAAGCTATGTCTGATGTTTTTCAATGCAACATAATATATCCCTGATTATATTCCTGCCCAAGACTCTGAAGCCAGACTTCTACAGAAATAACCACAAAAGTCACACGCAATGAGATCTATGGAACATGCTGAAATGGGAGAGTTCTCTTACCACCCTCAGAGGACGTTTGACAGGGGTGTGGCTCACTCCTTCAGCCACCCTGCTGCTCAAACCCTTAGAGGGAGTGTGCAGATGGGCAGGTACAGAGCCCATGGGGGCACCTTCGGGCTCCAGCGCCACAGCAGCGTCTAGGAGTGGGTGCCTGCAACTTCCAAAGCCCAAGTGGGTGTGTGTCACAGTGTGCTCTTTCAGCTTTGCTGTCTGCAGACAGCCTGTGTTAATCAGCTCAATTAGACACTCTGCCTTATCAAGAGGGCAGACGGCCAGTGTGACAGCTTTCTGTATCCCAAGTTCTTGCCCAGTATACTGGAAAAATTGGATCACACATGGGCTTGAAGGATGAGTGCTAGGTTTTATTCAGTGGTGGATGTGGCTGTCAGTGAGATGGGTGGGGAGTGGGAAGTGGGGATGGAGTGGGAAGGTGGTCTTCCCCTGGAGTCAGGCCACCCAGCAGCTGGACTTTCCTCTGACTGCCCCTGGCCAACTCCCCTTCTCTGTTTCTCTGCCACGTGTTCCAACATTGCTGGTCTGCTGGTGTCTGCTGGTGTGTTCCTCTGCTTCTCTGGATGTTCAACCACTTGTATGTGTGCCCGCTAAGGTTGCAGGTTTATATGGGCACAGGAATGGGGTGTGGCAGGCCAGAGTGGTCTTGGAAAATGAAACATTTGGGCACAAAAAAACAGGAGTGCCTGTTCTCACTTAGGTCCGTGGGCACAGGCCTGAGGGTGGAGCCCTCGCCAGTAACCCTGCCCTTTTCTACCCAGCACTTCCCTGACCCCCCTCCCACCGTATCAATACGTTATAGTACTTGATTTCAGAAAGACATATAAATCAATTAAAGAGCATAAGAATGCCTCGTATCCATACCATGCTCTGCAGAATGTGGAAGAAGGGGTGCTGCAGGCTTCCAGGAAATGGAGAAGCTTCCTCAAGAGGGGAGAAAATAGTATCCTGGGCTAGACGGTATGACCCTGGTGTCACCTCCCTGCTATAAGTGTCCTAAAAGCAAGAGCACAGGTATCAGGAGCTATAAGGGCCTCTTCCTTTAAGCGAAGTTCTTTCCATTTAAGGCAGAATATCAACAAGTTTCAAATGTACAGTTTATTCAACATCTGCATTGAACACACAGGAGTTTCTCTTATACCTCTCCCTCCCTCCTCCCCTTCCTCCTCCTCTCTTTCCTCTTTTAATAACCTTTTGAAAATGTAAAGACCATTCTTACCTTCCTGGCTGGCCATACAAAAATAGTCCACAGGTTGGATTTGGTCCAAGGACCATAATTTGCAGATCCCTGAGTTAGAGTCTCATAATTCCTGGGGAAACAGGCATGATCATTATAATGTTTTTTACACACACAAATTCTTCTTCCGCAATGTATGCTGTTTACCTGTGTCATCCAATATTGGATATTATGTTTACTTTTCATTTTTTCTGAATACCATTTGAATTTTTGTTAAAGACAAAGAAATTTTGCTAGGGATTTTTATTCATTTCTTTAAACATTCCAATATTGCTTAATCTTTTAAGAGTTTGAAAATGGAGTCCATGGCCCCAGAGAAATAAAATACCATATTATGCCTTGTTTGCTGTCTTGTGGAGGGACCGGCTAGCTATATCTTATAAGGTAGCCAGGTCACATCAGACTCTCAGCACACTTGGACTACTCTGTTTCAGGGATCACAGTTGGTCTGTGGCCTTCTGAACCTGGACAAAAATGAGCCTTATTTTGGGGTTATTCTGAATATGTCAAAAGAAGAGATTATCTTAAACCTAAGAATTTGTCTATGATTTAGTTCCTATTTTGTCAGATTTGTCCATTTGGCATCAGGGATGATATTAGCCTTATACTTGCTTTGTTTGGTGAAGCAAGAATTTGTCCTTCCCAGCTGAAAGCAGCGGAAGGGAGTCAAGATAGAGCCTACGGGGAAGTGGGGGAGGAAGACCACCAGGGAAACACACCCCAACTTATTTACAGAAAGAAACCCTCTCCTTTGAATATACTATGTAATAAATGGTATTGAAGTGCAATGTCTTTTTTTTATTATTATTATTTTTTGTGAGACAGTCTCGCTCTGTCTCCCAGGCTGGAGTGCAGTGGTGAGATCTCAGCTCACTGCAACTTCTGCCTCCTGGTTTCAAGCGATTCTCATGCCTCAGCCTCCTGAGCAACTGGGATTACAGACATGCACCAACCCCCCTATACCCCCCATCCTCCCCATGCTCTCCATTCCCCTCTATCCCCCACCCCAGCTAAATTTGTATTTTTAGTAGAGCCACGTTGACCAGGCTGGTCTCAAGCTCCTGGCCTCAAGTGATCAGTCTGCCATGGCCTCTCAAAGTGCTGGGATTACAGGCATGAGCCACTGTGGCTGGCCTTGAAGTGCAATTTCTATAACCAGCTTACAAAATGGTGCCCCAGTTCTGGGCCTTTTTCTTCAATGAAGCTATTTTAGGCAACATAAAACCTCTTCCCTACAATAGGGTTAGGATAGCGCTTTTGCTGCTTATCAGAGAGATCCAGAAGAGAAACCAAGAACAGCAGCTAACATTTGTTGAGCACTTACCAGGTGCCAGACCCTGTCCTGAGCACAGATGAGGAAACCGAGGCAGGGAGAAATTACCTGCCAGAAGCCACACGGCTGGCAGGGGACAGAGTCAGGTCATGAACCCCAACACTTCAGGTCCAAAACCCACCTTATCAATTAACTAAGGGATTCTAGGTGCTAATTTTGAAATGTTGTTAAATGGCCTCTGTAAAGCAATTCCCACGGCCTTGAAAGGCTAAGCAGCCAACAAGGCTGGGCAAGCCTGCCTGCCTCTCACCAGTCCCATGCAAGTCTATGGTCCCTGCTTCCAGCAGGGCAGTCCTAGCAAGGCTGATGGGCAAGCTGCCCTGGGCAGTTAGAACCTTCAAATCGGCAAAATTGCCAGTCATACATACTAACCCTTTGCTTACTGTCCCCTTCCCCTGGGAATATGGAGATACGTTTTGAATGAGAAGAAACAAAGCCTGAAATGTACTAATTTCAAATATTGGCTGAGAGCTTTTACTCAGCCATGTCAACTCTGGCTCTCACCACATAATCCCAGGAAATTGAGAAGGCCTGACCTTCTCACAGACCCCACTGCACTCTGCCCCCAAAACACCTTCCCAGACTTTCCCTCCAACTGTCCCCTTCCTGGTACCCAAACTGTTTTCTTTTTTTTTTTTTTTTGATTAAGATGGAGTTTCACTCTTGTTGTTCAGGCTGGAGTACAATGGTGTGATCTCTGCTCACTGCAACCTCCTCCTCCCCGGTTCAACCGATTCTCCTGCCTCAGCCTCCCGAGTAGCTGGGATTACAGGTATGCACCACCATGCCTGGTTAATTTTTTGTATTTTTAGTAGAGACGGGGATTCACCATGTTGGCCAGGTGATCTCCAACTCCTGACCTCCAACTCCTGGTCTCAGGAGTTGGAGGCTGGTCTCCAACTCCTGACCTCAGGTGATCTGCCCACCTCGGCCTCCCAAAGTGCTGGGATAACAGGCGTGAGACACCGTGCCTGGCCTCCATAATTGTTTTCACATACCAAACTACTGAACAATAGCATCTGAATTGGGTTGTGTCGGGGGTCCCCAATACCACCCTCAGGCTCGATGATTCCCTAGAAGGACTTACAGGATTCTGAAGCCATTATAGTCACAGTTACAGTTTATTGCAGTGAAAGCATATAAATTAGAATGAGGAAAAGGGAAAAGGCACATGGGGGGACGTCCAGGAGAAGCCAGGCATAAGCTTCTAGCTTCCCTTCAGTGGTGTCACAGGAGGATGCATTTAATTCTCCCAGCAACAACATGTGGCAACATATGCAAAGTTTTGCCAACCAGGGAAGCTCACCAAACATCGGTGTCTTTTGGTTTTACCTAGACACCAGTTACCTAGGCATGCAGCACCCATGTGACTGACCTCAGCTACCCAGACTCCAGCCCCCTCACCCAGAGCAAAGACAGTGTTTGGCATAAATCACAAAGCTAGGATCAACCTATCTGGTCACACTGACACAGCATGGCCCAAGGCTGGGGTATGCAGAACACTCTTATCAGGCAAAACATTCCAGGGGCTCAGACGTTATGTCTCAAGAGCCAGCCAGTTCTGGAGGCAAGTTTTTAAATGTGCAGAGCTTGAGCAACCTAGACATGCAGAGTTAACCGTTTCCGGTACAGGTTGTCAGCAAAGAAAAACAAATCTCCTCAAATGGCTCTATCAACAATATCAAGGAAGGCTGGGCATGGTTAATCACATCTGTAATCCCTGCACTTTGGGAGGCCAAGGCGGGCAGATCACTTGAGGTCAGGAGTTCAAGACCAGCCTGGTCAACATGGTGAAACCCTGTCTCTACCAAAAATATAAAAAATTAGCTGAGTGTGGTGGTGCATGCCTGTAATCCCAGCTACTTGGGAAGCTAAGGCAGGAGAATTGCTTGAACCCAGGCGGCGGAGGTTGCAGTGAGCCAAGATGGCACCACTGCACTCCAGCCTGGGCTACAGAGCAAGACTCCATCTCAAAAAAATAAATAAATGAATAAATCAAGGACCAAAAGAAACAGCAGGACCCTGACTCTACAGTTAAATGTATCCAGGGGGATGTGGGGATGTGGTGGGTAGGAAACCCATGGCTATGGTTTGAATGCACTTCCTTCCTTGTGAATTTGAAAGTGTGACAAAAGCATTGATGTAATAAACATTAAGTAATCCATCTGAATAGCAACATAAGCTCACAGCCTCTGCCTTGCAGAAGCTCACTTTTGAGGGAGAAATGGCCTGTTGTCCATGTAGGTTCACATATATAGGAGCCACGGTGTTCTCTGCTCCTGTGGTACCCAATAAAATCCATTAATGCTGGGGAAGGGAGTCATGGGGATAGTTTCACAGGAGCTGGCACTGAGCTGAGCCCTGGATGGTGACCAAAAGTTACCAGGTCAGCAGTGAGTGGGGCATTCCCAAGGCAGGAGACAAAAAGGTAGGATATTCCAGGTGGAGGGCTCAGGACATGCACGACAGCTCAGTGCATTTGGACTGTCATATTAATCCGATTACTTTTCTAAATCTTCTGCATAGGGTCAAGTTTGTAAGGCTAGTTGTTAGAAAGTAGTTTATGGCACAGCATCCCAACCTTTTTATGTCATGGTACTCATAGAAAATAATCCTATTTTTGGTACATTTCCTTTGGAAAAGAAAAAAGGCTCCTCTGGGGACAAAGGATCAATACCTTCAGGTCACCTGCACTGCATTCATGTCACACCACATAGCATAGCAAATGGATTGGGAAGCCCTGGTATAGGGCAGACTGCCCACAGGCAGCAGTCCTGATTTGAATATTCTGCTTTCTCTAAGGACAAGGAGGAGAGAGAAAGAAAGAGTAAGAGAGAGAGAGAGAGATGCCACTATGATTTCCCAATCAATTTTCTGTTCAGTTTTATTTTTCTAAATATTAATATTTGCAATTTTTACTAAATATACAATCAATTTTCTGTTTAGTGTGATTTCCCAAGCAATTTTCTGTGGAGTTTTATTTTTCTAAGTGTTAGTTTTTGCAGTGTGATTTTTATTGGGAGCAAGTGAAGGAGCCACTCCCATAGTATACACTTCCAAAGGAAACACTTGGTTATAACATGGACCCTTTATCACTAAGCCTAATTTTCTACAGCCTATAATTTGCCTTTGTCACTAAAAGGCAATTATTAAGAACAATTGATGGCTGAGTGCAGTGGCTCATGCCTGTAATCCTAGCACTTTGAGAGGCCGAGGCAGGCAGATCACTTGAGGTCAGGAGTTCAAAACCAGCCTGGCCCACAGGGTGAAACCTCGTCTCTACTAAAAATACAAAAATTAGCTGGGTGTCGTTGTCAATGCCTATAGTCTCAGCTACTCAGGAGGCTGAGGCAGGAGAATCACTTGAACCCGGGAGGCAGAGGGTGCAGTGAGCTGAGATCACGCCACTGTACTCCACACTCCAGTCTGAGCAACAGAGCAAGACTCCATCTCAAAAGGAAAAAAAAAAAAAAGAACAATTGAGAGAAGTCAATACTGTATAAAGGGCCTTAACTTGGCTCTCAGCCCTTTTTTGCATTGTTCACTCTAAATTCTTGTTTCACTACATTTCCATATATAAACAAGAGCACAAAGTGTGTGAATCAAACATATAGGGAATCTTTACATTTATCAACATGAAATATCATTCTTTTACTATTATCTGTTCTTCCTCACTTGCTCATCTGTTCTAAATGAGGAAGGAAGGAAGGAAGGGAGGAAGGAAGGAAGGAAGGAAGGGAGGGAGGGAGGAAGGAAGGAAGGAAGGAAGGAAGGAAGGAAAAGGAAAAGGAAGGGAGGGAGGAAAGGAGGGAAACTACTTTTCCTGTCCCTTATGAATAATGTATTACCTAGGTCTAGTATACAATATACTTGGTAGTCAATCATTCTCCTGGTAACTATCACTTTCAGCTACAGTTAAGCTTCTTTAAGGGTATTTTTCCATTTTTGTTTACAGATACACCTTCCTAGGCTTTATCTTCACATCACTTGCATTTACACAGATCTCACATGGTATCTAAAGAGAAAGTCAACACATTTTTGTAGCAAAGGGCAAAAGGAAGACTGAAGAGACAGAGCGAAATCAGCATGCCACTGCTTTCTACTTCATGACTTGGAAATAATAATAATCAAAAAGTTTTCTAATCTTAATAAGTGATCCCCTATCATAATCTTGCACTAAAATCATAATCCACATGACACATTTAAAAATACAAAAAGTGCACATATTTGGGTAGACTTGAATCATAGTTTTGAAAAGCCTGTTCCTCCTTGTACAATCACATCAACAAGCCATCAGGTTCTTTTTCATTATGCCGGCAAGTCTTGGCAATGGGCTCCCCACCCAGATGAATAGCTTCAACATAAAAGCTTGGTGTGTCATGCACGTGAATGGTATTGAATGAAGGCTGGCTTGGAAATGTGGCAGTTTAACTTCTGCTTCCAAACTTCTTATTTTTATTTCCCAAGAAAGAAAACACATCCTCATGGTGCCACTGCTAAGTGCTCAGTTTTAATTTTGATCATTCTATCACAAGAACAGCAGCAACCAAGTAATCACCATGTTCCTCAACTTTCAGCAGTTACTGATATCTTACTGTGTGCCAGGCACTGCTATGGGTGGTAGGGACCCAGTAGTAGACAGAACAGAAAAGGTCCTGGACAGTAGAGTGTCACCTGTCACCTGAAATGTTGGAATCCTATCATGCTTCAGAAGTACAATATTTTAATGTTACTTCTGGATTCAAGACAACATAAGAGACAGTAAAAACTCTCTTGATTAAAAATAAACTATTTGATGATATACTCTAGAAATGATCATACAACTTACTAGATTCAAGAACTTCTTGTGATTCTTCAAAAATCTTCTAGTTTGGCAGTATTAAAAGAAATGTACCTTTTGGCCGGGCACAGTGGCTCATGCCTGTAATCCCAGCACTTTGGGAGGCTGAGGTGGGAGGATCACTTGAGTTCAGGAGTTCGAGACCAGTCTTGGCAACATGGAAAAAAAACTTTCTGTTTTTTTTTTTTTTTTTTTTGAGATGGAGTTTCGCTCTTGTTGCCCAGGCTGGAGTGCAATGGTGCGATCTCTGCTCACTCCAACCTCCATCTCCTGGGTTCAAGCGATTCTCCTGCCTCAGCCTCCCAAGTAGCTAGGATTACAGGTACCTGCCACCATGCCTGGCTAATTTTTTGTATTTTTAGTAAAGACCATGCACCATGTTGGCCAGGCTGCTCTCGAACTCCTGGCTTCAGGTG
This sequence comes from Homo sapiens, assembly GCF_000001405.40. Lineage (NCBI taxonomy): Eukaryota > Metazoa > Chordata > Mammalia > Primates > Hominidae > Homo > Homo sapiens. The sequence goes on from NC_000002.12 coordinate 223,748,507, forward strand.
ATCCACCCACCTCGGCCTCCCAAAGTGCTGGGATTACAGGTTTGAACCACTGCACCCAGCCAGAAAAAAACAAACAAACCCCTCTTTACAAAAAATACAAAAATTGGCTGGGCATGGTGGCATGTGCTTGTAGTCCCAGCTCCAGAGGCAAAGGTGGGAGAATCACTTGAGCCTGGGAGGCAGAGGTTGCAGTGAGCCAAGATCACACCACCGCACCCCTGCCTTGATGACAGAGTGAGATCCTGTCTCAAAAAAAATAAAAAAGAAAAATACATCTTTTTAAAGGAGAGGTTTTAGACTCTAATCTAGTAGCTATGAGAAATTGTGTCAATGTATGTAAGATATCAATAGACCATTAGGAGACTCAGAAAAGTTATTTATTTCTCTCTAACACACACATACACACACACACACACAGCCCTCCCACTCATCCTGGACTTTTTATGTCCAGGTAATTTATATTTAAATATCTGCAATATAACATTAAAAGTGATAAATTAAGTACCTTGTGAGGCATAGATTTAATGCAAAGGGATTTCAGAGAAGGGAGAAAGAATGGAATGAGAGAGGATTCAGGAAGACAGTAGTACGTGAGTTGGGTGTTAAAGAATCTGGATATAGGGAAATGGAGCAAACAACATTTAGGTAAAAGGAATGAACAGAACAAGCAACAGCCAACAAGAAGAGAATCATACATCAACCTGAAGGAACTGTGAAGGAGGGTGGGTATGTGATTTAAAAGTACAGAAGCACTCAGATCATGGAGGGTCTCAAAAGGCAAACTAAGGGGCTGCACCTGCAACCACAGAAGCAGGGTAAAAATCTAGCATAGGGGTCAAATGAAAATGCCCAGGGGGCCAGGCATGGTAGCTCATGCCTGTAATCCCAGCACTTTGTGAGGCTGAGAAAGACTGATCACCTGAGGTCAGGAGTTCAAGACCAGCCTGGCCAACATGGTGAAACCCCATCTCTACTAAAAATACAAAAATTAGCCAGGAGTGGTGACACGTACCTGTAATCCCAGCTACTTGGGAGGCTGAGGCACAAGAAACATTTGAACCCGGGAGGCAGAGGTTGCAGTGAGCCAAGATGACACCACTGCACTCCAGCCTGGGTAACAGAGTGAGACTCCTGTCTCAAAAAAAAAGAAAGAAAAGAAAATGCCCAGAGAAGTGGGCAGGTGCAGAGGTGGGGGCTGTGGGAAACAGCAGTGCAACCCTCTAGCTCCAGCTGATTCTTGCCATATAGAAGTGCAGGGTCAATATTGCCAGCTCTTAAAATTTTCCAAGAAAAACAAAAGACTGTATGTGAAATAACATGATTGATTCAATTTTTTTATACAGTGACAGTCAAACAAAATTTGTACGCAGGTGCAGGATAACCCGTGGGACCCAATTTGTGCCTCTACAAAACTGACATGATGTGTGAATGGCAACATCACAATCTTTCTACTTCTACATTTTGGTATCTATTTCTTAGAAGCCTGCTTTCCCAATCATGCTTATTATCCACCCTTTTCCAGATAGTCGCTTGTGTTATCTCTAAAGGGTGCTTTATTTGTGCACTTTCTGTAAATAAACTTGATTTCATATATCCTGATCCTCCTGATGGTAGCGCACAGTTTTTTTGTGCATTGGGGCATGCTCAATGCTGTAACAACCCCAGTGCAGTGGCGTAACACAATAGAGGTTGACTTCTGTTGCATATATTAGTCCAGTTTGGCTGTCCTAGTTGGTTGGCTTTCCTGACAGCCTTTTTACAGATTCCTCCCATCTCATGGCTCTGCCTTCTCTGGGTCCTGGAGTCTTTTTGTTTAGCTGTAAACAAAGAATGGAGGTCTCATATGGGAGAGTTTTGTGAGCCAGACCTGCAGTGGGCATGGGTTACTTCAACCCACATTCCACTGGCCATAATTCCACCATGAATGAACCAACCTTCAAGAGAGGCTGCAAATTCAAGACCAGCAAAAAATGTATTCTTCCTCTGTTCTCTCCTTTCCTTCTGAAACATATGAGAAGTCCCTCCTCCAAAACTCGACAATGCAAACTTGTTTTTATTTATTTATTTTTTATTTTATTTTATTTTGAGATGGAGTCTCACTCTGTCACCCAGGCTGGAGTGCAGTGGCACCATCTTGGCTCACTGCAACCTCCACCTCCCCGGTTCAAGCAATTCTCCTGCCTCAGCCTCCCAAGTGGCTAGGACTACAGGTGTGAACCACCATGCTCGGCTAATTTTTGTATTGTTTAGTAGAGACGGGGTTTTGCCATGTTGGCCAGGCTGGTCTCAAACTCCTGACCTCAGGTAATTTCCGCCCACCTCAGCCTCCCAAAGTGATGGGATTACAGGCATGAGCCACTGCTCCCGGCCAATACAAACTTGTAATTCCCCTTTTACTCCAGGAGTGGTTCTATCTACTCTTATAATGGCATCTTTCATTTAAAGAGCACTCAATATTCTTCACTTGTATCATTTAAAAGGGTGAAAAACATGCTTGAATGTCATTAGGATTGTATTTCATACCAGACTCATCAAATATTCTCATGGGGTAACACCTTTGATCAAGACAAAGTTTAATTAAACAAATGACTACCACTGGCACTTGGTCAAAACATAAATGTTACAGCAATGATTATTCTTCCCTCTTCTATATATTGAGTGAATTAGACCACTGTATGATCTCATCTGATTCTAACATTCCATCCATTCCAAAGAGCAAGTCCAAGAGCCTTGTCAGTGGCACAGCCAGGACCAGCACGAAGGTCCTCAATTCCTACTCCACTTTGACTCTCTAAACATAAATATGATACTCAGTAATATGGTTCAGAACATCACAACCAGTGTACTATGGACCACTTGTTTACTCTGAGAGACTGATAGTTGAAAATCATGTATAGAGATAAAAAAATCAAATCATTATTTTTATTGATCCAAAAGTTCACACGAGTTGAAATAATATTTAAATAGTATTTGGATGGCTGTCTCAGAAAAATTCCTAAATTCAGTATTTATGTATTTTGGCTCAAAATATTTTGAATATAAAAGGCACTGATAGCCAGGCAAGATGGCTCAGACCTGTAATCCCAGAACTTTTTGGGAGGCTGAGGCAGGAGGATCAGTTAAGCCCAGAAGTTTGAGACCAGCCTGGGCAACATAGTGAGACACTTTGTCTACAATAGTTTTTTTTTTTTAATTAGCCAAGTATGGTGGCACACACCTGTAGCCCCAGCTACTCAGGAGGCTGCGGTGAGAGGATTGCTTGAGCCCAGGAGGTCCAGGTTGCAGTGCGCTGCTATCGTGCTACTGCACTCCAGCCTGGGTGACAGAGTGAGATCCCATCCCATTTCAAGAAAAAAAAAAAAGCACTAGCAGAAAGCAAAGAGGACTTGAATAAAAGTCTCTGTGCATGAAGCACTTTCTAAAATTATCAGCTGGTTTAATTTTATTAATACTCCATGATTTATTATTCTTGAGGGTATTTGTATGTAAAAGATTTAAATTTTCTTCCAAATTAATTTGCTCTATGCTCTTATATTTTTAATAAATGTTCGACTAATAAAGTATGTACAAATTGTTTTATTATTGCTATTATAATGAGATTAGGTGTTTCAAGTAGAACCCGTAATTGATTTCATTCATTTTTTTCTATTAATGTGCCTTGTTTTATTCATTTATTTATCCATCGTTTTGGTATTGGCTTTGAATATTATAATTAGTCATAGTCTAATGTTTGATAAAATCTCATTAAAAAGTTGTTTCCAGAAATAAAAAGATGCCCATTTCTAAAAACAGAAAAACATAATTAAACCAATTCATTATAGAGGACAGATTATCAGAAATATATTTAATCCTATATAAGTAAAGATACTTATATTTTCATACATTTTTTGAAGTTTATTTTATTAAATTATAATATTTCAATGTTTTCAATTTTACTGCATTCATTTCCCAAATTATATTTTTATTGCACTTTAATTTTTCCATTTATTTTGCATACTAAAAAATGCAAATGACCTAAATTATTTTTTGAACTTAATTTCTGACTACAAATGTGTGTAACTCCCTCAGTTCTTTATTCTTTGCATTTCTATAGTCCTAAGTTTTACAGACATGTTTCCACCATAATAAAAAAATTTTATTAAAACTGGAGGCTTCCCAAATTCAACAGATCCCCCCACAAAAAATAAAAGTTTTAAAAAAGTTTAAGTCACTACTGATGCAGTATGAGGACTATCTTACTTGTGGAACCAAGTTCTTCATAATTCTCCTTTTTCTTTTCTTTTTTTTTTTTTTTAGATGGAGTTTTGCTCTTGTTGCCTAGGCTAGAGTGCAATGGCATGATCTCGGCTCACTGCAATCTCTGCCTCTGGGGCTCAAACGATTCTCCTGCCTCAGTCTCCAGAGTAGCTGGGATTACAGGCACCTGCCACCACATCTGGCTAATTTTTGTATTTTTTTTTTTTTTAGTAGAGACAGGGTTTCACCATGTTGGCCAGGCTGGTCTCGAACTCCTGACCTTGTGATCCACCCGCCTCGGCCTCCCAAAGTGCTGGGATTACAGGCGTGAGCCACTGCGCCTGGACCGTAATTCTCCCTTTTCTTCAGCCTAAATGTCTTCTTCTCTTCAAAATGTTATCAAGTAAAGCAATAGAATCAAGTAAATTATACTGGCATCTTTCTACTAAGCAAGCATTTTACACACAAGATTAAATAAAGGTTTAAAGAAAGGAAAGTATAATATAAGAAACAAAGTTTCCTAGAAGTTATAGTAGACTGGGTGTGGTGGCTGACGCCTGTAATCCCAGCACTTTGGGAGGCTGAGATAGGAGGATTACTTGAGCCCAGTTCAAGACCAGCCTGGGCAACACAGTGAGAGCTCATCTCTATTTTTTAATTTTTAAAAAAATGTTATAACAATATCAAGTATACCTCATAAAGCTGGTTATGAAGTCAGCTAACAATAGCAAAACCTCATGTAACTCACACAATTGCAGAACTGCTCATTTTACCAATCTGTGTGGAAATTTTCATCATTTTCCAAAGGAAAGAGAAAAAGTGCCACTTTTGAATAATATTATCACTGGATACAGAACATGCAAAGACACGAAAATAATTCTAATCCAGAATGGTTACATTGTAAATAGATCATCTCAGGTTAATTGATACTTGTTAGTAACTGTGAAACCCTGAAGAGAAATGCTTAAAACATTATTTATTCTGTAAAGCTGCAAAACAAACTAGTAAGCAAAATAGTAAATGAACACTTAAATAAGTTAAATATAATGGAAACACTGCATAAGTTATGTGATAGCACAGATGCAAGGAAAAAATGCTGAGATTCAGTTAATGCGTGAGCTTATTCATGAAGAACTTATCGAAAGTTCTTGTGTAGGGCTGAATTCCACATTAAATGGTTCTATCAGAAGGTGAGTCTAATAAAGCCTGAGAAGGTCAGGCATGGTGGCTTATGCCTGTAGTCCCAATACTTTGGGAGGCCAAGGTGGGAGGATCGCTTGAGCCCAGGAGTTCGAGATCAGCCTGGGAACTCAGGGAGAACGCCCCTCTTCCCCCACTTCTCTAAAAAAAGTTTAAAAATTAGCCAGGCATGGCAGTGCATTCCTGTAGTCTCAGCTATTTGGGAGGCTGTGGTGAGAGGATCCCTTAAGACCAGGAGTTCAAGGTTGAAGTGAGCCATGATCATGCCAGTGCTCGCCAGCCTGGTCAACAGAGCCAGACCTTGACTCAAAAAAAAAAAGGCAGCCCTAGATGTTACAGACCTTTCTGTTTTTAGCAATATGTGACAAAATAGATGATTTCTGCTTAATACCAAAGTACATGGTCTACTGGTAAACTTGTGTCAAGAGTTAAAATAAGAATTAAAAAAAAATTAATGGTTGTCCTTTGCAAATTATTGGAGAATATTTATTGGCTTGCTTTGCTCATATTCCTCAGCATCTGAATGAACTTAATCAAAAATTTTCAGGGACCATTGTGAATAAGTACATTATCAGGTAAAATTTACCAGTAAAATGTATTGATTATAACTTAGAAAGGTGAAATTAAACACAGTTCACCAATGATGTTTCGTAGGTATTATAACATGAATTCTAAAGAAGACGCTGGCTGAGCGCAGTGGCTCACGCCTGTAATCCCAGCATTTTGGGAGGTCGAGGTGGGCAGATCATTTGAGGTCAGGAGTTCAATACCAGTCTGGCCAACATGGTGAAACCCCGTCTCTACCAAAAACACAAAAATTAGCCAGGCACGTGGCGCATACCTGTAATCCCAGCTACTCGTGAGACTGAGACACAACAATCACTTGAACCCAGAGGTGGAGGTTGCAGTGAGCTGAGATCACACCACTGTACTCCAGCCTGGGCAACAGAGTGAGACTCTGTCTCAAAAAAGATTAGAACAATACATTTGACTAAAGCTTTATCATTATTTTAGGAGGTTTGATATGGAAAAAAAAGTTTGAATCAAAAATCCATTTGCTTTATCACAAAAATTGTCAACTTTACATTTGTTAATGAAAGAAAAGGAGCTGTCACTAGATTTAAAAAATGATCACATCATTAATTACGTGTAAAGAGATCAGATTACCAAAATGTAGGTGAATGATGAGAAAAGTCAGTAGGAGCAAAAGCAATAAATACTCTTCTCCCATTTGCTACCACTTACTTTTGAAGTTGCTTCTTGTTGGTAGGTACCAAGAAAATAAAGAGGTCATATTAAAGAGACATCACCAGGAATTATGAGTAGCAATTTCAAACATAAAATCTGACTTAAAAAAAAGTGTATTCATGAAAACACACCAAGTTCCTCATTAAAACATGTTAAAACATTTTATTTTGGAAGTTTTATAGAAATTTAACATTTACTGTCTTTCTCTTGGTAGTTTTATAGTAATTATATAATATAAAGAAAACACAATGACTATTTTAGCCTAGGCCCATGGAAGATGTCCCTAAAATCCCTCAAATTTACCCCACTGTGCCATATAGATATGTTTACTTACTTTCATTTTTTTTTTTTTTTTTTTGAGACAGGGTCTCACTCTGTCACCCGGGCTGGAGTACAGTGGCGTGATCTCAGCTCACTGCAACCTCTGCCTCCCGGGTTCAAGCGATTCTCCTGCCTCAGCCTCCTGAGTAGCTGGCACTACAAGCATGTGCCACCACACTTGGCTAATTTTTGAATTTTTAGTAGAGACAGGGTTTCACCATGTTGGCCAGGCTGGTCTCGAACTCCTGACCTCAGGTGATCTGCCGCCTTGACCTCCCAAAGTGCTGGGATTACAGGCGTGAGCCACCTTGCCCAGAAGAGATATATTTACTTTCTATGTGTGACACTGATTGAAGTCTGAGAAGCCCTGTCCATAACTAAAGTGTCTAATATGGAATTATCCAGAACATGTGTAGTATATTTGAATGAGGTTCAAGAGATACCTTTATCCAAATATGGTGACAAATTTCAAAAGAACCGGAAAAACTATGATGGATTTACATGAGGTCCATCTTTACAAAATTGTATTGAAAAATAAAGAATTTGGCCGGGTGCAGCGGCTCATGCCTGTAATTCCAGCACTTTGGAAGGCCAAGGCGGGCGGATCACCTGAGGTCGGCGTTCAAGACCAGCCTGACCAACATGGAGAAATCCCAACTCTACCAAAAATACAAAATTAGCCAGGCGTGGTGGCGCATGCCTATAATCCCAGCTACTCGGGAGGCTGAGGCAGGAGAATCGTTTGAACCCAGGAGACGGAGGCTGCAGTGACCTGAGATCACACCATTGCACTCTGGCCTGGGTGACAAGAAGCGAGGAAAGAAAAGAAAGAAAAGAAAAGAAAAGAGAAAAAGAAAGAAAGAAAGGAGGGAGGGAGGAAGGGAAGGAAGGAAGGGAGGGAAGGAGAGAGAGAGAAGAAGGAAGGAAGAAAGGAAGGAAAAGAAAGAAAGAAAGAAAAGAAAGAAAGAAAGAAAAAAAGAAAGAAAAAATTCTAACACATTAAAAAGTTAAACCACAAAACTGAAGGTTAGCTAAAGTAAACACAGTGGTCAATCATACATGATAAACTTCAAGCTGATGCCATAATTGTAATTACATGGTAACCTGAAGAAATATTGGATAGTAAAAGCCTAATGATTATTTTATATGCTAATCTGAGTTATTTCCTTTGAACAATGGTTATATTGAGGAATTGGTGAATTTTTCCCTTTGTTCTCCTGCTTGCTTTGCTGTTTTCCCTAAATATGTCTGCTGAGATGAACTAAAGAGAACATTTTTCCATCGAGTTCTCTAAAAATCTACCAGATGGGATCTCCTAAAGAATCCAACAGGAAACACACTCTTCTAGGAAATCACTGGAGGTCCCAAACCACTCTAATATGAATGATACCAGACCTCAAAGCTAACATTGAAAATGCACAGGTAAAACATCAAATAGCAGGCAGCAAGACAGAATACTACAAGCTTTTACTTTTTCTTTTTTTTTTTTTTTTTCTTGAGACGCAGTCTTGCTCTGTCACCCGCCTGGAGTGCACTGGTATGACCTTGGCTCACTGCAACCTCTGCCTCCTGGGTTCAAGCCATTCCCCTGCCTCAGCCCCCTGAGTAGCTGGGATTACAGGCACCTGCCACCATGCCCGGCTAATTTTTTTGTTTGTTTGAGACGAAGTCTCGCTCTGTCGCCCAGGCTGGAGTGCAGTGGCACAATCTCAGCTCACTGCAACTTCTGCCTCCCAGGTTCAAGCGATTCTCCTGCCTCAGCCTCCCAAGTAGCTGGGACTACAGGCACGCACCACCACTCCCGGCTAATTTTTGTATTTTTAATAGAGGTGGGGTTTCACCTTGTTGGCGAGGATGGTCTTGATCTCTTGACCTTGTGATCCGCCCACCTCTGCCTCCCAAAGTGCTGGAATTATAGGCATGAGCCACTGTACCCGGCCTAATTTTTGTATTTTTAGTAGAGATGGGGTTTCATCATATTGGCCAGGCTGCTCTCGAACTCCTGACCTCAAGTGATCCACCTGCCTCGGCCTCCCAAAGTGCTGGGATTACAGGTGTAAGCCACCACTCCCGGCCTACAAGCTATTTCCCTGTAATATGTCTGATCACTGTTAGGACCTGGTTATACAGAATTTTCATTCCAGGAAGCACAAATGTGATATACTTACAGTAATAATGGTCAGCAGCAAATCTTTTCTTTGGGGAGGAAAGGGTAAGAAAAGAAAAAAGAAGGAAAGGAATCTACCATATAGGCTGTGATAATCTTAAATGCTCTAAGTAAGCCATGTAATAAGTCTTCAAATGCATTAGAGATACATTAAAACATATTTGAAATGAAATTTCCAGCATCTAAGAGTGCTTGGAACGTGAATTTTAAAAAATAGTAGCAATAATTATTATTGCTATTAATTCTTATCATACTATTTTAGAATAATAAAGGAAGTCATAGATGCTGTATCTCTAGGTCTCTATAAACCTTAATAAATATATAGTTCATAGAAAACCTTATTGGAATGTCCCTTATATTCAATTAAAAGATAAATTAAAACCTCAGTCAAGATAGCAGCTTCTAAGGCATCAAAAACACTTATTAAGTTCTATACTCTTTGGTTATTTTCATAATCCCAATTCTAAAAAAAATAAATGAATTCAGCACATTAAAATCAGACATTTTGTATGTGAATTGCAGTTACAGTACTATTAAGTGTATGAAAAATGTCTAGCATTACATATAAACTCTGCACTATTAACATAATTTTGAATTATTATACAATTTAGAAAACTAAACATTTAGAAAAAGTATTAATGACATCATATATACTTTACATTCAAAATCATGGATTATTACAATATTGTGTCAAATGCAAAAAAAATTGCAGCTAATGTATCTAAACCAGCTTAAAAACATAACATGGAGTTAATACATTACAAATATTGTCTGTTGGGTTAGGTGGTAGTTACTTTAAACATTTAGAGCTACAAGTACCTATACAGTATAACACAGACACATAATTTTTTTTAATAATACAGACACATAGTAATTATAAATATGTTAAACAACTTTAACTTTGTTAGTTAACAAAGAATCCCTTTAAATTATTTTTGGCATGGTGCCTGAGGCTCCATCAAAAAACCGGATGGGAGGCGTTGCTTATTTACAGCTTCATAACATGTAGTGCTGGAGTCTTCAAGTAGATTTCCAGTTAAAATGTAGGCTTGTTCATGTATTCTTCCATTGTCTGAAAGCGAACAATAAATTAGAACAATTTTCCCTTTAAGTCACAGCCTTCCGCAGACTGTGAAATCTTCTGCATTCTTTTATTTATTTGCCATTGTTGAAAACAAGTTGTCAAAAGGATACATGGATATAAAATCTTTGCATTCTAATCAAAGTTTGAGTATAATTTGTATACACATCCATATGGGGCTGGAATTAAGTAACTTTCAACTGAGAAAAAGTTAAGCTTGATCATAAAGTGAATGTCTGATAAGAGAAATGCTTGGCCAGTGTGGTGCTCACGCCTGTAATACCAGCACTTTGGGAGGCTGAGGTGGGCAGATCACCTGAGGCCAGCCTGGCCAACATGACAAAACCCCATCTCGATGAAAAATACAAAAATTACCCGAGTGTGGTGGCATGCACCTGTATTCCCAGCTACTCGGGAAGCTGAGGCAGGAGAATTGCTTGAACCGGGAGGCGGAGGTTGAAGTGAGCCAAGATTGCACCACTGCACTCCAGCCTGGGTGACAGAGTGAGACTCCGTCTCAAAAACAAAAAAAAAAAAGAGAGAGAGAGAGAGATTGAAATGCTAAAGCAAAGTTGCCAAGATATCACTGTTGACTTAAGATAAACACGTTTGCTAAAATGATCAGGAGGACCACATCCAGGTACGTGTATTAGAGAATTCTGAATTACGTCTGTATAACATATGTATCGTTACCTATATTGTGCAGAGCATCTTTATTATACATATTGTCAAGACAAAAAAGATAAACAGACCAAAATTCTTAAGAATTTCTTTACTTCTCTACAAGGTTCACAGGAAAAAATGTATAGTTTCTGCCATATGTTTTCAAAGGCTTCCTCCCAAAGTATACAAATTATGTTTCTTTTTAACTTTTAAGTTCAGAGATACATGTGCAGGTTTGTTATAGAGGTAAACGTGTATCATGGGGATTTGTTATACAGATGATTTCATCATCCAGGTATTAAGCCTAGGACCCATGAGTCATTTTTCCTGATCCTCTCCCTCCTCCCACCCTCCACCCTCTGAAAGGCTCCAGTGTGTGTTGTTCCCTTCTATGTGTCCGTGTGTTCTCATCATTTAGCTCCCACTTTTAAGTGAGAACATGTGGCATTTGGTTTTCTGTCCCTGCACTAGTTTGCTCAGAATGATGGCCTCCAGCTCCATCCACGTCCCTGCAAAGGACATGATCTCATTCTTTTCATACTGTCCATCAGTTACTAAGTTTGCTAACATGCCCCAAAGCCATAATATTTTTTTTCAGCATTTAAAAAAAAATGTTTGAACAGACTCACAATTACAGGTAGAGTTCAAAGTTAACAGTGATGTTCCAGGTTCTATACCATGCAAGACAGATGGGCTTTCTCTTGCACACTCTCCTACTTTAAACATATATATTTGTGTCACACCAGGGCCCCAAGTTGAATCAATAAGAAAGCTCGAGAGGACAAAAAATCACCTGCCTCTTTCGTTTGAGTCACGATCTGCTCATTTAGCAATCCAAGTTCAACTTGTTCTTAAGCTTAAACTCCAGGGTATATGATTCATGTGAACCTGCCAGGAAATACGCTGACTGACATGGGCTGAAGATACCAAGGCTACTGGCCGAGCAAGATTGCTCAGGAGATACTAGGGCTAGAAATCTGCCCTTACCTTCAAAAGAGGTTTTCTAACTGGTTTTCACCAACTCTATCTAGAATTCCAGAGTTCTGCCAGAAAACATTTGTATTCAGTCATCCACATTTACTCAACAAAGCTCTCACCTCCTAAGTGGGCATTGGCCAAGACAGCCCCATACCCATCTACCCCTCTACAGATGCTGCCCGTGGGGTCTTTTAACTTAGCAGAGGGATCATACAGGCCATTGGGCCATGCTGGTTTTATGGAATCTAGAGTTTACACCATTTACATGGGAATACAAAGTTACAAATACAAAATCAGGTATAAAGTGTACTTAGAATGAGAAAAGAAACGACCACAGATTGTGAATTTTGAAGATGACAAATATCACAAAATAAAAAATGGTTGCATGTTATTTTCACGAATTAATTGCTTGACACTCCTCTATCATATATTATATTGTATGGCTACGTACTTTTTGCAGTTAAAATATCTTATTTTTGCAAAGTGGACAAAAACCCATGACCAGATGAGAGCATTGCTAGGCCCTGCCTGTAGCCTCGGGAGGGGCCTGGAGTTGACACTTTCCTGTCTTTGTGGTTCAGTGGCCTCTAGTCATTGGCACTGCTCACATCACCAGATGACTCAGTCTGCTAAACACCACACTGGCTGCCCTGTCTGAGCCGAGCCAGGCTGGTTACTCAAGCTATGTAAACCAATAAGGTAAAAGTTGGCATTTTCTTGAGCTTGCCACTTTAAAGGTTTGGGGCAGACTTTTAGAGCTGGCAGAACCTTAGTTGCTCTTACCTTCTCAAGACAGGAGCTGGAGTCTGTATCTTGGGTCCTCTTCTGGATACATCTAGCTCTGCTGTGTTTCTTATGCATATAGCACAGTGTATGTTATGACTTCCTACTGCATTGTGGTTTGGCCTAGCTGTTAACATGGTTTACGCTTTTAAGGGTGACAGTGTTAGGGTGCACCTAGCAGTTTCGCCTGCATCCACACGAGGGCACATAGAATCCTATTGCTCATGAGATACAATCTGACCCTCCCCTTCTTTTTTTTGAGACAGGGTCTCACTCTGTCACCCAGGCTGAAGTGCAGTGGTGCGATTACCGCTCACTGCAGCCTTGACCTCTCGGGCTCAAGTGATCCTTTCACCTTAGCCTTCCGAGTAGCTGGAATTACAGGTGTACACCACCATGCCTGGCTAATTTTATTACTTTTTGTAGAGACAAGGTTCTCACTATGTTGCCTAGGCTGGTCTCAAAACTCCTGGGCTCAAGCGGTCCTTCCGCATCAGCCTTCTGAGTAGCTGGGATTACAGGTGCACACCACCACACCTGGCTAATTTTATCATTTTTCTGTAGAGACAAGGTTCTCACTATGTTGCCTAGGCTGATCTCAAACTCTTGACTTAAGCAGTCTTCCTGCCTGGGACTCCCAAAGTGCTGGGAATACAGGCATGAGCCATCGCATCTGGCCTTGAGCCTCCCTTCTTGGCAGGCTGTTAGTTGGGGTAAAATATCTACTGTTTGTCGCTCCTACCTATTGCAAGTCCTGTGGTTAATGACCACTATCGCCTTTGAGAGTTTCATTTTCTTTTCTTTTTTGAGACAGAGTCTCACTCTGCCGCCCAGGCTAGAGTGCAGTGGCATGATCTCGGCTCACTGCAACCTCCGCCCCCTGGGTTCAAGCGATTCTCCTGCCTCAGCCTCCTGAGTAGCTGGGATTACAGGAGCCCACCACTGCACCTGGCTAATTTTTGTATTTTTAGTAGAGACGGAGTTTCACCATCTTGGCCAGGCTGGTCTTGAACACCTGACCTCGTGATCCACCTGCCTCGGCCCAAAGTGCTGGGATTATAGGCATGAGCCATTGTGCCCAGCAATTTTTTTTTTTTTTTTTTTTTTGAGATGGAGTCTTGCTCTGTCACCCAGGCTGGAGTGCAGTGGTGGAATCTCGGCTCACTGCAATCTCTGCCTTCTGGGTTCAAGCAAATCTCCTGCCTCAGCCTCCCAAGTAGCTGGGGTTACAGATGTGTACCACCACACCTGGCTAATTTTTGTATTTTTAGTAGGGATGGGATTTTGCCATGTTGGCTAGGCTGGCCTCGAACTCGTGGCCTCAAGTGATCCGCCCACCTCGGCCTCCCAAAGTGTTGGGCTTACAGACGTGAGCCACCACGCCCAGACAGAGGGTTTAATTTTCCTTCTAATAACTTTGTGCCATTGTCCACATTGTTGTTACCCCCAAATAAGTATTCCCAACCAAGTAAACAGTTCCTTTCTTTTCCTCTTATCAACATCTAGCCACCACACGCTCAGAATAAGCTTTGAGCATTTGGAGATTTGAGGCTATGTCTTCTTACTAAATCCGCAGGCAGGTGTAGCTTTTTAAAAGTTATTATTCTAAGAAACTGTTATTAAGTAGGAGCTAGAGAAAAGTCTTAGGGGCTACTGAAGATTGACAGCTGTTCTCACAGCTAAAGCAATGTCACAAAGGCCTCCCTTAACCTTCAGTAACTACAAATATATGATTGGGTCCAAAGGACAGGAAAAAAAAAAAAGCAGTAATTATTTTCCTTTATGCAAGTATACTACTGGCTCCTATCCAGTTGAAACCTCTTAAGCAGGCAAGATATGCAAAGTCAATTCTTCAACAAGCTCCCCAGAATATTTACTGACTTCACTGAATACCAGAGCCCAAGAGAACACTAATAACACTCTCTGTATTTGGCAAGTGTTGTTAGCGCAACAGAAGAGACTGAGAGGGTGGCCATGACATTGCCTGCTCACCATAGGGACACCAGGGCTAAATGCAAGGTCCCCTGAGACCTACCCATCAAGCCCCTCCACTCATTCACCAATTAGCATTTAATTGTGAAAGAGCTCACTCTTGAAACACTTACTTCCTAGATTTAAATGGAACCAGCAACACCAGATTTATGACAACCTTTTTAAAACATTTCCTAATTTGAGAGGATTTCAAATTAACCCAGGTGTGTCTTGGCCCCCAATTCAGCTTTAATTACTGAAGTGCCAAAGACTCCGTTAAAAACTCTGTTTCTCCTGTAAGGAGACTCCACAGTCAGGACCCTGAGGTCCTGAAGTTAAAAAAAAACCTCCACCCCCTCCACCTGCCCCCAACTCCCAGAGTATTTTATGAAACACTGTTTTGTGAAATTTCCAAACCACTGATTTCTCAAATACCTTGTAAAGTTTTCCTCCCTGTGGCATTTGGAGACAGCCAAATCAACATCAGAGAGTTTAGATGCACTTTTTGAGGTCAGACACCTCTGGTAATGAATGCATTGGCCTTCTAATAGGCACACGCAGCTGCTTACGGCACCCACTCAAATAGATGTTTTCCTCCACATCCATTCACCAGAGGACTGATGCTCTGGCTGGGCAGGAGCAAGTAATCAGCCTAAAGATGCACCAAAACAGTTGCTGGGAATTCACACCTAATGGTGTTTTGTTAATTTAATCACCCTCTTCCAAATAGCAGGAAAAAAGTAGCTTTAATGCCAGTTTTACTTATTTATTTATTTATTTATTTTGAGATGGAGTCTCGCTCTGTCACCCAGGTGGTGCTGTGGTGCTATCTCAGCTCACTGCAACCTCCGCCTCCCGGGTTCCAGTGGTTCTACTGCCTCAGCCTCCCAAGTAGCTGGGATTACAGGCACACATCCCCATGCCCGGCTAATTTTTGTGTTGTTAGTAGAGATGGGGTTTCACCACATTGGCCAGGCTGGTCTTGAACTCCTAGCCTCAAGTGATCTGCCTGCCTCGGCCTCCCAAAGTGCTGGGATTACAGGAGTGAGCCACCGCATCCGGCCAAATGCTGATTTTAAAAAGGTGCTTTACAATGCTCTGGATCCTCTTGACCTACTTATTTGAAAATAGGAAGATGGGAAGACCCACTGAGGCTGTGGGAAGAAGAATCTAGGGGTGGCAGGTCTGGGATGGAACCCAGCCCCTCAGAGCATCTCATTTGGGAGGGCAGAGGTCAGTGGGGTGAAGTGCTCTTTCTCACAGTGTCCTGGGAGGAATGGAGGGGCTGATGTAGGTAAGTTCCCTGAGGAGGTATGATGCAAATCTGTGCGGCTTCTAAAAGAACATTCCCACTTTATTTTATATAGAAATCCCAGAGTCCAGGGCAGTACAAAATGGATGCTTCTGGGCCCATTTATACCTTGGCAAGCAAACCACAGTGTTCCCAATTTCTTTATGCAAGCAGGAGCACACATACAGCCTTCCCAAAAGGTGTAAGAAATTTTAATTAAAATGATAAATGCCATGCTCAATAATAAAGCTTTAATATCTCTGGCAAACAAAATAACAATGTACTGCTATTCTCCTTTCCCAGGGAAGCATAGGTATTTTAATGAAAGTCTTTTTATACATCTCATAAAATTATTCTTGAAAAGAATAGCACTAAGTATTTGATACCTTTTTGGCAGTGAAGGACTCTTGCACTCCAAAGCTCATCCAAATGTGAAGAGCAAAGACTCTAAAGCCCAATTGCCTGGGTTCAAATCTCTATGCCACACTTCCTAGTGGAATAGAGGAATTCCACACTTCCTGTGTGAAATTGAGCAGGTCATTTAACCTCTTGGTGTCTCAGTTTACTCATCTGTAAAGTGGGAGTAACAATACCACCTACTTTTTCGAGTTGTTGTGAGGATTAAATAAGCTAATACATATAAATAGTTTAGAAACTGTACCCAGCACAGAGTAAGTACTCAGTAAGTCTGGTTAATATTATAATTATTAACACCATCATCATCATCATCATCATCTTTCTCCCATGGTTTGGGAAACCGTACTGACCTCCTGTAACATATCAGAGTCTTCAATGGCTTTGACAGCAATTTTCTTGGATGTTTCCTGAATTTCCCCACCTATTATAAACTCGTCCAGGATGAAATAAGCCTTTTCAAAATTAAAGATAATATCCAGCTCACAGACCTGGTGGGACAAAAACAAACGTTTTGATAAACTTGCAGTTGTATCAGGGGAAACATCTGCCCGAATCTCGAGCTTTTTCAGTTTGCACTCATGTGGCGTACCAAAAATAAAAATATCAGATGGCATTTTAAGGACAGAAAAAAAGAACAGGGAATGTCAGGCCTTTAATAAATGGAATGCTACATTCTATTAAAGCAAAGCACATCCTTAGATAATAATGTTTTGTGTTACAACAGGAAATTTGAGGCTCAGTAAGGGAATGAGGCCACTCGGCTCCTCTTCCTATCTGCACCAAGAAAACTGAGCCCCAGCTGCATTCCAGGAAGGAGGGCAGAGCTTTGTTTCTCCTGCTCTCTGCTCTGTAAATCTTGGCTTCTAGCTTTAGAACTCTCTCAGAAACTAATTCTTCAGAGGAAAATTAGCTCAACTGTGCTAATTTTTCTCAAAATTATGTCACAGCCAGTGGTTCTCAAACTCATTCCAAAGGCTCATTAAAACACACTGGTGCTACAGCCCACCCCCAGAGTTTATGACTCAGGAGGTCTAGATGAGAACTGAGAATCTGCACTTTTAACAGGTTCCCAGGTGATGCTGAGGCCGCCGGACTGCGGGATTTCACATCCAGAATCCCTGGCGCGGATCAAAGCAGAGTCTGATAGATTTTGGTGTTTATTTAAGTGTAGCAAGTATGGCAAGATCACTCCCATCATCCAAATAAAGCTCATTTCCCGTACTCACACACCATCCTTGCTGTCTTACTCCCTACTTATTCCTCTACTCACTGACACCTTCTCTTTCCATACCATACCCCACCCACCCAACTGAAGCTGTTCTCCTGAAACTCTGCTCATTGAGTCTCCAGACTGCATAAATGTCTTCTTTTGAGAAGCGTCTGTTCATATCCTTCGCCCACTTTTTGATGGGGTTGTTTTTTTTCTTGTACATTTGTTTAAGTTCTTTGTAGATTCTGGATATTAGCCCTTTGTCAGATGGATAGATTGCAAAAGTTTTCTCCCATTCTGTTGGTTGCCTGTTCACTCTGATGATACTTTCTTTTGCTGTGCAGAAGCTCTTTAGTTTAATTGGATCCCATTTGTCTATTTTAGCTTTTGTCACTAGTCATTAGAAAAATGCAAATCAAAAACTACAATGAGATACCATCTCATGCCAGTTAGAATGGCGATCATTAAAAAGTCAGGAAACAACAGATGCTGGAGAGGATGTGGAGAAATAGGAATGCTTTTACACTGTTGGTGGGAGTGTAAATTAGTTCAACCATTGTGGAAGACAGTGTGGTGATTCCTCAAGGATCTAGAGCCAGAAATACCATTTGACCCGGCAATCCCATTACTGGGTATATACCAAAGGATTATAAATCATTCTACTATAAAGACACATGCACATGTATGTTTGTTGCAGCACTGTTCACAGTAGCAAAGACTTGGAACCAACCCAAATGCCCATCAATGATAGACTGGATAAATAAAATGTGGGACATATACACCATGGAATACTATGCAGCCATAAAAAAAGATGAGTTCATGTCCTTTGCAGGGACACAGATGAAGATGGAAACCATCATTCTCAGCAAACTACTACAAGAATAGAAAACCAAACACGGCATGTTCTCACTCATAAGTAGGAGTTGAACAATGAGAACACATGGACACAGGGAGGGGAACATCACACACCGGAGTGTGTTGGGGGGTGGGGGGCAAAATACCTAATGTAGATGGCAGGTTGATGAGTGCAGCAAACCACCATGGCACATAAATACCTATGTAACAAACCTGCACATTCTGTGCATGTATCCCAGAACTTAAAGTGTAATTTTAGAAAAAGGGAGGAGAAAAAAAAAAGAAAGAAAGTCTCCAGACCTCCCCAACGTTTACCTCTCAGCCACATGTGGTACTCTTCACCAATCTCTCTTCCTTGAAAATCTCTTCTCCCTTGCTCCCCTGATTTTGGCAATACCACTTAATGCCTGTTTTTCTTGTCTATCTCTGATAATTCCTTCTCAGACTCCTTGGATAATTTATCTCCCTCCTACCCTGCATTTGTTTAAGAAGTATTTAAGGTGTGCCTAGCACATATCAGTCAACAGAACAGACAAACATCTCTACTGCATGTTGCTTATATTCTAGCCATCCATCTTCTGCTTGAATATTCATGTTCCTCAAGGGAGCCTCTTCTCTTTGCAAAATGCATATTCTCCTGGACAATCTTGCTGACTCTCTACAGCTGTGTCTAGCATGCAGGTAGCTCAACAAACCTAGATGACTAGCCCTGATCTCCCTCTGGGCCACTAGTCCAATATTCTCACCCACTAACTAGACATCTTTACCTACCTATTCCTCAATCCATGTCACTATGTCCCAAGCTGATATCAAGATTATTCTTTTTCCTTTAGTCCCTATTTTGCTTAGTAGTTGCAATCTCTTTCTAATTTCTCCATCTAATTCATTCTAGAGTTCAACCAACATACTTCCCCTTCCCCACTCATTCCTCTCCCTCCTTGATCTCATCCCTCTGGATTTGGTCATCAGTTTCTACTGATTCTATTGTCTAAATAAGTCCCTACCCTTCCTGTCTTCTCTGCTTTCACAGCTGCTGCTCAGGCCTACAGCACTTCTCCATCAGGCCACTGCAATGACCTTCCAGGTGGCGGTTGTGCCTGCTCAGGGCCATTGACCACTAATGCTTAGCTAAAATGCTGATCTTGTGCCTCTCCAGTGTAAGGTCTTCAGGACAAAGGCATATAGGAATCTTTACCAGCCTGGGCCCTGCTGTCTGATTTCCCGTGCCAGTTCTCATCCATGCATCTGACACACATGCCACAAACTCACAATGTCACGGTGTTTTGTGCCTTTGCTTTCTGCACATTCCAACAATTCTTGAATTGTGTCCCCAAATGTCCTTTTCTTTATTCTCCTGCTGGCAAAACCAAGCTCATTTTTTCAAGGCCAAATTCAAAAGTCAGGCATGTGGCGATTCCCCACATCCCCTTTTCCCCATTCAGATTTCACATCACTTCCTGTGGGTTCTCACTTACATCTTCTGTGCACTAGTTTCTGCTTATTGATTACTAATCACTCCCCCGTACTGTGAGTTCAGGGCAGAAACTTTGTCTTCATTATCTTTATATCCCTGGTTTCTGGCACATTGTAAGACACAAAAAATGCTTGTAAGATAAATGAATGAGCAAGTTTAAGTAGAGGCCTTGTCTGGGCATGGTGGCTCACGTCTGTAATCCCAGCACTTTGGGAGGCTGAGGCAGGCAGATCACTTGAGGTCAAGAGTTCAAGACCAGCCTGGCCAACATGGTGAAACCTTGTCTTTACTAAAAATACAAAAATTAGCCAGGCATGATGGTGCACGACTGTAATCCCAGCTACTCAGGAAGGTGAGGCAGAAGAATCACTTGAACCCAGGAGGCAGAGGTTGCAGTGAGCCAAAATCATGCCACTGCACTCCAGCCTGGGTGACAGAGCAAGACTCCTTCTCAAAAAATAAAAATAAATAAATATAGGCCTTGTTTCTAATAT
Source organism: Homo sapiens (assembly GCF_000001405.40). Taxonomy (NCBI): domain Eukaryota; kingdom Metazoa; phylum Chordata; class Mammalia; order Primates; family Hominidae; genus Homo; species Homo sapiens. The sequence continues at coordinate 223,768,896 of NC_000002.12, forward strand.
GCTAGAGATTAATGGCATCCCAGATACAATTCTATGGTTGTACTGAATGCTATAACTTTGCATGAAATAGATGTCAATATTTTAGCAAATTCCTCCATATACTTACAAGTTAGGTCAATAAACTAGCAAACTTCACAAGGAACATGGTTTAAGTCAACAGATCCAAATGAATCCAACTTCCATACAGAATTACCATGGCATACTGGGGGTATATCACAGTTTATTTAAGCAGTTCCTTTATGGATATGGGCAGACTTTGGGCTGTTTCCAGTTTTTATTCTAAATGATGCTGCCATAATTTTTGTTGTGTATTGTATACTAATTTGAGTATAGTGTAGGAATAAATTCCTTGGGGAATTTTGGGTCAAAGGATTTGTATATTTAAAATTGATAAATACTAAAATGTGGTCCTCCAAAGTAGTCTATAAAACTTAAAAGTTTCACTAACAGTAGGAGTGATTACCTATTTATGCCATCTCCAGCAATGGATAGTCTCTAAATTTTCGGATGAATATTAATTAAACTTGCATTTCCCTGCTTATTAGTGAGACTGTACATCTTATTAGATATGCACTGGCCCTTTCCATTTCTTGCCTTGTCTACAAATTGCTTCTTAAAGACTTTGTTTTTTTCTATTGTAATATTTGTCTTAGAAATTTGAATGATTCTTTCGGTGTCACAGATACTGTCTCCTTTCCCTGCTGTTGTATATGTTTCAGCTATGTAGAAGCTGAAAAGAATAAGGTAGATTTACATGCACAAATATGGCAAGAGCTCTAAGATAGACTTGTAAGGAGGAAAAAAAAGAAAGTTGCAGAATAATATGCAGAATGCAATCCCATTTTTTTTTTTTTTTTTTTTTTTTTTTGAGACGGAGTCTCCCTGTCGCCCAGGCTGGAGTGCAGTGGCGCGATCTCGGCTCACTGAAGGCTCCGCCCCCCGGGGTTCACGCCATTCTCCTGCCTCAGCCTCCCGAGTAGCTGGGACTACAGGCGCCCGCTACCTCGCCCGGCTAATTTTTTGTATTTTTAGTAGAGACGGGGTTTCACTGTGTTAGCCAGGATGGTCTCGATCTCCTGACCTCGTGATCCACCCGCCTCGGCCTCCCAAAGTGCTGGGATTACAGGCGTGAGCCATCGCGCCCGGCCGCGATCCTATTTTTAAAAACCGTATATGTTTAGAGGGACATGTAAAAATATGCATCATTTTTGCAGTTTTAAACAATAGAAAGAAACAAAAAGAAATCACAATAGATTAGACATCCATGTACATGAAAGAAGGTATGAGAAGAAAGCAGTTACCAGAGGTCAGAAAAGGCAGAAGTCAGGAGTTATAGTAGCAAGCTGAGGAACCTCGGAGTTCAAGGCAGGCGTAGACCAGGAATCCAAGACAGACAGGAGCCTCATTAGGAGAAACCAGCAATTAAACTCCTGCAAAGTGAACCTGACAGATACTAATGAAAATTCTCCAGGAACTTCTTATACCCCACTTTGACACGTCCCCAGGTCTGGGTCCTCCAGCAGCCATGGGGCAATTAATTTACTGTACTAGTTTCAAGGGATAAGGGTAAGGTAAGGTGGTATTCAGAGTTAGAGAGACAATACACACACACACACACACACACACACACACACACCCCTTGATATACAGTTACTATCTGTAGCTCTGAAGAGAAATGTATATGCAAGTTCCATAGGCATTACAGAGAATGTTACAACTGAGCAACTATTTCACATACAGCAACACAAAAGTGCTACCCTATAGTTATTCTTTGAGTCTACTGCCATCTGAGAATGAGAGAAAATATCCAGGAAGACCCTTAGACCAGTTCATTTTTTTTTTTTTTTTTTTGGAAACAGTCTTACTCCGTCACCCAGGCTGGAGTGCAGTGGAATCATCTCAGCTTGCTGCAACCCCTGCCTCCTGGGTTCAAACTATTCTACCGCCTCAGCCTCCCAAGTAGCTGCGATTACAGGCATATGCCACCATGCCTGGCTAATTTTTTTATTTTTATTTTTAGTAGAGACAGGGATTCACCATGTTGGCCAGGCTGGTCTTGAACTCCTGACCTTAAGTGATCCCCCCCACCTTGGCCTCCCAAAGTGCTGGGATTACAGGCATGAGCCACCGTTCCCAGTCCCAAGTCAGGTTTCTGAAGCTACTGCCTAATTACTTATGCCTGTAATCCCAGCACTTTGGGGGGGCTGAGGCGGGCTGATCATTTGAGGTCAAGAGTTCGAGACCAGACTGGGCAACATGGTGAGACCCTGTCTCTACTAAACATACAAAAAATTAGCCAGGCATGGTGGCACACGCCTGTAATCCCAGCTACTCGGGAGGCTGAGGCAGGAGAATCGTTTGAACCCAGGAAGCAGAGGTTGCAGTGAGCCAAGACTGCACCACTGCACCCCAACCTGGGCAACGGAGTAAGACTCTGTCTCGGGAAAAAGAAACAAAATAAAATAAAATAAAATAATAAATTCCACCTTGAGGTTGTCCCAATACAACAAAAATATGTACTTGATGCTCAAGTGATTCCACTCCTTCTAATTATGCAAATACCCCGGCTTCTTGCTCCCTCACCATGTTAATAAACATGAGCCTCTTTATTTATTTTCTCGTGTATCTAGATTCTGAATAAAGCTTTCAAATGGTAGAAACTATCATTTAACTTTATCTTCAATGTCCTAGCCTTGTGCTCTTCTGTAATTTGGCTTAAGGTTCTTTTCTTACAGCAGAATTCATGGTGCAGTGAGATTATTTCTGGCATTTCACCAACTGAATCCTTTTGGACAGAATCTAAGAAGCACATGTACTTATTAAATGATGCTCTAAAGTAAATACAAAAAGTTTCAAGTTACATGCAGCAAATGCTTCAAATAATAGTAAACTATATAACTACCATAAAGCTATATATAAAATAAGAATAGGCCGGGCACAGTGGCTCACGCCTGTAATCCCAACACTTTAGGAGGCCGAGGTGGGTGGATCACCTGAGGCCAGGAGTTTGAGACCAGCCTGGCCAACATGGCAAAAACCCATCTCTACCAAAAATACAAAAATTAGCCAGGCATGGTGGCACATGCCTGTAATCCCAGCTACTAGGGAGGCTGAGGTAGGAGAATCGCTTGAACCCGGGAGGCGGAAGGTGCAGTGAGCCGAGACCGCGCCACTGCATTCCAGCCTGGGCAACAAGAGCGAGACTCCGTCTCAAAAAAATAAATAAATAAAATAAAACAAGAATAATTATAATGCAATGTACAACTATATAGCAATTAATAGTTTATTAAGTATTGCTATCACGCCATCTCTTTGCCCCTCCCAGCAGCCCTATAAGGTTAGCAAAGTAAACACTTCTCTTAACCTTTTTGAGGGTCATTTTTCTCATCTGCAAAACGGAGACACATGACAGGCCCCAAATCCTTGAATTGGTGAGAGAGTGAGCCTACACCAGCATCCGGGGGACCCATAGTGCTCTTCCCCTGACAGCAAAAAACAAACAAACAAAAAACTCCCTACATCAAATTCAAAAGCTCTCTGGGAGATCAACATCCTCACACACTGAGGCACCAGTAAAAATTCACACTGTAGTCTGTAATGCAGAAATATGGCAGGTATCTAAATCCTCAGACTCTTATCTGGCATGAGACTTTGAGGCATTTCCTCTGAGCCTCTATAAATTGAGGTTAATGCTACTTACTGAAGATCGGAAGATTAACTAGTTAATCCTCGTAAATCTCCTTGGAATTGAAAAGTGCTAAAAAAAAATACATAACTTAAATTAGTAGCCAGAGATTTTGATCCGTCTGTCTTCAGCAGATAATATTTTCCAGTGTTATAAGAGAAGCTCAGTACCAAGTTTTCCCCTAGATAACATTATATAAGGGCAGAATTCAAGGAAAGCTTTAGTATTAATATGGGAGGAAAAGAAAATCAAAGAGAAATATTTTATTGCTGAGATTATGTCAATGAGAATCAGTACTGGAAGTCTTTGCTCATCACTGTTAATTAACAAGAACCGAACTTCTACTGGGCATATAGCCTTGAATTGCTCTTAGCTGCTCTTAGCTTAATGAAAGATTCATTGAATTTTTTAATAAATTAAATTTTGGTACATGACAAAGACAGAGCTTCCAAAGGTATACCAAAATAGAATGGGAAATTAATGTTAGAGAAATGGGAATTCATTCTGACTCTCTTTGTACTTTAACTGGGTTTAGCATTGGTGAAGGTCACTCAAGTTCTCTTGAGAAGCATAATGCCCTGAGATATCTGGCTGAAATTTGGTCAGATAGATTGAGATCAAAATTCAGCCCCAATTCACATTATCACAGTTGGTTTAATCTAGGAAAATACAACAGGTCAAGCCGGAGTTCAGAAATGAGAAAGAGAAGGCAGGTTACGGGAATGCCCAGACCTCAAGGAAACTTCTTCAGGCTCTTGCAAAAGGCCAAGTCTGTAGTTTATTTCAAAGGAAAGTACAAAAATGTGAGAATTCATTTGAATAGTAGAAAGTATTAAATAATATGTTTGAAAACATGTTATTATACATTTGCAAATTTCTCCTTAAAAAAATGAAAATAAACTTGGTATACCAAGAGGAGAAAGAAAAGATGGTCTAGTTGTCTTATTGCTGTTATATACTGACCAACAACCTGAAATCCCTGAAGCAACATTTTAGGTCTTAACAACATCATTTACAAGGGGGAAAAAAGGGAGGGAGGAAAAATTCTTTCAGAAATCTTTCCAGTGTTCATCCTTATGAAAAGTGTTGCAACAAATCTGATAAAACGTGTTCAATATTGCAAATACTGCTCATTCCATTAAAGAGAATAACAACAAGAACAAAAAAAAACTCTGCTGGAAGCAAATTATCCTAACACTTAACAAAAACTTCAGTGAGTAAGGGAATAGGGAAGAGGGTATTATGAGAAGAAAACATTTTCCAAATCCAATGATTTATTTCTTGAAACTGTGAAATGGATTAAATGTTTTTGGAACATTTGCTATCAAGTCTGGCCCACAGCTGGTTACAAGTTAAGCGGTGGGGGGATAAAATGAGTCACAAAGCACTGGTCTCAAGAGAATTGCAATTTGGTGGTCAAGCAAATCGGGTGCCAGTTAGGGACACTCCAAGGTCATTTCTTGTTGCTGGAGAACTGTCAGGTATATAAAAAGGGAAATGTAGGCTGGAGGCAGTGGCTCATGCCTGTAATCCCAGCACGTTGGGAGGCCAAGGCAGGCGGATCGCCCGAGGTCAGGAGTTCAAGACTAGCCTGGCCAACATGGTGAAACCCCATCTCTAATAAAAATATAAAAATGAGCCGGGCATGGTGGCGGGGGCCCGTAAACCTAGCTACTCAGGAGGCTGAGGCAGGAAGATCGCTTGAACTCGGGAGGCAGAGGTTGCAGTGAGCAGAGATCGTGCCATTGCACTCCAGCCTGGGCAACAAGAACAAAACTCCGTCTCAATAAATAATAAATAAATAAATAAATAAATAAATAAATAAATAAATAAGGGTAGTGTATCAAGGATGGAGGAGTGGTCAGGGATCCATGCTTTGAAAGGTTAAACAACAGGCTGGGGGGGTTGATTTTATTTATTGTACATGATGGAAAGTGGCTGTGAAGGAATGCCACACCTATATCTGGTTTTTTTAAGGAAGATGGTAACTAATAGGGCAAGAGGGCGAACAGAGAAAAGCTCAGAGGCATAAAAAGCCAGGTAAGATGTTTAAGAGAAAAGCAAAATTGAAATCCCAAGTGAACCTATATTAGTGAGAGTGGAAAGAAGGAAATGAATGTCAGCCCAATTTGAATAGACAGAGGCAGATTCTGGTAAAGCATAGGAAAAGACAAAACAAGCTGCGTCCTTTTGCACTGAAGGATCCTGGAACATAACAAATTCCAATCACAAGACAGAACGGATTTTCAGTAGATGAGTTTGGTTCTGGGCCATGAGAAGCCCAGTGAAGACTGTCACCAACAAGGGGAAGAAGAGTCACTTAGTAAGGGATTTCCAGGACAGAGCGTCAGTACACACAGAGTTAGGAAGAGATGAGGGCATTTAGGGCTGGGCAGAGGAAGGGAGCTGAGTGGAAGAAACCAAGGAGGCGCTTCAGAAATCAATGTCATGGCAAAATCAAGAAGGGCGAATTTAAAGAAAGCGTCATGGTGAGCAAGGGTCCAGTGCTGCAGCGAGAAGCAGGTGAAAGCAGGTGAAGACTCAAGAGGAATCGCTGGTGTCAACCCGCAGGAGGGTTCAATGGTAACTTGCTGATTTCCCTGCAGAGTAAAGATGGACCCATGCTGTAAGCACTGCCGAGTGAATGAGTTCTGAGGACTGGAGCACCTAGCATAGTACATCACTTGGCAGAAAATGCAAAAAGATTATTGCATAGCAATGTGAAGGAAAAGGATTTGGGTTTTTTGTTTGTTGCTATTTTTCTTATGCATAAATAATTAAGAATACTTATAGCTTAGAAAAAAAGCCAGAGAAAGGATAAAAAGTCAAAACAGAAAAGAGACGACAAAGCCAATGAAGAATAAAGAACAGAATATCAAGAAATCCTTCACAGTTAAATTCTGGTTCACTGAAATAAGGTCTCTGGTGTATTTGTGGTATGAAGATAAAGATACATCCACCTCTTGAAAGCTTTGGGTGGCTGGGCACGGTAGCTCATGCCTATAATCCTAGCTCTTTGGGAAGCTGAGGTGGGAGAATTGCTTGAGGCCAAGAGTTCAAGACCCACCTGGGCAACATAGCAGGACTCCATATCTATTTAAAAAGAAAAAAGGAAAGCTTTGGGTCTTTCATTTACTAAGAATTATAGGTAGGGAGAAAAATCTTGTATTCTAATCTTAGGGGGACTAAGGTGATCTTCGGTTCAAGTTCAATTCATATTTTAGATGTGACAGAGAGAAGGGATGTGACCAGAGACAGAACTGAAGTAAGAGCTGAGATGGGGACTGTAGCTAATCCTAACCGACAAGGACAACACTTACATTTCCAAAATATTTGTCCAGCAGCTCCACGTAACGATGCACAATCTCTAGCGTCAAGAGCTCATTGTCCTGATTTTCTATTGCACAGCAAAAATATAAACTAGCATACCTTGAAATGAAAAATAACAAAAGCAAAATATGACAATACATTAAGCAACCTGGAGACAGTTTTTCCCACGAATATGCAGTCACCTCCTCCCCCGCCGAGCCTCTCCTCATCCAAGAATGAAATCATTATTCATCACCCCCAATAGCCTCCTGAAATATAAATCAGAATATATGAAAATTCTGTGGGGGTTGGATTACTTCCATTAATTACGCATGAAAGACTCTCAACAAAATTTTACCTTGAAGAGCTATTATCAGGAGGACAGTATCCTTTCGCTCTTGGTAATCAGGGTGTCTTCACACCCCTCTCCAGCTTGTCAATTGTTTTTTGTAAAATAGAAAGCCCTGACCAGTGCTGTCAGGAGCCCACGCTCCCCACCCTCCCACTTCACAATGGGCTTCAGTCATTCTGTGTGAGCCTCCCTCCTCAATTTGTCAAACTCCAACCTTGGGCCCAGCAGAAGGAGCTTTGCAGGCACTTGCTGGTAATTTACTCCATTGAATATCAATCTGTGAAGGTTGCCTCTGTTTTTCCCAACGAGCTTTATAAACACCCTTTGCAAGAGCATATCTAAGGATCATAACTCCTTCCGGGAGTTGCAGTAGGGTGTTGGATGCAGGGTCAGGTCAGCTGTGTTCTGTTCCTGGCTTAGGCATCAATTACCTGGGTCTCCAAGGGCAAAATTATGTTACCTCTCAGGCTTAGTTATCTCATCTATAAATTGAGGGTCCTTTCTAGTATGGTCTTGCCATGGCAAGCAGATATGGTAAAAACAATATACAGGCTTTAAAGCCAAAAAGATCTAGATTTGAATCCTGGCTCTACCAATTAACACTCAATTACTGTGACTGGGAACTGACTACTTAAACTCTTCATGTCCTCAATGTACTCATTACAAATTCAAGTAACAGGCATAATAAGAGCTGCCCCACTGAACACATCCCCATCTCTCTGTCATACTAACCTCCAGTTTTTCCAAAGCACTTGTTACTAAGTGAAAATATTGTATTTGGTTACTTAATAAATATGTATACTACATGACAGCAGGAATGTCATCTGTCTTGTTCAATGATGTATCACAGCCATTAGAACAATGCCAGGAATGGCCGGACATGATGGCTCACGCCTGTAATCCCAGCACTTTGGGAGGCCAAGGCAGGTGGATCACCTGAGCACAGGAGTTTGAGACCAGCCTGGCCAACATGGTGAAACCCCGTCTCTCTTAAAATACAAAAATTAGTCAGGCATAGTGGCAGATGCCTGCAATCCTAGCTACTCAGGAGGCTGAGGCAAGAGAATCGCTTGAACCCAGGAGGTGGAAGTTGCAGTGAGCCAAGATCACGCCACTGCACTCCAGCCTGGGTGACAGAGCAAGATTCCGCCTCCAACAAATTAAAAAAGAACAATGCCAGGAATGTAACAGGTGTTCATACCACTTTTCTTGAATGCATGCGTGCACTATCAAGGTGTAGTTTATTTACCTAGAATCCATCCTGGCACCTAGAATTTCTTTCAATAAAATGAGAGTTCTTTTCTAGTTAGTCTATTGGTACAAATATCTGGGCCCCAGCCTTCAAAGATTTCAGTAAATGATGGAATTGGTATAGCAATCTAAAATGTTCAGGATTAGAACAAACCAAAGTAAGACTGAGAAATTGAGCTCTCAAAAAGTTACTCACACCTTTTATAAACAAGTTTTAGCTCCTTCCAGTCAACAAAACTGCTTGTCCTGTGACCACGGGAGAGAATAATCTGAACAATTTCCCGGGTGATCTTCTTCCTCTCTTTATCAGGGAGAGTGATGTACCATTTCTGTAGCCGTAATTTCCCTTGTCGACTGAAGAGCAATATGAAATGTATCTAGAACAAAGGACACAAAAAACAGAACCTGATCAACCAAGTCACTCTGCCGTTCTGCAAAGACACTGAAATTCAATGATGGATTTACACAGAAAGATAATTCTGAACGGATGAAAAAATTCTTACCAGCATGAAAACTATCTCATCTGACAAATTATATTTAACCCATCAGAGAAAAAAGAAATGTGTATACCACAAATATAGCTTACTTTTATTATAGGAGAAAAATAAGTTTTTTTTTGTTTTTTTTGTTTGTTTGTTTGTTTGTTTTTTTGAGAAGGAGTGTCGCTCTGCTGCCCAGGCTGGAGTGCAGTGGCGCGGTCTCAGCTCACTGGGACCTCCACCTCCTGGGTTCAAGCGATTCTCCTGCAACAGCCTCCCAAGTAGCTGGAATTACAGGTGCCCACCTCCATGCCCGGCTAATTCTTTTATTTTTAGTAGAGACGGGGATTCACCATGTTGGCCAGGCTGGTCTCGAACTCCTGACCTCAGGTGATCGCCCCACCTCAGCCTCCCAAAGTGCTGGGATTACAGGCATGAGTCACCACACCTGGCTTTATTGTAATTCTTTTTAAGTGTTATAAACACACATAGGGAAAAATAATCAAGAAAGTAGTAGTACTTCTGTTTTTAAAACATTAATTTCTTCCTTTACAAGACAAAAAAAAAGTGTTAAGAACAACAGAAGGATTTACTTTAAAAATTATATTCCGGCACCAATATTTAACTATAGAAACATAATGATAATATAGAAATAAAGGGGACAAGGAAAGGAAGTGAGGCTGAAGCAAGGGGAACGAGAAAATGAGAAGCTGTCTTAAATGTAAGCTTTTTTTTTTTCTTTTGAGACAGAGTCTTGCTTTCTGACCCAGGCTGGAGTTCAGTGGCATGATCTCAGCTCACTGCAACCTCCCCCTCCCAGGTTCAAACGATTCTCATGCTTCAGCCTCCCAAGTAGCTGAGATTACACATGCACGCCACCATGCTCAGCTAATTTTGCTGTGTTTTTAGTAAAGACAGGGTTTCACCATGTTGGACAGGCTGGTCTCAAACTCCTAGTCTCAGACGATCCGCCCACCTCAGCCTCCCAAAATGCTGGGATTGCTGGCATAAGCCACAACATCCAGCCTTAAATGTAAGCTCTTTTCTCCATTTTGCACGCTACTTGGCTGAGAGCTTTAGAATCAACCATCTCAAGTTACAATTGTCTTTGGCATCACCATAGACTCTTAACAATTTAGACAGTATATTGGCTACACTAGGAAGCAACCTGATTTTATTTTCAAATAAGTTCTGAAATGTGTATTTGAAATAATGGTAATGAATTTTAAAAGATTTAAATAAGCAGAAGACATTAGAACATCTGGAAATTTACTTGAAAACCTTGGAAGGTACAGTATTTGGTGGCTCACACCTGTAATCCCAGCACTTTGGGAGGCCAAGGCGGGATAATCACTTGAGCCCAAGGGTTTGAGACAAGCCTCGGCAACATAGTGAGACCCCATCTCTAAATTTTTAAAGGCTCTGTTAGAATGTTTTTTAAAAAAGAAATTTTTAAAAACCTTGAAGTTATGGTATATTTAATTTTTGGGAATTGTCAGATGGCCTAATCTTTATTTTATGAGAATTAAGTTTTCTCAATCCACGGTATCAGAAGATCAGGTTTAGAATCATAATTTATTTTGTTCAGTTTTGTTTTGTTTTTAAAAAATAAAGTGCATTGTTTCAGTTGTGTCATGAAGGAAATTATATATACCAGGAACAAAAAATTATTAGATTTTAAGAAAACGTTTTACAGATAAAAGATTCAACTTTCGGCCAGGTGTGGTGGCTCACGCCTGTAATCCCAGCACTTTGGGAGGCCGAGGTGGGTGGATCACCTGAGGTCAGGAGTTCAAGACCAGCCTGACCAACATGGAGAAACCCCGTCTCTAATAAAAATACAAAATTAGCCACGTGTGGTGGTGCATGCTTGTAGTCCCAGCTACTCAGGAGGCTGAGGCAGGAGAATCACTTGAATCCAGGAGGCAGAGGTTGCAGTGAGCCAAGATTGTGCCACTGCACTCCAGCCTGGGCAACAAGAGCGAAACTCCGTCTCAAAAAAAAACAAAAAGATTCAACTCTATTGAAAAGGCTGAGGCCTAAAATGCCACGACATAAATCATTACAACCCACTAGGTGGCGATATCTGAGGGTCCAATGAAACCATGCTTTTTACTCAGATCTTCCACTAACCACCTCCCCCGGCTGCCTCACCACCACCCCCTGGCCCCAGCCTACAGAATTTGAGGTCTTCTTTTGGAGTGCAGTGGCTCACTGCGGCTTCAACCTCCCAGACTTAGGCGATCCTCCCACCTCAGCCTCCCTGGTAGCTGGAACCACAGGTGTGCACCACCATGCCTGGCTAATATATATATATATATATATATATATATATATAGAGAGAGAGAGAGAGAGAGAGAGAGAGAGAGAGAGAGAGAGAGAGAGAGTGTGTGTGTGTGTGTGTGTGTGTGTGTGTGTGTGTGTGTTTTGTAGAGACGAGGTCTCCCTATGCTGCCCAGACTGGTCTCAAACTCAAGCCTACAGAACATGAGGTCTTCTTTTGGAGGGCAGTGGCATGATCATAGCTCACTGCAGCTTCAGCCTCCCAGGCTCAAGTGATTCCCCCCACCTTGGCCTCCCAAAGTTCTGGGATTACAGGTGTGTGCCACCATGCCCAGCTAATACTTTTTAAATTTTGTTGTAGAAACGAGGTCTCCCTATGTTGCCCAGACTGGTCTCGAACTCCTAGGCTCAAGCGATCCTCCCACCTCCGTCTCCCAGAGTGTTGTGATTACAGGCATGAACCACCATGCCCAGCTTGAGGTTCTTAATAGTTCATCTTTTTTTTTTTTCTGGTAACTACAAATTACTTTTTTCATAATTTCAATTTCTGTGTTAGATTCAGGAGTATATGTGTGCTTTTCTTACATGGGTATATTGCATGATGCTGAGGTTTCAGGTACAACTGAACCTGTCAATCAGGCACTGAGTATAGTACTTAAGTTAGTTTCTCAGCCCTTGCCCCACTCCCTTTCTTCCCCATCTAGTAGTCCCCAGTGTGTATTGCTGCCATCTTTATGTTTGTAAGTATCCAGTGTTTAGCTCCCGCTTGTGAGAACATGCAATATTTGGTTTTCTGTTCCTGTGTTAATTCCCTTAGGATAACGGCCTCCAGCTGCATCCGTGTTGCTGCAGAGGACATGATTTTGTTCTTTTTTATGCTGTGTAGTATTCCATGGTATATATGTATATTACCATGTTTTCTTTATCCATTCCACCATTGATGGGCACGGAGGTTGATTCCATGTCTTTCTATTCACTTTCTATTGTGAATAGTGAATAGGTAATCTTCTTAGAAAAGAAACATCCGTTATAATAATGATATGAGGCCCAAGACATCACAGGTGATGAGAAACCAATTTAAAAACCCTCCTCATCAGCAGCTTTAAAAAAAATCACCTTCAGTCTGGAATTTTAACACAGCATTTTTTTTTTTAGTATCTGTTTCACTATAACACAGGTATAAACAATTCAATAATCTTGGCCAGGTGTGGTGGCTCACGCTTGTAATCCTGGCACTTTGGAAGGCTGAGGAAGGAGGATTGCTTGAGCCCAGGAGTTTGAGAGTAGCCTGGGAAACATAGCAAGACCCCATATCTATTTAAAATAACAATAAATAATAATAATAATAATCAAATTCAATAATCAAACACTACCTTCTGAGAATTCTATTCAGAAGGGTATTTTTGCTTCCAAGAAGAGATCATAAAAGTGACTGACACTCTACGAGCATAAAATAGAATGGTTATAGGAACACAAAGAATAGGGCTCAGCATTGCATCATCACGGTGCGTAAGATTATTCAATCCAATGCCTAGTGAACAGTTCCATTTTTACTGGGAAAATGAAGTCCACACATTTGCCTGGTATTCTCTTGCATTTCCTGCTAGAAATTTTTCTTCCTCCACCTAACCTAAATCTCTTGTTATAATTTAAACCAGTTTTCCCTGATTTTATCCATAGATTATATAAAAAGAGAATGTATCAAGTATCTTTGGAAGAATAACTAACTTCACTGATTTGGAGATAGGCTTTAAGTCTTTTTTTTTTTTTTTTTTTAGACAGAGTCTCACTCTGCCACCCAGGCTGGAGGGCAGTGGCGCCATCTTGGCTTACTGCAACCTCTACTTCCTAGGCTCAAGTGATTCTCCTGCCTCAGCCCCCTGGAGTAGCTGGGATTACAGGCGTCCATCACCAAGCCCAGCTAATTTTTGTATTTTTAGTAGAGATGGGGTTTCACCATGTTGGCCAGGCTGGTCTTGAACTCCTGACCTCACGTGATTGGCCCACCTCAGCCTCCCAAAGTGCTGGGATTACAGGTGTAAGCCACTGTGCCTGGCCGCCTTTAAGTCTTCTTTTAGCCTTTTCCTTCCAGACAAAATAAACCCAGTTTTATGTCTTCTGTTTATTGGTTCTATTTTCAGATCTCATAATCATCATTGTTGAGTATCCTCTGGGAATTCTCCATAGGCTAAACGTTACTTTTAATCGAGGGCACCTAGATCAACGTTGGAAGTTTTATTGAGAGGTGTAACTATTGCTGGGATTAATAGTGGATGCTTTTCTAGTTGGTCTGCAGGTCAAACTTATCTCAGGATCAGGTGTCTGCCTTCTTAAACAAGAATCAACAATGCAGAACAACGAACAAAGAGCAATGTTTCATTCTAACAACAAATTCAAGGAGAAAGGATGATCAGGAAAAGAATACATCCATTAAGCCCATATGAAATGCAAATATGCATTCCAAACTCAAAAACAGCAACAAATAGATTCAAGCTTATCCAATAATTGCATTGCATGAGGCAGTGTTGGAAGATTTAGCCCCCTCACGTTCTGCTCTGCTTGAGAACTGAGCTTGTGTTGTCGTGTCTGTCACCTCTCCAGATTTAATGAGGTAGCTGGAACAAACTGGCAGAATGAATTGTAATGATTCACAAGAGTTCATCACCTCCAGCAATTAATTTTATACAATTTATCAGTTTAGTCATTCAGGGCACATTTGAATAATACTCTTCAAAAGGTTAATAAAAAATACCATTTTTGATTAATATTCGCTTGAGAGTAGGAAAAAAAAGGCATGGGAAGACTTTTTCAATATTTGCCAAGAGCCAACTTAAATGCAAGTTGATGTCATAAACAAGTTCATCTGACTTCAGAAAACAACACTCTAGCATTCCCTTTCAATAATATTGTTGGGACAAAAGGAACAATGGAGGGACTCTCCCAGGAGACACCAACTTCAGCAACAGCTGTAACATCCAGGGAGGCGTGGTGACTTCTTACACTTGGCCCAAATGCTTGGAACCAGGTGGGCACCTGGTTCCACCAAGACCTCCATCCCCACCTCCAAAGGGGCAACTTCTGCCAGCCGCCATTTTGAGAGGTCTCACTTGTTAACAGATTATCCTTCAAACCCAAAGACATCAGGTGATTCCAGCTTTCTTTGTCCTCAGAGTGCCTACTAGAGCAATCCTTGGTCTAATTGGGCACAGTCCCAAATTCTTATTTAGACTCAGAACGCAAACTTCTATGGGCGTTTTCTAATCTCTTTCTGAAGCATGTTCTGGGGACACTGTTAGTCCTCCGAGGGAAGCACGAAGCGCAGCAGCACCAGTCTGCTGAGTCTGCGCCCTGGCCGGTGTCCGCATCTTCCTTCTAGGTGAAGAGGAACCCTGAAGGCTTCCAGTAGCAGCTTTGGTTCACATCTCCCTGCTCTTGACCTGGATCCATGAAATGGACCCACAGCCAGCTTCCAAGAAGAGAGACATCCAGGACCCTTACCTGTCCCCAGTATTGTCACATTCCAAACACCAGCCTTTCCGGACTAGCTCGTATCTCAGGACCTGAGCTGCTCAGACAAATACTCAGGCTGTGATTGGCCCATGGTTCTGAAGCCTGTTACAGTATGTTTAGGGGCTATTACCACCTTATTTACAGCAATCTGTGCTCTAACACAGGTTCAACCAACCCGACAGGCCCTCCTCCGGTGGCCCAGATGATGACCCATCCCTTAACGCCACTGCTCTGATCCTTACTTCCTCAGCCCTTTTTCCCACCTCTACAGCCACTCTGCAAATTCCCAAACCCGATCAGCACCCATCCACTCTCATCTTTGCTTTTATATGAAGGTCTCCAGGCACCCCTGAGAAAAATCAAAGAGGGCTTTGCAAATTGGTGCCACCGTTAAGGTCTGATGACCAAGCTCAGCTGAATCTCCAGTAGTACTCGGAGACCCTCCACGTACCTCTCAATACAAAGGATTTCCAAGCACCTTTCCCTTTGATCCCCCACGTGGGTCATTTCATATCACCACCATGCCCCCATATTCCCAGTCTCCATCCTCACTCCCTGACTCTGAGGAGAGGATAAAAGCCATGCTGGGGACTCCCTTGGCTCCTCCCAACCTGCATACCTGTGTGCACAGACTTGTCACACCCACCCCCCAACACGATGTATTTTCTTCCTGCATCAGAGAGCACAACACTTCTCATGTGCTGGCTTTCAACCCTCACCTACCTCTTTGAGAGCACGGCATCGTCACTCCCACACTACCAGGCTGTGCCCCCTCTTCTGGGGCTCCTCACCTGCAAATGCTGAATAACCCAAGTCTCTCTCATCTTTAAAAAACAACCACCCACCCCCAGACCTCCAACTCTCCTGAAAAGTGACTCAGCAGTAAGTGTCAAGAGTCCTATAAGTGCCCATATCTTTGGTTTCAGTAATTCTGCTTTTAAAATCTGTCTTTGACCAGGTATAGTGGCTCATGCTTGTAATCACAACACTTTGTGAGTCCGAGGTGGGAAGATCACTTGAGCCCAGGAGTTCAAGACCAGCTTGGGCAACATAGGGAGACTGCATCTCTACCAAAAAATAATAATAATTAAAAAATAAATAAAATATTTCTTAAGAATGTGCCCTAAAATGCAGACAAATATTGAGGCATTAGATGTTTACTACAGTTCTTTATATTAGCATACAAAAACAATAAAACTAACAATGCCTAAAGATCCAATAATAGAGTTTAAATGATATTTACTAAATAGTTTCAACAAAGTAAGAATGCTTATGATACAATGTTGTTTAAAAAAGATGGCCAGGTGCGCTTAGACCTGTAATGCCAGCACTTTGGGAGGCCGAGGCGGGCAGATCACCTGAGGTCAGGAGTTCAAGATCAGCCTGGCCAACATGGCAAATCTCCATCTCTACTAAAAATACAAAAAATTAGCCGGGCGTGGTGGTGGACGCCTGTAATCCCAGCCACTCGGGAGGCTGAGACAGGAGAATTGCTTGAACCCAGGAGGTGGAGGCTGCAGTGAGCCAAGATCACACCATTGCACTCCAGCCTGGGCAATAAGACCGAAACTCCATCTCAAAAAATAAAAACAAAAATAAAAAGATTATATTGTGTGTGTAGTATAAGAAAAATGTAAAACTATTCTTGCAAAAAAAGATTACATGAAAGAAATACACTAAATTGTTATAGTGGTTATCTTACAACAGTGGAATTATAAATGTTATTTTCTTCTTTGTACTTGTCTGGATTTTCCAAAATTCATATGTATGATTCTATAATTAGAAAAAAATGCTTAATAAAAAGAATATCAGTGAGTTCAATAAAAATCCATCAACATTCTATCTGAAGGTCTAATACTAAGTAAATGCCAAAGTTCTTTCAACAAATAAAACTTTAGCTCAAAGAGATGGCACATTACTCAGGTGACCCTGCAGTAATGGCAAAAAGAATGGCAGACTGTGTGGCTGCCAGTGGCTGTGGCAGTGTGTTGGGGAGGGATGAATAGGTGGAGGACAGAGGATTTTAGGGGAGTGCAAATAGTCAGTATGATACTATAATGGTGGATCCGTGTCATTATAAATTTGTCCAAACTGATAGAATGTCCAACACCAACAATGAATTCTACATGTAACAAACTCACACCTGTACTCCCTGAATCTAAAATATAGTTGAAATTACAAAACAAAAAATAAATTAATTACAGAGAGGAGTCAGTATAGGCTCATCAGTTGCAGCAGGTGTACTACTCTGGTAGGGGACGTTGATAATGGGAGAGACTCTACATGTGTTGGGGCAGGAGGTATATGAGAGATCTCATACCTTCCACTCAATTTTGTTGTGAACTTAACACTGCTCTAAAAAAATTAAGTCTTAAGAAATGTAAGAACTGTGTAACCGAAGTATCTCCTAGCTACACAACTAAGATGACAATTACATATGCATAGCGAAAACAATCATAGGTAAGGATCATTACAAAATGATCATCGTTGCCTTGTTAAGATGGAGGAGCCCTAATAACTATTTTTCTTTAATTTCAAAGCAATGTCATTTCATTCTGGCAATAAACTGAAGAAAGTGAAAGGGCAAGAAAGTGCGAACCTACAGTTTAGGTTTCATTCACATTAACTAGAGCATTGTTTTTACAGCAGGTGCGATCCAGTGGGTTATAAAACAAACTTAGTAGATCGTAATCAACATAATAAAACAATCCAGGGATGGTGACTCCTGCATGTAACCCCAGCACTTTGGGAAGCTGAGACAGGAAGATTGCTTGAGGCCAGGAATTCAAGACTAGCCTGGGCAACATAGTGAGACCGTGTGTCTCTACAAAAAAAAAGTTATTAAATTAAAAAAAAAAGAAGAAGGAGAAGGTCAGGTGTGGTGGCTCACACTTTGGGAGGCCAAGGTGAGCAGATCGCTTGAGCTCAAGAGTTCAAAACCAGTCTGGGCAACATGGTGAAACCCCATAATCTCTAAAAAAGATACAAAAATTAGCCAGGCATGGTGGCACACAATTGCAGTCCCAACTACTTGGGGGACTAAGGCAGGAGGATCACTTGAACCCAGGAGGTGGAGGCTGCAGTGAGCTGAGATCATGCCACTGCCCTCCAGCCTGGGTGACAAAGTGAGACCCTGTCTCAAAAAAACAAAAAAAAAAGAAGTGATATGGTTTGGATCTGTGTCCCCACTAAACTCGTGTCAAATTGTAATCCCCAGTGTTGGAGATGGGGCCTAGTAGGAGGTGACTGGATCATCAGGGTCTGGAGTTCTCATGAATGAGTTAGCGCCATCTCCTTGATGCTGTTCTCATGAGAGTCAGTGAGTGAGTTATTGTGAGATCTGGTTGTTTAAAACTGTGTGGCAGCTGCCCCCTCTCTCTTCTTCCTGCTTCAGCCATGTGAGGTACTGCTTCCCCTTCGCCTTCAACCATGATTGTAAGTTTCCTGAGGCCTCCCCAGAAGCAGAAGCCACTATGCTTTCTATACAGCCTTCAGAACCATGGGCCAATTAAACCTGTTTTCTTTATAAATTACCCAGTCTCGGGTATTTCTTTACAGCAATGCAAGAATGGATGAATACAAGAAGAAATATTTATAGACATCTGCAACACTCCTGGGTCTCAACCCTTCAGAGTGTGCAAAGCCATATGTCTTCATTTAAGAGAGAAAGGTGTTCTTGAGTTAAGAAGGTTGACAGAAATCTTCAAACAAACTTTGGAAGACAGAGACAGAAATGAGATGAAAGATTTAGCAAAATAGGGGAATTTGTCACTGAAAGGGTGAATTCCCAAGAGAAACCAGATAGGTCTCCCCATAGAATGCCTGAGAGCAATACTTGGGGGCACCATGTCCCTAGAAGACAAGGGATAAGGCAGAGTTCTGAAAGCAGGGAGAGTGGTTGAAAGTCTCCCTATCGAGTAACTGACATGTGCCACATGCAGATTTCTAGAGACTACAGCTAAGTGAAAACGCACATGCATATGCAACACACACACACACACAAACTACACCATACGATAAGTTTCCAATTGCTTCATCCAAGGGTACAGAAATTTAGGAACTCCATGCAGTTGGAGAACCTCTTAGCACAGCTTGCTCCGGCCCCCAGAGTCAGTAACCTCCCAAGCAGGGGCTGCTGACACTGTCCACACAAAGCAGGGTATTACCTAATCTGAGAAGCTCCAATGTAAATGCCACAGTTCTTTTTTTTGGGATGGGGTCTCACTCTGTCATCCAGGCTGGAGCGCAGTGGTGTGATCTCGGCTCGCCCAGGTTCAAGTGATCCTCATGCTGTGCCTCAGCCTCCTGAGTAGCTGGGATTATAGACATGTGCCACCATGCCTGGCTCATTTTTGTATTTTTAGTAGAGATAGAGTTTCACCATGTTGGCCAGGCTGGTCCCAAACTCCTGACCTCAAGTGATCCACCCACCTGGGCTTCCCAAAGTGCTGGGATTACAGGCATGAGCCACTGCGCCAGGCTGGACTGCCACAGTTCTTATATACTTAAGGCTTACATCACCACTCAGAGGACTTACATCATTTTCGCCCTTAAGAAGAGATATTTGGCCGGGCGTGGTGGCTCACGCCTGTAATCCCAGCACTCTGGGAGACCGAGGCGGGCACATCACCTGAGGTCAGGAATTCAAGACCAGTCTGGCCAACATGGTGACACCCTGACTCTACTAAAACTACAAAAATTAGCTGGGGCTGGGCGCGGTGGCTCACGCCTGTAATCCCAGCACTTTGGGAGGCTGAGGTGGGTGGATCACAAGTTCAGGAGATCGAGACCATCCTGGCTAACATGGTGAAACCCTGTCTCTACTAAAAATACAAAAAAAAAAAAAAAAATTAGCTGGGCGTGGTGGCACATGCCTGTAATCCCAGCTACTTGGGAGGCTGAGGCAGGAGAACTGCTTGAACCTGGGAGGCAGAGGTTGCAGTGAGCCAAGATTGTGCCACTGCACTCCAGCCTGGGTGACAGAGCAAGACTCTGTCTAAAAAAAAAAAAAAAAAAAGAAGAAGAAGAAGAAGAGATATTTGCAGATGCCTGCCACCCTCCTGGATCCTAAACCTAATTCAGAGCCTGAAAAGCTATGTATGTAAGGTTTCTGAACTTCCATCTCTAGCTTTGTCATACAGAAAAACCCATCTCTTAATTCAAGAGACTGAATGATTCTTCCCTGAAGACACTAAATGACAGAGAAAAGACCTTTAGGTACTAACAATGAAGCCTCCAGTCAACCTGTCTATGCCCTCAGAACTGCCTGTCAGCATTTTAAGCACCCTGCTTCTAACTATGAGTAGAGGACAAGAGTCCCAGGCATTTGAAAATAGCCTGTGCCAAGAAAGAGACAGAAAAGAACAAATAGGAAAAAAAAAACACTGGATACAGTAACAAATCACAGAGCTGAACAAATTGCTACACACACATACACACATACACACACACAGAGTATACTCAGAGATGGTTAAAAGATGAAGTTCCTATGTCAATAAAACAAATAACAGAGTTTCCTTTTTAAAAAAGAGATAAGAAAAAGTTCTTAAAAGTTAAAAACTATGATAACCAAAATAAAATCAAAGGAATCTCCAATAAACTGGACCCCCCCCAAAAAAATAGATGTAAGCTGGGCGCAGTGGAATGCTTGTAGTCCCAGCTACTCCAGAGGCTGAAGCAGGAGGATCACTTGAGCCCAGGAGTTCAAGGCCAGCCTTATAGCAAGATCCCATCCTTCAAAAATAATTTTTAATAGATGGAAAATTAATGGAAAATATAAAACTATAGAGGGAGTGCTGGGTGTGGTGACTCATGCCTACAATCCTGGCACTTTGGGAGGCCAAGGTGGGTGGATCACTCAAGACCAGGAGTTCAAGGCCAGCCTGGGTCAACATGACAAAACCCTGTCTCAAAAAAAAAAAAAAAAAGCCAGGCGTGGTGGCACATGCCTATGGTCCCAGCTACTCAGGAGGCTGAGGTAGGAGGATCGCTTAAGCCCGGGAGGCAGAGGTTGCCGTGAGCCGAGATCATGCCACTCCACTCCAGCCTCGGTGATAGTACAAGACTCTATCAAAAAAAAAAAAAAAGGCAATCAAATGCAATCAAACAAGAAGGTGTAATGATATCAAGAAAGATGAAGCAGAGATAATGGAGAGGAAGAAAATATCAAAGAAAGAATTCGAAATTTTTTCAAGAACTAAGTAGATGAGACTTCAGATTTTGAAAAGCCCATCAAGTGTGCAGCACAATGAATTTTAGAAGCCCATCAACACGAAACTTCAGAACAACCAGGACAAAGAGAGCAGCCTGAGATTCCAGGAAGACAGTTTACATGCAATGGATCAGAAACCAGAACCTGCAGATGATGAAAGACAAGATGTCTACATCCAGCCAAATTATCCATCAAGAGACATGACATTTTGACACATGCAAAGACTAAAAATACAAAGAAAAGAAATTGCCTCCAGTCTTTTTTTTTTTTTTTTGAGAAAGAGTCTTGCTCTGTTGCCCAGGCTGGAGTGCAGTGGCATGATCTCAGCTCACTGCAACCTTTGTTTCCTGGGTTCAAGCAATTCTCCTACCTCAGCCTCCTGAGTAGCTGGGATTACAGGCACCTGTCACCATGCCTGGCTAATTTTTTTTGTATTTTTAGCAGAGATGGGGTTTCGCCATGTTAGCCAGGCTGGTCTCAAACTCCTGACCTCAGTGATTCACGTGCCTCGGCCTCCCAAAGTGCTGAGATTACAGGCGTGAGCCACTGCGCCCAGTAATCGTTTGATTTTACCTAATGTAGTTTTTTTTCAACCTGTACAGGTTCATAGAATAAGGATGTCATTAGTCTACTGGCCTGTAGGTAGAGTAATACACTTTAATATATGTCCTGAAAGATAGTATATATTTATGGTATAAAATGTGATTTTTACACACATATGTTATAAAGTGATTACCACAATCAAGCTAATTAGCATATCCATCACCTCACATAGTTAAAAATCTGTGTGTGTGTGTTGTGACAACATTTAAGATCTACTTTCAAGATTCAAATAATCACAACCAGAAATGATAAGAGGGATATCATCACTGACCCCACAGAAATACAACTAACCATCAGAGAATACAAAAACACCTCTATGCACATAAACTAGAAAATCTAGAAGAGATGGATAAATTCCTGGACACATACACCCTCCCAAGACTGAACAAGAAAGAAATTGGATCCCTGAATAGACCAATAGACCAATAACTTGTTGTGAAGTTGAGACAGTAACAAACAACCTACCAACCAAGAAAAGCCCAGGATCAGATGGATTCACAGCTGAATTCTACCAGAGGTACAAAGAAGAGCTGGGACCATTCCTACTGAAAATATTCCAAAACATTGAAAAGGAGGGACTTCTCCCTAACTCATTCATGAGGCCAGCATCATCCTGATACCAAAACCTGGCAGAGACACAACAACAACAACAACAAAAACACATCAGGACAATATCCTCGATGAACATCGATGCAAAAATCCTTAACAAAATACTGGTGAACCAAATCCAGCAGCACATCAAAAAGCTTATCCACCATGATCAAGTTGGCTTCATCCCCAGGATGCAAGGTTGGTTCAACATACACAGATCAATAAATGTGATTCATCACATAAACAGAAATGAAGACAAAAACCACATGATTATCTCAATAGATGCAGAAAAGCCCTTTGATAAAATTCAACATCCCTTCATGTTAAAAACTCTCAATAAACTAGATATTGAAGGAACATAGCTCAAAATAATAAGGCCATTTGTGACAAAACCACAGCCAATATCATGCTGAATGGGCAAAAGCTGGAAGCATTCCTCTTGAAAACCAGCACAAGATAAGGATGCCCTCTTTCACTACTCTTATTCCACATAGTATTGGAAGTTCTGGCCAGGGCAATCAAGCAAGAGAAAGAAATAAAAGTATTCAGATAGGAAGAGAGGAAGTCAAACTATCTTTGTTTGCAAATGACATGATCCTATATCTAGAAAATCTTATCATCTCAGCCCAAAAGCATATTAAGCTAATAAGCAACTTCAGCAAAGTCTCAGGATACAAAATGAATGTGCAAAAATCACTAGCCTGTTGTTGGTGAACAACAGGCAAGCCAAGGGCCAAATCATGAACAAATTCCCATTCACAATTGCCACAAAAGGAATAAAATACCTAGGAATACAGCTAACAAAAACCACTGCTCAAAGAAATCAGAGATGACACAAACAAATGGAAAAACATTCCATTCTCATGGACAGAAAGAATCAATATCTGAAAATGACCATATTGCACAAAGCAATGTACAGATTCAATGCCATTCCCATTAAACTACCATTGACATTATTCACAGAATTAGAAAAAACTATTTTAAAATTCATATGGAACCAGAAAAGAGCCTGAATAGCCAAGACAATCCTAAGCAAAAAGAACAATGCTGGAGGCATTATGCTACCCAAACTATACTACAAGGCTACTACTTTGAGGCTACTATACTGCTTCAAACTATGCTACAAGGCTATAATAACCAAAACAGCATGGTACTGGTACAAGAACAGACACGTTGACCATGGAACAGAATAGAAAACTCAGAAATAAGACCTCACACCTACAACCATCTGATCTTCAACAAACCTGACAAAAATAAGCAATTTTTTGCTTATTTTATTAAATAAATAAAAATAATCATTTATTAAAAGGATTCCCTATTTAATAAATGGTGCTGGGAGAACTGACTAGCCACACGCAGAAGATTGAAACTGGGCTCCTTCCTTATACCATATAAAAAATCAACTCAAGATGGATTAAATACTTAAATGTAAAACCAAAACTATAGAAACCATAGAAGAAAAGCTAGGCAATACCATTCAGGACATAGTCACGAGCAGATTTCATGACAAAAATGCCAAAAGCAATTGCAATAAAAGCAAAAATTGACAAATGGGATCTACTTAAACTAAAGTTTCTGCAGAGCAAACGAAACTGTCATCAGAGTAGACAGACATCCTACAGAATGAGAGAAAATTTCTGCAATCTAGTCATCTGACAAAGGTCTAATATCCAGCATCTACAAGGAACTTAAACAAATTTACAAGAAAACAAACAAACAAACAAACCCATTAAAGTAGGCAAAGGACAAGAACAGATACTTGTCAAAAGAAGACATACATGTAGCCAACAAACATGAAAAAAAAGCTCAGCATCACTAATCATTAGAGAAAAGCAAATCAAAACCACAAGAAGATACCATCTCACACCAGTCAGAATGGCCATTATTAAAAGTAAAAAACCAACAGATGCTGATGAGGTTGTGAAGAAAAAGGAACGCTTTTACACTGTTGGTGGAAGTGTAAATTAGTTCAAACATTGTGGAAGACAGTGTCGCAATCCCTCAAAGACCTACAGGCAGAAACGCCAATTGACTGAGCAACTCCATTACTGGGTATATACCCAAAGGAATATAAATCATTCTATTATAAAGACACATGCCTGTGTACATTCATTGCAGCACCATTCACAATAGCAAAGACATGGAATCAACCTAAATGCCTATCAATGATAGACTGCACTAAGAAGATGTGGTACATACACAACATGGAATACTATGCAGCCATAAAAAGGAATGAGATTATGTCCTTTGCAGGGACATAGATGGAGCTGGAAGCCATTATCCTCAGCAAACGAACGCAGAAACAAAAAACCAAGTACTGCATGTTCTCACTTAGAAGTGGGAGCTGAATGATGAGAACACATGGACACATTGGGGGGAACAGTGGGGAGTGGAGGGTAGGAGGAGGGAGAGCATCAGGAAGAATAGCTAAGGAGGAAGAGCATCAGGAAGAATAGCTAAGGGATGCTGGGCTTAATACCTAGGTGATGGGATGATCTGTGCAGCATGCTCAAGTATATAATACATTATTATTAATATAGTCACCAAGATGTCTATTAAATCCCCAGAACCTATTCAATCTAAAACTTCGTACCCTTTGACCAACATCTCCCCTTTTCCCACCACCACCTAATACGTTTTTTTTTTGTTTGTTTTTGTTTTGAGACGGTTCACCATGCTGGCCAGGCTCGTCTCGAACTCCTGACCTCAGGTGATCCTCCTGCCTTGGCCTCCCAAAGTGCTGGGATTACAGGTGTGAGCCACTGTGCCCAGCCTACAATTTTTAAAGAGAAAGGATTGATAGTTTTTGCTGATTCTGTGTTTATCCTTTGTGTTTTAGTAAGTTACTACATATGCTCCTCAGCTATCACCTTTGGATTAAAGAGGTTTCACCTCTTGGGTTTTTTTTCCTACAATAGGTTTCTTAATTCCCTTATCATTTTGCATTTTTCTTCCTGAATCATGTCTAACTCCATTTCTTGCTCAGAATGGGGACTCACATATTGGTGGAACTGTTAAATTTTGAGAAATAGCAACTAGCCCTCTATTAATATTCTGGGTGGAGAATTGCTTTGGCTTTTCTATAGGGGTTAGAGAACACTAACGCCTATAACTAACCCCTATAACACTAACACTATTGCGCCACTGCACTCCAGTCTGGGCGACACAGAGAGACTCTGTGTCAAAAAAAACAATAAAATATAAAACAAAATAAATTATCCAGGAGTCAGACCCTCCTATGGTTTTCTTGAGAAAGCCTTCCTTTAAAAAGCCCAGGGTTTTATTGGGTATCAGAAACTTACAACTTGTGTTACTTTTCTCCAGATACAATAAACTCAACTAGCACTTGTATTTGCCACATCTTCTGGCAGCTTATCCTGACAGGTTTAACAGTTCTCTGGTAAGAAGTATCTAATAGCATCTGCAAACCGAGAGACCCAGCTGCCCTCTTCTTTCTGCTAGATCAATTATAAAAATGTTACACACGACTTGTCGGAGCACTCATTCCTCCAGGGCTCCATGGTTTACCTTTGAATGTCAGGATGAGCCCTTAAAACAATTATCCTGACGTCCTTCCTCTAAGCGCATCTGAAAGCCACAAGACTATCTTTCCAAGGCTACTCCCTCTCAACCCCTCTCCCTTGCGTCTGAACCCCCATCCGAGGGGCTTTCTGAAAAGTGGAAAGGAGGGACGTTCACTGTTTCTTCAGCAGCATGGCATATTCACCTTCTCAAAGGACTCCAGCCAAATCCAGTTCCCTCTTCCAGAAGCCAAGCTGCCTTCTCCCTAAAAAGGCCATCTGCAGGCCAGGCGCAGTGGCTCACGCCCATAATCCCAACACTTCCAAGGTGGGCGGATAACCTGAGGTCAGGAGTTGGAGACCAGGCTGACCAATATGGAGAAACCCCATCTCTACTACAAATACAAAATTAGCCGGGCGTGGTGGCACATGCCTGTAATCCCAGCTACTCAGGAGGCTGAGGCAGGAGAATTGCTTGAACCCAGGAGGTAGAGGTTGCGATGAGCCGAGATTGAGGCACTGCACTCCAGCCTGGGCAACAAGAGAGAAACTCCATCTCAAAAATTAAAAAAAAATTTTAAAAATTTATAAAGGCCATCTGCTGAAGCCTTTTGTAATGTATCCTTAGTATAGATTTTACCAGCATGCTCTGGGTAGAAATAAGATTTGCCAGACGGAAGTTTCCCAGACACTTTTTACACATGTTCTTAGGATGAAGATTCACTGACATCTGCCAGTCTTCTAATTTAGCGACCCTTTGAAACAAATGTTACATTCCACAAATTTAAATGTTAGCTTTTTCAAGCTTGCTGCATGCCATCCAGCCAAAATGGTGTAACTCAATCACTGTTCCGGATTTCATCCAGGGCCTGCTGGGCATTTATCACTAGGCCAGGCAGAAGGGGCCAGGAGGCGCCAGGAGGCAGTGGAATAGCTTGATTGTTAAGTGGGAAAACTTTGGTAATCAGTAGCTTGAGAGCTTGTATTTAAATCCCGGCTCTGTCATTTATGAGCTAAGTCGATGTGAAAAAGTTACCTGATCTTTGTAGTCTCCTTATCAACAAAATAGGAAAAACAATGATAAGGACCTCAGTGATGCTGGGAGAACAAAATGATATTACATATGTCAACCTCTATAGTGTAGAGTCCAGCAAAGAATGAGCATTCAGTAAATGTCTGTAATCATTAATAAATTACCCAGGCCAGTCACGGTGGCTCACGCCTGTAATCCCAGCACTTTGGGTGGCCGAGGTGGGCAGATCACCTGAGGTCAAGAGATCGAGATCAGCCTGGCCAACATGGCGAAAGCCCTTCTCTACTAAAAATACAAAAATTAGCCAGACGCGGTGGCAGGCATCTGTAATCCCAGCTACTCGGGAGGCTGAGGCAGGAGAATCGCTTGAACCCAGGAGGTGGAGGATGCAGTGAGCCAAGATCGCATCATTGCACTCCAGCCTGGGCAACACAGAGAGACTCCATCTCAAAAAAATTAATTAATATAAAATAAATTATCCAGGGGCCAGCCCCTCACATTTATACTCCCATTTATCTTCATCAAGGCAGGCAAAAACAATCTCTGCTTCCCCATTCAGAATCATCCCATTACTACCCCATTATTTATTTCACTAACAGTTTCCATGTTCTGATGGGAAGAGCCTCTGACAGCCATTTCACAGGTACCCCAGAAGGACATTCTTGGGAAACAACAAACTATTTGCTGTCTAGCTGACTTACTTACCTTGTCTCCTTAATCGCCTGGTCTCATCAGTCACCTTTCCATTATTATTATTTAAATAATAAGTTTATCCCAGAAACAGCAGGGATATACTTAGAGATGAGTAATCTGGAGTTCCTTTCTTTTTCTCTTGACCACTGACCAATGGTCTTCTGATCATGTATTTATTCAAGTTCCCTGTAAGGTGTTTACTTCAGGGTTCCCCATTTTTTCACTTATGGGTGTGTATTCTTCTAGCATCCTTTTTCTTTTCTCGAGATGGAGTTTCATTCTTGTCACCTAGGCTAGAGTGCAGTGGCGCAATCTCAGCTCACTGCATCCTCCACGTCCTAGGTTCAAGCGATTCTCCCGCCTCAGCCTCCCAAGCAGCTGGGATTACAGGTGCCCGCCACTGCGCCCAGCTAATTTTTGTAGTTTTAGTAGAAACTGGGCTTCACCACGTTGGCCAGGCTGATCTTGAACTCCTGACCTCAGGTGATCCACCGACCTCGGCCTCCCAAAGTGCTGGGATTACAGGCATGAGCCACGGCGCCTGGCCCTCTAACGACTTTTTCTATCATTGAGTGGCAGCAGCAGAATTTTGAATTTTGAGTTTTCACCTTCCCTGCTGATTCCTTAATTGTACTGCATTACTCCTCTAAGGTGAATCACTTTCACTCTTTTCCCACCAGTTTCTACGCACAGTCATAGCACCAGTTAGTGGGGATCGGAAGGCAGGTGTGGCCTGAACCAACTTCCCTCGTCTCTCTCTCCAGACCTCATGTCTTCATATCCAAATGCCTTTCACAGGCTTGGCAGAGGCAGGTAACATATTAAATAAGGGTAAAGATCAGCATCATACAATAGGGGGTGGAGGAGAGAGCAGCAACTATGAATCACAAGCTCCAACGAAAGCCGCAGCCACAGCTCTGCCATAGTCAAGTGTGGCCAAGAAAAACATGTCAATCACTGTTGCTAAGTCTTCAGATTTTTTTCCCAAAAGCCTGAAATCTGGATGATTAGGTGAAATATTGGAGTTGTCTTAACGTTGTCAATTAATAATAATAAAACCTTGTTCAGGCTGACACAGCTCACGCCTGTAATCCCAGCACTTTGGGAGGCTGAGGCAGGTGGGTCACCTGAGATCAGGAGTTCGAGACCAGCCTGGCCAACATGGCACAACCCCGTTTCTACTAAAAATACAAAAATTAGCCGGCCATGGTTATAGGCAGGTGCCTACAATCTCAACTACCTGGGAGGCTGAGGCAGAAGAATCACTTGAACCCGGGGGGCAGGGGTTGCAGTGAGCTGAGATCGTACCTCTTCACTCCAGCCTGGGCCAAAGAGCAAAACTCCGTCTCAAAAAAATAAATAAAATAAAATAAAATAAAACCTTGTTCAAGCTAAACAAAGCACACTGTGTGTGGATGTGGTCTGCAAGCTCTGTTTGGCTGCAGGCCTCATTTGAGGCTGCTGAATCAGATGATAGCTGGAGTCCCTCATCGCACTAACACTCTACAGCTTTGCTTGGCTCAAGAGATTTCTCCTTTCTGTGGCTTCTGAGACTACCTATTTGAGGAAGTGGTCCTCTGACCCAAGAACCTCGCTTCTATATCTCAGCCGAATATTACTGTCAAATCTATTCTGAGGTCAAAGTCTCTCATTTACATATATACATCAAATGTCATAGGTTTTTTTTCCCCTCAAGATTGCCAGCTCAGGTTTCCATGATAAATGAGAGGAAAATTTACATAAAAAATTTAAATCTCCACAATCTCAGAATGTCATTTTTGGCCTGCTGTCAATCTCAGAATCTCAGGTAGGCCTGTCATGTCAGCCTTTTTCCTGAAATAAAATGTTGAAAAGACACTGGCCAACATATTTCAATTATTTTCCTAATCCTTGCACACCATCTGGTGGCAGAACTAGCTACTGTGAAATGTTCAGGGAAAGGCAAATTAAGTGGATCTGAGGGGGCAGAACAGAGCTAGGAAGAACAGGATAAGAGGAACAACAATAAGGGGAAAAAAATGGAATAACACAGAAACAAACTGTTGACATGTATTAAGTCCATGCCAGCTACAAGTAACCTGCAGAATAAAAGGTTAACTGCTATGAATTATTAAGTAGCCACTTACGTGAAATGTGAACATTCTCTCTATAAAGACAATTCCTCATAAAATTGTCTGTCTGTTATCCATCCACCTGTATGGCACAGTAAAATTTAATGGAAGAAAAGAAGGAAGGAAGGATAGACAGGTAGTTACACTGAAAGGACAGAATAATCCACTTGCTATGAATTGAATTGTGTCCCCTAAATTCATATGTTACAGTCCTAACCCCCCAGTACTTCAGAATTCAACTTTATTTGGACATAGATGTTGCAGCTGGGTGCAGTGGCTCATGCCTATAATCCTAGCACTTTGGGAGGCCAAGGTGGGCAGATCACCTGAGGTCCGGAGTTTGAGACCAGCCTGGCCAACGTGGTGCAGCCCCATCTCTACTAAAAATACAAAAATTAGCTGGGTGTGGTAGCTGGTACCTGTAATCTCACCTACTCAGGAGGCTGAGACAGGAGAATCACTTGAACCCAGGAGGCGGAGGTTGCATGGAGCGAGATTGCGCCACTGCACTCCAGCCTGGGCAACAAGAGTGAAACTCCATTTCAAAATAAAAAGAGAGAGAGGGAGATAAGAAATAGACATTGCAGATGTAACTTGTTAAGATGAGGTCATACTAGAGTAGGGTGGGCCCCTAGTTCATTGTCACTGGTGGACTCATATAAAAGGGAAATTCGGGCCTAGACACACACACACACACACACACACACACACACACACACACACAAACACCACATGAAGGTGAAGGCAGAGATTGGGGTAATGCAACTGAAGCAAAGGTGCACCAAAGACTGCCCTTAAACCACCGCAAGCCAGGAGAAAGGCAAGCAACCCATTCTCTCTTGAGAGTTCCTAGAAGAAACCATTCTTGCCAGGCTTCTAGCCTCCAGAACTATGAGATGATAAATGTCAGTGTTTAGGCCACCCAGCTCATGGTACTTCCTTATGGCAGCTTAGCAAAGCAATCCACCATATATCTCTGGCTTTGAATTTTATGCCTTTTATTTTTAATCTCAAAAATCATCACTGTTGTTTTCTATCTCATTACAATTCCATATTATAAAACCAGATCATCTACATTCCAAAGATAAAGTCAGCAGATTCCATTCAACTTAGCAAATATTTATTTAGTAGCTACCACAGTGAGGTATTTAAAATGAAATAATAACTCATTCCTAGACTCACAAAATTCTAGCATTAGAAAGGACAATAAAGCTGATTAGGTACAACACTTCTCATCCTAAAACTGAAGAAATCTTCTCATGAACCTAGGTGAAAAAAATCTTCAACAAAATATTAGCAATTCAAATCCAATAATATATAAATAGAATTACACACTACAAGCAAGTGGGATTTATCCCAGAATGCAAAGCCAGATCAGCATTCAAAAATCAATTAATGTATGGCCAGGTGTGGTGGCTCACACCTGTAATCCCAGCACTTCCCGAAGTGGGGCAAGGAGGGCGGATCACTTGAGGTCAGGAGTTCGAGACCAGCCTGATCAATGTGGCAAAACCCCATCTCTACTATAAATACGAAAATTAGCCAGGCATGGTGGCACACACCTCTAATCCCAGCTACTCGGGATGCTGAGACAAATGAATTGCTTCAACCCAGGAGGCGGAGGCTGCAGTGAGCTGAGATCGTACCACTGCACTCCAGCCTGGGCAACAAAGCGAGATTGCGTCTAAAAAAAAAAAAAAAAGAAAAAAAATCAATCAATGTAGTCCAAGTATGATGGCTCATATCTGTAATCCCAGAGCTTCAGGAGGCTGAGGCAAAAGGATCACTTGAGGTCAGGAGTTTGAGACCAGCCTGAGCAACATATCGAGAACCCATCCTTACAGAAAATAAATAAATAGCCAGGCATGGTGACGCACACTTGTAGTACTACATACTCAGGAGGCTGAGGTGGGAGGGTCACTTAAGCCTGAGTTCAAGGCTGCAATGAGCTATGATCAGGCCACTGCACTTCAGTCTGGTGACAGAGCAAGACCCTGTCTCTTTAAAAAAAAAATCAATTAATATAATTTATCACACCAACAGGCTAAAAAAGAAAAATCACATGATTATATCAACAGATACAGAAAAAGCATTTGAGAAAACTGAACATCAATTCATGATAAAACTTCTTAGCAAACTAGGAAGAGAGAGGAATGCCCCCAACTTGATAAAGAACATTTACAAAAAACTACAATTAACATTATACTTAATGATGATATACTAGAAGCTTTCCCTTTCAGGTCAGGAACAAGGCAGGGATGAACTCTCTCATTACTGCTTTTCAATATCATACTAGTCCTAGCTAATGCAATAGGACAAGAAAGGGAAATAAAAGTATACAAATAGGGAAGAAAGAAAACTGAAGAAATCAAGGCCCAGAGACCTGGTGATTATACCTTCAGTGGTACAGTTTGAGGCAGAATTAAGATGATCTCCACATTCCCAGCCCAAGGCTATTTGCACTTAGCATCTGACACTTTTTCTCATCCACCAAAGCTAAAACCCCTACTGTTCATTTTTTCCAGTTATGCAAATAATTATAACCAGAGAAGTCTTTTGCTAATACCAGAGACCTATGTATAACAGTCGATGGTTGACATATGTAGGGCATGCGTCAGACACCATGGAAGAAGCACATTACACACAGTACTTCATTTAATCTTCCTCATAACCATGAGAAGTAGATACTATTATTATTCCCACTTGATAAGGACTCTAGGGCTTAAAAAAGTTAAGTACCTTGTTCCAGATCGACGAGCTAGAAGGTTTCAGAGCTGGGCTTTGATTCCAGAGCCCATTCTCTTAACAGCAATGCAACATTGCCTCCTTGAGCAGAAAGCAAAGAGATATACGCTGGCACCAGTTAGACTGGCCTTGCCCACTTTTAAAGTCACTATGATATTGAACCACCCATATAATGAGAAGGTAGCTCTCTTTTTTCTTTTTTTGAGACAGTGCCTCACTCTATTGTCCAGGCTGGAGTGCAGTGGCGCTGCAATCTCCACCTGCTGGGATCAAGCAATTCTCGTGCCTCAGCCTCCCGTGTAGCTGGGATTACAGGCACCCACCAACAAGCCTGGCTAATTTTTGTATTTTCAGTAGAGTGGGGTTTCACCATGTTGGCCAGGCTGGTCTCGAACTCCTGACTCCAAGTGGTCTGCCCGCCTCGGCCTCCCAAAGTGCTGGGATTACAGGCGTGAGCCACTGCACCCGGCCCATGAGAGAGTAACACTTAAAGCTCCCTCTGCCCCATCTAATACTAACGGTTTCTGTGACCACCATAAAAACAAGCAGAGAGGCCAAAAGGCCTAGGCTTACAGAGACTAAGAAGAAATAAAAATTCAACTGACGACAATAATGACACTAGTACTGAGTCATTCTGTGTCACTAGTATTACATTTATCACAGAAGTGACAATAAAATAGGTAGAAAAAGCTCTAAGTAAAGTTTTTGAACTGTCAACATTTTGCAAAAGATATCTGAGGCCATCTAACTAGTTTAGCTTGATCAAACGTGGGCTCTTATCTCTTCCTAGAGAGTGATGAGGAACTTAGAAAAGATTGTTTGTATATCTCTACTGAGGGTCTGGAACGTTATTGAGAGGAGGAGCCATTACTTCCTTTGAGATTTTAAGATAACTAAACAGACCTTGTATTGGCAGGGAAATCCCTGTTTCTAAGAGAAATGAGATGGGAGGATGGTAAGGAAGGAGGGGAGGAAGGTACAGTCACTATCTGCTGGGCTTTCTTCCTTATTAAGAAAGCATCCAGTTTTATTTTATTTTTTTTTTTTGGAGACAGAGTCTCACTGTTTTGCCCAGGCTGGAGTGCAGTGGTGTGATCTTGGCTCACTGCAGCATCCACCTCCCTGGTTCAAGCAATTCTCCTGCCTCAACCTCCCGAGTAGCTGGGATTATAGGCACCTGCCAGCATACCCAGCTAATTTTTTTGTATTTTTAGTAGAGGCAGGGTTTCACCATGTTGGCCAGGCTGGTCTCGAACTCCTGACCTCAGGTGATCCGGCCACCTCAGCCTCCCAAAGTGCTGTGATTACAGGTGTGAGCCACCACTCCTGGCCAAGAGCTCTTAAACAACTTTAACAAATCACCGCACAAATCCCAAACGCACCAAAGCCCAACTCTTAATAGTGTACTTCACTTTCATTTACTCTGAAACATGTTGGATCACAGTGTGAAATAAATTGTTACCAGTCTCATCAGTGGTTTCAGGAAGGGGCATTTTCTCTGGAGTTTTGATCTACCCCATGGTTCACAGTTCTCAAAAAAAATGTAACTTTCTGGAAACTAAATAATCTGGGAATATTTTTTGAACAACCAACCATTTTCTGTAGTGAAACTGCAATAAATCTATATCCTGGGCTACATAAATCAATATATGGTAGAACCAAAGTAAGATTGTTTTTCCATTACTACAATTAACTTAATTGTGTTAAAATCTGAACATTTCTAGCAATGAAAATTTCAGTATGGTTGATAGTACAGACCAACCTTTTCCTATGACTGCTTGAACCCTGTTGAAAGCCAAGTTTAAATTTTTATGATGTTATCAGATGTAAACAAACATAAATATATCTGCCAACAACTGAGTAAGAAGTGTTGTTTTTCTTCTTGTAAATTACTTCTACTTCATGAAGGCAATCCACCCCAGCTCCAAGATCTTCCATATTCAAGCAGGTCATAAATTTTCTTATAAATTCACTCTTTCAGAAAGTTAAAGCTTTATTCAAACTTAAATACAGCCAATTAATTTTTTAACTTATATGCAAGATGAGTCAAGAGGAGCTAAAATGGTATGCAAAATGCTATCAATTTCATGGCACAATTTTAGTGTTACTAAATGTTACTGCTCAAAATTCCATATGTAATTGCTTTTTGCTTCTTGCAACAACTCATTGGTTTTTTCCTAACAGCATGGCACTTAGGATGGTGGTAAAGGTGATGTACTCAACGAAAATTGTTCTTAAAAGTCCCAGGATGGCTGGTCATGTAATGCCTTTGTGATGAAAATTGTACACCTGAGTTTAGAAAATAATGTAGGAAATTTGAAGTCACTAAAACAAGGCAGAGGAACTATAAAGATGGAAGTATCTTGGGAGGCTGAGGTGGGCGAATCATGAAGTCAGGAGATCTAGACCATCCTGACTAACACCATGAAACCCAGTCTCTACTAAAAAATAGAAAAAATTAGCCGGGAGTGGTGGCGGGAGCCTGTGGTCCCAGCTACTCGGGAGGCTGAGGCAGGAGAATGGTGTGAACCTGGGAGGCAGAGCTTGCAGTGAGCCGAGATCGCGCCACTGCACTCCAGCCTGGGTGACAGAGCGAGACTCCGTCTCAAAAAAAAAAAAAAAAAATAGATGAGAGTATCAATTCCAAAAGGTACTTAATAATGAGTGCAATTTTCCTGACCTTTGAAAGGTGAAGTGGACAGCACAAATGTAAAGTGCAAGGATGACTTTATTCAAACTTAAGTAGAATGTTGAATTATACAATCCACCCTACCCTGCATCTCTAATTTCACAGGCTGAACAATGCTCCTTTTCCAAAGAAAAAAATGAGTGTGAATGAGAGTCAGGTAAAGCTAGACATGTGAACCTCCCAATTGATGGCTAGTTTCGTGCTCTTAAATTTAGGTCCTACCCCTGGCTCCAGCAAGACAGAAGCCACCAGCCAGGCAGTGGCTGAGCACAGATCCCACACCCTCCAAAGTAGCAGCTACAGATCTTTGCTGCCAACCTGGGGATGTACCCACTAATTAATTTCACAATGCACCCTCAAGTAAGCACACTTGCTTTGCCAATGCCAGAATTTCCTTTCTTCTAGTTTTCCAGGTCATTGATTATAATGACAGGAAGATAGAAAAGATGAGGATCAGCCCAGTATGGTGGCTCATGCCTGTAATCCCAGCACCTTGGGAGGCTGAGGTGGGAGGATCATTTTAACCCAGGAGTTCAAGACCAACCTGGGCAATATAGTGAGACTCTATATCTACAAAAAAACTTTTTTAAATAAATTAGGCCAGGCATGGTGGCACATGCCTATAGTCTCAGCTACTCAGGAGTCTAAGGCAGGAGGATGGCTTGATTTTAGGAGGCAGAGGTTATGGTGGCGTGGAGGTTGCAGTGAGCCATGTTCATGCCACTGCACTCCAGCCTGAGTGACAGAGACTGTTTCAAAAAAAAAAAAAAGAGGTTTCTAGAAATTACTAGAATCTTCTAGATCAAATGAAAGGCAGGAGAGTGTTTTTAGTAAGGATATTAATGGTAAAATCTGCAAATTATGTTTGGGCGTCCAGTTCAAATATCTACATTTAGGAAAAGACTGAATTTTGCAGCAGTGTTACAGGGAATTGGCAGATCTGGTTCTAGTTGGTTGAAAAACACCTTAAACTAACAATAAAAATGATTTAGGCTTAAAACTTACACACATACAACCGTGAGTCAAATGAAAATAACCTGTAAGAAAATATTTATTAGAGAAACAACAGCAGAAATGAAGTTGCCTCAGAATAGCACAGCAAAGAAAAAGACAGCATTAGGCAGAAGCCTTAAAAAACTCATCAGCGGGCTTAGGAAGAATGAAATAGTGACCACTGCAGCTTTAGCATGTTATGGGCCAGATGCCGAGGCTCACGCCTCTAATCCGAGCACTTTGAGGGGCTGAAGTGGGTGGATCACCTGAGGTCAGGAGTTTGAGAGCAGCCTGGCCAACATGATGAAACTCCATCTCTACTAAAAAAAGAAACAAAAATTAGCTGGGCATGGTAGCGGGCACCTGTAATCCTGGCTACTCGGGAGCCAGAGGCAGGAGAATCGCTTGAAACAGGGAGGCAGGGGTTGCAGTGAGCCAAGATCGCACCATTACACTCCAGCCTGGTGACAGAAGCGAAACTCCATCTCAAAAAAAAAATTGTTATGTACAATTTCCCAAAATACTTCTGAAGATTATGTTTCCTGCCTTTCAATTATAACATGCAATGCTACACTTCTGATGTCAAGATAAAATTTAGCCTCAAAATTTATTCTGCTAAATCATCCACCAGGTACTTTATATATTTATCCAACACCATTCTAATTTACTTTAACAAATAAGTGCTAAAGCCTTATTATAGTTCAGAACTATGTCTAACTTCTTATACGTCTTAACGTGTTTTGAAATAGCTGGCATTTCTTAAAGGTTGATCCTCAAACTGCTTTGCTTTGAAGTTTCAGTGAGTTTGGTTATTTTTTCCTTTTGCTTTATTCTTTTTTACCCATGTATTATACATAATTATAATTTTCTCAGAACTTTTACAAATAATTATTATTCTGAGGTTAAATTTGAATATGTTCTGTGCCTTCACTAGGCTGAGTATACCAGAAACCTCCATTCCTAACACTAATTGGCCAACTGCAGAAGCAAAAATGTCACAGGAGTTGGCACTCCACTAAGAAAACGTTTTACCAAATTACAAAGAGAAAGAGAACTAAAAAGAACATCAGACTCTCAACTTCTAGAAAAATAAATATAACGCCAAACTTGGGTCAAACACAAGAAAAACTGCATACCTCTCTGGCAGGCAGCCTTGTCAAGTCAAAAAGAAACTAGACAAGTTCCAGTGCAGTAGATGACCACGTTTTCACTGTTGAAAGCACCAAGCCCAAATAACACCTCCTGGTAATCACGTCAGGAAATGCAAATGCATGCCATGTGAAAGGAATGGTCACATTTCACTTTTTTATATAAACAAAGGAATTTTTTTTTTTTTTTTTTTTTTTTGAGATGGAGTCCCACTCTGTCACCCAGGCTGGAGTGCAGTGGTGGGATCTCAGCTCACTGCAAGCTCCGCCTCCCGGGTTCACACCATTCTCCTGCCTCAACCTCTCGAGTAGGTGGGACTACAGGCGCTCGCCACCACGCCCGGCTAATTTTTTCATATTTTTAGTAGAGACAGGGTTTCACCATGTTAGCCAGGATGGTCTCGATCTCCTGACCTCGTGATCTGCCCACCTCAGCCTCCCAAAGTGCTGGGATTACAGGCATGAGCCACCGCACCTGGCCAACAAAGGATTATTTTTATGTCATTTTAGCTGTATATGACATAATTTAGATTGTCCTTTTATTTTCTTACAGTCAGAAGTTACCTTTATACTTTCAATATTTAGAATATGTATACATTCTTATAGATAAAAACATATACCTGTGTGTGTGTGTGTGAGAAAGTGAGATCATAAACTTTCTTTTTGAGGTCCTAATTATTTCAGCCTTGTTCATGTTTATCTTTATAACATCTTAAGAAGAAAATTAATAGAATAAACAACATTGCAATGGCTCTCCCAGAGCATAATTTCAGGTGGTTTTTTCTACATTTCTGTTTTTTTTCTAAATTTTCTACAATAATTATGCATTACTGTCATAATTTTTTAAAATTTAATTAAAGATTGCTAGAGAAATACAAAATAGGCTGGGCACAATGGCTCACCTCTGTAATTCCACCCTTTGGGAGGCCAAGGTGGGAGGATTGCTTGAGCCTAGGAGTTTGAGATCAACCTGGGCAACATGGCGAAACCCCATCTCTATTAAAAATACAAAAATTTAGACAGGCATGGTGGTGCACACCTGTAGTCCCAGCTACTCAGGAGGCTGAGGCAGGAAGATCGCTTGAGCCTGGGAGATAGAGGTTGCAGTCAGCCATGATCATGCTACTGCACTCCAGCCTGGGTGACAGAGTAAGACCCTGTCTCAAAAAAGAGAGAGACAGAGAGAAAAATACAAAATACAGTAGCTACTCCAATACAGGAAGGGAAGAACTGGGCTTTCTGGAATTCTGGACAGCTAGAAATAGATATTATTCAGGGACATCACCTCAACACACTCCACTCAATAAAATAGGGCTTTGTTGATACTGGGTTTGGGTTGAGAAAGAGCCCAGTATTTGCAAGCATTCTTTTAATCAGAGTGATAAGGTTTGGATCTGTGTCCCCACCCAAATCTCATGTTCAACTGAAATCCCCAGTGTCAGAGGTGGCCTGGTAGGAGGTGACTGAATCATGGGGGCTGAATTCTCATAAATGAGTTAGCATCATCCTTCTGGTGCTGTTCTTGCGATAGTAAGTGAGGAAGTTATCACGAGATCTGGTTGTTTTAAAAGTGTGTGGAACCTCTCCCCTCTTGTTCCTGCTCCCCCACATAAGATGTCTGGCTCTCCATTCACCTTATCATGATTTTAAGTTTCCTGAGACCTCCCTAGAAGTCGAGCATGCTTCCTGTATAGCCTGCAGAACTATGAGCCAATTGAGCCTCTTTTTTTTTTTATGAATTACCTAGTCTCAGGCATTTCTTTTCTTTTTTTTTTTTTTTTTTTTTTTTTGGAGACAAGGTCTCACTCTGTCACCCAGGCAGTGACAGAGGTGTGATCATGCAGTGGTGCGATCTTGGCTCACTGCAACCTCCACCTCCCGGATTCAAGTGATCCTCCCACCTCAGCCTCCTCAGTAGCTGGGACTCCAGGCACAGATCACCACGCCCAGCTAATTTTTGTATTTTTTGTAGAGACAAGATTTCACCATGTTGGCCAGGCTGTCAGGTATTTCTTTATAGCAGTACAAAAATGGATTTATACAAACAGTGAACAGAGCTGGTATAAGTTCTTCCTAAATGGTGAAGTAAGGCCCCAGAGCAGAAGGAGGTGATATGGTCAGCACTGAGCTTCAAGGTTCAACGAGAACCCTATCCTGCTCAACAACATCATTGGCAGACATGAGGCAACATTAACTCGGCAGGCCCAGAGAAGCTGCGCTGCAGAGAACTGCCCCACTCCTCTGCGAGGGCCCCTCCCTTCTGACAGGCTTAGAACTCTAGGCTAAGTAATGGGGATTGAATCCAATGCTACATGTTAGGGTGGGGATGGTATTTTTTTGGTCAATCCATAAATTACCTGAAACACTGCAGAAGAAAGGACTCTTTCCAATCACTTTTATGTTAGAAAGTTGCAGAATGTATCATTCCTAATTTTAAATGACCCATCTTTGCATTAGGCAGACCTAAACAGACCTCTAATTTTTGATTCTCTGTAGCATATTGACTAGAACACACTAGACTAATGCACTAGAAAACAATCTGGCAACTAAATTTCCTTATAAATACTCAGTTTCCTTCAGAGTACTCAATACTTTGTTTTTCAATAAAATTTAATAGGCTTGGCTGGGCACAGAAGCTCACGCCTGTAATTCCAGCAATTTGAGAAGCTGAGGCAGGTGGATCGCTTGAGCCCAGGAGTTCAAGACCAGCCTGGGCAACATGGCGAAACCCCATCTCCACAGAATTAGCTGGGTGTGGAGGAACATGCCTGTGGTCCCAGCTACTGGGAGGCTGAGGCAGGAGGATCACTTGAACCCAGGAGGTTGAGGCTGCAGTGAGCTGTGTTTGTACCACGCCACTACAGCCTGGATGACACAGGGAGACCCCGTCTAAAAAAAATAAATAAAAATGGACTGGCTGGGGAAGTTTGAGGAGACCGCATTAAGAACATTATAACAATTTCTTCAACAATTGCTCCCTTACAATCTGTTATTAATATAATAGTTAGATTTGTCTTTGGTCAGAGCAGGTCACTCCCCTGCACAAAACTTCTCTCCAGGAAAGAGCCAAATCCTCACCATGGCCTGCAAGGCCATACTCAACATGCCCCCTCACGACCTCTGAAATCATCTACTCTTCCCTTCGCTCACTGGACCACAGGGTCTTTGCACCAGCTATGCCTTCTGCTCAGAACACTTCCCCCAGATATCTCATGGGCCCCTCCCTTACCCCCATTGAATCTGTTCAAAACCCCACTTCTGGCTGGGCATGGTGGCTCACACCTATAATCCCAGCACTTCGGGAGGCCAAGGCGGGCAGATCACTTGAGGTCAGGAGTTCGCGACCAGCCTGACCAATATGGTGAAACCCCGTCTCTACTAAAAATACAAAAGTTAGCCGGGCATGGTGGCAGGTGCCTGTAATCCCAGCTACTCGGGAGGCTGAGGCAGAGAATTGCTTGAACCCGGGAAGTGGAGGTTGCAGTGAGTCGAGATCGCGCCACTGCACTCCAGCCTGGGGGACAGAGTGAGACTCCGTTTCAAAACAAAAACAAAAACAAAAACTCCTTCTTACTTAGTAAGGCCTACCCTGACCACCCTATATAAAATGCACCGTTTCACCTTTATTTATTTTTTTTTTTTTTGAGATAGAGTCTTGCTCTGTCGCCCAGGCTGGAATGCAGTGGCGCGATCTCAGTTCACTGTAACCTCTGCCTCCCAGGTTCAAGCGATTCTCCTGCCTCAGCCTCCTGAGCAGCTGGGAATACAGACACACGCCACCACGCCCAGCTAATTTTTGTATTTTTAGCAGAGACAGGGTTTCACCATATTGGTGAGGCTGGTCTCAAACTCCTGACCTCGTGATCCACCCGCCTCGGCCTCCCAAAGTGCTGGGATTCCAGGTTGAGCCACCGTGCCCGGCCTATTTTACTTTTTATGTATTGCCATTATTCTACACTCTACAATATGAGCTCCATGGGGCAATGATGTTTGTCCCTCACAGTTATGGGGAGAAGCCTCTACTCAAAGTTAAGTGGCTTATTAAACTGTTCAGGACAAGAATCTGGGGATCCTGACCTCAAACACAGTTGTCTTCTGACAAAAGCAAAACACGGCTGACCC
Organism: Homo sapiens; assembly: GCF_000001405.40. Lineage (NCBI taxonomy): Eukaryota > Metazoa > Chordata > Mammalia > Primates > Hominidae > Homo > Homo sapiens. The sequence goes on from NC_000002.12 coordinate 223,810,225, forward strand.
AGTGAAAATTTAGACTAAGTGGCTTAATATATGACAGGGGAAAATAAAAAGACACCTGATCCCACACCCACCCCTCTCTCTTTTGTAATTTTCTTTTTCTTTTTTTGAGACAGGGTCTCCATCTATCACCTAGGCTGGAGTGCAGTGGCACAATCACCACTCACTATAGCCTCAACCTCCTGGGCTCGAGCCTCCCACCTCAGCCTCCCAAGTAGCTGGGACTACAGGCATGCGCCACCACACCAAGCTAATGTTTATATTTTTTGTAGAGACAGGGTTTTGCCATGTTGCCCAGGCTGGTCTCAAACTCCTGAACTCAAGCAATCCACCCACCTTGTCCTCCCAAAGTGCTGAGATTACAGGCGTGAGCCTCAGTGCCCAGCCTTGTAATCTAATTTTCTAAATATATTACTCTTCAGTTTGCACCTGGCCCAGGGAAGCAGTACTATTTCCTTTCTAGAAACAACACAAAAAAAGTCTACATACCTAAATGCAAAGATGTGCTGTCCCACTTCAAAAAAAAAATACTATGCAGAAAATGTTCAACAAATACGTTGTGATGAATGGAAAACTCCTAATAAAGTAGGTAGTTATTATTTATATTATAATAAATCATTATGGTATTAAAAGATTCCTCTCTTACAGACTCATTTACTGTAACATTCTTTTAAGAAGTGCATCATCTTTTTATTATGGTTTAAATTTTGGCTCCTTTTTTTAATTTTCAAATTTTTAAAAATTTTTTGTGATAAAATATACATAACATGAAATTTCCCATTTTTTTTATTTCAATAGCTTTTGAATTACAAGTGGTTTTGGTTACATGAATGAACTGTAGAGTGGTGAAGTCTGAGAAATTTACCATCTTCACCTTTTTTTTTTTCTTGAGACAGAGTCTTGCTCTGTTGCCCAGGCTGGAGTGCAGTGGCATTATCTTGGCTCACTGCAACCTCTGCCCGCTGGGTTCAAGCGATTCTCCTGCCTCAGCCTCCCAAGTACCTGAGATTACAGGCGCCCACCACTACACCTGGCTAATTTTTTGTATTTTTAGTGAAATATCTGGCCAGGCACGGTGGCTCATGCCTGTAATCCCAACACTTTTGGAGGCTGAGGTGGGCAGATCACCTGAGTTCAGGAGTTCAAGACCAGCCTGGCCAACATGGCAAAACCCCTTCTCTACTAAAAATACAAAAAATTAGTTGGGTGTGGTGGTGAGCACCTGTCATCCCAGCTACTCAGGAGGCTGAGGCAGGAGAATCGCTTGAACCCGGTGGGTGGAGGTTGAAGTGAGCAGAGATCATGCCACTGCACTCCAGCCTGGGTGACACAGTGAGACTCCATTTCAAAAAAAAAAAAAGAAAAAAAGAAATATCTATTAAGCCCTTTGCCCATTTTTTCATCAGGTTGTTTTGGGCCCCATTTTTAACATTTCCATCTAATACAACTATTGATGCTGGGGGCATTCTGATTCAACAGCTATTTGAGACTTGGGAGTTGTATTTATGTCTTGGGGACTCTTGGACACACACTGTAGAAAACAGAATATGTGATTTGGTAGGTTTTAGGTATCCTATAATTGTCTTAAGGCCTGCTTATTCTCTGCCTGTTTGCTATTGAGCTGATAAAATAATGGCCATAGGAAACAATCTGGCACAGTGGCATAAACTGTGGTCAGAAGCCCAGATTTTGCCAAGAATCAGTTCTACATGTTTATGTAAGTTGACCAGCATCTCTAGGGAGATTAACGTGAGATGATTCCCAAGGTTCAACTTTAACTATCTGACGCTATGCCTTTATCCACAAGGCAATGATAACCATATATTCTTCAAAATATTGGAATCCAGAGAGGGATTCTCAGGTCAGTAGTCACAAAGCATTTGTTTTACATACTTCTCAGAAGCCAAATATTATAGAATAACACAAATATCACATTTATTGACCCAGATCTTCTTCCATTTATGCATGCAGGCATGTAAGCCTTTTTGTTTGTTTGTTTTTTGTTTTTGTTTTGTTTTGAGATGGAGTCTTACTCCATGGTCCAGGCTGGAGTGCAGTGGTGCAATCTCAGCTCACTGCAACCTCCACCTCCTCGGTTCAAGTGATTTTCCTGTCTCAGCCTCCCGAGTAGCTGGGATTATAGGCACGCGCCACCACGCCTGGCTAATTTTTGTATTTTTAGTAGAGATGGGGTTTTGCCATGTTAGCCAGGCTGGTCTTGAACTCCTGACTTCAGGTGATCAGCCCGCATTGGCCTCCCAAAGTGCTGGGATTACAGGTGTGAGCCACCGTGCCCAGCCAGCATGTGAGCCTTTATAAAACGTCAGAGCAGTAAATTTTGGTTCCCTTTCCAACTCCTTGCTCTTAGAGAAGTGGCTTTTTTGTTTTGGGGATTTTTTTCTAAACACGGAAACTTTAGTTCTGAAAAATAAAACTTAATTATGAAGAATAAAATGTAAAATTTGAGCTACTCTGATTTAAGAGAATTTGGAAGGTATTCAGGGATTCCATAAAGCCTGGCCTGAAAAACCACTGCCTTTGAGTGCCACATCTTCCTGTTCAGTAGTAGAGGGAGAGAGAAGGAGTAAATCAGGAATGTGCAGTGAAGTTACAAAAATGAGTAAGGAACTCAAAATTGTCAATAAAAACAATCAAAAATCACTTTTCTTCTATTATTGTTTCATGTTGCCATTTTGTGTGGGGTTTTTTGTTTTTTTTTTAATTTGAGATAGAGTCCTGTTCTGTCGCCCAGGCTGGAGTGAGGTGGCATGATCTCAGCTCACTACAGCTTCCACCTCCCAGACTCCAGTGATTCTCCTGCCTCAGCCTCCCAAGTAGCTAGGATTATAGCCGTGTGCCACCACGCCCAGCTTTTGTATTTTACAATAAAAATTTTTGTATTTTCAGTAGAGAAAAGTTTTTGCCATGTTGGCCAGGCTGGTCTCAAACTCCTAACCTCAAGTGATCTACCCCACTCAGCCTCCCAAAGTGCTGGGAGTACAGGAGTGAGCCACCATGCCTGGCCCACATATGCCATTTTGAAACCTTAGTGAGCAATTTTCCTATGACTTTCAAAACGTGCCTTTTGAAATTTACGCCTGGAGATGGTGTTCAGCCTCTCCGTGACAAATAATATTAATTTACTGCTTTTGTACATTATTTGGAATATCATTTACTACATGTCACGTCTTATGCTAAGTATTTTACCTCATTTAATCCCCACAACAAACACATGAGGAGGATAACAATTATTTTCCATCTTTTAAAATGTGGTAACTGAGGATCAGAGAGATTAAGTAATTTGCCCAAGGTCACACAGCTATAAGTGGTAGAACTGGGCTTAGAAGCCAGGCAGGCTGGCAGCAGATCCCCAACTCTGAATATTTTTACCAACTATAGCCCTGTTTGGAGAACATAGCTGAGCTAAATACACTCTGACACAGCCCCTCTATCCCTTCATAAGACATTTTCTAAAAGTTGAACACCAGTGTATGGGATAGCAAAGACAAACAAATCATCCTCAGAATAGAAGGTAGTTCCTTGAGTGAAAGAGGTAAGAAGGGAGGGGCAGCCCTCACATCCACAAAGGGTCCCATGCTTAGAATCATGGCCTTATTTAGGCTGTCACAGAGAAACCCCAATGAGGCCAAAAGACAGAGACGTCCTTTATACATCAATAAGCACATGTCCTATTCCAAGCTTAAGCTCCTGGCATGCACAGTGAGTGGACCCATGCATCTTTACAAATCCTTAAAACATTCTGCAGAAGGCAAAATGAAAGTACCCAGTATTTTATAAATGACACATTCATTAACTTGTTAAGCACAAGCCTTTAAAATGTGCCACCAACTAGCGTCAGATGTGCCCCAATATTTATAACCTTGTTTCCACACTACCTTCATTTTTTAACATACCAGTGGCTTCCGAAAATGGAAGTGGCAGGAGCTTTCCAACCCTGAGTGGCCCTAACCTTCTGTGACTCTGGGAGAAAGACTTCAAGAAGCAAGTAAGAGAAAAAACAGTGGGAAGAGGCCTCAGTGGATACGGCTGGCATCACTAGGTATCTCACACTCTGTTCTTTGTTTTCTGTGTTAACAATGGGACGTGGCTGTTCTCTGCCTTTCACGTTCTGTTCTGCCCCATCTAGTTCATAGCCGGCAGCCTCAGCAAAGACCATGTCCACTACAAGAAGTTAAATAAAGCGGCAAAAATGACAAGGGGTTGGCCTTTCTGCTTCTCAGGCATCACCTAATTCTGAAATCAAATGTACTTGAAAGGTAACATTTAGACCATTCCTGGCCCTCCAGGACAAAGTAATCAGGGATTTGAACATGGGGCTAGTTTTCCAAAGACCCTAACAAACTTCACAAACGAAATTCTCACTGGTCACATGAACATCCACTATTTACAAAACATTCTCATTTCAAATATAGAAACTACTTAGTTACACTTCAATCAAAATGAGGTTTGCACATTAAACTAAAAAATATGACAGGCGTTCTAAGACTATACAGGAGATTTCAGGCTGACAATAAGAACTAAGACTCAATGTTTATTTATTTTTCTTTAATTTGAAACAGGGTCTTACTCTGTCACCCAGGCTGGTGTACAATGGCACGATCACAGCTCACTGCAGCCTCAACCTCCTGGGCTCAGGAGATCCTCCTGCCTTAGCCTCCCAAGTAGCTGGGACCACAGGTACACACTATCACTCCGGGCTAATTCTTTTATCTGTAGAAAGGGGTGTCTCACTATGTTGCCAGGCTGGTCTTGAACTCCTGGGCTCAAGCAATTTTCCTGCCTTGGCCTCCCAAAGTGCTGGGATTATAGGCATGAGCCAGTGCACCTGGCCCCAATCTTTATTTTAAATAAATGTGATTTAGTATTTGACTTAGACTTTCGATTGATTTTACCAATAGGGTGACAGAGTTAGCAAAACAATACCACTGATTCTGAAAATAAATGTCAATGTGCCATAAACCATGTTGGAAAAATCTTTGAGTACTTTTTGGCATCAAACCAAGAACACAGTCATCAGTTCTCCTTGCTTGGTAAATTTTAGTCATGGGCTGTAGTCTATGACACATCTTTGAGAGGCAGACTTTGAAGGAGCTAATGCTGGCAGAAACCAACCAGGGTTGATTTTGGATGCAATCCAAGGAAAGCAGAAAGATCAGGTTAATTAATTCCAGTCAGCCCTAAGTAATGATTCTTTAGGGTCTGACCCAACTCTCAAAACAAAAATCACTTTCCCTCCCAAGTTTACGAGCCACCTTCAAATTCCTGAGGACTGCGGTACTAACCAACCTAAAATGAATGCATGCATAGATTTGTAAAGCCAACCAAACTTGTGAACCCTGAAAAACTAAGGTAATCAGTCTTAGTTTCCTAATAAATATAAAAGTGTTTTAATTCCACAGCAAATAATCCAAGCATATAAACTGTTCTTATGCATACAGTACTCTGTATTCCACAGAATATAATACAGTTTTTAAGCCCTCACTTAACTTCAGCAATAGATTCTTGAAAACTGCAACTTTAAGCAAAACAACATACTATGTAACAAAACTAATTTTGCCACAGGCTAATTGATAGAAACAAGAGTCAGGGACAGGCAGTGGCTCAGGTCTCTAATACTAGCACTACGGGAGGCTAAGGGAGGAAGACAGCTTGAGCCCAGGAGTTCGAGACCAGCCTGGGCAACACAGTGAAACCACATCTGTACAAAAAATACAAAAATTATCTGGGTATGGTGGCATATGCCTGTGGTCCCAGCTACTCAGGAGGCTGAAGTGGGAGGATCATTTGAGCCTGGGAGGCTGAGGCTGCAGTGAGCCGTGATCATGCCACTGCGCTCCAGCCTGGACACTAAAGGAAGACCTCTTAAAAATAGAAAGTCAAGTTCCTTTCTTCAAGTTCCACGGGCATACAGCGTGTCATTTTGCTTAAAGACACAGTTTCTAAGAACATATCAACAGTGTTAAGTGAGGACTTACCGTACTACTTTATCACCAGTTGGGTTAATTGGTTAAAAGAGGAATGCAATATAATTTATTTGATGATAAACCGCTATGACAGATAGTGGGCAATTATTCCTTCCTTCCTCCCCCATGCTTCTGAAAAAAAAAAAACTACTTCAACTGGTCACTTGCCAAAAACAAACGAAGAGATCAAACGGTCTTTTTAAGCAAAGCCAGGTTTCCGGGCCATGAACACGTAGCTTTGCTAAGAGAAGCATGAAATGTGAGTAGCCACAAACCTTAACAATCACGAGAACCAACAGCAAGGAACAGATAGCAAGTATTCACAGGAGACCGTGGATAGGGTCCCATAATACCTATGTCAATGACTGAGCCCAAAGGCTAGTAAGTGGCAGGGAGAGATTCTAATAAGATCAGTCTGACACTAAAGCCTGAGGTTGTCCCAGCATCCATGCCTCCATCCTCCCTGCAATCAAATGCCGTTTTCACATATGTGCAGTGTCAGTGGGACTGCTGTTTACCAATATGAGGCTTTTGACTCTATGTTAAATAGATCCATAACACCAGAGTCAACATACTACAGACTGCTTATAAAGATGACAGACAATCCCCCATAACTTGCCAATTAAAATAAAATAGCCCAGTCTAGGTGCAGTGGCTCATTCCTGTAATCCCAGCACTTTGGGAGGCCAAGGCGAGTGGATCACCTGAGGTCAGGAGTTCGAAACCAGCCTAGCCATATTGAAACCCTGTCTTTACTAAAAATACAAACATTAGCTAGGTGTGGTGATGCATACCTGTAATCCCAGCTACGCAGGAGGCTGAGGCAGGAGAATCACTTGAACCTGGGAGACGGAGGTTGCAGTGAGCCGAGCTAGTGCCACTGCACTCCAGCCTCGACAACAAAGCGAGACAACTCTGTCTCAATAAAATACAATAGCCTGTAGGCAATAAAATTAGGCCTCCGTATGAGAGGTGGTCCAGTCAACATCACCACAACGTAATGTTAGTAAGACATGGCTGGATGACAACCAAAAGTCAACCTGGCTCCAGGGTCTGCCTGAAGAAAGATGTGTTAACAGCAATGGTCTGCTTAGAGTCCTGGAAAAAGAAAACAATTTGGGGGCTGGGTGTGGTAGCTCATGCCTATAATCCCAGAACTTTGGGAGGCCAAGGTGGGCGGATCACCTGAGGTCGGGAGTTCGAGACAAGCCTGACCAACATGGAGAAACCCCGTCTCTACTAAAAATACAAAATTAGCCAGGCATGGTGGCACATGCCTGTAATCCCAACTACTCGGGAGGCTGAGGCAGGAGAATTGCTTGAACCCGGGAGGTGGAGGTTGCAGTGAGCCGAGATCGCACCATTGCACTCCAGCCTAGGTGACAGAGACAGACTCCGTCTCAAAAAAAAAAAAAAAAAGAAAAGAAAACTATTTGGAAGAGTTTGGGACCACATCTCTGGGGAAAGATGCCCTGTTTGGCTTCTCTGAGTATCCGCTGTTGATTTATTTAACTGGAATGGAGATAGACACAACAGCTATGAGCTGAAGAACATCAGAGACTATTTGGCCCACTAACTCTTACTACTCTGATTCTAAGCTCTCCCAAGAAATTTTCTGATCATCATCTAACTTCCCAGGAGACCTTTTTCCAAAAAAAGACAAATATGATGACCAAATAATAAGAACATGGTATTCTACACGACAATTACATTCATCAATAAAAATGACCCACTGCATGGCAGGTGTGATGCTGGGCACTTTTATATACATTATATTGTTTAATCCACAAATCTAGGCAATGTGTCATATTGAAGACAAAAAAGATTAAGTTGTTGGCAGTTGAAAGACTTTCCCAGAATTATCAAAATATAGGTGGCAGGGTAGGTATCAAATGCAGCTTGGATTCTATACTTCTATAAAAAATGTCCAGCTGGGCACATTCATTCACTCTTGTAATCACAGCACTTTTGGAGGCCAAAGTAGGTGGATCTCTTGAGCTTAAGAGTTTGAGCCCAGGCTGGGCAATATGGCAAAACCCAGTCTCTACTAAAAATATAAAAATAAGCTGGGCATCATGGTATGCACCTGTAGTCCCAGCTACTTGGGAGGCTGAGGCAGGAGAATCGCTTGAGTCCAGGAGGCAGAGGTTGCAGTGAGCCGAGATCGAGCCACTGCACTCCAGCCTGGGCAACAGAGGGAGAGTGAGACTCCATCTCAAAAAAAAAAAATGTCCAAGGTTCCAAGATAATGTGGAAGGAAAAGGAGTGTCTGTAGGCATCCTGGAAGCATATGAAAAATTTTGCAGTTATAAGCAATGTTCTTGGGAAAAGACCCAGAAACGTTAGCAAATTTTCTTTTTTTTTTGAGATGGCATCTTGCTCTGTCACCCAGGCAGGAATGCAGTGGTGCAATCTCAACTCATTGCAACCTCCGCCTCCTGGGTTCAAGCTATTCTCCTGCCTCAGCCTCCTGACTAGCTGGGATTACAGGCATGCGCCACCACACCCAGATAATTTTTGTATTTCTTAGTAGAGACGGGGTCTCACCATGTTGGCCAGGCTGGTCTCAAACTCCTGACCTCAAGTGATCCGCCCACCTTGGCCTCCCAAAGTGCTGGGATTACAGGCATGAGCCACTGCACCAGGCCAAATTTTCAAAGTTGTTCTTACACCAGAAATCCTGAAGGACCACTGGCTGCTTTAAAGATGACATCACTTAATGATTATAGATTCAAGCTTCAGGCATGGGGAAATAATTTGATACTATTTTAATTGCCAATAAAGTAATTGTAGGGCTAATTACCTAATAGCCAGTCTTCATGCTCAAATCCCACTACATATTTTTTCAGGGCCTTTTTCTACACTTATAATGTGATGTGACTGAGGGTGCATGTGAAATAAATATGGCATTTGTTCTCTACATGGTGACTTCCATCTCCCTACATGAAAGTAGTACAGTGAGTGCCAAAACCACGCCCAGCCCTGGACTGTTTTGGTGTCATAGCAATCAGCTATGTGCAGAGAGATTTAACATCTTTGATTTCAAACACTCGCTTTTTGTTTATTTTTAATCATACCTGCCAAGTAGCTGAACTGCATAAAGCTTTTTTGAGGGAGAATGCAACAGATACTTTCAGGTCCTTTTGCTGGAAATAACCTTTCTTTACATCACTCATTGGAGAAAAAGCACACTCTGTTTGCTCACTTCTTCCACTTGCCAAATATTTTAATTCGTTCTTTTAAAATGCAGAAATCTAACCCAATTTTAGCAATGTGTAGCTACAGAAATAAACTATAAAGTCCATAAATAACTGGCAGTTGGCAATAAAATTGACATTTAATTATATATCTTTCAAGGGTGTTACAAAAATACTGCTTCAAGATGCCTTGTGTAAAAAAAAAAAAAAATTAAAGTCCTATCTTTGTGATTATCTAATTTCACAGTTAACCAAAAAAAGAATTTTGCATCCTTTTTGGCCATTTTTGCTCAAGGTCCTAAATTCTTAGTTTCCATAGTCAAGATTATAGTACAGAATATAATTCTAAATTAGTAGTATATTATAGAAGCACTCATGTTACAAACATTTGCTATAAACACAGTGATTATTGCAAAGTTAGTTACCTTATATTTTCTGCTTTTTGAACTTTTACTGATAAAATACTATTATATTCACTGGTTATAAAAAATGAGTTCAGGATAAATGGGATTTAAAAGCTAGTTATGTTAAAAAAAAAAATCTTAATGTAACACTTGCTAGATTTCGTGTGGCCTTTAAAATATTTTGACCCTGAAAATGATTTATGTGTAAAAGAGTTTGCAACAATGCAAATTTTATTGGCATAATGTTTGCTAAACTAATTGCTCCAGAATTCCTTTCTATTGTGATTTAAAGGCACTTTGATATCAATTTTACTAATAAATCAGACAAGTCTATTATTTCAAGGAAGCTCACTTTTAAAAGGTTTTTTTTCTCAGACTGAAAGACATTTATCTTGCAATTGATGTAAGATAAAGGTCTTTTTCCCAGTGATTTACATAAGGGACCAGAGTTGAAGTTTTCGCATTTAGGTCCATTACGTTTTAAAATGTTTTATTCTTAAATATACTTAATGGCTTGGAATGTAATATGCATCGACTGACATATAGCTGTTCAATAAATATTTATTGCCAGAATATTTTTTTTCAAAATGTCGAAGGCAAAGATGAGTTCAAGTTTTTCTGAGGCACGGGGTGTGCCTGTTTAACTCATCTTATATATAAGAAAATGAACATAAAACTTTAAACTTCACTTTAATACTCTAAATCAGTAACATCTATATGTGTACATACTATCCCTATCATCCAAAAAAAAAATCACAGAAAGGAGAATTTAAGTTTCAATGTTTGTCCCAAGCAGCACCTATTACTTTATTCATATTCTATATACCTAGGAAATGATGATTCAGTGATTCCAAACTAGGAGAAAAAAAAAAAAAAAACAAGCCAGACCTTCCTGGACTGCCCTCCAGACAAATGATAAGGAGAAAATTTCCTTTGCAAATCAACATCCTCCACCATATGACTCCACTTTTTCTCGGGAACTAGATTGCTGACGTTTTGGGAGTATATGTCTGTTTCCCAAACTCATTCTCATGGGCAGCCAAACCAATCTGCTTTGCAAACCCTGAAACACACCTTGCTGGAACCAGTCTCACTGCCCCAGCTCCTCCTTCCCCATCATGCCTGAAATACACTTCTCACTAACCCAAGTCTCTAACATACTTTCAGGGCCCTCTCAAAACACATACTTCCCTATACACCGTGAGCCTCCCAACCATACATTCATCTTCCATGCTCTTGAGAGAAACCCTCTATTTAGAATGACATCCAAGCTGCTCTAGGTATGGATGCCTTCCCTCCCTGGAGCAGAAGCATAATCAGTTTTGTTAACTTTATTTATCTATCTATTTATCTATCTATCTATCTATGGCAGAGTCTCACACTGTCGCCCAGGCTGGAGTGTGCAGTAGCACCATCTCAGCTCACTGCAACCTCCACCTCCCAGATTCAAGCGATTTTCCTGCCTTAGCCTCCTGAATAGCTGGGATTACAGGCACCCGCCACCACACCCAGCTAATTTTTTGTATTTTTAGTAGAGATGGAGTTTCACTATGTTGGCCAGGCTGGTCTTGAACTCCTGACCTCATGATCCACCTGCCTCGGCCTCCCAAAGTGCTGGGATCACAGGCTTAAGCCACCACACCCAGCCAGTTTTGTTAACTTTTTATCTCTTAATAATGTCCCAATTCTGGTAGGTATTCAATAAATATATGCCTAAAGCAAAATAGTAGTGCTGTGCTGCTTCTCCACTTGATCTCATTGAAGCCAAAACTGCACTTACTATAGCAGCTAGACACACAGAGATTTCGTGAGCAATGCAAGATTCGTGAGCAATGCAGCCACGTGCCCCCTATGTGCATGGCTGTTGGCCCCTCCAGCCAGCTATGGACACGAAAACCCCCATCTTCCAGCCACACCTGGATGAGCCTGGCTCCTGGGCAACAGCAACACAAGGACATATGCTTAACAACTGAGCATCAGGCCAGCCTTGCTTTTGATTCTGACATACTTGGAAAATAACGTACGTTATGTTCATAGAGACATATTATTATTTTCTTGTAGCCAATAACAGACTGAGAGCCAGAAAGAGTTTTCAAGATTGTATCTCAAGCCCAAGTTCTCATTTGACAACCAAAGACAAGCCCCAGAGAAGCTAGATATTGTCGGGAGGTCGCAGTTATCGGCACAGCTGAGTATAGAAACGAAGTCCCCTCATCGTCCAGTCCAGCAATCCTTCCAAGCAATATGCTCTTCTGCCTTTCTAATGGTGATTGTCTCAAGCTGCTATTAAAATCAACTCCTGGCCAGGCACAGTGGTTCACGCCTATAATCCCAGCACTTTGGGAGGCTGAGATTGGAGGACTGCTTGAGCCTAGGAGTTCAAGACCAGCCTGGGCAATATAGTGAGACCTTGTCTCTACAAAAAAAATAGAAAAAATGAGCTGGGCATGGTGTCACGACCTGTAGTCCCAGCTACTCGGGAGGCTGAGACAAGAGGATTGCTTGAGCGCAGGCTGTGGTGAGCCATGATCACTCCACTGCACTCCAGCCTGAGTGACACAGTAAGATCCTGTCTTAAAAAAAAAAATTAAAAATAGGCCAGGCACGATGGCTAATGCCTGTAATCCCAGCACTTTGGGAGGCTGAGGTGGGTGGATCACCTGAGGTCAGGAGTTTGAGACCAACCTTACCAACATGGAGAAACCTCATCTCTACTAAAAATACAAAATTAGCCGGGCATGGTGGTGCATTCCTGTAATCCCAGCTACTCAGGAGGCTGAGGCAGGAGAATCGCTTTAACCTGGGAGGCGGAGGTTGCAGTGAGCCGAGATCGCGCCATTGCACTCCAGCCTGGGCAATAAGAGCAAAACTCCATCTCAAAAAAATAAATAAAGTAAAAATAAAAGTACAATAAAATAAAATAAACTCCTCTATTACATCAAACTAAAAAGCTTCTGCACAGCAGAGAAAACAACCAACAGAGTGAAGACACAACCTATGAAATGGGAGAAAATATTTACAATCCATAAATCCAGTAAGGGGTTAATGTACAAAATACATAAGGAACTCAAACAACTCAATAGCAAAAAAACAACCCAACTGAAAAAAAATGGGCAAAGAACCTACATAGACATTTCTTGAAAAAAAGATATACAGATGGCCAACCAGTATATGGGGAAAAAAATGCTCAGCATCACTAATCATCTGGAAATGCAAATTAAGAGCCACAGTGAAATACCACCTCACACCTGTTAGAAAGGCTACTATCAAAAAGATGAAAGATAATAAGTGTTAGCAAGGTTGGAGAAAAGAGACCTTGGTACACTGTTGGTGGGAATGTAAATTAGTACAGCTATTATAGAAAACAGTATCAAGGCCCCCCAAAAATATTAAAAATAGAACTCACATATGATCCAGCAATCCCACTACTGAGTATATACCCAAGGGATATGAAATCAGCATTTGGAGGAGATACCTGCAATCCCAGGTTCATTGCCTCACTCTTCACAATGGCCCAAGCTATAGAATCAACCTAAATGTCCGTCAGTGGATGGTTACAGAAATTGTGGTATATATACACAATGGAATACTATTTGGCCTTTAGAAAGCAGAAAACCCTGTCATTTGTGAGAACATGGATGAACCTGAAAGACATTATATTAAGTGAGACAAGCCAAGCACAGAAAAAGTACCATATGATCACACTTAAATGTGAAATCAAAGAAAGATGAAGTCATAGAAGCAGAGAGAGAGTAGAATAGTGGTTACCAGGAGCTGGGGGGACAGAGAAGAAATTGAGGAGATATTGGTTGAAGGATACAAACTTTCAGTTAGACAACAGCAGTAAATTCAAGAGCTCTATGGTACAACATGGTGACTATAGTTAAAAACAATGTATTATATACTTGAAAATTACTAAGAGTATATTTTATGTGTTCTCATCACACACACACACAATTACAAATATGTGAGGTAACACATATTCTAATTAGCTTGATTTAACCATTTTGCAATGTGTATACATATCAAAACAGCTTGTTGTACGGTGTAAATTTATACAATTTTTATGTGTCAGTTTTTAAAAACAGATTTAAAAAATAAACTTCCCTTCTCAAAGCACACATTAAAGTGGCAGAGGAAGAAAGCCTGGGGGCAGACATATAGGGGTGTAGAGGGAAATAGTAGACGGTTTGTCGTTGTTTTTGTTTGTTTTTTGAAATGGGATCTTGCACTAGAGCGCAGTGGTGTGATCATGGCTCACTGCAGCCTCAATTTCCAGGGCTCAATTGATCTTCCCACCTGAGCCTCCTGAGTAGCTGGGACTACAGGCATGCATCACCACACCCAGACACCCAGCTAACTTTTGTATTTTTTTTAGTAAAGATGGGGTTTTGCCATATTGCCCAGGCTGGCCTCGAACTTTTGGGCTCATGCAATCAGCCTGCCTCAGCCTCCCAAAGTGCGGGGATTATAGATGTGAGCTACTGGGCCCAGCTATAGATGGTTTTTTAAAGATACACAAAAATATCCAAAAATGATACATGAGATAATCCACTCAGAGACAAAAGACATACACAGAGACTTCTAAATACACCTGCAATTTCAACAGCATTACACCTTGTGTGGAAGGTAAGGTAAGGTCATCCCCTAAGCCATGCGGTTGAGTGGCTGAGGCACCGCCTGACTTTGGATAAGCCACAAGCTACTTTTGACTCATTTCTCCAAATGCAAAAGGCAGGTGGGGTTTTTTTTTGAGAATCTTGCTCTGTCGCCCAGGCTGAAGTGCAGTGGCGCTATCTCGGCTCATTGTAACCTCCCCCTCCCAGGTCCAAGTGATTCTCCTGCCTCAGCCTCCGGAGTGGCTGGGATTACAGGCGCCTGCCACATGCGCAGCTAATTTCTATATTTTCAGGAGAGATAGGGTTTCACCATTTGGCCAGGCTGGTCTCAACTCCTGACATCAAATGATCCACCCGTCACGGCCTCCCAAAGTGCTGGGATTGCAGGCGTAAGCCACCGCAACTGGCCTAAAAGGAAGGTATTACTATTTTTTTAACTCTAACTTTTTTTTAGGTTTGTTTTTTAGTTATGTGAAAAATTCACACGTGAGAAATGTCACTCCAATAATACTGGATACATAATTCGTTAGTGGGATTACCCGGAGGGGCAGAGCTGGGAAGAAAGGGTGGAGATGGAAGTGTCAATAAGAAAACAGTTCCTCGGCCGGGCTCGGTGGCTCACGCCTGTAATCACAGCACTTTGGGAGGCTGAGGCGGGCGGAGCACGAGGTCAGGAGATCTAGACCATCCTGGCTAACACGGTGAAACCCCATCTCTACTAAAAAAAAATACAAAAAATTAGCCGGGCGTGGTGGCGGGCGCCTGTAGTCCCAGCTACTCCTGAGGCTGAGATAGGAGAATGGCGTGAACCCGGGAGGCGGAGCTTGCAGTGAGCTGAGATCGCGCCACTGCACTCCAGCCTGGGTGACAGAGGGAGACTCCGTCTCAAAAAAAAAAGAAAAGAAAACAGTTCCTCATGGTCGACCTTCACCCAGTTCTCCTCCAGCACTTCTATTTCCTTAATAATTATTCCCTTTCTTTATTCTACTCACTGACCCCTTCCCTCTCACACACACATCCAGTCACTCATACACACACTGTTTTCTGAAGAGCTGAAGGCGGGGTCATCCCACCCTTCCAGGCTCAGCCCCAGGCCTGTCTCTCCCATCTCCTCCCCACTGAATTCCTGTGGCAATTATATAATTTAACAACATACTTCAGAGCTTAATTTTCCACTCTAGATTTGCTATGCATGTAAAAAATTTTGCCCAAAAACATGACAAGTATCTTGTAATCAAGAAACAGATCTTATATTTGTGGGGTTTTTTTTCCTATTAATAATAACCACTGCAGTTAAGAACACAAAGATTGCCGGCCATGGTGGCTCAGGCCTGTCATCCCAGCACTTTGGGAGGCCGAGGTGGGTGGATCACCTGAGGTCAGGAGTTTGAGACCAGCCTGGCCAACATGGGGAAACCCCATCTCTACTCAAAAGACAAAAATTAGTCAGGTGTGGTGGCGGGCACCTGTAACCCCAGCTACTTGGGAGGCTAAGGTGGGGGGATCACTTGAACCTGGGACCAGAGGTTGCAGTGAGCCGAGATTGTGCCACTGCACTCCAGCCTGGATGGCAGAGCAAGACTCTGTCTCAAAAAGAACACACAGATGAACAGGTGAGAAATACCCTGAAACAGTATTATTTTTCCATTCATCATTTTTCCCTGACAGAGTAATCAACTTTGAATATATCCACAACACCTGTCAGTTGTTTAATTTTTTCCTATAGTAAATATGCTGATTGAATTTCTCCTGGAGTCCTTTGAGAATCAGACTAGTCCTGTGTTGTGTTTCAAGTCATCCAAGGAGAAAAAGACTGGAAATAGGGGGCAGAAATTCCAGGAAATTTCAGTACGACTCTGAAGTTGAATAAAACATTAATAACTTGCGGCAGGTATGGTGGCTTATGCCTGTAATCCCAACAATTTGGGAGGCCAAGGCGGGCAGATCACTTGAGGTCAGGAGTTCGAGACCAGCCTGGCCAACATGGTGAAACCCCATCTCTACTAAAAATACAAAAATTAGCTGAGCATAGTGGTGTGCGCCCGTAATCCCAGCTAATTGAGAGGCTGAGGCATGAGAATCGCTTGAACCCGGGAGGCAGGGGTCGCAGTGAGCAGAGATTGCACCACTGCACTTCAGCTTGGGTGACAGAGAGAGACTCCGTCTCAGAAACAAAACAAAACAAAATTAATAACTTAGGACTCTATTCATATTTCATAGAGATGCTTTTTTGTTTTTGTTTTTTTAAGACAGGGTCTCACTCTGTCATCCAGGCTGGAGTTCAGGGGCACAATCTCGGCTCACTGCAACCTCTGCCTTCCAGATTCAAGCAATCTTTCCACCTCAGTCTCCCAAGTAGCTGGGAATACAGGCGAGCACCACCACGCCCAGCTAATTTTGAGATGCTTTTTTTGAACTTTGCTCAAGAGGCTATGCTTACTATGCTAAACTCAACACCCTGCATGGTAATGACCACTTAATGGTTATTAAGAACTTTCATTTTCTTCCTACTCAACACTCATTAAAAATCTATCCCCAGGGCCTTTTATACCTTGACAAAGATGACTTCAGTTACAAGCAAAATTTTGTAAGAGGCGGGCAATGGTATATCCATCATACCCTTTCAAAGTTTACCACTAACAAACTTCAAGCATTCATCTGAGAGACCAATCTGCCTTATTGTATATTCAAGTCTTGCCCTTCCCCCATAGTTTTTGCAAAGATGGTTGATGTAGACTAGATTATCGTGAGACGGAATGGACTTTGAAAGGCGGGACTCTCTTATGTAGTGGACTTAGAACTGAAGACATGACTTCTTAGTAATGAAACTGAAGGTAAGTACTTGTTTATACAACAAAATTAAAAAGTTCTATACAGACTTCTGAATCATACTTTAAAAAAAAATGTGATATTACTGTAACCCTTACCTTCCCCTACCTCCCCAATATCTGCAGTCCATAATTTTGTTTTGTTTTGAGATAGAGTCTCACTTTGTCGCCCAGGTTGGAGTGCAGTGGCACGATCTCAGTTCACTGCAACCTCCACCTCCTAGGTTCAAGCTATTCTCCTGCCTCAACCTCCGAAGTAACTGGGATTACAGGGGTTTGCCACCACACCCAGCTACATTTTTTTTTATTTTCAGTAGAAACGGGGCTTTACCATGTTGGCCTGGCTGGTCTCGAACTCCTGATCTCAAGTGATCTACCCACCTCACCCTCCCAAAGTGCTGAGATTATAGGCATGAGCCACTATGCCCGGCCGATTTTGTTTATTTCATCAGTTTAAATAAATTTCTCAGAGGAAAAAAAAAAATCTAAAGTATTTTCATTAGCTTTTCCCATTTCTCTTAGAAATAGCCCTGGCTAGGCTGGGCACTGTAATCCCATCACTTTGGGAGGCCAAGGCGGGCTGATCACCTGAGGTCAGGAGTTCAGGACCAGCCTGGCCAACATGGTGAAATCACGTCCTACTTAAAATACAAAAATTAGCTGGGTGTGGTAGCAGGTGCCTATAATCTCAGCTACTCAGGAGGCTGAGGCAGGAGAATTGCTTGAACCCAGGAGGTAGAGGTTGCAGTGAGCCAAGATCGTGTCATTGCACTCCAGCCTGGGGTACAAGAGCAAGACTTCATCTAAAAAAAAAAAAAAAAAAAAAAAAAAAAAAAAAAAGAAGAAGAAGAAAAGAAAAAGAAATAGCCCTGGCTAGCATTTATGAAATATGTTCCAGGTGCCAGGCCCTGTGCTGATTGAACCAAGCAGTCTTATTCCACGCTCAGGTGATCTCATGAAATGGGATGAACCAAGTATCTAAGATCAAAGCGCTCACACAGGGCCCTGGGGTCATTCCCCTCACCACATTCTCCTCTCTCTCTTTTTTTTTTTTTTTTTTTGAGACAGACTCTCACTCTGTTGCCCAGGCTGGAGTGCAGTGGCACAATCTCGGCTCACTGCAACCTCTGCCTCCCAGGCTCAAGCGATTCTCTTGCCTCAGCCTCCCGAGTAACCGGGGTTATAGGCGTGCACCACCATGCCCAGCTAATTTTTTGTCAAGGCCAACACTGCCCCCTACCCCATGTGCCACATCTGGGTCCCCACATGGCCCACCTGCAACTTCCCAGGAAATAAAACTGAGATGACTCAAGAATGCTTAATATCAAATTCTTCTCCTGTGTGATTGATCCAAAATATTTACAGAGTTGAGAGAACTCCTCACCAAGAATGTGAGCTCCGTGCAAGCAGGTGGCTTCTGGCTTGTTCAACACACTCTCTGAGGCCCAGACCCATGGCTGGTTTCTGTGGACACAGGGTCATTACATGGAGAAGCCCTGCATTCAGAAGGACCCAAAACTTGGTTTAATGCTCTGCTGTCACTATCTTGAAATTCCTGGTAAACTTTGAAAAAGGGATCCTACATTTTATTTTTATTTTATTTTTTTGAGACTGAGTCTCACTCTGTCACCCAGGCTGGAGTGCAGTGGCGCGATCTCGGCTCACTGCAACCTCCACCCTCCGGGTTCAAGCGATTCTCAGCCTCCCGACTAGCTGGGATTACAGGCGCCTGCCACTGCACCCAGCTAGTTTTTGTATTTTTAGTACAGATGGGGCTTCACCATCTTGGCCAAGCTGGTCTTGAACTCCTGACGTGGTGATCCACCAGCCTTGGCCTCCCAAAGTGCTGGGATTACAGGCATGAGCCACTGCACCCAGCCAGGACCCTGCATTTTCATTTTGCACTGGGCACTGCAAATTAGGTAGCCAGTCCTGCCTGTCATGGGGCAGGCATCCAAATTATTTGTCCAATATACCTATGATGAGTTAGTGGAAGCTGCCCTAGAAAATGGGTCAATAAGCCATGACTTACAGGCCAAATCTGGCCTTCTGCCTGTTGTTGTAAATAAAGTTTTATTAAAACACAGCTCCAGCCAGGCACAGTGGCTCATGTCTATAATCCCAACACTTTGGGAGACCAAGGCGGGAGGATCACCTGAGGTCAGGAGTTCAAGACTAGCCTGGCCAACGTGGCAAAACCCTATCTCTACTAAAAATACAAAAATTAGCTTGGGAGGCCAAGGCGGGGGAGATCACTTGAGGTCGGGAGTTCGAGACCAGTCTGACCAACATGGAGAAACCTTGTCTCTCAGGAGGCTGAGGCAGGAGAATCACTTGAACCCAGGAAGCAGAGGTTGTGATAAGCCAAGATCACACCATTGCACTCCAGCCTGGGCAACAAGAATGAAACTCCATCTCAAAAAAAAGTTAAAAATTAGCTGGGTAAGGTGGTGGGCACCTGTAATCCCAGCTACTTGGGAGACTGAGGCAGGAGTATCACTTGAACCCAGGAGGCAGAGGTTGCAGTGAGCTGAGATCACACCACTGTGCTCCAGCCTGGGCAACAGAGTGAGACTCCATCTCAAAAAAAAACAAAAAAAAAACAAAAAAACACAGCTCCATCCATTTGTGTCTTGTCCGTGGCACTTTCACTCTACAACAGAAGAGTTGAGGAATACTGAAAGACTGTAGGGTCCACAAAGCCTAAAATATTTACTATCTGGCCTTTTACGGAGAAAGTTCACTGTCCCCTGCTTTAGTAAATTGTCTCTCCAAATTTTCTATCCAAATAACTGTAACAGCAGGAAAGGCAGGTGGCCTCATGAGACCAGGAGGGTAGCCTAAGCTGCAAGCCATAAACAATATATGTCTTAGGGTTTGTATGTATGAATTTTGCATCCGGGAGCCAAATATATTAGTGTGTTAATACAAAAATATTTTCTCGGCTGGGCGCTGTGGATCACACCTATAATCCTAGCACTTTGGGAGGCCGAGGCAGGCAGATCACTTGAGGTCAGGAGTTCAAGACCAGCCTGGCCAACATAGTGAAACCCTATCTCTACCAAAAATACAAAAATTAGCCGGGCGTGTTGGCATGCACCTGTAGTCCCAGCTACTCAGGAGACTGAGGCAGGAGAATTGCTTGAACCTGGGAGGCAGAGGTTGCAGTGAGCCGAGATTACGCCACTGCACTCCAGCCTGGGTGACAGAGTGAGACTCTCTCTCAAAAAAAAAAAAAAAAAAATTATCATTCTGAACAATACTCCAGGGATGAGTCAAATTTATCCCTTGACAACCCCTGTCTACAAGGATGAGTACGCAGAAGGTATGGGCACCCCAGTTTGCAAACCATGCCTTCATTCCTCATCTTTGATATACCCAGTGTGGAAGGAAGTCTCCTGTAGCATTTCAGTGTCCACTGAGCTTCAACCCACACCAATCATTTCTTACCAGCCCAGAAAATCCTGTTAGAGAAGATCCAACAAGGACATTAAATACAGAATCTCTTGTGCACTTATTCTTAACTGACTGTACTAGGTCCATGCCCCATCGCACTGAAAGACTAAAGTTTCAGAAGCTACTGAGAGCCAGGAATTTCAGAGCCCAGAGATGCCTGTAGGAAAGTTTTTAGAAGAGGGATGTTGGCAGAGGCCAGTTTCCTCATGATTGTCGATAACATTCTATTTCTAACTTGAATGATTTTCAGTATCCCCTTTTCATTGTTAAGATTTTTAATTTACCTTATTGCTAGCAGCGATACAAGAAATACATTTTTTTTTCTTTTTAATAGAGACTGAGTCTCACTGGTCTCAAACTCCTGGGCTCAAGCAATCCTCCCTCCTCAGCCTCCCAAAGTGCTGGCATGAGCCTCCAACCCTGGCCCCTTTCTCTTTTGGAGATAGGATCTCACTCTGTCACCAAGGCTGGAGTGCAGTGGCACAATCATGGCTCACTGCAGCCTTGACTTCCTGGGCTCAGGTGATCCTCTCATCTCAGCCTCTCAAATAGCTGGGACTACATGGGTGCACTACCACGCCCAGCTAATACTTTCTGTATTTTTTCTAGAGATGGGGTTTCGCCATGTTGCCTGGGCTGGTCTCGAACTTCCAGACTCAAGCAATCCACACACCTTGGCCTCCCAAAGTGTTAAGATTACAGGCGTGAGCCACCGTGCCCGGTCAAGAAATACATTTCCTTAGTCAGGGTGCTGGCTGGATAGTTTCATATGCCACTGAGAGAATTTAGGAGCATTTGCCTCTGACATTTGTGTACATTCTTTCATGTCATAGATTATGGGGGAGCTTCAAATGGTTTAAAGGGAGTTTTCCTGGATACTTCAGGTTAAACAGAGAAAGTATCGGGGAAAACTAGGTATACCAGAAAGGGAGACTCTGAGAGAGAAAAAGACAGGCCCCAGGGAAGAAATGAACCACAGAACCACAGTGAAGTTTCAGGTCTCTGGGAGAAACACTGGCTATCGTAACAACAAAACAATATCAAAAGGACAATTCATGAAGACATCAAGAAGTACTTGTTCTGTTGGCCGGGCACGGTGGCTCATGCCTGTAATCCCAGCACTTTGGGAGGCTGAGGCGGGCAGATCACGAGGTCAGGAGATCAAGACCATCCTGGCTAACACGGTGAAACCCCATCTCCATTAAAAATACAAAAAAATTAGCTGGGCATGGTGGCGGGAGCCTGTAGTCCCAGCTACTCAGGAGGCTGAGGCAGGAGAATGGCGTGAACCCGGGAGGCAGCGCTTGCAGTGAGCAGAGATCGTGCCACTGCACTCCAGCCTGGGAGACAGAGTAAGACTCCGTCTCAAAAAAAAAAAAATCAAAAAAAGGACTTATTCTGGGGATTATTAAAGGAGTTTTCTCTCTGTGTGTGTGTGTGTGTGTGTGTGTGTGTGTGTGTGTGTGTGTGTGTGTTGGAAAGGGGAGTAATTTTATCATTATGTCTTAAAATGAAATAATTCACGGGACCCAAAAGGGCAGACATTGACAACACCGTTCAGCAAATACACAGTGTGCTGCTTCCTTACAGCTGTTGTTGGCAAAATGCCACACAAAAGTTATCAGCAGCTGACAATACTCACCACAAACAAACAAACAAACAAAACGAGTGATAGAAACTCGGTAGTAACAATCCTGGTGAGGAGTAAATACAAGTCTCACTGGTGTTTTTGGGAGACCTGTGGGAAGGGCCAGTGGAGGAGAGCCCTCTTGGGACAACTGAACACCACAAAGGGTCATTTCTCCCCTGATCCCAAAGCCCTCGATCTTACACTAACTGCTGGCCAGCAGCCTAGACCAAGTCTCCGAGGAGGAAAGCACTCATTAGTGTAATAGACCGCTTCACCCTCAAACTGGAACTTAAATTGCCAAAATCATTACATGCTTATTACAATTCATTCAAGCTTCAGAACATAAAATTGATACAGAAGGGGAAGGGGGCGTGGCAGGACCTACAGGTTCATAGTTCGGTTTTTCCACCCTCACCCTCAACAACTCCCTGAGATTAAAATGAACAAAGGAATTTTTTTTCTTTTTTCTTTTTTTTTTTTTTTTTTAGGAGAAGGGTGTACTCCTACTATTTCAAACTTAAATATCTTCTGAATAAGAAATGGCTTTCCAGTTCTGTTTGGTAAATTCTCTCAAGTCAGATTTTAAATCGTACACCCAAAAAAAATCCTTGATTTTTTTTTAGCATAAATCTATCCTACTTTACATAAATAACATACATTATGAGAACGGAATTTGCAACACAAAAAGACGGTTATTCATGTTTCCAAAGGGATCAACATTTGAGTTTCTTTCAATGGGTGGCTCTACTGTTTTGTTCACAATGTGGTTTTGTGTCACCTCAACTTTTCAGAAGCACATGGACTACATACATCAAAGTCCACTTGTGCTTTTATTAAAAGTACCCCCAAAGCATTTCAAATGTCACTGTATACATCCCCACAGCTATCTTGTTAAAGGCAAAATACATACATACATACATACATACATACATACATACATACATAAACAACATAATCCTCCTTCATTGCCAACCATTCAACAGTACATTCTGCCCCATAAGCCTTTTTAAACACACTGGGCTCAGCTCGTGGGATTCCTGAAGTGCAATAGCCCTAACACTGTTTTCCAAGGTAGAGATTTCTAAAAGGTGAGATGGAGTACACAGTTGCTTCAAACAGTGTGATCCAGATACAAACACAGTCCCAACATGCACCAGATATGAAATCTCTGTGCCAGAAACCAGGGTCACTGGCACCATGGAATCAAGAACCATTTTCTGTGTGTAAAGTACTAGGTGCCTAGATCTGCCAGTAAGCATCTACCAGTTTCCTAGCATAAAAGTCAGCAAAAGTCAGGAATGAAGCAGCAGGAAAGACAGGGAGTTACACAGTGAGCCTCAACAAAGGTCTCAGAGCAGCTGGGCACTAGCGAGGGCCGCCAATTCTTTCTTACAACTTGAAGGTAATAACAGAGGAGAGGTGATGGTTACTGAGCATTTACAATGGCAAAGCTGTTTGAAGCGCCTTCACACGCATTCACTTATGGTACCTGTTAAACTCCGGGACAGTGATTATGAAACTTTTTGGATGCCTTTACACTCTTTTTATTTATTTATTTATTTATTTATTTATTTATTTATTTATTTGAGATGGAGTTTTGTTCTTGTTGCCCAGGCTGGAGTGCAATGGCACGATCTTGGCTCACCACAACCTCCACCTCACGGGTTCAAGCGATTCTCCTGCCTCAGCCTCCCAAGTAGCTGGGATTATAGGCATGCGCCACCACACCCAGCTAATTTTGTATTTTTAGTAGAGACAGTGTTTCTCCATGTTGATCAGGCTGGTCTCAAATTCCTGACTTCAGGTGATCCGCCTGCCAATCCCAAAGACCTTTTTGTTTATGTGGGTTATATCCACTGATATTTATTGTATTTGAAATTAAAATGAAAAAATAGATATTAACATATTTTAAAATAATACGACTTGGGCAACATAGGTAGGCTTCATTTCTACAAAAAGTAAAAAATTCCACTGGGCCCAATTGTTCATGCCTATAATCTCAGCACTTTGGGAGGACAAGGTGGGAATATTACATGAGTTCAGGAGTTCAAGACCAGCCTAGGCAACAAAGTAAGACCTCATTTATACAAAAATCAAAAAATTACCTGGGCATGATGGCACACACCTGTGGTCCCAGCTACATGGAAGGCTGAGGTAGGAGGATGCCTTGAGTCCACTGGGTTGAGGCTGCAGTAAGCCATGTTCATGCTACTGCACTCTACTCTGGGTGATAGAACAAGCCTTGTCTCAAAATAAATAAATAAATAAATAGCTGGGCATGGTGGGACATGCCTACAGTCCCAGCTACTCAAGAAGCTGAGGTAGGAGGGTTGCTGGAGCCTAGGAGGTTGAGGCTGCTGTGAGCTGTGATCACACCACTGCACTCAGCTTGGGCGACACAGAGACCCTGTCTCAAAAATAAATAAATAAAAAGAAAAAACAATAGTAAACCTATTACACATTAAACATAAATAACATTTTTATGACCAATAACAATATTTTTCCAAAGCAAAAAAAAAATTAGTGAAAAGCATGGCACTGTTTTACAATTTTGCAAATCTCCTTAATGTCTGGGCTTATCAAAGACAGTTGGACTTTCCTATCTGCATCTGTGTTCAATCTGTTGTACTATCTCAGCTTATGTAGACACAAGAAAACTTCACTGTAGTCTTGTGAGAATGAGAATGAAATGGGAAAATTAATATCTTAGTATTATTATGAAAATAGTTTTGACCTTGCAGACCTCCAGTAAAAGTCTTGGGGACTGCTGGGGGTACCCAGGTCACACTTTCAGAACCTCTGCCTTATGAGTTAGGAGATATTATCTCCATTTTTCAAATGGGCAAACTGAGACAGAGAGGTCAAGGAATTGTCCAAGGCCATACTGCTAGAATAGCTCAGAGTAGCTAAAATGCAATGAGCATAACAGATTTAACCTCAATTGTTTGTTGCAAGGATTGAATGAGATCGTGAATATAAAGAGCAGGACATCCTGCTTGTCTTATCACAAATGCCCAATAACATTAATGTTTCCCCGCCAGGTGCGGTGGCTCATGCCTGTAATGCCAGCACTTTGGGAGGCCGATGCAGGTGGATCACGAGGTCAGGAGTTTGAGACCAGCCTGGCCAACATGGCAAAACCCCGTCTCTACTAAAAATACAAAAATTAGCTAGGCGTGGTGGCGGGCGCCTGTAATCCCAGCTACTTAGGAGGCTGAGGCAGGAGAATTGCTTGAACTCGGGAGATGGAGGTTGCAGTGAGCCAAGATCATGCCACTGCACTTCAGCCTGGGTGACAGAGCAAGATTCCGTCTCGAAGAAAAAAAAATAATAATAATGTTTCCCATTTAGCAAAAACTGGTAGAAAAGCTGGAGAAACTTCCCACATTTCTGATCAACTCATCACACATATGACACCAGCAAGAAAAAATAAAACTCCACCACAGGTATTGTCCAGAGGAGCAGCTTTTCCTTATAGACCAAACCTTGGCCCATTCCTCAGCACAAAAGCAGCCTTTGATGACTCAGAAACGCAGGGCCTTATTCCAGCCTCTGTTAGGCAAATTACACTGGTGGACTGGGCATCTGTCACCTTGTTCCTTGGGAAACTTGAGCAAGCCAAGAAACCTGCTCCATTATTTACAGCATTGTTTTTGCATCACGCTGTATTTACAAGGAACCCTCAACAGACAAAAATGATGCCGCTAGTGTGTGCAGCCAAACCTTTAACAGAAACCAGCAACTGCGGTCTTGCTGGCCAGGTGCTCAGCACTCCCCGGCTCTCTTTGTTGATCAACTTTCTTAGCCCACGTGGCCCACCCACTCCTGCCTCCGGTGGGCCCACAGGGTGCAGGTCACTTCCCTTCTGCGGATTTGGGAAGTGGTAACACACTTGGGGAAGTGGGACTAGTGACGTTCAGACCACCACACTCTTAAAAGGCTGCCCCTAAACAGCAGGCAAGAGCAAGAGGAGCCTGAGCTATCGCTTCCACCCAAGTGCAGGTCACCAGATCTCTCATCAGCAGGGCTGCGGCCGGCCTCAGCTTCCAACCTGACCCCCTATCCCCTGCCCTTACACACCCCAGTCCATTCTCCAACCACAGCCAAACTGCACACCATGCCGGGTGCAGTGGCTCACCCCTGTAATCCCTACACTTTGGGAGGCCGAGGCAGGCGGATCACCTGAGGTCAGGAGTTCGAGACCAGCCTGGCCAACATGGTGAAACCCCGTCTCTACTAAAAATACAAAAATTAGCTGGGTGTGGTGGCACACGCCTGTAATCCCCGTTACTCGGGAGGCTGAGGCAGGAGAATCGCTTGAACCCGGGAGGCAGAGCCGAGACCACACCACTGCACTTCAGCCTGGGCGACAGAGCGAGATCAGTCTCAAAAAAACAAAAGTGCACAACGGGTAAGGTCAGTTTTCTTGCTAAAACGTCCCCGAGGTTTCCCCTACTCAGTTGGAACCAAAACCAAACTCCTTATTTTGGCCTATAAAAACCCGCCTCACCTGGCAGAAGCCCACCTCTCCTGCCACAAACAAGGCCTTCTCCCCTCCGCTTTGCTCTCTCTAATCCACCTGTAGCGCCCCTCCAGGACCTCCAGCAGCTAGAATGTCATGTCCTTGAAGAGGCTTTGCCAAATCAAAAGTTGCCACTCCACCCGGTTGTATTTGAGACTTTACAGCGCTTCTTACTTTAGAAGTTCTCTTCATTTTACTTGTATATTGGACGTGTCCCTCCCTCCGCATCCCCCTCCTGGAAGGTAAGCTTCCTGGAGAACAGGGGCTCCTCCTGGTCCCCCGCGACATCCCCAGCGCCCAGCACCGAGCCCGGCACAGACTAAGCACTCGGCTAAGGCGGATCGAATGAATGAATGGAGCCGCGGCGCCGCGGCGCCGCGTTGCCGCAGGAATCCCGGGCAAGCGATCCTGGCGCGTCCGCACCGTCTGGGGCAGCGGGGCCACAGGGACGCACGGTTCGGGTGGCCAGGCGGGACTCGGCCCGCACCCCCACCCGGCCGCGCGCCCGGCCCGGACGCCCCAGGTGCCTCCCCGGAGCGCGAGCGCCCCCACCGCCTACCCGGGCCGGCGGTTCCCCCGCACTCACCATCGTGGCTGGGCCGCCGCCTCCCCCGCCTTGCGAGCAAGGAGCGCTGGAGAAGCGAGGGCGAGAGGCGAGCGCTGGAGCCGGTGCGGCTGACAGGTGAGGCGCCCGGCTTAGACCATGGCTGCTTCCCACAATGCCCTGGCACTGAAAGTGTGCAGACTCCTCCCAGCGCGGCTGCCTCCTCCCTGCACGCTCCTCCCCGCTGCCTCCTCCCCGCGCCCTCCTCCCCGCTCCCCCCGCTCCTCGCCCTCCTGCTCTCCTTCTTTCTTCCTTTCCCCTTTCTCCTCCCTTCTCCTCCTCCTCCTCCTCTTCCCTCCTTTCTGCCTCTCCTCTGTACCCCCTCCCCGCCCCCGCCTCGGCTGCAGCTGTTCCCGCCCCGAGCCGGCCGCACCTGGAGCGAATGCACCTGCGCGCGCGGGCGTCTGTACCCCGACAGCCCGCAGCTCGGCGCGGGTGGTCAGGCGAGAGCGCGTGGCCCGCTAGGAACTCCCTGCGCGGGGAACTCCCTGCGCGGAGAACACCGGGGACTTTTCGCGATTCTGCCGCGCGAGTGTGTCCTGTATTCCTTCCGCAAACGTTTATCAAACCTGGCAAAGATACTTCCGATACACTCGCAGAAAGTGCCGGGGGCTGCCTTATCCTAAGCCTCCTAGGGAGGGAGCAGTTGGAAGAGAAAGAACTAGAAGCGTTTTCTTATCCCCTTCTGCCCCCATTTCACTTTTTAAAAAGTAAGCTCTGCAGTCTAAGGGCAAAGATCATTTTAAGCAGGCCCCCATTTATTTATTTATTTATTTATTTATTTATTTATTTATTTATTTATTTAGAGACGGAGTGTCGCTCTGTCGCCCCGTCTGGAGTGCAGTGGGGCGATCTCGGCTCCCTGCAACCTCCGCCTCCTGCGTTCAGGGTGATCCACCCGCCTCGGCCTCCCAAAGTGCTGGGATTACAGGCATGAGCCACTGCGCCCGGCAGCACGACCCCCTTTTAAGAAGTCTCTCCTAAGAAGTTGTGGTGTAGAAAGTTCGTTCTCCAATCTCTCCTCCCCTTGACTTTTCTTAAATCTAGGGCGTTGAGAGTCTCTAAACCCCCAAGCTGTAAACAGAGTTTTTTCTTTTTTCTTTTAATTATATTTACCAGATAGACTAGATGTAAGCAGAGTTTTTAATGCATATTCATGTTTTTGAGAAAGGGAGTCCACTGGTTTTATCAAATAGCTAAAGAGATCCTAGACCCTGCAAAAGTTAAGAATCATTTCCTGGGCCAGGCGTGATGGTTCATGCCTGTAATCCCAACACTTTGGGAGGCCCAGGTGGGCGGATCGCTTGAGACCAGAAGTTCGAGACAAGCCTGGCCAACATGGTGAAACGCCGTCTCTACTAAAAATACAAAATTTAGCTGGGCGTGGTGGCACACGCCTGTAGTCCCAGCTACTAGGGAGGCTGAGGCAGGAGAGAATCGCTTGAACCCGGGAGACAAAGGTTGCAGTGAGCTGAGATCATCCAGCCTAGGTAACAGAGTGAGACTCAGTCTGAAAAAAAAAATGTCATTTCCTG
This sequence comes from Homo sapiens, assembly GCF_000001405.40. NCBI lineage: Eukaryota > Metazoa > Chordata > Mammalia > Primates > Hominidae > Homo > Homo sapiens. The sequence goes on from NC_000002.12 coordinate 223,839,001, forward strand.
GGTGGTCCCTGGAACCCCAAATCAGTGAAAGTCCTTCCCAGGATGTGTTGTGTACCTTCCTAGGGATGTAGGCCCACCCAGGTGACTGAAAATATGGGAAACTCCATCCACCCCTGCATTCACACTGCAAATATTCATCACTCTAGGCCAGGCCCTACAACAGGAGCCTGGGGGACCCAGCTGGGAACAAACAGGTGGTCTGTCTCCTGGAGCTTACGTCTCTTGTGGGACAACACATAATAAACAAGTAAATAAAATATAAGAAATTAAGATGAGTGCTAAGAAGGAGATATTTGAGTTCCTCGGATGGGCACAGGGAAGCTACATTGATTTAGCTGAGTGGTCAGGTAAGTGCCCCCTGGGGAGGTGACAGAAGACTTGGATGTGAGAAGCCAGCGCTCTGAAGAAGAAGAAAAAAAAGTCCTTCTGGAAACACTTCAAAAAAGGCCTCTATGTGAGTTAAGTGCCAGGAGGCCTAGAGGTGGGCAGGGGCCAGAGGCAATGAGTGTTCTCTACATTAGGGCATCACTGCAAGCCCCCAGGAGAGCCACAGCCTCCAGCCTCAAAGCTCTCAAACCTGGACTTGTGGCATTCTGCCGGGGGCATTGGAAGAGGACTATTTGACAACAGTTAAACCCCAGGCGATGGGATGATTTTGCTTCCTGAAAGAAAAGTGAATCTAGGACAGCTACTTTTTAACTCCTATGTTCTTCCCCCAGGGTCTGTTCCTTCCCTTTCTCAGTACATCATGCTTTATCTAACTAGATAGAATCTAATCTTTGTGCTTCTCCTCCTTTCTAGGTAACTTCAGGGCAGGGCCCAGCTCTGTGCCACCATCCAGAGCCTTGTGCTGTAAGGGTTTCTTTGCTAGTGGGAAAGAAATGGAATTACTAAAGGTGAATTACAAAGCTAAAGAAATCTCAGGCCAGGCGCCGTGGCTCATGCCTGTAACCCCAGGACTTTGGGAGACTGAGGCGGGGGGATCACCTGATGTCAGGCGTTCAAGACCAACCTGGCCAAAATGGTGAAACCCCTAATACAAAAATTAGCTGGGTGTGGTGGCGGGTGCCTATAATCCCAGCTACTCAGGAGGCTGAGGCAGGAGAATTGTTTGAACCCTGGAGGCGGAGTTTGCAGTGAGCCGAGATCCCCACTGTACTCCAGCCTGGACGACACTACGAGATTCTCGCAGAAGAAAAAAGGAAAAAAAAAAAAAAAAGCTAAAGAAATCATCTCAGTGCTCTTGCCATGACAGTTAAGTCAAATATTAAAGCAGGAAAGGCCAGGAGCGATGGCTCATGCCTGTAATCCCAGCACTTTGGGAGGCTGAGGCAGGTGGATCACCTGAGGTCAGGAGTTTGAGACCAGCCTGACTAACATGGTGAAACCCTGTCTCTACTAAATACAAAAAATTAGCCAGGCATGGTGGCACATGCCTGTAAGCCCAGCTACTTGGGAGGCTAAGAGAATGGCTTGAACCTGGGAGATGGAGGTTGCAGTGAGCCGAGATTGTGCCATTGCACTCCAGCCTGGGCAACAAGAGCTAAACTACATCTCAAAAAATAAAAATTAAAAAAAATAAAGCAGGAGAAGTTTCCCTTACTGTGTGGCTTATGGTTGGAGGGGGTGTAATTAAAGATGTAGAGGTTGAGGGGGGCAGGTAACTTAAAAATTATTAGTGTCCTTTGCCTTTCCTCCTGGCCTGGCTGAGATGGGCAGAGGATGCTCTCTGGGGCCTCTGCCACCCAGTGTTTTTTCCTCCAGATTCTCACACCATACCCCAAATCACCGAAGAGGGAGGCCTGCAGTGAGCTGGACACTTCACAGGGTTATCTTGGCTGCCCCCAAAACAATCCGTAAGAAAGGAAGCACTGTGGCCATGGTACAGATGAAAGCCTGAGGCTCAGAGGCTCAACAGCAATAATAAGAGGCAGGCCGGGCACAGTGGCTCAGGCTTGTAATCCCAGCGCTTTGGGAGGCCGAGGCAGGAGGACTGCTTAAGTTCGGGAGTTTGAGATCAGTCTGGGCAACATGGGAAGACCCCATCTCTATTTTAAAAATAATAATAATAAACTAAGTGTAAAAAGAAGCTAATAAGAGGCAGGGATAAGCCTAGAATCAAGGCACTAAGATTCAAGATGGTTCCCCCTAAAGCCCTACCCCTGACAGACCTACTCAGAACGCAACAGTGAGAGTTAAGCAGTGTTTATTTCATCAGTCATTTGTCTCAGAAGAATAACATGCATTTTTAAGCTTTGACTTCTCCTTTAAAAAAAAAATTCTGTAGAGATGGGATCTTACTATGTTGCCCAGGTTGATCTCGAGAATCCCTGGCCTCAACGGATCCTCCTGTCTTGGCCTCCCAAAGTGCTGGGATTACAAGCATGGGACACCACACCCAGCCTTAGTCTTGACTTCTGTATCCCATCTTTGCTTCTGTTCAAACTCCTGACTCCACACGTGGCCCACAAATAGCAAAACCCCAGGGAGGACCCAGAGGCCCTATCACTCAAGATGTACCAGTCTAAAGAGGAGTTCCCTGGTCAGATCCTAAAGAGGCTTTTAGATTCAAAATCTAATGTCCTAGAAGACAAGTACAGTGTGTTACATGGTTCCGGTTAGGTTGTTTATGAGCTGGTGCATGTGATTCTGTGTGTGTACATTTACTCATAAAACAATGCCCTGGCATTTGGTCAACTTGATTTAGGAGTTTCACTTCTCAGATCATTCTATATTTAAATATTAGCAGAAGATGCAGAGAGAATGCAGCAAAAGCCACCATCAAGTCCACAGCAAGGGAGAAGAGCAAGTTAGGGACCTGATAATAAAGTAAAATAATAATAATCTATAAACCAAAATACTGACTTCACAGAAATTGAGATAGATCAAGCTGTGAGTTTAAGAAACTGAAAGAAGCAAAGGAGAGGCCAACTTCAAAGTCGGCTTATGCAGTGCCTTCACAGGCATTAATTGAAGCCTGGTCCTGCTGTTCTTTAATGCCCTCTTATTAATGTCTTAAGTAATCAACATCTCCAGTAATCCCTTCTGCAGCATTCAGAAATTCATCTTGTCATGGTGAAACTTTTAGTATGAGGCCTTATGCTCTTTAGAAACCCCCTTTACTTTTCAAAAGAGGGCCTATTATTCCAAATGGAAAAACTCTACTTAATATATTTCTAAAGAATATTTTCAGAAAATTTTTAATTATAAAATAATATAGGTTCATTGCAGATTTGGAAAACACAGAAAAGTGTTATTTTAAAACCTCACTCTAGGCTGGGCACAGTGGCTCACCCCTCTAATCCCAGCACTTTGGGAGGCTGAGGCTAGCGGATCACCTGAGGTTAGGAATTCGAGACTAGCCTGGCCAACATAGTGAAACCCCATCTCTACTGAATACAAAAATTAGCCAGACATAGTGGTGGATGCCGGTAATCACAGCTACTTGGGAGGCTGAGGCAAGAGAATCTCTTGAACCCAGGAAGCAAGGGTTGCAGTGAGCTGAGACCACGCTATTGCACTCTAGCCTGGGCAACAAGAACAAAGCTCCATCTCAAAAAATAAAACATAAAAATAAAATAAAACCTTACTCTATTTCTGCCAACAAGAGGCCAGGTGAGGTGGCTCACGCCTGTAATTCCAGCACTTTGGGAAGCTGAGGCAGGTGGATGCCTGAGGTCGGGAGTTCGAGACCAGCCTGGCCAACATGGTGAAACCCTGTCTCTACTAAAAATACAAAAATTAGCCGGGTGTGGTGGCGCATGCTTGTAATCCCAGCTACTCAGGAGACTGAAGCAAGAGAATTGCTTGAACCCGAGAGGCAGAGGTTGCAGTGAGCCGAGATTGTGCCACTGGGCACAGAGCAAGACTGTGTCTCCAAATAATAATAATACTAATTCTACCAATAAGAAATAACTATTGTTATATTTGGTTTATTTCCTTGCATATTTGTATTCTATAGAGATAGAAAAGGACAGAAAGATTGTGTGTGTGTGTGTGTGTGTGTGTGTGTGTGTGTGTGTGTGTGTGTGTGTGCAGGGTCTCACTTTGGTTCCCAGGCTGGAGTGCAATAGCATGATCTCACCTCACTGCAGCCTTGACCTCCCTGGTTCAAGTGATCTTCCTGCCTCAGCCCCCCATGTAGCTGGGACTACAGGCATGCACCACCACACCTGGCTAATCTTTATATTTTTCTTAGAGACAGGGTTTTGCCATGTTGCCCAGGCTGGTGCTGAACTCCTGAGCTCAAGCAATCCACCTGCCTCAGCCTCCCAAAGTGCTGGGATTACAGGCGTGAGCCACCGTGCCCAGCTGAAATTTTGTTTTTAAAACCAAAATTGAAATTCTACTGCTGTAGTTTGAATGAGAGTTCCCTCTAAATTTCATGTTGAAACTTAATCCCCACTGTGGTAGTTTTAAGAGGTGGGGCCTTTGGAGAAGTGATGATTAGTGGATTAATGGATTAGTACCTTACCAAAAGGCTGGAGGAAACTAGCTCAGTCCCTTTTTAGCCTTCCATCCCTTCCACCACGTGAGGACTCAACTTTCGCCCCCCTGGAGGATGCAGCAACAAGGCACCATCTTGGAATAGAGACTGAGTCCTCACCAGACGTTGAACCTGCTGATGCCTTGATCTTGGACTTCCAGCCTCCTCCAGAACTGTGAGAAATCAATTTTTTTTTTTTTTTTTTTTTTTGAGCAAGAGTCTTGCTCTGTCACCAGGCTGGTGTGCAGTGGTGCAATCTTGGCTCACTGCAACCTCCGCCTCCCGGGTTCAAGGGATTCCCCTGCCTCAGCTTCCCAAGTAGCTGGGATTACAAAGGCGTGCCACCATGCCCAGCTAATTTTTGTATTTTTTTAGTAGAGATGGGGTTTCACCATGTTGGCCAGGATAGTCTCGATCTCCTGACCTCGTGATCCGCCCGCCTCAGCCTCCCAAATTGCTGAGATTACAGGCATGAGCCACCATGCTCGGTGATAAATCAATTTCTATTCCTTATAAATTATCCAGTCTCAGGCATTCTGTTATAGCAGCATGAACGGACTGAGACACCTACTGTATGTACTCTTTTGCATCCTACTGGGTTTCTTGTAGTAGCATAGTTATGGAACAAATATTGTTTGAACATCTACTCTGTGATAAGAACTGTGCTTCGCACTGGGCATAGAACAGTGAAGAGAGGAGTCGTGGTCCCTCTCAGGGTGGATGTACAGTGTTATGGGGGAAGACAAATATGAAATAAATAATAACATACATAAATGTTTAATTATCATGAATGCTCTGAAAGGAAAGGATAAGATGCCAGCAAACATGCAACAAAGAAATTGCTGGTGGACATTTCCTGTTTGCCTCTCCAGCATCCATTCCCCTGCTTCCTGTAATTTTCAGTTTGGGTTTGGGGAGCCAACCCACACATAGACTCTTAACTTTAGGGGTGGCACATGATGCTCTCCTGGCCAATCAGAATATTGCTTTCCCACAGCAATAATGATTGGTTCTAAAATAAGCATATTCCCAGAGTCAAATAATTCAAGCCAATAAGACTAAATTCTGGGCTGGGCGCGGTGGCTCACGCCTGTCATCCCAGCATTTTGGGAGGCCGAGGCGGACGGATCACCTGAGGTCAGGAGTTCGAGACCCGCCTGACCAAAATGGCAAAACCCCATCTCTACTAAAAACACAAAAATTAGCTGGGCATGGTGGTGGGCACCTGTAATTCCAACTACTCAGGAGGCTGAGGCAGGAGAATCACTTGAACCTGGGAGGCAGAAGTTGCAGTGAGCTGAGATTGCACCATTGCACTTCAGCCTAAGCGACAGAGTGAGACTCTGTCTCAGAAAAAAAAAAAAAAAGACTAAATTCTGGGACATTTTGTGGAACCCTCTTGGAGTGCATCCACTCTTCCTGTTAGGCTTGAATGTGAAGGCAGAAGCTGCAGCTGCTGCAGCCAGTTTAGCACCATGAAGGCTGAGCTTCTCTATGGAGCCAACACCAAGGATTGGACTAAGAGGTGGAGAGACACACAGGTCCTAGTGACACTTTTTGAGGCCTACATCAAACCTGATGCTAACCCCTGGACTTTGCAGTTACCTGAACCAATTTGGGTTCACTTGTGACCAAGTTGATTCAGGACATAAAAGAGTCAGGGAACAGAAGTATAAACTTGGGCCTGAGGAATGAGCGAGAGTTAAGCTGGCCTGGAGCAGAAATGAAATACAAAAAGCAATTGAAGCAGAGGAGACAGCCTGGTCATGAGCAAGAGACCTGGAGTGGGAGTGGCCACAGAATATGGCAGCAAGAAAGCCAGAGTTCAGGAAGGGGGTGGATCACGCAGGTCCTTGGAGGTCTCATTAAGGATTCAGAATGGGAGACCAAGAAATGGAGATCATTTAAGGCTTACACAAGCAGTGAAGTGGCAAGATCACGCTTTAGAGATGTTTATTAGTAATTCCATAATCTGGCTGGTTGCAATGGCTCACGCCTATAATCCCAGCACTTTGGGAGGCCAAGGCGGGTGGATCACTTGAGGTCAGGCATTCAAGACCAGCCTGGCCGACATGGTGAAACCCCATCTCTACTAAAAATACAAAACTTAGCCAGGCGTGGTGGCGCATGCCTGTAATCCCAGCTATTCAGGAGGCTGAGGCAGGAGAATCGGTTGCACCCGGGAGGCAGAGGTTGCAGTGAGCCAAGATCACGCCATTGCACTCCAGCCTGGACAACAGAGCAAGACTTTGTCTAAAATAAATAAATAATAATAATAAATAATTCCATAATCCTATTTGCTGCAGTGTCGAGAATAGAACCGTGGCAGAAGAGAGACAATGCAAGGAGATTTGTTAAGAGGTATAACATTTCAAGTGAGAGATGATATGGTGGCTTCAACCAGGATAGTCATAGTGGACTTTTCACTTATTATACATGAGAATCTCCCAATATCAATTTCTAGCTTTTTTTTTTTTTTCAGACAGAGTTTCACTCTGTCACCCAGGCTGGAGTGCAGTGGTGTGATCTCGGCTCTCTGCAACCTCCGTCTCCCCGGGTTCAAGCGATTCTCCTGCCTCAGCCTCTGGAGTCACTGGGATTACAGGCGTGTGCCACCACACCCGGCTAATTTTTTGTATTTTTAGTAGAGATGGGGGGTTTCGCTATGTTGGCTAGGCTGGTCTCGAACTCCTCACCTCAAGTGATCCACCCACCTCAGTTTCCTAAAGTGCTGGGATTACAGGCATGAGCCACCACACCGGCCAATTTCTAACTTAAAAAAAAAAAAGAAAAAAAATCCACGATACTTAAAGGACATTTAATAGGCCATTTTGGGCTACTCATTTTCTATTTCCGTACAATTGGATAAGTAATACAATTCCTGGAGTCTATGTTCTTAAAACAAAATACAGAGATTGTTTCCAGTTGTCATTTTACAAATACTACAACAGAAGTCCTGTGCATAAAATTTGTGTCCAAGCTTCTGGTTATATCAGGATAAATTCATAAAGGGTTTTGTGTGTGTGTTTGTTTTTGTTGTTGTTGTTTAGGGTTTTTTTTTTTTAAACAGGGTCTTGCTTTGTTGCCCAGGATGAAATGCAATCACACACAATCATGGCTCATTGCATCACTATCTATGTATTCATCAAGAAAGATTGTACGGAGTATATGAGAGTCTCTGTTTCACCAATTCCTATCAGTAAGGACAACTCATGTGATTCTTGAGTTAAGAATAAGTTCCTGCTGGGTGTGGTATGATCTCATTCCACATTCTTTCAATCCATTCTCATTAGGCTTCTGCCCTCACACTCCACCAAGCTACTTTTATAAGATTACCAATGAGATCACCATGAGCTTGTACTGTCTGATCCAATGGGCAACACTCAGCCTTCATCTCATTTCACACATCAGCAGCATTAGACCACACTGCTCCTGTCCCTCTCCAGGAAGAAAAACTGCTTTCTTGGCCTCTACAGCACCCCTCTCTGGGCTCTCCTTCTCCTTCATTGGCCATGTCCCTTTGTTATTGTTGAATCCCCCTCATCTCCCAAACCTCTACATGTTGTCATACCCAAGTTCAGTCTTTGGATAGCTCTCGTCTTCACACTTACCCCGTAGTTTAGCTGGAACATGGAGAAAGTTAGGAAAGTGGGTGTTTTAAAGCTGCTAGTGTAGGTTAAGACCAATACTTTGAAGACAACTTATGCCAAATAATTTAGACAAGGAAGATTTGTCACAGGGTTTTGAGTCGTGTTGATGAAAAGAGTCAAACTCTGTAAAATATTTTAAAAGATTTATTCTGAGCCAAATATAAGTGACCATGGCCTGTGGACACAGTCCTCAGGAGGTCCTGAGAACATGTGCCCAAGGTGGCCGGGGTTGGGGCACAACTTGCTTTTATACATTTAAAGAGCCATGAGACATCAATCAAATATATTTAAGAAATACATTGGTTAGGTCCAGAAAGGCCGGACAACTCAAAGGCGGGCGGGGTAGGAGGGAACTTCCAACATTTTCTGGTTGACAATTGGTTGAGTTTGTCTAAAGACCTGGGATGGATAGAAAGGAAATGCTCAGGTTAAGATAAAAGATTGTGGAGAACAAGGTTCTTTTTGAAGTGGCTGCCCTTAGAGACAACCGATGACACATGTTTCCTATTCAGATCTTTAAAAGGTGCTAGACTTTTAGTTAATATCTTTACTATTGCGGGGGATGGCACGGGGGTACCTGGAAGAAAAAGATCCAGCTATGTTAATGGAGATTCTCCGCAGATGCAAATTTTCCCCCACAAAGGACAGCTTTGCAGGGCCATTTCAAGATATGGCAAAGAAACATGTTTTGGGGTAAAATATTTTTATTTTCTTCCTTGTCTTGTAATGTTATGCCAGAGTCAGGTTGCAAAGTAACTCATGATATATAGAGCTAAATAAAACCCATCTGATGAGAATTTATGGTTTATAGGGCATGACCCTCCAGACCCCTTAGATAGGAATTTGGGCAAGATTAAAAAAATCAGAGCTTAGTTCTCAGTCAGGATGAGGATGATGGGGGCAGAGTACAGGGCAAGGGGTTAATGTGTGGCTGGAACAAGGCTGTGCCTGGGGGGAGATCAACTTGAGAAGGTATTAGGCTGCAGGGCATAGGGACATAATGCTGGAAGAAACTGTTCAAAGAGCTGCGTGCCCAATTGGGTGAGACTTTAAATGTATTTTTTTTTCAGATTTGAGAAGAATCTGGTCATCTGGCCGTGAAATTCAAAGTCTGTGTATAACTTAATTCATAGACATGTGTGCATGTACACACACACATGCCCCCATAGAAATGACTCTTTGAATTCCTCAAACATTCAGTTCCTTTAGGTTGTGGCTTTTATTGCCAATTGAAATTAATCACCAGGGAAGGCCAGTATACAAATTCTCGAGTTGTTTCCATTTCTACATGAGCATGTTTACAACATGCTTTCCATGCAGTTAGGGTTTATGAAAAGAGGGGTATGAGTCCAGAGCCAGAGCCATGGTGGGTGCCAGACAGATCCCTAAGGAAAGGGCAAAAGCCAGCAAGCCAGATGCCACAGGTTTACAGTCACCAGGGATGTCCTCCACAGTGGATGCCTTGAGTAGGCCCCTCCCTCTTCAGGAAAAGGCTTGGACTTCCAGGCCCCAGGTCCATCCATAAATTACTTTTGTCCATTATCTCTAAAGACCACAAATTCATTAAAATGAAACAAAACATAGCTACATACATATCACCAAGGGTTGGTCTGCCTTATTGTTTGTTCATGACATCCTTAGGATTTGTGTAGACACAGCACAATGTGAAACTGTGAGAATGTAAAATTATTAAAGAATGAGGCAAATATACCTAGAGTCACTTTCATCTTCTGCACTAGGGGTTTAATGGCATCTTAATCCAGATGACCTATCATATTAGTCCATTTTCACGTTGCTGATAAAGACATACCCGAGACTGGGCAATTTACAAAAGAAAGAGGTTTAATGGACTTAGAGTTCCATGTGGCCAGGAAGGCCTCACAATCAAGGTGGAAGGCGAAAGCCATGTTTCACATGGCGGCAGACAAGAGAAGAGAGCTTGTGCAGGGAAACGCCCCTTTTAAAGCCATCAGATCTTGTGAGACTCATTCACTATCATGAGAACACCGCAGGAAAGACCCACCCCCATAATTCAATCACCTCCCATTAGGTTTCTCCCACAACATGTGGGAATCGTGGGAATTACAATCAAGATGAGATTTGGGTGGGGACACAGCCAAACCATATCACCTATATCTACTAATTAATACTATTCAAATGTTATCACACTATAAATTTTATATGGTTTGCCTGTGTCGCCACCTAAATCTCATCCTGAATTGTAACTCCCATAATTCCCATGTGTCACAGAAAGGACCCAGTGGGAGATAATTGAAACGTGGGGTTGGTTTCCCCATACTGTTCTCCTTGTAATGAGTTAAGTCCGTGAGATCTGATGTTTTTATACGAGGTTTCCCCTTTCACTTGGCTCTCATTCTCCCTTGCCTGCTGCCATGCAAGACTTGACTTTGCTCCTCCTTTGCCTTCCACCATGATTGTGAGGCCTCACCAGCCACGTGGAATTGTGAGTCAATTAAACCTCTTTCCTTATAAATTATGCAGTCTCAGGTATGTCTTTATTAGCAATGTGAGAACAGACTAATACAGTAAATTGGTACTGATAGAGTGGGGCGCTGCTATAAAGATACCCGAAAATGCGGAAGCGACTTTGGAACTGGGTAACAGGCAGAGGTTGGAAGAGTTTGGAGGGCTCAGAAGAAGACAGGAAAATGTGGCCTTGACAAAAATGCTGATAGTGATACGGACAATGAAGTCCAGGCTGAGGTGCTCTCAGATGGAGATGAGGAACTTGTTGGAAACTGGAGTAAAGGTGACTCTTGCTACGTTTTAGCAAAGAGACTGGTGGCATTTTGCCCCTGCCCTAGGTTCGTGGAACTTTGAACTTGAGGAAGATGATTTAGGGCATCTGACAGAAAAAAATTGCTAAGCAGCAAAGCATTCAAGTGATGACTTAGGTGCTATTAAGAACATTCAGTTTTAAAAGGGAAACAGAGCATAAAAGTTTGGAAAATTTGCAGCCTGATGATGCCATGTGATAGAAAAGAAAATCCAATTTTCCAAGGAGAAATTCAAGCCAGCTGCAGAAATTTGCATAAGTAATGAGGAGCTAAATGTTAATTGGCAAGATAATAGGGAAAATGTCTCCAGGGCATGTCAGAGACATTTGAGGCAGCCCCTCCCATCATAGGCCCTCAGGCCTAGAAGGAAAAAATGGTTTCCTGGCCATGTCCAGGGCCCCCCTGCTATGTGCAGCCTAGGGTCTTGGTGCCCTGTGTCCCAGCCACTTCAGCCATGGCTAAAAGGGGCCAAGATACAGCTCAGGCCATGGCTTCAGAGGGTGCAAGCCCCAAGCCTTGGCAGCTTCCACATGGTGTTGAGCCTGTGGGTGCACAGAAGTCAAGAACTGAGGTTTGGGAACCTCTGCCTAGATTTCAGAGGATGTATGGAAATGTCTGGATGTCCAGGCAAAAGCTTGCTGCAGGGGTGGGGCCCTCATGGAGAACCTCTGCTAGAGCAGTGAGGAAGGAAAATGTGGGGTAGAAGCCCCGACAAAAAGTCCCCACTGGGGCACTGTCTAGTGGAGCTGTTAGAAGAGGGCCACCAGCCTCCAGACCCCAGAATGAAAGATCCACTCACAGCGTGCACTGTGTGCCTGGAAAAGCCACAGACACTCTATGCCAGCCTGTGAAAGCAGCTGGGAGGGAGGCTGTATCCTACAAAGCCACAGGGGTGGAGCTGCCCAAGACCATGGGAACCCACCTCTTGCATCAGCGTGACCTGGATGTGAGACATGGAGTCAAAGGAGATCATTTTGGAGCTTTAAGATTTGACTGCCCTGCTGCATTTTGGATTTGCATGGGGCCTTTAGCCTCTTCATTTTGACCAATTTCTCCTGTTTGGAATGGGTGTATTTATCCAATTCCTGTACCCCCATTATATCTAGGAAGTAACTAACTTGCTTTTGATTTTACAGGCTCATAGGTGGAAGGAACTTCCCTTATCTCAGATGAGACTTTGGACTATGGACTTTTGAGTTAATGCTGAAATGAGTTAAGACTTTGGGGGACTATTAGGAAGGCATGATTGGTTTTGAAATGTGAAGGCATGAGCTTTGGCAGCGGCTGAGGTGGAATGATATGGTTTGGCTGTGTCCCCACCCAAATCTCACCTTGAATTGTGGCTCCCATAATTCCTATGTGTTGTGGGAGGGACCCAGTGGGAGATAATTGAATCATGGGGGAGGTTCCCCCATAGTGTTCACATGGTAGTGAATAAATCTCTCAAGATCTGTTGTTTTTATAAGGGGCTCCCCCTTTCACTTGGCTCTCATTCTGTCTTGCCTGCTGCCATGCAAGACATGACTTTGCTCCTCCTTTGCCTTCCACCACAAATGTGAGGCCTCCCCAGCCATGTGGAACTGTGAGTCAATTAAACTTCTTTCCTTTATAAAATACCCAGTCTTGGGTATGTGTTTATTAGCAGCATGAGAACAGAGTAATATAAAATGCTAGATTGTCTTTACAAAAAAAAAAGAGTGTATATTCAAAGGAAAAGAGGACTTTTTTAGGGGGGCAGGGGGGTGGAATGGAGTCTGGCTTTGTTGCCCAGGCTGGAGTACAGTGGTGCAGTCTCAGCTCACTGCAGCCTCTGCCTCTCATGTTCAAGTGATTCTCATGCCTCAGCCTCCTAAGTAGCAGGGACCACACCACATGATTCACCACATCCTGCTAGTTTTTTGTATTTTTAGTAGAGATGGGGTTTTACCATGTTGCTCAGGCTGGTCTCAAACTCCTGACCTCAGGTGATCCGCCCACCTCGGCCTCCCAAAACTGAGATTACAGGTGTGAGCCCCCATGCCCAGCAAAAGAGTACATTTTTGTCTATGTGATTATGCAAAGCCTGCCCTAATTGCTATTAAATTATTTTATTTTCTTTTTTGAGACAGTGTCTTACTCTGTCATCTGGGCTGGGGTGCAGTGATGCAATCTTGGTTCACTGCGGCCTCGACCTCCTGGGCTCAGGTAATCCTCTGACCTCAGCCTCCTGAGTAGCTGGTAACAGGCACCCAACACCACACCTGGCTCCTCTTTTTTTTTTTTTTTTTTTTTTTGTAGAGATGCGTTTCACCATGTTGTCCAGGCTGGTCTCAATTCCTGGGCTAGAGTAATTTGCCCATCTTGGACTCCCAAAGTGCTGGGATTACAGGCATGAGCCACTGCACCCAGCCTGAATTCTTAGCAATAATCTTTGAAATCTGCAAATAGACATGACTTACTTGGCATCATCAAACAAGATTTATCAGGTCTTTCTTTCAGAACAGAGCCCAGTTATAATGGCAATCTGATTAAAGGCTAACTCAACTAAAGATAAGTGCCCCTGGGAGGAGCAGCAACTGAGTTTCTCATTGGCTCAGAGAGGAGCAGCTCCTGAGTTTCTTATCTGGTAAGTCCTACTGAATATGAAGTACTTGAGCAAAGCATGCTGATGGTTATCACGGCTACATCAAAAAGGAAAAGGTATGGTATGCAAATGCACCTTAGATATGGGCTGGCAGTTATAGTCACAGTCAAAAACGCAGTATATGTCGGAGTAATGGTTGCTAAGACTTAAAGCCATTAGAGTAACCAGAATGTGTTCCCATGTAAAGACCAGCTTTTGAGTTGATCCTACAGTCAGTGTTGGTTGACTTGCCTTCCCCACTCAGGGTCTTGGTTTAAAAGAATGGGTGTCATTCCTGACTGCTGCATCCCACTCTTATCTGAGTTCTGCTACCATTTACTCACCATCCACATGCATCCTACTTTAGAAATCTGAATGCTCAAATAATTGCTACACTATAAAAAGTGCTCAGGCCAAGCCCAGTGGCTCACGCCTGTAATCCCAGCACTTTGGGAGGCCAAGGCAGGTGGATCACTTGAGGTCAGGAGTTTGAGACCAGCCTGCCCAGCCCAACATGGTGAAACCCTGTCTCTACCAAAAAATACAAAAATTAGCCAGGAGTGTTGGCATGCGCCTCTAGTTCCAGCTACTCAGGAGGCTGGGGCATGAGAATTGCTTGAACTCAGGAGGTGGAAGTTGCAGTGAGCTGAGATCGTGCCACTGCACTCTAGCCTGGGTGACAGAGTGAGACTCCATCTCAAAAAAAAAAAAAAGAAAAAGAAAAGAAAGAAAAGAAAAAGAAAAAAGGTGCTTACGGCTATCTGACATATCCAGTGGCCTAGAACTCCAGGAGAAGGTATAGGCAATTGCTCAATACAACAAAGTGATGTTTGGGGCCATGTTTAGAGCTGTGTAGAACAGAGCTTCATATATGAAAGGTCTTTGTTTGGTCTGAAGCTTAATGGTATCACACATTGCCAACCCCCTATCCAACATACTGAACTCCATAGTTGGTGTTAAATGTCAACATCAGCCAGAGAATCGTTAGTTAGCCCTGGTGCTCCTGATGAGTAATCTTTGGTTTTGTAGCTTTTAGGTGAACTCCCTGTGTAATCCTATGACCATGTGTAGGTTCAGCATAAGTGAAGTCACTAGGTAAATATATATATTGGGCAAGGGACCGAACAAACCTCAAGGACAGTGATTCAAAATCCATAGAATAGTTGGGGGCTTGGAGGGTTGGGAAGGATGGAGAACAATCAGTTACCTAGCCCTCAAGTGAGTTGGAAAGGGAAACGTTTGAGAGCTAAGCCCTACCCAGGGTATTGTGGATTCATAGTCCTGTGCTGAGTCCTGGATTGTCTTACAGAAGGAGAGAAGCATCTGCAGCCAGAAGCCTTGAGCACTGGTCCAGCTTCTTCTCCTACCAGTCAAGTGACTTTGGGCAAGATACTTCACTTCATTGTGCCTCAGTTTCCTAATCTGTAAAATGAAGATAATAATTCCTATGTCTCCTAAAGATGCTGGTAGGATTAGTCAGTACTCAGTAAGTATAGCTATTATTACTACTAGTATCAGAGGTGTTTTTTTGTTGTTTTTTGTTTGTTTGTTTTTTAAGACAGAGTCTCACTCTGTTGCCCAGGCTGGAGTGCAGTGGCATAATCTGGGCTCACTGCAACCTCTGCCTCCTGAGTTCAACTGGTTCTCCTGCCTAAGCCTCTTGAATAGCTGGGATTACAGGCACATGGCACCATGCTCTGCTAATTTTTTTATTTTTAGTAGAGACGGGGTTTCGCCATGTTGGCCAGTCTGGTCTCGAACTCCTGACCTCAGGTGATCCGCCTGCCTTGGCCTCCCAAAATGCTGGGATTACAGGCGTGAGCCACCATGCCCATCCATCAGAGATGTTTGAACCCAAGTGACTCCATCTTGAATAGGGGCTGGGAAAATAAGGCTGAGACCTCCTGGGCTGCATTCCCAGAAGGTTAGACATTCTTAGTCTCAGGATAAGATAGGAGGTTGGCATGTGATACAGGTCACAAAGACCCTGCTGATTAAACAGGATGCAGTAAGGAAGCTGGCCAACACCAACCCAAACCAAGATGGTGATGAAAGTGACCTCTTGTCATCCTTACTGCTCATTACATCCCAATTACATTAACATGCTAAAAAACTCCCACCAGTGCTATGACAGTTTACAAGTACCATGGCATTTGTAAAGTTACCCTATATAGAAGTTATCCTATATATAGTCTAAAAAACTATAGGCTATATACTCTAAAAAACCCTATATAGAAGTTACCCTATATAGTCTGTTCCCTCAGTTCTGGGAAATCTCTGCCCTTTCCCCAGAAAACTCATGAATAATCCACCCCTTGTTTAGCACATAATCAAGAAATAACTATAAGTATACTCAGTTAAGCAGCCCATACTGCTGCTCTGTCTATGAAGCAGTCATTCTTTTGTTTCTCTACTTCTCGAATTAACTTGCTTTCACTTTTACTCTATGGACTTGCCCTGAATTCTTTCCCACGCAAGGTTCAAGAATCTGCTCTTGGGGTCTGGATAGGGACCCCTTTCTGGTAACACTAGTGGTAAATGTTAACTATTGTTAATTAAAATTATAAAATTCAGCATGAAAAAGCTGCCTTGCATACACACTGCTCAAAATACCTTTTGCCAAAGCAGGTGAAGATGGTGCAGTCTTATGAGCATGTTTAAAAGCAATGGTGGGCCGGGCATGGTGGCTCATGCCTGTAATCCCAACACTTTGAGAGGCTGAGGTGGGTGGATCACTTGAGGCCAGGAGTTTGAGACCAGCCTGGCCAACATGGTGAAACCCTGTCTCTACTAAAAATACAAAGAAATTAGCCGGGTGTGGTGGTGGGCACCTGTAATCCCAGCACTCAGGAGGCTGAGGCTCGAGTATCATTTGAATCTAGGAGGTAGAGGTTGCAATGAGCTGAGATTGCACCATTGCAGTCCAACCAGGGCGAGAGAGAAAGACTCTGTCTCAAATAAATAAATAAATAAAAGCAATGATGAGAGCTGAGTGAGATGCCTTGGAATATCACCAGCAGTGTGAGCCCCACTCGAATTTCACATGAAACTCAACAAACAAGCAGAACAGTCATCGCACACAGAAGCAGGCTCTGTGCGGTCACATGCATAGGATTCTGCAGGGTAAGGAATATAAAAGCATACTGGTATTTGGTGGATCTGTAAAGTGGAGATTGTTACGTGAAGCAATGTCAGTAGGCTGCCTCCCACATTCAGAAATTTATGTGAGAAAATACTTTACCTTCTTCTATTTAAAACAATCAGGGCTACTGCAGTGGCTCATGCCTGTAATTCCAACACTTTGGGAGGCCAAGTCAGGAGAGTTGCTTGAGTCCGGGAGTTCAAGACCAGCCTGGCCAAGACCTGGCAAGACCCCATCTCTGTTTAAAAAATAATAGTAAAAAAAAAAATTAGGCAATCAAGTACTTTACTTTCTAATTTCTGTCCTTATGATATTATGCCACCTTAAGAATGTAGTTACATGTTGGCTTTTTCTGATGTGGGTCTAAAAACAGTGTTAAATTGGTAATAG
Source organism: Homo sapiens (assembly GCF_000001405.40). Taxonomy (NCBI): domain Eukaryota; kingdom Metazoa; phylum Chordata; class Mammalia; order Primates; family Hominidae; genus Homo; species Homo sapiens. The sequence continues at coordinate 223,856,069 of NC_000002.12, forward strand.
GTCCTGGCTGGTCATCTTACCTTTAAGTCAAACATTCTGCCCCTTTGACCTAGAGTTGTTAGGCGTGGGTGAAGCAATCAATTGCCAGGAATTCTTTCAGCACGGAGGTTTTCTCTGCAAACTCATCCTCCTTTTATCTTTTTTCTTAAAACACATTCTTGTCCTTGACACTTGTTTCCTCTTTCCTAACATATTTTAGAAAGCACTGAGATAGTTCCAGGTCCTCTGTGTAGGTTATTATCCCTCTTTTATCAGAAAGGAAAACAGACTCAGAATGAGTAAGTAACTTGTTAAGATCATCTCACTAGCAAAGCACTGGCATTCAAATTTGGGTTATCTTGGCTCTCAAGCCCATGGTCTTTCCACTGCCCTTATTCTTGCAGCCTCCAGTTTGTATCTGGACTTAGAGTTTTCCTTTATGCCTGTCCTTCATTCTCCACTCATTTAGCTACATTTATTCTACCCAAACCTTGGATGTTTGTGGGCAAAATTCTGAAGAGTGCCCCCTGTCCTGCACACCACGTTCTCTTCATCCAGCCTGAGGTATGGAGTTGCCACCCTGGATGTGGGCCAAGGTTCCACGGATTCAAAGACAGAACTCAAACAACCATGGGCCAAGTCCTGCTGAGGCCTCAGGGAAGCCATGGAAACTTCATCCAGAGAAGTGGCCCCAGGCTTGGTGTGCAGAGAGTCACTGAAGCAACGCGCTAAAACCACAGCAAGCTTGGACTAATTACAGCACCTCTCCGTGCTTCAGTTTCCTCATCAGTAAGTGGAAATAATATTAGTACCCAACTCATAGTTTTCTTGTGAGAATTAACCACAATAATTACCTGAAAAGTGTTTAGCATGATGCCTGGTACCTAGTAAATGCTTGATAAAAGTTCACTGTTCTAGCCAGGCACAGTGGCTCATGCCTGTAATCCCAGCACTTTGGACAGCTGAAGTGGGTGGATTGCTTGAGCTCAAGAGTTCAAGACCAGCCTGCACAACATGACAAAACCCCATCTCTACTAAAAATAAAAGTTAAAAAAAATTAGCTCGGCATGGTGGCGCATGCCTGCAGTCCCAGCTACTCGGGAGGCTGAGGTGAGAGGATCACTTGAGCCCGGGAGGTTGAGGCTGCAGTGAGCCAAGATAAAGCCACTGTGCTCCAGCCTGGGCAACAGAGTGAGACCTTGTCTGTTTTTTGTTTTGTTTTGTTTTGTTTTTGAGACGGAGTCTCACTCTGTTGCCAGGCTGGAGTGCAGTGGCGTGGTCTCGGCTCACTGCAATCTCCACCTCCTGGGTTCAAGCGATTCCCCTGCCTCAGCCTCCTGAGTAGCTGGGACTACAGGCGTGCACCACCATGCCCGGCTAATTTTTTGTATTTTAGTTGAGATGGGATTTCACCATGTTGGCCAGGATGGTCTCGATCTCCTGACCTTGTGATCCACTTGCCTCGGCCTCCCAAAGTGCTGGGATTACAGGTGTGAGCTACCACACCCAGCCATGAGACCCTGTCTCAAAACAAAAATTTTGTTTTCATCTTGTTGTATTCCTGAACTTTCAATCTCCTCTCTCCTCCTTCAGGGTGCATAGCCCATCTATTATAAATAAATAAATAAAAGTTAACTGTTCTTGTTGATACCAAAATTTGTGAACCACTGTCCTAGGCAAACACAAAGAACTTACTTGGACCACATCTGCCCCAAGACCAGTAGAGGCGTTAGAGTTCCGACTCTCTCTCTCTGCCCATGAGAAACACATTCCACAGGCTTCAGAGTGAATTATTTTTCTGTTCTCTTCAGCCCCAAACTCCCAATGACTTGCTTCATACCCAGTTCCCCCATCACAAGTGAAGCCTTGAAGGCTGTCTAGGTAGAGAATACCAGATTTAAAGCAGATAACATAACTCACTTTTTAACATAACATTTAATAAATGACTGGGGAATTGCATTAATTGTCTATTAATTTATTAATAATTATTAAATGATTAGAGGCTCCTCGTGCCACTTTCCTTATTCACAAGCACCTCATTCACCCACCATTAGTTATTTCCTTATTAAGCTCGATTCAGCCATTCTACATTAAGTACCTACTATGTGCTAGGTGCTGTGCTAGGTACACATTGTTAAAGCAAACTAAAGACGGCCTGAGAAGGACTCCATACTTCTATATTTGAATCCTTGTAGATAAACTGTAACCTGGCTTAATAGGCAGGCAAGATTGAAAACCTCACTTGGGAGCATGCACCTGTAACAACACCTGAGTCAATCCCAGTGGCCATTCTTCAACCACGCATAGACTGCTGAGTATTCGAGCTGTGTTCAAATAAGGCAAATGCCAACCTGTAACCAATCCAGCTGTTTCTGTACCTCACTGCTGATTTCTGTTCATTGCTTCCCTTTTTTGTCTATAAATTTGTTCTGACCATGAGGCATCCCTGGAGTCTCTGTGAATCCGCTGTGATTCTGGGGTCTGCCCGATTCGCAAATCGTTCATTGCTCAATTAAGCTTCTTTAAATTTAATTCAGCTGAAGTTTTCCCTTTAACAGTATGCACCAGTGAATGAAACAGATGGTACTCCTGCCCTAGCTGAGTTTATACAAAACTTAACCGGGCGTGGTGGCATGCACCTGTAATCCCAACTATTCAGGAGGCTGAGGCAGGAGAATTGCTTGAACCCAGGAGGTGAAGTTTGCGGGGAGGCGGAGGTTGCAGTGAGCCGAGATCGCACCATTGCACTCTAGGCTGGGCGACAAGAGCAAGACTCCGTCTCAAAAAATAAAATGAAATAAAATAAAATAAAAATAATAAAAGTTCTCTGATGGATAAAACCAGGGGCCAGTGATAGAGAATAATGGGGAAATCTACTGAGATGGGGGAATTCTGGGAGAGACTCTCTGAGGAAGAAACCTTTAACCTGAAGCCTGAAAGGAGACCAGCCAGGTGAAGGGTGTGGGAGAGACAGAGAGTGCCTGAGACTGAATGGAGGCAGGAGCAGGTGAGAGGAGATCCAGGGGAGGCAGGCCTGCTGGGCTGATACAGAGATGGAATTTTATTAGAAAACAACCTCTTTCTTTTAGCTTATTGTGCAGAATGGCACCCAAACCTCATTAGTCCTCATCAATAAAGAACTCGTGAACAGGACCCTGTTCCTTCCTCTCTCTCTCTCCCTCTTTTGAGACAGGTTCTCACTCTGTCACCTAGACTGGAGTGCAGTGGTGCAATTATATAGCTCACCGCAGCCTCAACTTCCTGCACTGAAAGGGTCCTCCTAACTCAGCCCCCCAAGTAGCTGAAACCACAGGCGTACACCACCATGCCCAGCTAAGTTTTCTATTTTTTGTAAAGACAGAGCCTCACCATGTTGTCCAGGCTGGTCTCAAATTCCTGGGCTCAAGTGATCTTCCTGCCTCAGCCTCTCCAAGTGCGGGGATTACAGGCATAAGCCACCACGCCCAGTCTCATTCTTTTCTCTTTGAATCCTTTCTCAAATGATGTCCCCCCTCCCAGGCCATGGCAGTGGGGTGCTTGCTTACCCGAGCCTCCCTGTGCAACACAGGAAATCATTTTCCTTGGGAGGTGGCTGGGAATGTCTTACATTTTCCATTTCTCCCATTTAGTCTTCATTGAACATTTGACTAGATGGTTCTCTGGCATAAAATCTACACTTTCAGGCAAAATGAGAGTCTGAATGCTCAGAGTTGGATATCTGGTCAAAATGAATCTCCCAGAGCACCACATAAATGTTTTCTTTTTTTCCTGAGACGGAGTTTCACTCTTGTTGCTCAGGCTGGAGTACAATGGCGCGATCTCGGCTCACCGCAACCTCCCCTTCCCGGGTTCAAGCAATCTCCTGCCTCAGCCTCCCAAATAGCTGGGATTACAGGCAAGCACCACCACGTCCGGCTAATTTTGTATATTTAGTAGAGACGGGGTTTCACCATGTTGGTCAGGCTGGTCTCAAACTCCCAACCTCATGTGACTCGCCCGCCTCAGCCTCCCAAAGTGCTGGGATTACAGGTGTGAGCCACCACGCCCGGCCCACATAAACATTTTCTATTTTTGTTCTGGACCTTAAGTACTAAGTTAATAGTCTTACGAGAGGCAGATGCAGATGACTTCCAAGGAAAACCAAGGCCATTTTAGGCCAAGGCATGGCAGTGGAGACCTCCTGTGTTCATTTTGAGTAATAGCTACCAGTAAGAGCCTTTCCCCACCCTCTGACCTAGAGAAAATAGAAGGCATTATGTGGGAAAATGTTCTTTATGAACCAGGGTTATGAATGAAGTTCTTAGAAACTTCATTAATTCATTCTGTAAGTATATTTTGTTGATGCCTTTCCAAACATTTCTATTTTTTTTTTTTTTTTTTGAGACAGAGTCTCACTCCGCCCCGCCTCTACTAAAAATACAAAATACCTGTAGTCCCAGCTACTCGGGAGGCTGAGGCAGGAAAATCGCTTGAACCTGGGAGGCGGAGGTTGAAGCGAGCCAAGATCACACCACTGCACTCCAGCCTGGGCGACAGAGTGAGACTCCATCTCAAAAAAAGAAAAAAAAAAAGATCCCCCTGAGGAATGTTCCTGGGTTCCAGATACTCTTCCTTTCTGGACCTTGATTCTCAGGCCCGCAGCTCCATTGGAGGGTGTCCCCCATGCTGAGCCATCCTGGCCACCCTTGGAGAGTGGGGCCTCATCCACACCTCCAACCCTGCTCATTCAGTCTTTATAGTTCCTTCTTCCAGGAAACTAGGGGGTAACAAGTATTCTAAGGGCTGGGTCAGATAACTGACTGGCACCACCCAGTACTAGCCTTTTGTAAAAACACCTTACATTCTTTTCTTTTCTTTTTTGAGACAGGGTCTCACTTCATTGCCCAGGCTGGAGTGCAGTGGCTTGATCTTGCTCACTGCAGCCTCAGTCTCCCAGGCTCAAGTGATCCTCCTGCCTCAGCCTCCTGAGAAGGTGGAACTATAGGCATGCACCATTACACCAGGCTAATTTTTGTATTTTTTGTAGAGATGACATCTCGTTATGTTGCACACGCTGGTCTCAAACTCCTGGACTCAAGCAATCCTACCACCTCAGCCTCCCAAAATGTTGGGAGTACTGGTGTGAGCCACTGTGCCCAGCCTCACCCTACATTCTTTTTAGGCCACAAACCAGGAACTCAGGATGCAACAACCAGTCTACATATGGCAACTTGCCACTGCGGGGTGAGCTTTGCCTTCCCGGTCACTTCCCACAAAGGCTCCTTCTCCTCCATCTCCTTCCACAGGGCAGCTTCAAGCTCCAGTTCATCCCCATTATCTCCAGTTGAAAGAAGGAAGCAGAAAGAAACCCATATTTATTATCCACCGTGGATACTAGACTAGCTACTTTACATGTCTTAATCTTTACATACATTATATTATTGCACACTGGTTTTGATTTTACAGAAAATAAAACCAGTGAATGTCCACAATGTTTGCATAACTTGCAAGTGTTAACATGACTAGTGAGTAGCAACACTGGAATTCAAACCAAGATAAGTCTGAGGCCAAAGTCCAAGCTCTTTCTACCCTAGGCTGTCATGAACATGTTCCTTAGCCCCTCCTTTTGGCCACCTCTGGGAGCTCAGAATTGCTGGGCAGGCAATAAAAGGATGTGTTTGGGAAAGGGAAAAAGTAGAATTTGAGGACCATTTTTTCACCTATAAAATGGGAATAAAAATAAATTCCTATTTCAAGGAGTTCTTAAAAGGATTAAATAAAATAATCCAGGTAAAGAATTTAGTACTTTGATTGGAAAAGAAAAACAATGTATATTGGGAATTCTTCTCCCCCTCTATCACCTTTACCTTCTCTGCCCTCTCTGGACTCAGGTGCTCACACAATAAAAGCAGTAACACTAGGCCATTTGGAAAAGGAGAGAGCAGCCTGCTTGTAAAGAAAGGTGACCAACTTTGTATCCAGACAGGCTTGGCCTCAAAGGAACACAACCTAAAATCATAGGCTGACAGCAAATATATATATATATATTTTTGAGACAGAGTTTCGCTCTTGTCACCCAGCTGGAGTGCAATGGCACGATCTTGGCTCACTGCAACCTCCACCTCCCAAGTTCAGGAGATTCTCCTGCCTCAGCCTCCCAAGTAGCTGAGATTACAGGTGACTGCTACTATGCCTGGCTAATTATTGTATTTTTAGTAGAGACAGGGTTTCACCATGTTGGTCAGGCTGGTCTCAAACTCCCGACCTCATGTGATTCGCCTGCCTCAGCCTCCCAAAGTGCTAGGATTACAGGCATAAGCCACCGTACCTGGCCTTTTTATTTATTTTATTTTATTTATTGTATTTTATTTTTTGAGAGAGATTCTGTCACACTCTGTTGTCCAGGCTAGAGTGCAGTGGCACAATCTTGGCTCACTGCAGCCTCTGCCTCCCGGATTCAAGCGATTCTTGTGCCTCGGCCTCCCATGTAGCTGGGATCACAGGCATGTGCCACCATACCTGGCTAGTCATTTATTTTTTAATATGCAATGGAAAATATTTCTGACACACACAGACTGTATTAGTCCATTGTCTTTCTCTTTCTTTTCTTTTTCTTTTTTTGAGACGGAGTTTCACTCTTGTTGCCCAGGCTGGAGTGCAATGGCACAATCTTGGCTCACTGCAACCTCTGCCTCCCAGGTTCAAGAGATTCTCCTGCCTCAGCCTCCCAAGTAGCTGGGATTACAGGCACACGTCACCATGCCTGGCTAATTTAGTATTTTTAGTAGAGACAGGGGTTTCTCCATGTTGGTCAGGCTGGTCTGGAACTCCTGACCTCAGGTGATCCACCTGCCTTGGCCTTCCAAAGTGCTGGGATTACAGGCGTGAGCCACAGCGCCTGGCCAGTATTAGTCCATTTTCATACTGTTATAAAGAACTACTTGTAGCTGGATATTTCCACAAGGTGGCAGGAAGGAGAAATGCCAAGCGGAGGAGGAAGAGCCCCTTATAAAGCCATCCGATCTCGTGAGAACTCACTCACTATCACAAAAACAGCATGGGGAAACCACGCTCATGATCCAATTACCTCCACCTGGTCTCTTCCGAGACATGTGGGAATTACAGGGATTACAATTCAGATGAGATTTGGGTGGGGACAAAAAGCTTAACCATATCACAGACTAAAAACATAATCATCTCCCAGGCATTCTTCCTTAAGAAATTTACGGAGGCCGGGCTCACTGCAACCTCCACCTCCCGGGTTTAAGAGATTCTCCTGCCTCAGCTTCCCAAGTAACTGGGACTAGAGGTGCGTGCCACCACGCCTGGCTAATTTTTTTATGTTTTGTAGAGACAGAGTTTCACCATATTAGCCAGGATGGTCTCGATCTCCTGACCTCATGATCTGCCCACCTCAGCCTCCCAAAGTGCTGGGATTACAGGCATGAGCCACTGCGCCCGGCCGAATCATGTTTTTTTGTTGTTCATTAAATTAACTCTAATAAGGGCCCTGATGGGGGAAAAAAAAAAAAAAGTTAAGTAGCTTCAAGACTTACTCAAAGCACACACACTTCCTTTTATGTTCTTTTCAGTATTTGGCTTCTAGACACTAGTGTAAACACGGGAATAAATTCTGTAATGGTGTTTTATTCTCTGAGATGTAACTGCTTCCCTGGATCCTGCTGTGACTTGGTTTTGAGACTTAGGCAATCGGTGTAAATAAATCCAGCACTATGTACTTAATTAGAAGCTTCCACTGGATTCATTAAGATGCAGACACATAGTTTAAATAGAGAGATTAAACAGCAATTGAAATGATTATTAGAGCACAGAAACAACTTCATAAACTAGGGACAATTTTTCTAAATGTGCAATTGCATTTTCAACACAATTAGGTGCTTAATTGTGTACTATCCTTAGTTAATACATTTTAACATATAAAACACTAGATTAAAAAAATTTTTTTAGTTTTTTTAAAAAAGACATTCAATTTTTTTAAAAAAACTACCTTTGTCTACTGGCTTTGAAGATTTGAAATCTAAAAAAATATATAAAAGTTTCTTCTTACTCTTCATCCATTACGTTACCACAGTTTTAAATGGTTTGTTCACACAAGTATAATCTGTCTTTGTAAAACAATGTTTAAAATTTTTCTAAAAAATTTGTAAGGAGCCATGTGAATGATATATACCTCACATGCTCAGATACCAGGCACACATTTTACATCATTGTATAATTAGGACTTAGTATTTTCATCATAATTAAATAAGAAGGCCCAAGCACAGTGTCACATGCCTGTAATCCCAGCACTTTGGGAGGCCGAGACAGGTGGATCGCTTGAGCTCAGAAGTTCAAGACCAGCTTGGGCAACATGGCAAAAGCCCGTCTCTACAAAAAATACAAAGAATTAGTTGGATGTGGTGGCACTTGCCTATAGTCCTAGCTACTCAGGAGGCTAAGGCAGGAGGATCACTTGAGCCCAGGAGGTGGAGGTTGCAGTGAGCCAAGATCATGCCACTTAACTCCAGCCTGGGCTATAGAGCGAGACCCTGCCTCAAAAAAAAAAAAAAAAAAAGATGTTAAATAACCCTACCTTAAAATGTACATTTCTTTCTTTCTTTCTTTCTTTTTTTTTGAGACAGAATCTTACTCTGTCACCAGGCTGGAGTGCAGTGGCATGATCTTTGCTCACTGCAACCTCCATCTTTTCTTTCACCATGATGACCAGGCTGGTCTCGAACTCCTGACCTCAGGCGATCCACCTGCCTTAGCCTCCCAAAGTGCTGGGATTACAGGTGTGAGCCACTGCACCCGGCCACGATGAATAACTCTTAAATATTGAACTTGAATTAGGAAACAACTTCTTGTTTATCCCCCTCCTCCTCCTCCACTTCTTCCTTCCTCTTCCTCCACCTCTTCTTCCTGGAGGTGTGCATTAGGAAATCTGAAACTATTTTCTGTATATTCTAGGATTCAACAAATAAACAGATTTATTATGAATAATGGGAGATAGGTTTCTCACAGTTGTGGAAGGGAGTTATAAATCTAGAAAGGGGAGGATGATATATGAGCCCTGTAGTGTTGGATTGGAATTGAAGTTATCATGAAGAATGCAGAATAGAGGTACAGAAATACACATCTGTGTGTGCAGGTATGTAGGTATACGTGTGTGTAAGTCTATCTGTGTGTGTAGAGATATACACCTATTAATAGTTCCTAAGCTCTCTCCATTGAGAAGGCCTAGAAGTAGGCACACCACAGAAGCATCATGAACACACCCAGCACCCAGATCCGGTTTCTAATTACCATGAAAGGAACCACAGCTTTTTGAAGAAATGGCAGATACCACAGCTGACACGAGGGAGAGTATCAAAAAAATCTGAAATGTCTCCCTGTGCTAGAAAGCAAGGAAGTGCGCAAAGAATGAGAGTGACAGGTCAAGAGGACAAGGGAACCAGCCTGAAAGGGCTCCCACTGGCAAAATTTGGAACAATTTGAGCAACAAAATACATAGTAATAGTTAAGCATTATAACCTACAGAGCAAAATAAAAACTCATGGGTCAATATGGATTTATTTATTTATAAATAAACAAGCAAACAGATGAGGTAAAGAAAAAGCTCTTCTTACAGTAGAAAGCAGCTAATATATGTAGAAGGATGCTGGAATTAGAAAATCACCAAGCATGGTGGCATGTGCCTATAGGCCCAGCTCCTTGGGAGGCTGATGTCAGGAGATGCCTTGAGCCCTGGAGGTCGAGGCTACAGTAAGCCATGATTGTGCACTGCACTGCAGCCTGGGTGACAGAGCAAGACTCTATCTCAAAATGAAATAAAATAAAAGACTATGGGCTAAACATGGTGGCTCACATCTGTTATCCCAGCACTTTGGGAGACCAAGGCAGGAGGATCCCTTGAGTCTAGGAGTTGGAGACCAGCTTGGACAACATAGGGAGACTCCATCTCAAATAATTTACTGATATTTGTAAATAAACGAACAGGGTGGTTTCAGACTGTGATAAATACTAAGCAAATCAGGGTAATGTGACTCAGGGTTGGGATTAAGGTGAGGAAAGCCTGGCCATTAGGGTGGAGAATTTAATGAGTCAAGGCTGAGGGATATCAATCCTGCTCTTGCAGGATCCTGAGAGTCAGAGCCTCCTTAAATTTTGCACCATTTGATGATACCAGAGAGTGACTGAAGGTGAACAGGATTCCACTGAATTTAAGTTGTAATTGAAACTAAAAAGCCAAGGTTGAAAAGCCTTGAGGTTTTCTGAAGCCGTTGTAATTTGCACATAGCCCACATGCCAAAGGAAGTACTATACTTACTGGCTTTCTTAATCACAGAGCTCTCAGTGGACAATGTCACTCTTCTATTTACTCTTTTCTTTCTTCCTTTCTTTCTTTCTCTTTCTTTCTTTCTTTCTTCCTTTTCTTTCCTTCCTTCCTTCCTTCTTTCTTTCTTTCTTCCCTTCCTTTCTCTTTTTCTTTCTTTTTCTTTTCTTTTCTTTTCTTTTAAAATTTGAGACAGGGTCTCACTCTGTCACCCATGCTGGACTGCAGTGGTGTAATCTAGGCTTATTGCAGCCTCAACCTCCAGGAGTCAAGCCATCCTCCCTCCCCAGCCTCCCAAAGTGCTGGGATTATAAGCATGAGCCACCGCACTCAGCCCACATTCCACCCTTCTAAAATAAAATATTTGGTATGGCTTTCCACAATGGGATAATAAAATGTCTGTAGCCCCTCTTCTCAATAGACAATAAAGGCATCTAACCAAGTATTTCAGACTAGTTCCCCCACCCCACACCCCACATGCTCAAGGCTGAAGATGTTAGCAGAAGGCATTCATTCATGTGGCCTAAGCTGCTCGCATTTCCACATTTCATCAATATCTTTGTTCTATTAAATATGTCCATGTAATATTAATAGAAGTCTAGCAAGATGTAAAAACATATTTTATCTGGCATTCCTGATTAACAGAACATCTGGTGCTATTAATGTAAAAATAAATGTAAAAATGTAAAAAATGTAAAAAATAAATATAATGGTTCAGAAGTCAACACAGCAAAAATACAGATAAACTACAGGTTGGTCATTTACACGCCAATACTTGGAAACCATAGATATTTAAATACTTATAGTTAGAAATTATTTATCTACAATTTAAAAATTATAGTTAGCACCAAAAAGCAACCTGGCTTTAACAGTTTTAAGTAGCAATGTGTTCAAGCTATACCAGACAATAAACAACAAGAACAGAGACCATTCAAACTGAATAAATGGGTAAATGAATTAAGTGGACTGTGGATATAAAGATATTGAAATATCTATTGATATGGAAGAGGAGAAATTCAGAAGGCAGTGACATCCATTAAGCAACGGTTAATTCTGACTTAAATAGAGACAGCAATAAATATAAGAAAGAAGCAGGCTGGGCACCATGGCTCACACCTGTAATCCCAGCACTTTGGGAGGCCAGCTGTGAAGATTACTTGAAATTAGGAGCTCAAGACCAGCCTGGGCAACACAGGGAGGCCCTGTCTCTACAAAATATACAAAAATTAGCTGGGCATGTGGTGCACGCCTGTAGTCCCAGCTATGTGGGAGGCTGAGGCAGGAGGATCACTTGAGGCTGCAGTGAGCCATGATTGCACCATTGCACTCCAGCCTGGGTGACAGAGTGGAAGCACCAACTCAAAACAAAACAAAACAAAACAAAACAAAAGCAGCAAATACTAAGAATGCCAGCATATTAGCTTCCAGTTGAGAAAGAATGTTTCTAGAGTGCTCTAGCAGAAAGAATAAGCACACGCTGGAGCCAATAAGGGCTGGAATTGAATCCTGGCTCCATACTGAGTAGGTTGGGCAGGTTCCTTAACCACATCACTTTTTCTGCTTGGAAAACTGCTCTGCCCTCTGCCCCCAAGATGAGGAATTAAGAGACCAGGGGCCTATTGTTCAGGTTAGTATCGCTGTGTAACAAATCACTCCAAAACTTAGTGATTTAAAACAGCCATTTTATTTTGATCACTATTTTGTGTGTCAGGAATTCAAGAGCTCAGCTGGGCTATCCTCGCCTGGGGCCTTTCATGCTGTTGTGTGAAATCTGCAACCATTGCCGGCTGGATCTGCAACCACACTGCAAGCTCAGTGGGGCTGGATGTCCAGATGGCACACTCACATGGCTGGTAGTTGATGCTGCTGGTGGTTGGCTGGGAACTCAGCTCAGCTGTCAACCAGAACACCTGGTGGTCTCAGGCAGCTGGCTTCCCATAGACAGCCAGATAGAAACTGCATGACATATTCTAATCTAGCCTCAGACATCGCACAGTGTCAGTTTTGCCATATTCTGTTAGTGATTCTATGAGTGATTATTAGCCCCAATTCAAGGGGAGGGACACACAGACCCCACCACTCAGTAGGTGGAAGGAAGGTCTGAAAATGTGCAGGGCTAGGCCAGGCACAGTGGCTCACACCTGTAATCCCAGCACTTTGGGAGGGTGAGGCAGGCGGATCACAAGGTCAGGAGATCGAGACCATCCTGGCTAACACGGTGAAACCCCGTCTGTACTAAAAATACAAAAAAAAAAAAAAAAAAAAAATTAACCAGGCGTGGTGGTGGGCGCCTGTAGTCCCAGCTACTCGGGAGGCTGAGGCAGGAGAATGGCATGAACCTGGGAGGTGGAGCTTGCAGTGAGCCAAGATTGCACCACTGCACTCCAGCCTGGGTGACAGAGCCAGACTCCGTCTCAAAAATAAATAAATAAATAAGAACTGTGCAGAGCTGGGTGTGATGGCTCACGCCTGTAATCCCAACACTTTGGGAGACTGAGGCAGTAGAATAGCTGAGTCCAGGCATTTGAGACCAGCCTTATCAACACAGTGAGACCTTGTCTCCACAAATTTTTTTTTTTTTTTTTAAAGCTGAGTGTGGTTGTGCATCCCTCTAGTCCCAACTACATGGGAGGCTGATACAGGAGGATCACTTGAGTCCAGGAATTTGAGGCTGCAGTGAGCTATAATCATATCACTGCATTCCAGCCTGTGTGACAGAGCAAAACCCTGCCTCAAAAAATAAAAAATAGACATTTGCAGAAATATTTTAAAACCAACACACCACACACACAAACATAAGCTGCAAAGTGGAGTTGTCTTAAAGAAAGCTTAATGATGAACAGACCCCTCAGAACTGGAGTCTGATGTTTTAGAAAGACAAGAAAAATCTCATCACATCCGTCATGTATTTATCCTTTATAATCTCTCCTAAACCTTCCTTTAAATGCTCCTTTCCGCATTTGGAGATTGGGACAATAGCTTGGCAGGTGTAGTGGGATGGGTAGGAATAATCATGGTGGGGGAACAGCCATTCAAAACTTTCACTACAGGCTCACTCCCTAAGCAAATCCACATAATTTCCTTTTCATTTATGCATATAGCACCCAAATTCTACATATACAAGCAGTATTATGTATTAAGTGCCTACTATGTGCCTGACACTGTGCTCATGTTGTTGTAGGCACAAATTCCCTGTCCTTATAGAAGTTAGAGGGAGGATAACACGGAGAACTATGTGGCTTGATAGGAGTCAGCAGGGAGACTAGTGAGAGATGCCAGAGAGAGAATGACGGACATTTTAGAACTGGAACTTCCACTATGAATGGGATGGGAGCTGTGAAGGTTTTTTTTGGTACAGGAATGGCATGATTTGAGTCACGTTTTGGTAGCAGCATTGAGAACAAGCTGATAGTGGCAGGGGCAGGAACAAGGAGACTGGTTAGGGGGTGTGATGGTTAATTTTTTTTTTTTTTTTTTGAGACAGAGTCTTGCTCTGTTGCCCAGGCTAGAGTGCAATGGTGTGGTCTCGGCTCACTGCAACCTCCACCTCCCAGGTTCAAGCGATTCTCCTGCCTCAGCCTCCTAAGTAGCTGGGATTACAAGTGCACACCACCACACCCGGCTAATTTTTGTATTTTTAGTAGAGACGGGGTTTCACCATGTTGGCCTGGCTGGTCTCAAACTCCTGACCTCGTGATCCACCCACCTCAGCCTCCCAAAGGGCTGGGATTACAGGCATGAGCCACCATGCCCGGCTGATGGTTAATATTGTCAACTTGATTGAAGGATGCAAAGTACTGATCCTGGGTGTGTCTGTGAGGGTGTTGCCAAAGGAGGGTAACTTTGAGTCAGTGGACTGGGAGAGGCAGACCCACCCTCAGTCTGGGTGGGCACCATCTAATCAGCTGCCAGCATGGCTAGAATAAAAGCGGGCAGAGGAACATGAAAGGCCTAGACTGCCTGAATCTTCTGGCCTCTGTCTTTCTCCCGTGCCAGATGCCTCCTGCCCTCGAACATCAGACTCCAAGTTCTTCAGCTTTTGAACTCTTGGACTTACACCAGTGATTTGCCAGGGCTCTCGGGCCTGCAGCAACAGACTGAAGGCTGCTCTGTCGGCTTCCCTACTTCTGAGGTTGGGACTTGGACTGGCTTCCTGGCTCCTCAGCTTGCAGACCTATTACGGCCCATGATGGGACTTCGCCTTGTGATCGTGTGAGTCAACTCCCCTTCATATATTTATCGATCCTATTAGTTCTGTCCCTCTAAAGAACCCTGACTAATCCAGGGGGCTGCCGGAATAGATGAGTGTGGGCTGCCCCATGGTAGTAGCAGCAGAATGGTGAGAAGCGGCTGTTCTGAGGGTCTATTGGAAGGTAGTGCCCTTAGGCCTGTGCCGAGGTTGATGTTGGCAAGCTCGCCTATGTTGTCGGCGCACAGTTGCAACTTGATATTCGTTGGACAGATAACGGCTGATATGACTCCCTCAGATAACAGATAATATATACCTGACAATACAAGAAATATGAAAGTACATGAATAGGCCAAGCGTGGTGGCTCACGCCTGTAATCCTAGCGCTTTGGGAGGCTGAGACGGGTGGATTACTTGAGGTCAGGATTTCAAGACCAGCTTGGCAAGTATGGTGAAACCCTATCTCTACTAAAAATATAAAAACTAGCCAGATGTGGTGGCACATGCCCGTAATCCCAGCTACTCAGGAGGCTGAGGCTAGAGAATCGTTTGACCCCAGGAGGTGGAGACTGCAGTGAGCCAAGATTGCGCCATTGCATTCCAGCCTGAGCAAAAGGGTGAGACTCTGTCTCAAAAATAAATAAATAAATAAAAAATAAAGTACATGAATAACTTAGAAATAAAGTCCTCAAATCACCTGAGCAAAGAATTGTTTTTATACAGGTAACTCCAGAAATGAACAAATTTCTGCCTGACCATATGTTTTCTTTCTCCCCTCCCTTTCTTCCTAACACCACAGTGGGTTCATTCAACCAGATGTTCCTAATTATAAAAGTTGCTCTTTAATGAGTTCCTCTATCCCCAACAGCTTGAGGAAAATTGCACAACAGAACTTTCCACACATTCAGCCTAAAGTGGCATTTTCAAAGCATGAGAAGAAACATATCAAGTTTTGCTCTCCAATCTGTGGAATAAATGAAAACAAGATCTAAATCAAAGGTCTAAAGATCAGGGACTGAGCAGGTCTTGTGTGATGGACACTGAGGATAAGACCAGCCCCTGTCTTCCAGAGGCTTCCAAGCTAGAGCAGAAATGCAGGTTACAGGCCATTATCATGCATGGGTCGAGTCTCACAAGAGTTTAAGCATGTGGTGGATCTAGAAGAATCATTTAAATAAATGTGAAGTTGTTCAAAAACAATTTTTCTTTCTCTGAGTTAAGGTTTGTTTGCTTTGAGACCGAGTGTCGCACTGTCACCCCGGCTGAAGTGCAGTGGCACAATCTCAGCTTACTGCAACCTCCGCTTCCGGGGTTCAAGTGATTCTCCCGCCTCAGCCTTCTGAGTAGCTGGGATTGCAGGCACCCGTCATCATGCCCAGCTAATTTTTGTATTTTTGCAGAGACGGGGTTTCAACATGTTGGCCAGGCTGGTCTTGAACTCCTGACCTCAGGTGATCTGCCCACCTCGGCCTTCCAAAGTGCTGGGATTACAGGCGTGAAGCACCGTGCCTGGTCGAGTTAAGGTATTTTGAATTCAACAAATTATGCAAGCCTGCAAAACTTAATATCACAGAATTAACCAAAGAAATCTACAGCTATTAAAAAATCTGGTTGTTTGCTATTATCTTGCCAAAACTCAATATCACATTTATTTAATAAATGAATGATACCTGGAGTTTTGAAATACTAAAATCATGTGATTGTTTTGTAACTTTTATTAGTTGTGTTTGATTTTCATGGTAGAGTCTGCAAAGCTATTGGCTATTCTCAATATTATAGGAAGAGATAATATCCCTATTAGGAGGATTTAAGTAACAAAGTCCTTTAAGAGCATCATAGGTTTAACAGCCATACTCTAGAAGACTGAGTCCCAAGTTCTTTCAAATTTATTAGCTCAATTTTGGGACACCCCTCCATTCCTTGCTGTGCATTAATGTTAATCTATTTTGGATAAAAATTAGGCCGGGGTGGTGGCTCATGCCTGTAATCCCAGCACTTTGGGAGGCCAAGGCGGGCAGATCACTTGAGGTTAGATCACAAGACCAGCCTGGCCAACATGGTGAAACTTTGTCTCTACTAAAAATATAAAAATTAGCCAGGCATGGTGGCATGCGCCTGTAGTCCCAGCTACTCAGGAGGCTGAGGTAGGAGAATCACTTAAACCCGGGAGGCAGAATTTGAAGTGAGCTGAGATCACGCCACTGCTCTCCAGCCTGGGTGACAGTCAGACTTCATCTCAAAAAATAAAAAATAAAATGTACTTTCTAGAAAGAATTAAGACACATGCACACGTATGTTTATTGCAGCACTGTTCACAGTAGCAAAGACTTGGAACCAACCCAAATGCTCATCAATGGTAGACTGAATAAAGAAAATGTGGGATATATACACAATGGAATACTATGCAACCATAAAAAAGGATGAGTTCATGTCCTTTGCAGGGACATGGATGAAGCTAGAAACCATCATTCTCAGCAAACTAATGCAGGAACAGCAAACTAAACACTGCATGTTCTCACTCATAAGTGGGAGTTGAACAATGAGAACACATGGACACAGGGAGGGGAACATCACACACTGGGGCCTGTCGGGGAGTGGGGGGCTAGGGAAGGGATAGCATTAGGAGAAATAACTCATGTAGATGATGGGTTGATGGGTACAGCAAACCACCATGGCACGTGTATACCTATGTAACAGGCCTGCATGTTCTGCACATGTATCCCAGAACTTAAAGCATAATTTTTTTAAAAAATTTCAAAATAAAGAAAATACGGTATCATAAAACACTAACTAAGAATCACTGGTCTTTAGAGAATATAGGAAGTAAATAATTGGTTTGCAATACGGGGTTACTAGAAAAGGAGGTTGGACTTTGGCCTCAGAATTTCCAGTTTTCTACTTGGGAAATTGATATTATTTTCACTGTAAAGTAACTGCCATTCCATAAATTCAGACAATAAGAGATACCTTTTTATCGCCTATCCAAAAACACAAATTCAAATCTTGGCAATAGTGTGAGGATATTATCAATAACAATAAAACACTTAATAACATGCATATTCTGACCTAGCAATTCCCACTTTTTAAGACTTTATCCTCAGAAAATAATTGGAAAAGTGGGCAAGATAAACATATAAGCATGCTGAGCTTGTATATTTTTAAATGTAAAAATTTGAAAAATATTTAGTGTTTTAATTACAATGATAATCTAAACATATATAATCTAATTTTATGAGATTGGTAAAATGCATGATGGCTTAGCCACATAGGACAATGGGATACTGCTATACATGCTAGTATTATGCTGTAAGACACACACACACAAATCCCTAGCCACTCTCCCATCCCTGACACACACACCACACACCCCTACCACAGTGGGCTAAAACAATGATTTATTTCTCGATCATGCAAAGTCCACTGCAGTCCTAGAGCGGTTGTGATCTGTAGAATGGCTTAGCGTCACACTTCACCAACACATGCTTCATGAGGGGCATGGAAGAAAGTGTCATGGTACCAGAGGCTCACCTGCAGTAAAGAGCTTCTGCCCACGTTTCATTTGCTAAAGCAAGTTACAAGGGCCTTTCTTGACCTCAAATGGAGACGTGGGATCCCAACATGTGTCCAGATGATGGCAGGAGCAAATGTCTACTGCAACTACACAGCCATAAAAAATACTAACATGGAGTTCTACTTTTTGACACGGGCAAACTATCCATAATGTATCAAGTGGGAAAACAAGTATGGTCCCATTAAAACAATGTATCTCTAAGTGTGTGTTACATATGTAAGGAGACATTTATAAAAACATTGGAAAGATATACAGGATAAGTTTAATGGTGTTTTCTCCAGGTGGTGGGATGAGATGATTTTAAAAACAACTTGTTTTATACTTTTTGGTTCTATCTTTTTCTTTTCCTTTTTTATTATTATTATTTTATTGAGATGGAGTCACGCTCTTGTTGCCCAGGCTAGAGTGCAGTGGCACGATCTCAGCTCACTGCAACCTCCGCCTCCCGAGTTCAAGCGATTCTCCTGCCTCGCCTCCTGAGTAGCTGGGATTACAGGCGCCTGCTACCATGCCTGGCTAATTTTTTGTATTTTTAGTAGAGACAGGGTTTCACCATCTTGGCCAGGCTGGTCTGGAACTCCTGACCTCGTGATCCACCTCAGCCTCCGAAAGTGCTGGGATTACAAACGTGAGCCACCGCGCCCAGCTTCCTTTTCTTTTTATTATAATAAGATAATATTTTGATGATGAGAGAAAAGAAAGCCATATTTATTTTGAAAAACATACTATTCACTGCCTTTCTGGTTTCTAAATCAATCTCTGGTTTAGTTGAGGTATCAGTTCTTCTGGGTCTGAACCACACGTGTTCACTCACAAAACTGAGCTGCTGAGGAGAAGTAGAGCTTGATCTTGTTATCACTAGATAGCTCTGTGTAGTCAGAGCGCCTAAATATCCTGCACTATGCTGACTGCTACCTCAAGCGGCAGAGACAGTAATACCCACCACCCTTACAGACAGCACAAATGACATGCTAGCACATTCAGGCCAGAGGCAGGAAGAAGGCATGTGTTTTCAAGACAGAAAGGCAGACTTAATAACACACATTCTCTTGGTTTTCTCATCTGTAAAATGGGAGGAATGATGCCTTGCCCAAGTGTTGCCAGGATTGAGTAAGATAATGTAGTGAAAGCACCCAGCACACAGAGGGTGCTGAATAAATGGTTGCTACTGTTATTGCCCTACGTCCAGGCTGACTACAACAAAAGTGATATTAGGCAAACACAGTAACAAGCAAGGAATGTTTTATTGTGTACATTTTCTCAAAAAAAAAAACCCACAAAAACAGAACCCACAAATAGGAGCAAAGAACAGTTTTCTAGCATCTCTGGGATACACAGGGCACCATATCTTATAGAAACATAGCTAGTACAAGAACAAAGTGTACTAATTAACATTACCCCTTGCTTCCCCAGTCAAAAAAGGCTATAGAGAAAAACACTTTAAATTGTACTCTAATACAAATTTGTTGCACAATTAAACTTCAACTTACTCAAAGAGTTATTGTATTGTAAACTGCAGAAAATAGAATAGGCATTCAATAAATCTGCTCACAATTAACAATTAAGCAATAGACACTTGAATAAATATAGCATGTATTACTTATTTGTTAAGCCTTACACTTACGATGAGCAGATGGTTTATCACTATATAGTAACAGATTTTTTTTACACTTTAGGAGATACCATATCCAATAACGGAAGTAGAAGTACTTTAACGAAAACTGATTTTAGAAAAATATCTCCTTGGGTCTGAGCTACTATGGTATTTATTACATATTTGGGTCAGTTTCACCAGTTTAAAAATATAGGTACTAACAAACTGAATTCTTTCATGGGAGAACAAAGTAATACATTCTAGAGCAATAGTATTTCTTTATATCCTTTAGGTAGCAGGACAGAGCTAGGACATAGTAAAGAGATTTACGATGTAATGAATAATTTGTTTCTACCTAATGCTATAGGGGTATTGCTATCATTTGAACTAAGAAAGAACAATTTTAAAACTTGTTTATAATGAAGAATCGGCATTTCCTTACCACATATATACTAGATGTAAATATAAGGATCTTCTCTAATAGTCTGTATTCCTTAATCCCTATCTGTACAAATTAGCCTGCATATTCAGGAATGGAACAACCAGTAAACTGTTACTTGAAGAACTAATTTAAATGATCCATTTAAGAGAAATGCAGTCAAAATAAGGCAATAACCATCAGCCTATCTGTACTTTTCTTCTGTGCCTACTCAGTAAAATTGAGAAAATAATTTTTGCCCACTTCTATAAAAATATCACCCCATTTGCTACCTAGCATATGAGAGAGACAAGACTAGCCTGTCACGTTTGTCTCTAAAAAGAAAAATGATAGGCCTGGTGGAGAGCAAGCTATATGGAAACATCAGCCTTTCCTTTTCTAAGATACGTCACTCCAATTCTTCCTTAAATATAAACTTCCTCCTTGATTTATATTAACCCCTTAGGAGGCACTATAATAACTTTATGTTCCCATGGAACATAGGGTTTTTCAAGAATTTCTTAAAATAAAAAAGGTTTGAAAGCTATGGAGTAAACTCAGCAGCTGTGATATTCCGTTCAATCTACCACAGATGTCAAACGGTCACATTTTACAGAAGTCAAAGGAAAACAAAACCACAGTTCTGCACTCTTCCACAGGGCAAGGAATTGATCATATTCTATTTTCCTTTCAGGAATTCATAAAATCCCTAGGATAGCACCTTTGTATGGGCTGAACCATTAACTGAACTAAAATTAATACAGGAAGCTTAACATTCAACATTGTGCTTGAACAAAACTTACCACTACTCAATTTTTCTTCCAAACTATGTTAGTAATATACATTTTGCAAAGAGTCTAGAAAGTTTTTAAAAGAAATCTCTTTAGGTGATGTAACACGAAAACTCTAAGGAACAACAAAACCCTTCAGTCTTATTTCTGAAGACAAGTCTATGTTTAATGCAGATCATTCCAGTACATGATGTGCGTGACCCCCTTTCCTTTCCTTACGTGTGTCACACAGCCATTAAGACATTTTAGTTTGATCGCCTCCTTAAACCTTTCAGTCCCTCTAAGACATCATTATAAAACAAATTTAGTCCTTTAGTTTTATCATATGGAATGACCCTATTGTCCTGGTATGATCCCAACACAGTGATGCAGTACTGAGGTTTTTTTTTTTTAATCAATATCTATTAGTAAGATTAGCAAAGATACTGTTGCTATTTTTATATTTGTCCTTTAAAAAGGTAGGCCCTTCTCCACTTACTTCCATATCCCTAGAGAAATAGATATATGTACTGTTGTCAAAAAAAATCAAACACACAAATACTGGAATATTAAAAGACAGGCTCCTCATTTCTTCTCTTCCTCATCCTGGTACACAGTGCCCAAAAGCTTTAGAAATGCCATTATGAACAATAGCTTTTGCTAGTTGTTAGGAAAGCAATTTATGAGTTGGGAATTATTGTGGAAGACTTGATGGATGATTATAGCTCTGGGTCACTAACTTCTTTTTATGAAAACATGAATAATACTAGTTATAACTCAAAGTCAAAATAGTGTAAAAGCTGTGGAGTGCTTTTGTAGGGGGTATATTAAATTGCCAGAATATTGCAGAGGCTCATCTTGGAACAAGAAGTAGAATGCTGTTTCAGTTAAGAGGACTGGGCTGTTTCAGGCAACAGACTGATCATTTCGCATCACAGTGGTGGCTGGGTTTTCCATCAGTCATTACTAATGGCAATGAGAAAAAGTCAGGCGGCTTGTGTGACTCCCATGTTAACAGCACCATAAAAAAGTTTTGCCCTAGGAATTTGGGGGAAAGGGAAGAATGCGGACTGCCTTTGTTATTACAGAAATTTCACAACTTACTTAATGACAACCCCGAAAGTTCACCTGTGGCATACTGGCTGGGAAGAGAAACAACTGAAGCAAGCCAATGCTAAGTGCAGATTATGGCACTACCTGAAAATAACAGATCTCTTTAAGAAGTTTATCAATAACTAAGTGTAGAGGATATTCACATACTGCCAAGTCATAGGGAAAGGTCTCTGGTTTCGTAAGTTCCTAATGCCACCCCTCAAGAAAGAGAGAACAAGTCTTCCCTCCCCCAGCTCCTGCTCTGACAACAGCCACAAGAACCCTGGAAGGCCCCCTAGGCTAAGTGAAGTGTCTGTACTTGTGACTGCTTTGAGAAGGTTCTAAGCATTCACTTTTTTGTTTGATTTTTTGTCCCCGCTAAAACTCATTTGCTAGCTCATTCTTTCACTACACATTAGCTGTTCATGGGGAAGTTTTGCTGAAGTAATTCCAGTCTTCAGGGAACCACTATGGACAGACCTTTTCCATATTAGTCCCCATGGGTAAGTTCCACAAATGCCCCAAAACACACCTTTACATTTTCTTTTTAAAAATGTTGATTTGTTTGTAAGTGGCTACTGTCCATTCACGAGACAGCGCTGTGGAGCTGCGTGAGAGGGACTTCATTTGGTGGAGCTGCTGTTCTTAGGTGTGGACGCCGCCCAGCTCTCAGATCAGTGCGGAGAAAACCCAGTCGCCAGACTGCAGCCCACCACAGGTGTCATGTCCCAGATCTACAAGGAAGGAAGAAACGCAGAAAAGGCAGCAGTGATAACCAGGTCTAACGGCAAGAGTCAACACAGACAAACAAACGACTGTTAAACCTGAAAAGGTGTCAAATTAATGAATTTTCTCATTCTCCTCTTTCATAACACCTCCTTAAGATTTATAGAAAGAGGCCAGGTGGCTGGGCACGGTGGCTCACGCCTGTAATCCCAACACTTTGGGAGACCGAGGCGGGTGTAGCACTTGAGCCCAGGAGTTCAAGACCAGCCTGGCCAACGTGGCAAAACCTTGTCTCTACCAAAAAAAATACAGAAATTAGCCTGGTGTGGTGGCACATGCCTGTGGTCCCAGCCACTCAAGAGGCTGAGGTGGGAGGATCACCTGAGCCCAGAAGGCAGAGGTTGCACTGAACCGAGGTCACACCACTACACTACAGTCTGGGTGACAGAGCGAGACCTTGTCTCAAACAAAAAGATTTTCAGAAAGATAAAACAATGTAGTTCACTAAAATGTGAATAAAGCATATAGGTAGTGTCTTTACACATAAAAATTAAATCATAATAATGTTTTAGTATAAATTCAATTTTTTTTTTAGAAAAGCCCATCAGGAATATAGAATATCTCAGTTTCACCACTGAAGAGTGGTACTTAGGCCATGCATGGTGGATCATGCCTATAATCCCAGTACTTTGGGAGCCTGAGATGGGAGGATCGCTTGAGCCGAGGAGTTTGAGACCAGCCTGGGCAACATAGTAGGACCCAATCTCTATGAAAAATCCCCCCAAAATTAGCCAAGCCTGGTGGCAGGCACTTGTAGTTCTAGCTACTTTGGAAGGCTGAGGTGGGAAGATTGCTTGAGCCTGGAAGGTGAAGGCCGCAGTGAGTAGTGACTGTGCCACTGCACTCCAGCCTGGACAACAGAGCAAGACCCATCTCAAAAAAAAAAAAGAGTGGTACTAAGTATAAAACACTTCATTTCAATTTATGTGTTAGTGACCCAGGGATTTAATTGTTAAAATGTGTGGTTATTCCTTATACTGAGGACGCATTCTGCCCAGGATGAAAAGGAACATTGGCAAGCGTAGGAATGTCTTGAGATGGGTCAGGGGTGAGGACCCAGGCCAGCAAGGGAGAACCCAGAGGTCAACTCCACCCATAGGGATATACAGGGTGCCAGACTCACTCTGCCAGACAGACACTGCAGAGGGAGGTGCCACTGGGACTGACCACCAATGAATGCATGGAAACTCAGAGGCAAGCAATTTGTTACTCAAGGTTTTAAACTGGCAATCATTTGCTTATAAAGCTTGCCAGTCAGAAAGAGTGACTGTCTCCTGCACATTCACAGCATGGTAATAGGCAATCTCAACTGAGATGCTGACAGACAATTAGCCAGCTTACCTTTACAATGCGGTCGGTCCCACAGGTCACCATCAGTCCCCTGGCAATGTCCATGGACATGTGGGAAATGTTATGTTTTCCTTCATGAAAGGTCGCTAGAGAAGTCCGACTAACAAGAGAAAAGAGATCACTGAAAATTTACTTGACTGTACCTAGAGCTAGTGGGGTAAGCTTTTTTAGCAACATAAAATAAGCAAATATGGCCAGGTGCAGTGGCTCATGTCTGTACCCCCAGCACTTTGGGAGGCCGAGACGGGTGGATCACTTGAGGTCAGGGGTTCAAGACCAGCCTGGTCAACATGGTGAAACCCCGTCTCTACTAAAAATATAAAAATTAGCTCTGTGTGGTGGCACACGCCTGTAATCCCAGCTACTCGGGAGGCTGAGGCAGGAGAATCGCTTGAACCTGGGAGGTGGGGGCTGCAGTGAGCCGAGATTGTACCACTGCACTCCAGCCCAGGTGATCAACCAAGACTCAGTCTCAAAAAAAAAAAAAAAAAAAAAGTAAATGCTTATGATAATAGTGTTAAAATTTGCTCCTAAAATTGTGGCTATGGTTTTGAAAACTAACCTTATAATTTAATGATGACAGAAAGCATGTTAAATCACAAGATTGTTTTATAAAATTCCCAAAATAACTGATTTTTTTTTTTTACTGGAAAGGCTGATACATTCCTAGATATAAAAACAAGAATCTTCAATATAAAAGAAGAACTGCATTGAATAAAATCATACAGCATGGGCAAAACATCAGAGAGCTGCCGTTTTCCCTGAAACCTCTGCCATGCACAGGAGCAGTGCCTCTTACAGCACCCGCTTCAAAGCCCAGCTGCCCCAATCCCATCACTAGTTCATTTACCAACACCAGTCGTGATGCACTAGCTTTCCAATGTGGACCTCTGCCAACATTTGCCTCTGCTGCTTTAAAAGATGATTCAAAGGGAAGGAAAGAAAATAGTGGTTCTGTCCTAACGGATTTGCCTAAAAGTCAGGGCAGAGTGGGGTATCAAACAGATGTGTCTTACACACAAAGAGCAATTTAAGAATAGACTGCTAGGCCAGATTTCTGTGGAAGAAAGAACATTGGTCTCTAGAGTTTTCCCAGTAAATTTACATGCATGTGTGAACAAAGGTCTGGGCACTGGATACTTTTATAGAGAACCAGCTCAACCACTGCCATCCACAGGTGCATGGACTTATCCCTGCATAGCAGCCAGTGGGATGCAGAGGCTCAGGGTATCCACTCAGTTACTGGACCATGTAACTTAGCATTCCTCACTGTGTTCAGGAGAAAGCTGCCCAGTCAGAGGGGCAACTTAAGATGCATAGTCATGGTCTTAAGTCATAAAGCTAGGGCAGGTCCTCTCTTCAAAAATGGCTTAGGGGCCAGGCACGGTGGCTCGCGCCTGTAATCCTGGCACTTTGAGAGGCCAAGGTGGGTAGATCACTTGAGGTCAGGAGTTCGAGACCAGCCTGGCCAACATGGTGAAACTCCATCTCTACTAAAACTACAAAAATTAGCCAGGTGGTGGGGGGCGCCTGTAATCCCAGCTACTCGGGTGGCTGAGGCAGGAGAATCGCTTGAACCCGGGAGGCAGAGGTTGCAGTGGGCCGAGATCACGCCACTGCACTCCAGCATGGGTGACAGAGCAAGACTCTGTCTCAAAAAACAAACAACAAATAAAATGGCTTAGGAAATTCAGGAGAAACAAACACATGGCTAAACATATCCTATCACTTCTGAAGCTCTTCACATTTCAGAGAACCATTAGACAGATGTAATAAGAGGCAATGAGACAAAAATATGCAAACACTCACTCTTCATCTTTGATGGAGTCGTAACAAGAATCACAAACCCGGACTTGGAACTCGAAGCCCATGACTGGGTAACTTGAGCGCTTGCTGCTGCACTTCCCGCAGACAGCCTGCCCGCATTTCCTGCAGTGATGCTTCACAGGTGACCGGGAGGAGGAAAACAGGGTGTTAGCTTTCGCTTTTTGTTTTGTTTTGAGACAGAGTCTCACTCTGTCACCCAGGCTGGAGTGCAGTGGCGTGATCTCGGCTCACTGCAACCTCTGGCGCCCGGGTTCTACCAATTCTCCTGCCTCAGCCTCCCAAGTAGCTGGGATTACAGGTGCCTGTCACCACGCCTGACTAATTTTTGTATTTTTAGTAGAGATGGGATTTCACCATCTTGGTCAGGCTGGTCTCGAACTCCTGACCTCATGATCCACCTGCCTCAGCCTCCCAAAGTGCTGGGATTACAGGCGTGAGCCACTGCGCCTGGCCTAGCTTTTGCTTTAAAGCACATGGTTTCCCTCTAAAGTAGGGCAACAGGAGCGGGGAGGATATGCCTTGAATTGCAATCACCCCAATTCAATGTATCAATTAACACTCACAAGATAGACAATTCTGACACTAGTCAAGGATTTCCAAAAAACTTTGCTGTACTGGTCAAATGTTGCTTTTCATTCATTCATATTATCTGTCTACATGTTAACAAACAATATTATTAACAACAAATTTAGTTCATTTAGGAGCCTAATCACTGTAGATTTAGGGAAAGAAAAATTTATTCCTCCATCATAAAAAAGGCATTATTATTATTTTTTTTTTCAGAGACAGGGTCTCATTCTGTCACCTAGACTGGAATGCAAAGGTGCAATGGCATACAGCTCACTGCGGCCTTGACCTCCCAGACTCAAGCGATCCTCCCACCTCAGCCTTCCAAGTAGCTGGCACTACACGTGTCTGCCACCATGTCTGGCTAATTTTTTGATTTTTTTGCAGAGACAGGGTCTTGCTATGTTGTCCAGGCTGGTCTTGAACACCTAGGCTCAAGTGATCCTCCTGCCTCGGCCTCCCAAAGTGCTAGGATTACAGGTGTGAGCCACCATGCCCAGCCTAAAGGGTTTTAAAATAAGTTTTATTTATTTATTTTTATAGAGACGGGGTCTCATCATGTTGCTCAGGCTGGTTTCAAACTCCTGGGCTTAAGCCACCCTTCCACATTGGCCTCCCAAAATGCTGGGATTACAGGCATAAGCCATCATACCCGGTCTAAAATAAGTTTTAAATGCACTATGCTCTCATTAAGAAACTAATGCCCATAATCATGTATTTTGCTATTTTCTAAAATCTCTCAAACTGTGATTCTGGAAATAAGCCTCAAGAACATTACAAAATAGTCCAATTATTATTACTGATTTTGACATATTCTTTTACCGCCAAAAGTTTAGTGACCAGCACCTCTTCTCTCTTCTGTTAACTGTTAATAAATGGAAGTAAAATCCATTTCTCTGTGTTTCCTTTAGAAGTAGGGAATACTTCACCTATTAATTATACTGCACTAATTACCATCAGCCATGCATTGTGAGAACTTGGCTAATGACAGACAGAACTCAGGTGCTATTTCAGAGCTTTATAATGGTCTGAGCACTAATAATTCCCTTCTTGCCTGCCAGTCTCATATGAGACCTTACTGTGGAGTATCTCTGAGTAAAATTTTTTAGATTTTATTTATTAATTAATTTATTTTTTGAGATGGAGTCTCGCTCTGTCACTTAGGCTGGAGTGCAGTGGCGTGATCTTGGCTCACCGCAACCTCCGCTTCCTGGGTTCAAGTGATTCTCCTGCCTCAGCCTCCCGAGTAGCTGGGATTACAGGCGTCCGCCACCACACCCAGCTAATTTTTGTATTTTTAGGAGAGACAGGGTTTCGCCATGTTAGCCAGGCTGGTCTCAAACTCCTGACCTCGGGTGATCCACCTGCCTCGGCCTCCCAAAGTGCAGGGATTACAGGCCTGAGCCACCATGCAGGGCCAAAAAAGTTTATTAACACATACAAACTTTAGGCTAATCGCTCATAGAGATGCAACCAATAATAAAAGGAATAAAATCAGCATTCTTTTTTACTTACCTGCTTTTTTTTTTTTTTGTAGAACTTTAGTATTACAAGAATCCTTTAACAGCACCTTTAAAATCTACAGGCTATTTGGAACATATTTCTTTAATTAAAAAATTTAAAAAACAGTACTCAAAACATGCTTAATAAAAATATTCCAGGTATGCTTATAAGGGAACAATTTAAAATAATCTAAAACTCATAGGGTCAGGCATTCAAGTGAGGACTAAATTATTACTTTTTATCTGTTTGTGACAGCATAAGGTATATAACTGTATGACTTTATTCTAATTTTGTTCTTGGCTAGCATAAAACACTGACTTTAATAAGTAATAGTCTTAAACTGAAAGATCTTTTATCTGTTTAAAAATAGGCTCTCAGGATTTTCTACGCACCCCTGCCTTTCCAATACAGGACAAGCAATGGAAAAGTGAGGTAACAGTCTCACTGGCCCTGGGAAAGGTCTTCCTCATTGTTAGTCACACAATGATAAAGACATAGAAAATGTAGGAATTAATAGCATTTGCAAAAACAAAGTGTGTTTCAAAAAAACCCCAGATTAAGTATGCAAATAGTGAAATACACAATCAAGCCAGAGATGACTCGACAGTGGCTACTCACTTGTCTTAGCCCCAGCGTCTTGGTGTCCCACATCTGCTTTATGTTCCAGAAAAATGGCTGCTCACATTTCTGACAAGAATCACTTTCCAACCACTGAGGAGCCTGGGGGAGCAGAAAGTCAAAGCCACCATCAGTGTGTCTATATTTACTCCCATGTTTCAAAATTAATACAACAGTTCTAGACCTTGCCAAGGTTAGTATTTCTTTTCTTCTTTTTTTTTTTTTTTTGGTCTCCCAGGCTGGAGTGCAGTATGTGTGATCTTGGCTCACTGCAACCTCTGCCTCCTGGATTCAAGTGACTCTCCTGCCTCAGGCTCCCAAGTGGCTGGGACTACAGGCATGCACTACCACTCCAGGCTAATTTCTGTATTTTTAGTAGACATGGGGTTTTGCCATGTTGGCCAGGCTGGTCTCAAACTCCTGACCTCCCAAAGTGCTGGGATTATAAGCATGAGCAACCATGCCCGGCCAGTTAGCATTTCTTTTTAATTCCACGAAATATTCTAGCTAGTTGTCATATTCAATATTATGTTTAATTGTGTGTGGGGGGGGGTCTTTTTTGAGACAGGGTCTCACTCTGTCACTCAGGCTCGAGTGCAGTGTCGTGAACATGGCTCACTGCAAGCTTGATCTCTCAGGCTCAAATGATCCTCCTGCCTCAGCCTCCCGAATAGCTGGGACCACAGGTGAGTGTCACCATGCCCAGCTAATTTTTTATTTTTATTTTTTTGTAGAGACAGGATCTCACTATATTTCCCAGGCTTGTTTTGAACTCCTGGCTTCAAATAATCCTTCTGCCTCAGCCCCACAAAGCACTGGGATTACAGTCACGAGCCACTGCGCCCAGCCTTAACTGTGTGCCGAGTAATCATGGCAATTTTAGCCATGGTTACAGGGTGTTCAATTTGTAATCTATAGATAGGAGGGAGTAAATCAGTTTTTATTGTGAACCCTTAAGGGTTGTCTTTATGTATTTCTTTTTTATGCCAAAGATGTTTGAACTCTAAATCCAGTTGAGTAGAAACCCAGTGCATGCAGCAGAATCTGGTGACCTACCACTTGGAAAGGCTTGCGGGGTCACAGGTGACTAACAGAAGAGATCTGACAAAACCCCATCACCTAGTTGCTCTGGGTAGGGACTATGCCGGCAGATTTGCCCCCCTTCCCTTCCCAGCCACAGCAGCACGTCCCTCCCTCCTGGGGCCACACAGGCATCCTGCAGCTTCACTGAGCAGCAAGCTCTGGTACTGGAACTCTTGGTGCACGTTTCTTCTCCCCTCTAACCAATGAGTTACTTTTTGGTATTATTCATCTTGATCTAGCCACAGCCTGTCACACAGTAGGTTTTTAATGCATTTTTGTTGAAACAGAGGAAGCAGTCTCAAAATTAATTTGTTAAAAAACTTAGAAAATAGGCCAGGTGTGGTGGCTCACGCCTGTCATCTCAGCACTTTGGGAGGCCGAGGCAGATGGATCACCTGAGGTCAGGAGTTCAAGCCTGGCCAACACGGTGAAACCCCGTCTTTATTAAAAATACAAAAATTAGCCGGGTGTGGTGGCACACACCTGTAATCCCAGCTACTTGGGAGGCTGAGGCAGAAGAATCACTTGAACCCAGGAGGCGGAGGTTGCAGTGAGCCAAGATCATGCCATTGCACCCTAGTCTGGGCGACAAGAGCAAGACTCTGTCTCAAAAAACAAAACAAAACAAAATAAAAACTTAGAAAATATTTCTCTAAACAAAAAATTACAAACTATACTCAATTCTAAGACAAACCTGCTAAAAGCCTGTTTAGGCCGGGCGCAGTGGCTCACACCTGTAATCCCAGCACTTTGGGAGGCCAAGGCAGGCGGATTACCTGAGGTCAGGAGTTCAAGACCAGCTTGGCCAATGTAGTGAAACCCCATCTCTACTAAAAACACAAAATTAGCCAGGCGTGGTGGCACATGCCTATGCCTATAATCCCAGCTACTCAGGAGGCTGAGGAGAGAAAATCGCTTGAAACTGGGAGGTGGAGGTTGCAGTGAGCAGAGATTGCACCACGGCACTCCAGCCTAGGCGACAAGAGTGAAACTCCGTCTAAAAAAAAAAAAAAAAAAAAGCCTGTTTAACCCCAATCACTTAACATTATATATGTGCAACAAAAATAGTAGAAAATATTTTTTCTAAAATATATATTAATATATTTGGTGGTTTGAACGATGGGTGCCCCTAGTTCTTCATTTTCTCTCCTATTGCATCAAAACTTTTGGCCTTCCTATTTCTTATTTTAGATCGGTCACTAGAAATATTTCTACATATAACAGACATTAGAAAGGCCTTTTTTTGAGGTGGGGGTGCAGAAGGCACTCACAAGTAGACTGAAATAGGCTGAGATAGAAGAAAGGTTTCCTTAAATAACTGGGGAATGTTGGAGATGAGAAGGGATGAAAGAAGAATAAAGAGATGTGTATCTATGTGAGAAAGATTATTTTCTTGATATGGAATTACTTCTTTGTTTCTGTGATCAATGCAAGGCAGGTGGTGATGGAGGCTGGTGATGTGTGGGGATACTACCTGGGGACACTGTCCCTAAGAGAGACACAGCAGGCTGTGCTGCCAATGGCACAGGGTATTTAATTGCCGGAAGAAGGAAAGTTCTTATGTCTGGGACATGCCCAAGCGTAACTCTTGCAAAACCACAGTCACATGGACCAAAAAGCAGCACAAAAATGTATTCACTAAGCCATCTCCAAACAACTTCAGTAAGGGCTAATATGCTTTAAGGACGACACAATGAAGGCTTTAATGGAAACAGACTAATAGATGAAAGTTTGTTCCCGTTTATACTTTCCATACTTAGCAGCAGGGAATTCGATGTTTAATTTAGTGCACAAAAACATTAAGTGTAAAAAAGACCTGACTTGCAAACTTGCCCATTATTGCTCAGTGCTTTAGAAATTCACTTCTTTCTTTTGTCTACAGTTAATGGCTGGATTTTCTATTTTCCTTGAACACACAGTGTCTATTAAGTATTACTTAAAATAAAAATCTTAAACTTTACTGGTCTGGAATTCAGAAATCTCGCTCTCAACCAAAACAGAGGGAGGATTAAATTTTCTATTTTTCTTGAGTTAAAATTTGGTTAAAAAAAATAAAGAAAAATCACTGAATGAAATGTCTGCATTTTCCCCCCTTAGCCTCTCATTTATGACATTATTGGCCTGGTTTGATCCACAAATTTTTAAAATTTGTTTCCTAGGACATAACAGATTAAAGGGACTAAGGTGGGTAGAATTGAAGGCAAGAACATAGTTTCAGGAAAAACGTTCTCAGTCCTACATGAAATAGTTTTCTACACAAATACAAAATTGTATTACCATGAAACACACATGCAACATTTGTGGTCAGAATGGTGAAACTGCATCATCAAGAAATTAGTAAATTACATTAAATTTACACTTTTTTTTTTGAGACAGGGTCTCGCTTTGTCACACAGACTGGACTGCAGGGGCACAATCATGGCTCACTGCAGCCTCAACCTCTGTCTCATGCGATCCTCCCTCCTCTCAGCTGCCCTAGTAGTTGGGACTAGAGATATGTACCACCACACCCAGCAAATTTTTTGTACAAAGAGGGTTTCTCCAAGCTGCTCAGGCTGAACTCCTGGGCTCAAGTGATCTGCCTGCCTCAGCTTCCCAAAGTGCTGGGATTACAGGCGTGAGCCACTGTGCCCAGCTGTACATTTTCATCAAAGTGATTGTCTTCATAAGGGGCTGGCATTTGAATTATGTTTCAATTACCCAGAGCATTCCTTTAACACAAAAGGCCTCTATCTCCAGCAATGTCTGTTAAGCAGTACATCAATGGATTTCCTAATATTTTAATGTTTTCAAGTGATTCAATTTCAAGCAAGGATTTTAAAAATAAATACAGATAAGCCATTTTTAAATTCTCAATTTTTTTTTTTTTTTTTTGAGACAGAGCCTTGCTTTGTTGCCCAGGCTGGAGTGCGTTGGCATGATCTCGGCTCACTGCAACCTCTGCCTCCCGGGTTCAAGCAATTCTCCTGCCTCAGTCTCCTGAGTAGCTGGGATTACAGGTGCCCACCACCACACCCAGCTATTTTTTTGTATTTTTAGTAGAGATGGGGTTTCACCATGTTGGTTAGGCTGGTCTCAAACTCCTGACCTCAAGTGATCTGCCCGCCTCAGCCTCCCAAAGTGCTGGGATTACAGGCGTGAGTCACCGTGCCTGGCCTAAATTCTCAACTCTTTTTTTTTTTTTTTTTTTTGAGATGGAGCCTCGCTCTGTCACCCAGGCTGGAATGCAATGGCGTGATCTTGGCTCACTGCAACCTCCGCCTCCTGGGTTCAAGTGATTCTCCTGCCTCAGCCTCCCAAGTAGCTGAGATTACAGGTGTCTGCCACCATGCCTGGCTATTTTTTGTATTTTTAGTAGGGTTGGGATTTCACCATGTTGGCCAGGCTGGTCTCGAACTCCTGACCTCAGGGGATTCACCTGTCTCAGCCTCCTAAAATGCTGGGATTACAGGCATGAATCACGGTGTCTGGCCTCTCAATTCATTTCTAATAGTCATAGCAAGTGGTTCATAGCAAGTGGTTCGTAGCAAGTCGTCACAAAGTCTAGGAGTCAGATCTCTTGCCTTCCAATCCTGGCTCTGCCACTTGTCAGCAGTGTCCTCAGGCACGTGACTCAACTTCTCTGTGCCTAGGTTTCCTTATCCACTGTTATGGTCTGGCTCTGTGTCCCTACCCACATCTCACTTAGAATTGTAATAATCCCCATGTGTCATGGGAGGGACCCAGTAGGATGTAATTGAATCATGGGGGTGGGTTTTTCCCATGCTATTCTCCTGGTAGTGAGTAAGTCTCACAATATCTGATGGTTTTACAAAGGGGAGTTCCCCTGCACATGCCCTCTTGCCTTCCATGTAAGACATGACTTTGCTCCTCCTTCACCTTCCACCATGATTGTGACGCCTCCCCAGCCATGTGGAATTGTAAGTCCATTAAACCTCTTTCCTTTATAAATTACCCAGTCTCAGGCATATCTTTATTAGCAGCCTGAGAATGGACTAATACATCTGTAAAATGGGATAACAGTAGTATATACCTCATAAGGTTGTGAGGATTAAGTGAGTTAATATTTGGGAAGTGTTCAGAATACTACGTGGCATACAATAAGTGACATCTAAGTCCAGGCAATGTGCCAAGTGTTTCATGTTTTTTTATTCTACTTAATTTTCATTATGTCCTAGGAGATACCGAGCAACACTATCCCTATTTTACAGGCAAAGAAACTGGCTCAGAGATTAAAGCAACTGTCAATGAGTACACGCAGATCCTGGGCAGATCCAGGAGTCCAGCCTGCCTCTCTCTGTGTATCCCTATGCTCCACACAGCCTCTGTATATGAGGCCTATCCACTTCTACCTATGGGGGTCTCCAAACATGGTCCTGGGCTAGGGCAACCTACAGATCTGAGCTCTTGCCTCAGGGAGCATGATTCTGTTTACAGGTTTAAGAAAGAATATTACTTTGGCTGGGCGCAGTTGCTCACATCTGTAATCCCAGCACTTTGGGAGGCTGAGGCAGGTGGATCACTTGAGGCCAGGAGTTCGAGACCAGCCTGGCCAACATGGTGAAACCCTGTCTCTACTAGAAATACAGATATTAGCCAGGCATGGTGGCACATGTCTGCAGTCCCAGCTACTCAGGTGACCGAGGCACGAGAATCGCTTGAGCCCAGGAGGCAGAGGTTGCAGTGACAAAAATATATGCTTAAAAAAATTTGAGATAACAAATTAAAATCAAAATCAGAAACAAATAGCTTTTTAGAACATATTTTAATATAAGAGATACCCCTAACTTTATTTCACTTAATACTCAGAATATAGCATTACACTGTAAGCTAACATGAGCCATCCTTATACTTATTATCTAAGAAGAAGCTTTCGTTTTGTGCTGAGAAGAGCAAGAGAGAGTATTAATCAGTTATTATAATTGCTTCACTCTCTTTTCTCCATCTTTTTGCACCTGCCAAATCTGAACAAAGATATGGCAAGAATAAATTCCATTGCTCTACTGCCACTAACTGCTGCACTCGTCACACTGCACTAGTATATAAAATGCTATACATTCTGTAACCTACTAGTTTTAAAATAAAGTTCTCTTTTCAAGAAGATTCATTCTAATTATTGTTACTTCCTCATTTATATTTTGTGCCTACTTCCAAAAAAGGATCCCTTCTCATTATGATCTGGCAGGGAAGCAAATCTGCTTCCAACTCGACAGCGTAGTGGTTGAAGCCACAGTGGGTAGTAAATGCTCCAGTTAGTATTGACAGGGGACTTGGAGAGAAATTCCAGGCAAGCATTGCAGAGCTAGAGGATCTGGGATCAATCCTCTATGCCCTGGTCTAAGAAAGTCCTATAAAACCCTAAAGGCCAGGCACGGTGGCTCATGCCTGTAATCCCAGCACTTTGGGAAGCTGAGGCGGGCGGATCACTTGAGGTCAGGGGCTCGTGACCAGCCTGGTCAACATGGTGAAACCCTGTCTCTACTAAAAATATAAAATATTAGCCAGGTACAGGTATGGTGGCATAAGCCTGTCACCCCAGATACCTGGGAGGCTGAGGTGGGAGAATCACTTGAAACTAGGATGCGAAGGTTGCAGTGAGCCGAGATCGCACCACTGCACTCCAGCCTGAGTGACAGAGCTAGACTCCGTCTCAAAAAAAAAAAAAGCCCAAAAATCCTAAGGCAGGGTCAGAACCTTATAGATTATAGCCTGTTTATCCTTGCAATACATTTTCTCAGTTATTAAAAAACAAACAAACAAAAAAACCCACTAAAAATAATGCATCTTTTTGACACAATTTGCCTTCCTGTCTCTTCTACAGACGCAGTGAATTGTGCACACAGGAAATGCCTTGATTGATGGGACTATTTTTTCTTTCCCTAGATAGAGAAATACACTCCACAGTGATGCACTTTGACGGTAGGAATCCCACTTCTACTTTCTAAGTACTTTTTCTAAAAGAATTTACCAACGATAAAAAGAGCAGGTTAAAATCTAAGTTGTGAAACCCTCGGGAAAGCCACCAGCAGTGCTGGGCACCAACAGTCTCCTCCCCTCATCATCCAGGGAATACAGCCTTTCTCTGAGTTTTCCGCTCTCTCAGAATAAGACTGAAAAATAATAGGCCAAGAGCCAAGAACAGTTTACTAGCTTTTCTTGCTGCATATAACTAGTAGCTGATAAACGTAAAACACAGTTCGAATAAATCTTTGCAAATATAGTATTATGCATCCTATAATTTATATATATATATACATATTTTTTAGATGGAGTTTTGCTCGTCGCCCAGGTTGGAGCGCAGTGGTGCAAGCTTGGCTCACTGCAACCTCTGCCTCCTGGGTTCAAGTGATTCTCCTGCCTCAGCCTCCCAAGTAGCTGGGATTATAGGCACCTGCCACCATGCCTGGCTAATTTTTATATTTTTTAGTAGAGACTGGGTTTCACCATGTTGGCCAGGCTGGACTCCAACTCCTGACCTCAGGTGATCCACCCACCTCAGCCTCCCAAAGCGCTGGGATTACAGGCATGAGCCACTGCGCTGGCCACATCCTATACTATTGAGCCAATGTATCTGTGTTTAATAATAAAATATTCTAAGCCTTACCAAATAATTTTTAGAAAATTCAAAAAGAGAAATTAACCAGCAGACATGTAATCCAAATTTCCTCTATCTGACTTGTCTTACAAAGTTACCAAAAAATCTCACAATCAGTACGTCTCTGTATTATGGATTGCATTTTATTATTTATAGGGTAGTCTATTTCTTCCACTAGATTACACATTTCTTGTGGGCAAGTATCTTTGTGTACAGTAGCCATAAAGTCTGGAAATGAGTAATGTCACCATTTAAAAAAAAAATAGATGAAAGCCCCTTGATCACTTCTACTGGAATATGCTAAAAATGAAGGTTTAATCAGTGAGAATCAGACTCACAAAGAATCAGAGACAACACAAAGCAGACACATGTGCAGGGACTGGTGGGAATTCTGCATCAACGCATAATGTCTATTACAATGGTGCACAGCACACTGAACAACATATTGCCATAAAGGACAGGATACTGAACAGATCATGTGATGTCATGCAACACAGTAGGTACTGCAATGCAATATCAATAAGCCATTTATTAAATACATTCACTTGAGTTTCCCGACTGTAAGGACACCCTGTAGGTGCCCAACAAATATTTCTGAAGTTAAACTATAAGTCATTAACATCCCTCATGATCTAAAATCTTCTCTGGAATCAACTTTTTTGCTAACAACATCGTAAGTTGTAGATGTCACTTAGAAAAGAAAGATAATGACAGTACAGGCAGAGATGAGAATGGAAACCTTGATTGGAAATCATTTGACGACATCTATAAAAAGCCTTAAGAATGTATATATCCTTGGACCCAGAAGGTCTATTTCCAGAAATTTGTCTGAAATAAATAATTGATCAATCACACAATGACAAGGTCAAGAATATTCACTGCAGCATTCTTCAAAATATTTAAAAAAGAGAATGTACACAGTGCCTCATGCCTATAATCCCAGCAATTTGGGAGACTGAGGCAGGAGGATTGCTTGAGCCCAGGAGTTTGAGACCAGCCTAGACGATACAGCAAGACCCTGTCTCTACCAAAAAAAAAAAAAAAAAATTGAAAAATAAGCTGTGCATGGTAGTGTATGCCTGTAGCCCCAGCTACTCAGGAAGCTGAAGTGGGAGGATCGCTTAAGCCTGGGAGGTTGAGGCTGCAGAGAGCCAAGATCATGCCACTGCACTCCAGCCTGGGTGACAAAGCAAGACCCTGTCTCAAAAAAAAAAAAGAGAGAGAGAGATTGTTTAGACAATTAGACTGTCTGTCTAAAGAACTGGAAGACAACTGAGAAGTCATTTCATTCCACAATTCCACTTTATGTAGGAGGGAACAGATACTTAGAGAAATTAAGGCACTTAACCAAATAAGGTCTCACAACTAGTTAGTGGCCGAACCAAGTTAGAAATTAGGTCACCTGAAAAGAATACTATGTCGACATGGCCTCAGTGAACTAGAACTCAATGGGAAGTAAAAGCAGAGAAATGGAAATATATTTTCCCAGAAACCTGTCAAGTGTTTAGCTATGTCCCTGACAGCAGTCACTGATGCATCTCTCAGGGTTTCCTACAGGAATGCTACGGGACCACAATGGTGCTTCGGAGGACCTCTATGCAGTCCAAATCACTGGATATGCCAGAAATCTGTCTCAAAGTGTTATCTCAGTGTATTGCTCAAGGCTGAGAACCAGCCTAAACGCTGATTGTATATACTGCATGTCATTGGTAGAAACTCTCAAATGAGCAGAGGAAGCAATGCAAAATGACACAAAGGACCTTGTCAGAAATAACCCATTAGCAGAAGGGGAAGCTGGGACTGTCTGCACCTGGACCAGCATTTACAGCTTGCGGGGTGAAAAGCCAAGAAGAAGCCAGGTTCCTGGGGGTCTCCCCCGATCAGCCTGGACTTGCCCTTGTCTCTTACCTCTTCTCTGCTAACATCCATGTTCCACACTGCAATTCCGCCGTCCGAGGAACAGGAGACGAGCTGCCTGGTGAGCTGAAGGTAGCACAGCGACTGCACCTTGTCACTGCAAACAGCACACACAACAGTCACTTGTCTCCATGCGGAAAAACACAGGAACTGTCTTCATTTAGGCTCAAATTGCTCTCCTCATTAAAATCAGCAAGTGGTATTTTACCACTGACTATTTAGCATGGTAAAATGAATTCTAGTATAAACTTTACTTGGCATTTTATAACTCATAATACAGAATGATACTTTCTATAAAATATATGACTACTTTCAAATCGGTCATTAAGAATTGTAGGCCAGAGATTTGATGAGGGCTATGGTTTTTGGGACCAATCAACATGATTTCCCTTTCAGATGCATAAGATTTACCTACTTGTTCAGAAACAAGAACGAAGGAGGTATAACTCCCCTACTGACCACAATTCATATGAACAAGGAGTCAAACACCACAAAGATCACTAGTGTGCACACACAAACACACACAGACACACACAGATGGGGTAAAGACCTCTGTCCCTCCTGCATGCCTGTCATACTACCCCTTAGGATGCCCAAGGAAACAAGCTCTTGGCCTGTTATACTTGTGTATAATATGTTTCCTCAGCTAATTTTCAGCTTGACTGTGATTATAGTAACAGCTGCAGCCTAGCCAAAAAGGAAAGAAAAGAAAGCAAGGTGAAGATGTATTTCTTTTTCTTTCAGGGCTACAGGGCAAGATCCTAAATATACAATGGTATCACTCAGGTGAATTCCACTGTCAAACTAGACAACATTTCTTAATTTAATATCTTTTAGAATAAAAAAACAAAGAACAAAAAACAAGTTAGGCTCCCAGC
This sequence comes from Homo sapiens, assembly GCF_000001405.40. NCBI lineage: Eukaryota > Metazoa > Chordata > Mammalia > Primates > Hominidae > Homo > Homo sapiens. Next base: position 223,895,121 of record NC_000002.12, read on the forward strand.
TCAACAACAGCTTAGTATCATGTTACATGCAACCTTCCATGGTCAAAGTCCTCACCTGCATCTCTATCCTATGCCTGCCTTAATCAGATATTTCAACAGGGTGACTCCTTGAGAGAAAAAGTGGCAAGTGCTCTTTGGACTAAGGAGGAAGAAAGCCCTGCATTTGTTTTTTTGTTTGTTTGTTTGTTTTGTTTAGTTTTTTGCTACTAAACATCAGACACTCGGGGCTGACAGAAAGCAGTTAAAAGTGAACTGAGCCCTATCAATGATAATTGCCATCTTAGAACGTGGGGTTTGCAGAAAGTGGTATCAGACTATTAATGCCTTTCACTAGCTCCCCACTAACTCGGATTCTTTCCCCACCCCCACAAGTGGTCACGCACTGATGGCCCTGAAGTAACAGCGTCCGGCCTTTCCTTCCTCCGATGTCCCACATGATGATGCTGTTGTCAGATGCTCCTGAGAAGAGTAACCGCTGAATAGGGTCCCACCAGAGGCAGGCGACACTACCTAGGGATTTGTGAGAGAGAGAGAGAGAGGGAGGCAGGGGAGAAGTAAAATATAACTCTACATCAGGACGTATACATTTGACAGCTGAAGACCAAACTAGGAGCAGCTGAGTCTTTAAGCAAAAAGGTATCTTCATGGTGTACAACGGGTCATTCAACCATGCTATCATGAGTCATACAGAAGACACAGCACCATTATCCACAGTCATAAGATTACAATTTTCAATTATGCATCAAACTACTTTGGGCCGGGCATGGTGACTCACACTTGTAATCCCAGCACTTTGGGAGGCCAAGGAGGGCGAATCACTTGAAGCCAGGAGTTCAAGACTAGGCCTGGCCAACATGGTGAAACCCTATCTCTCCAAAAAAACAAATTAGCCAGGCATGGTGGCAGGCGCCTGTAATCCCAGCTACTCGGGAGGCTAAGGTGGGAGAATTGCTTGAACCCAGGAGGTGGAAGTTGCAGTGAGCCAAGATAGCACCACTGCGCTCCAGCCTGGGTGACAGAGTGAGACTCTGTCTCAAAAAAAAAAAAAAAAAAAAAAAAAAAACTGCTTGTAATACAAAGATTTTTAAAGAAGTTTTTCGTTCTTCTGTGACAAAAATTACAAAGTAGCTTACATACAAAATGTTCAGAATGAAGAAAAAAATTGCTACTAATATTTAGTGACAAAAACCAGTAAAGTTTACTGTGTCCAACCTACACAAGATAAAAAATCTAGATTATTCTGGGTCTCTGGGACATGGCAGGTGTTTTACCCCAAGATGTCTATGTTTAAGCAAATTACATTAAGTACCACAGAAAAAAGTCTGTTGTACACTACATAATTATGCCAAGTAATTTATGTGAAAAATCTGAACTTCACATTTCATACTTTATATTGGCTAACTTATCAAATTTGAAACCCTTGGGGAAATCTTTCTTTCTACAGGTATATCTTTCAGTAGGTCCTTTCCTTGTTCATCGACTGCTGTTTGTCTAGAAGAAACATTAATCAACTTAGTAAAACTGAACCAGCCACACAAGCTAATAATAATTTTGGTAGGTATATAGAAAATTAATGATGCCATATTCAAAAGCAAACAGAAACTACTTTATCACATACACTTTCCAAAAACAGAACAAAAGTAGAAACAAATATTCTGCAAAGGCTTCAGGGGTTACTTTCACATGACTTTCGACCCTGTGTAATCTATGTGCCATCCATTTCAGTTAGAGGCTTAAGAGCAGATAAATACGGTCTTTCAGCATGAAAACCAGTACCCATTCTGGTAGTTACTAGAACCCATTCTGCCTTTAGCAACCCTGAAAAAACTGGCGAGCCTGGGGGTCATGAGAGAATTAGTCATAAACAGAAAGTGGTTTCTTCACGGGCCTCTGCTTTCCTGCCCAAAGCTATTTTAACTTGCTGTTCTCTTTTCTTCTTTTCCCCTACAGGGTCCTTGATTTGATATACTCCATTTCACCTAAATAGATTACATAGAAAGCATAGTGTACATTTATTATAACTTGTTACAACTGAAACGCTTACTATGGTCATAAATAAGTCCATCATTGATTCTTTCAGCAACTCCCCAGTTCTCCATAAACCAGATGGCCTCAAAGCTTGTACTTTGTGACATATATCAGAATGTGATCTTGTGATCTGTATGAAAACTGCAATCCATTACAGCTTAGCATCTGACATAGTTTAGACATGTGTCCCCTCTAAATTTCGCATATATATATATATATATATATATATATATATATATATATTTTTTAAGACGGAGTCTCTCTCTGTCACCCAGGTTGGAGTGCAATGGCATGATCTTGGCTCACTGCAACCTCTGCCTCCCGGGTTCAAGAGATTCTCCTGCCTCAGCCTCCCTGAGTAGCTGGGACTACAGGCACCTGCCAACGTCCAGCTAATGTTTTTTGTATTTTTAGTAGAGATGGGGTTTCGCCATGTTGCCAGGCTGGTCTCAAACTCCTGACCTCAAGTGATCTGCCCAACTCAGCCTCCCAAAGTGCTGGGATTACAGGTGTAAGCCAACGGGCCCAGCCTCTAAATTTCATGTTAAACTGTAATCCCCAATGTTGCAGGTGGGGCTTGGTAGTTGGCTCATGGGGGTGGATTTCTCACGAATGGTTTAGTGCCATCCCCTTGGTGCTCTCCTTGAGTCAGTAAATGAGCTCCCTTGAGATATGGTTGTTTAAAAGTGTGTGGCACCCCCACACCCCCACTCCTGCTTTTGTCATGTGATGTGCCTGTTCACACCTCACCTTCTGCTATGACTGTAAGCTTCCTAAGGCCCTCACCAGAAGCATGCCGGCACCATGCTTCCTGTACAGCCTGTAGATCCACGAACCAATTAAACCTCTTTTCTTTATAAATTACCCAGTCTTAGATATTTCTTTACTGCAATGCAAGAATGGCCCAATACAGCATCTAATGAAACCTCTTTATTACACATGTGTATGTGGCGAGTCACTCAATACAATCAATGGACTTTAAAAACCCCTCCACAGAGCTTCACCAACCCACTGCACTACAGAAATGAAATTCCACCCAGTAATTCTTTTCCCTCAGTCCCTACACAGGGTATGTTTCCCAAGCAGAGGCTGAACCAGCCCACACATTTCTTCTAATTGTATTTATCAGGTCTTGCTCAGGGGCTTAGAAACTGACAAATTTTTTTAAAGTAATAACAACAATTCTTCCAAAAGGTTTTTACCAGTTAGAAGTAATTTTAAAGGTCTTCCCAGCACAATAACTTATTTTATTTTTATTTCTATTTTTTTGAGACAGAGTCTCACTCTGTCACCCAGGCAGGAGTGTAGTGCTGTAATCTCGGCTCACTGCAACCTCTGCCCCCCAGGTTCAAGTGATTCTCCTGCCTCAGCCTTCCGAGTAGCTAGGGGTGGAATTACAGGTATGCGCCACCATGCCTGGCTAATTTTTGTATTCTTAGTAGAGAGGCAGTTTTGCTGTGTTGGCCAGGCTGGTCTCGAACTCCTGGCCTCAAGTGGTACACCTAATTCGGCCCCCAAAGTGCTGGGATTACAGGTGTGAACCAATGTGCCAGCCATAACTTAATTTAAAAAGGTAAGCAACGTAGAAAGTATTATCCACACAAGCAATTTAGAAGGGATTTCGACAATATGAAATGAACCCATCACCCCACCTTCACTTAGTTTTCACTCTAAATCCCATATCTGGCCAATCAAAATGAAATCTGACAGATCATGAGGAACACAGCATTCATGAATCCACATAGTAGAGAACTGAATTTGGATGTCCAAGTTAGGCAAAAAAAACTCTTGGGTGATAATATAGCCTACCTTCATGTCCTTTGAGGGTTGTGATGACTGAACACGTGTTCTGTTCAAGCTTCAGCAGGGTGATCTGCCCAGAATAATCACCAACGAAAGCATACTGAGTGTCAAAGTCATATCTGAGGAGAAGCAGTCAAGGATGTAGAACAGAAATCACCTGAAAGTCCTCTCATAAGAGAGATACCAGCATTAGTCAAAGTTAGTTTTCAAAGTTAGAAAACATGCATTTTAAAGAGAATAAGCATACACGTAAAACTATAACAAGAAAGGAAACACCCAACTGAAAAGCATGCAATATGTAAATATTGAAGGTAAAAATTAAAACAGCTGTTATTACTGAGAAAGTTTATATTCATTCATTCAACAGGAACTCATTGAGTGCCTGTTACTATATCAAGCAAGATCCCAGGAACTGGCAATAAAAAAAGAGCTGGTAGGGCAGACACACACGAAAACAAGTAGATATAATCAAGTACAATAAAGTGTCAAAGAGTAAAACTGATAACTACTGGGCTGGCTGCAGTGGCTCATGCCTGTAATCTCAGCACTTTGGGAGGCTGAGGCGGGCAGATCACTTGAGGTCAGGAGTTCAAGACCAACCTGGCCAACATGGTGAAACCCCGTCTCTACTAAAAACACAAAAAATTAGCTGGGCGTGGTGGCACACGCCTGTAATCCCAGTTACTCAGGAGGCTGAGACAAGAGAACAGCTTGAACCCAGGAGGCAGAGGCTGCAGTGAGCTGAGATGGTGCCACTGTACCACTCCAGCCTGGGTGACAGTGCAAGACTCTTTCTCAAAAAAAGAAAAAAAAAGGAAAGAAAAGAAAAAGAAATTGCTAACTACTGAAAACAGCAAGAAAGCTCTGAAACGTAATGGTTATTTATGAAATATCTCTGAAAATAATGTAAATCTGACAGTAAATACAAGACATGAATCCATGTTTCTTTTGGCCTAGAGAATTTAGCTATAAATGAAGAGGATGATTCACTTTAAATTACTGTGGATAGTTTAATAATCCAAAACGCAGTTATTTGTGGCGGTAGTACATTTAAATTTAGAAAATATATTAACTATTGGTCACAACTCATTACTTTCTCGATTTGTGGTCATAGATATTTGTGGAAAACCAGAAATTTATACACGACATGTTAACTACTATTTGTAATAGGAAAGCTATTTACAGTAGGATAACTATCACTCTTCCAAAACACGGGTCAAAAAGAGCACCGTAAACTAGGGCATGAACTGTGATTCTGTGTCATTTTCTACAAATCCATTTTGAGAGGCCTAGCACGTAACAAAAACGCTTATGTAGCACATACTATATCAGAGTATTTTTTGCTTGTTTGATCCTAAAGTATATGATACTATTTTAAATATCTCATGCTGTGCATTCATTTGTAGCAAACATTTTAAAGAAAGGCTTTCAATGGACAGAATTTTACTAAGCCAGACATTCAACTCTGAGAGAGAAACTACTGCGGGGTGTCTGCCTGTTGTTGATAACCTTGATCTTGCCATCACTAAGATACACAGCAGGCAGAGGTATCCTTAGGTAAGGGCGAGCTCTACATGAAGCAAATTCCATGTAGTAGCAGGAATTTTTTAGGCCGTGATTTTTAGCATTTTGGGGGATCCTGAGCCATCTTTGAGAGTATTATAAGGATTATGGGTCCTCTCCACACAAAAAAAAGCATTAAGCAAAAGTTTTGTGTAAAACTCCTTGTAGCCCATTTAGGAACAAACCCCAGGGCTATAAACCCTTAATGTTCAGTACATATACTTACAGAGTCTGCAAATAACCAATTACTAGAAGACAAGTTCCTTTTTTCCTTCCTTCACACAATAAAAAGTCTTTCCATTAGAAACACAAAGACATGAGAGGAAGGGTTTGCATTAATGGGCTTGGGTTTTCCACAATTTTGAATTAAAAACCTATAGCACCTCCCAGCACAGAACAATTCATTTCATTATTTTTAATAAACCCAATTTACAGCAAACTTACGGAAGTTCTCGGATTTTCAGTGAAATATGTATTAGGTTGGTGCAAAAGTAATTGCAATTTTTGCAATTACTTTCCATGGTAAAAAAAAAAATGCAATTACTTTTGCACAAACTTAAATAGGTTTCATTCAGTCTTTAGATCTCAGCCATTTGGGATGAGATTCAGAACCAAACACTGAGAAGCAGAGGCCAGGGGAAGGAGAGGTCCGTGGCTCTGAAGGATACTGCAGACACGAAGCCCAGGACGTGAAGAAGTGCCTCCCGAGCATGTTCCCGCTCCGCGTGCACATCCAGCTCACACACTTGTCGTGGCCGGTACTGATCACCCACTCTGTGGCCAAGCTGAAGATAATCGCAGACACCCGGTTCTGATGAGCTGCAGGAACAGAAAGGTGAACAGATGTCATCTCCAGAAACAGCACTCTATGGGGAAGAACTGAGGCTCAACCTCTCAATCTGCTCAGCCAGGGCACAGCTGTGTACAAGAGTGTACTGGAAATGCCTGTCCTCTGTGAGTATATTTCAGACAACCCGCCCCAGCTCAACAACTCACTAGCACAGGCTCTCTCCAAGGCGGTGCCCTCTGCTCCCCACAGGCATGGCCACCAGAAGCTAGGAATCATTAAAGAGTAACGCTCAAGGAGAAATCAAATAATAGATTAGAGAACAGATTTTTTTTTTTTTTTGCTATGCTCAAGAGAACATTTTTACTTTGCTCTAAAAAACTGTATGAACAAGAACCATGTGGAAAGCAGCAGTTGTAACAGTGCAATGTTTTAATCGTCTGTAACTTCAGTGTTTTGAACCTTCAGAAAACACTGGCATTCTAAGTAAGAGCAATGGCAGTTTTCTAAAATTAAAAAATGGTGTTATGTGTTTGGTTTCTGGAATACTTTTTATCAGTGTGTAACATTTTATTATTTACAAAGACAAAGCTTTTGTAAAGTTCTCTGTTCCAAAATAACAGCTGAGAATGAGGAAGGTATTCTGTCTGTTACCTAACTCTGGAAATATTTCCAGGTCAATTATAAGCCACACCGGGGCAGTGTAACCTGCCTTCAACTTCATCTGGTACAGAACTTTGCATGTAGTAGATGTTTAATAAGCATCCAGTCTGATGAATGAAGTCAAAGGCCTGACAGAGAAACTGCTGACCTTGCTCTCAGCTGTACAGACTGCTTAGGAAGAACTGAGGGACTCTCCCCAAAAGTCTACGTGCAGGTCAGATTCATCCACTGCTAAAAGGTTACACTGAACAATTAAATACTCATGAAGGATTCTGAAACTTAAAGGATGCTATGATAGCTATTAATCTTAAATTCAGCTGGGCACAGTGGCTCACACCTATAATCCCAGCACTTTTGGGAGGCCGAGGCAGGAGGATTGTTTGAGGCCAGGAGTTGGAGACCAGCCTGGGCAACAAAGCAAGACCCCACCTCTACAGAAAATTTTTTAAAACCAGCTGGGCATGGTGGCACTTGCCTGGAGTCCTAGCTACTCAGCAGGCTGAGATGGGAGGATCCCTTGAGCCCAGGAGTTGGAGGTTACATTGAGCTATGATTGCACCACTGCACTCCAGCCTGGGTAAGACAGCGAGACCCTGTCTCTAATTAAAAAATAAAAATTTAAAACTGAAAATAATGTTAAATTTGAGTAGGCCATATCTCATAAGATCTGTCTCAGCGTCTGATGTGGAGCCTAATGCTTTTTCTGTTTTAATGATATTTAATTTCCATAAATACTTACAGGGTGTGTATTATTATACTGATTTTCAGATAAGAAAACTGAAATGCAAATATTATTTATAAAATATTTATAAATATATATTAAATATAAATATTAATATACGCCTAAAGTCTAATAAGTGATAGATTAATTTGGTCTGTCTCACTCAAAACACTTTTTCCACTAAATCTGTAGTTGTTAAACTCGGGCCAAACAGTCATAGGGTTTAAACTAGTTTGTGGTAAAGATGCTGTAGTGAATAGTCAACTATTTTTTCCTGGGAAGAGCCATCCTATTTCTAAGATTATATCCTTTCTGCTGTTTGGTTTTTTCTGATATCCTTTCTTTTATGAAAGTATGGTGAGATACAGTCATGCTTATTTTGCTTCATTTTTAGTTTTTAAACTCTCACTTGGCAAAATAAAAAATACAGCAATCCCTATATTAGTCCTCCAAATGTTTTCTAAAATGTTATTAGTCAATGAAATATAAAGGTCCAAGAACCACTGCACAAGAAACCTATGCTGCCTTATAGCCCATAAAGAACTCTGACAACCAGCGGGGCTTGGTGGCTCATGCCTGTAATCCCAGCATTTTGGGAGGCCGAGGCAGGAGGATCACTTGGGGCCAAGAGTTCAAGACCAGCCTGGCCAACATGGTGAAACCCCTTCTCTACTAAAAATACAAACAATTAGCTGGCCGTGGTGGCTCGCACCTGTAATCCCAGCTACTAGGTAGGCTGAGGCAGGAGAATTGACTGAACCCAGGAGGCAGAGGTTGCAGTGAGCCAAGATCGTGCCACTGCACTCCAGTGTGGGCAACAGAGTGAGGCTCTTTCTCAAAAAACAAAACAAAACAAAAAAAAACCTTTGACAACCAAAATATAGATAATAACATGAGATGTGAATATGAAATAATTTGATCCTTAATGAAAGATGAAAAATACACACACACACACGTTTTTTGTTTTTTTTTTTTTAAAAAAAGGGACAGGATCTCACTCTGTTGCCCAGGCTGGAGTACAGTAGTCTGATGATGGTTCATTGTAATCTCTAACTCCTGGGCTCAAGTGATCCTCCCACCTCGGCCTCCCAAGTAGTTGGGACTACAGCATGTGCCACCATGGCTGGCTACATTTTTATAGCAGTATGGTCTCTCTATGTTGCCCAGGCTGGTCTCAAACTCCTTGGCTTCTCAAAGTGCTAGGATTACAGGTGGGAGCTACCACAACTGTCCAGATGAAATAATTTATTAAGGAATTTGCCTTTTGACAAAAACATTGACCAGGCATTTAAGGGTCTCCAAGCCTGGCATTTAAAGGTCTCCAAACTCGTAGGTATATACCTCATAAAGGAATTTACGGATTCTTGATTATTTTAAAGATAAACCTGCACATGATGGCTGAGAATTCAAAGTTGCTTCTGGTGTTATAATAACACCATAATGCTAGTACATTACTCAGTGCAAGATTGGAAAGTGTTATCATTCATTGTTACAAAACAGTTTCCCTGACCAACATACTCCAAGGACAAATGTATGGTCATTGTTATATCACTTTTCTCCTATTTTATTTATTGATTTATTTTTGAGAAGGAGTCTCGCTCTGTTGCCCAGGCAGGAGTGCAGTGGTGCGATTTTGGTTCCCTGCAACCTCCGCCTCCCGGGTTCAAGCGATTCTCCTGCCTCAGCCTCCTAAGTAGCTGGGACTACAGGCATGTGTCACCAGGTCCAGCTAATTTTTGTTATTTTTAGTAGAGACGGGTTTTCACCATGTTGGCCAGGCTGGCCTCAAACTCCTGACCTCAAGTGATGTACCTGCCTCAGGCTCCCAAAGTGCTGGGATTACAGGGGTGAGTCACCGTGCCTGGATGCTTTTCTCCTATTTTAAATTTGGAACAGGTGAAACAATATGTAGGGAAAAGCAATTTGGCCTTCTTATTAAAGTATCCTATTATTAGACCACATTTCACCAAGATGAACAACACATACGTAAAACATCTACACTCTAATTTTTACCTTTATCCACAAGCATTAAGTATAAAATTTTAGAAATATAGAGTGAATAAAATGAGGCTAAATGTCATGTCCTCTGGTGAAGTTTCTGGGAATCAGCTAATTGCTCTGATGGGAATCCACAACTTAATCAAAATGCTTTAGTTTTGCAACTTCAATCTGAAGTTGTCATTGGGATCTTGCTTTTGTTAAGTTTTAAAATATTGAAATTTACAAAATAAAGTAAAAACTGAAAAAAAGGTATATGTCACAGATGCCACAAAGTATTGATAGCTTTGTAGTGAAAAGTGCTTACAATTCAGTTAGAAAACACTCCAGCTCCCTGGGAATATGCGTAAAATCATAAACGGACATTCAGAAAAGACAACAAATGGTCAACATTAAATAAAGCTTAAATCATTTTCAAATTGAGAACTTTCTTGACTATAAAACAGGAAAAAGAAATTATGAGGCAGCCATGTTGTGAAGACTTCATGAACAGGTATTCTCAGCTGCCATTCGCAGACTGTAAAAACTTGCACTATTGCTGTGAAGCAGTCTGCAAAATAAATCTAGGGCACTTAAAAAACTTTTTAATGTCTGACCCGGTTATTCCACTTTGTAGGAATTTGTCTTAAAAAAAAAATTCCTCACTGAGCACCTAGGGATTTGTCTTAAATAATCGGAATTATAGAATTTGGACAGGTGTGGTGGTTCACACCTGAATTCTAGCACTTTGGGAGACTGAGGTGGGAGGGTCACTTAAGGTCAGGAGTTCGAGACCAGCTTGGGCTACATACTGAGACCTCGTCTCCATTTAAACAAAACAAAATAAAATAGAAACAATGAATTATAGGATTAGAGTCAGAATAACAGTGGAGAATACCCACACACACACACGTGTATATACTTATTCAATACACACACACAATGTGTATACACATATCAAAAAATTGTACACTCAGTTATATACACACACATACATGTATGAAGAGTAGTGTGTGTTATCAAAAAAAAAATGGAAGCAGTACACATATCCAATAATAAAAGAATGGTTAATTAAATCTGATACATGTGCCTGATATACAAAATTTTAAATGTTAATGAGCAAGAAAAAGCTGAAATATCACTAAAAGACAAGTCTCTTGCATAGTGGGGGTAACAAAACTAAAAAGTTAATGTGAAAATCTAATTTTCATCATAAGAGATGATGTTCTAGTTTTGTGTATGTCTACATGTATGTGTACGCAAGATAATGTGTATTATAATTACCTGGGTAGGTCTTGATAAAGTTCATTTTATTAAAATCTTCAGAAACGTGAAATTCCTAAAAGCAAATGCACAAAATAAAAAATTAAAAGAGTTATGGTTTTAAAAAACAACAGAAACTTGACTTTCAAAAATGAAGTAAAATCCAAAAATGATTATCACAAGACCTAGGACTTAAGGCGAGTTATTTAGGAATGATATGAATTGCTTCTTTCACCAGACCTGTCCTCAGGCCAACATTGTTTGGGAGAACAGACCGAATTGAATAAAGTAAGTGCTGCTGATCAGCATGGGATTTGTGTCCACTTCTTCCTGCCCAGATCAGCACTCCATATTCCTTCTCCCTCCTACTACAAAACTTTATTCTCTTAGTGACACAAAAAATCCCTCAAGACACTGCATATTAAAGCAAAACTGCAAAGACCCCTCACTAACAGAGCTCTCAGCTACAGTAAAAACAGGGCACTGGGTAGCTCAGCAATTTAGTGGGGGAAAGTACACCTATTTAATATACAAACACAACAACAACAAAAGAGAAATTTTGAGATTGTGGGTGGTTTTTGTCTTTTTATGATCCCATATTTTCCAAATTTTATTTATTTATTTATTTATTTAGAGACAGAGTTTCGCTCTTGTTGCTTCCTCGGCTCACTGCAACCTCTGCCTCCTGGGTTCAAGTGATTCTCCTGCCTCAGCCTCCCAAGTAGCTGGGATTACAGAAGTGCACCACCACACCCAGCTAAATTTTGTATTTTTAATAGAGATGGGGTTTCACCATGTTGGCTAGGATGGTCTCGAACTCCTGACCTCAGGTGATCCACCCACCTTAGCCTCCCAAAGTGCTGGGATTACAGGCGTGAGCCACTGCACCTGGCCCCAAACTTTCTATAGATGTAATACTTTATAACTTGGAAAAGAAATTTAAAGTACATGTGTTTTATTGCAAAAAAATCAACCTCAACTAAAGCTATGAAGATAAAACTCTAAAGAAAAATCACGAATTACTACTACCATTATTATTATTATTATTATTATTATTATATTATTTTGAGACAGAGTCTCGCTCTGTCACCCAGGCTGGAGTACAGTGATGCAATCTCAGCTCACTGTAACCTCTGCCTCCTGGGTTCAAGCGATTCTTGTGCCTCAGAGTCCTGAGTAACTGGGACTAAAGGTGCATGCCACCACACCCGGCTAATTTTTTTGTATTTTTAGTACAGACAGGGTTTCACCATGTTGGCCAGCCTGGTCTTGAACTCACAGCCTCAAGTGATCCACCCCCCTTGGCCTCCCAAAGTGCTGGGATTACAGGCATGAGCCACCGTGCCCAGCCAAGAATACTATTATTGATCAATGCTAAATTGACATGGATATTATGAATTGCTGACAGACCAGAGTGAGGGGGGAAAAAAGCACACAAAAGAATACAGATTTCTTGTTTTCCATCTTGTTTTTGTAAAGTAGAAAAAATGTATCAGCACTGTATATATTAATCTGTATTCAGTGGAAGAGCAATTGATCAATTGCTAACTAATGCTAAATTGGATTTGCATTGCCCCTTTCCATTGAACAACTGTAACAGTTCTTATGTGCCATCCTATAATGACAGTCTCCCCTTGAACTGAAGGCCACAAGAAGGGTCCCTAGGGAGATAAATGCACCAACACTGCACCACTGCACTATATGAAGCTTGTACTTAGTGGCTTCTCATTATATGTGTGTATGCACATGATGATATTCCTATAAAATTTTCTGAAAGCTAAAACGGAGAGCTTCAGCATTCACTACTGTGTCATGCATTTCCAGCACCCTCACCTGCCGCCTGCTGCTGTGTGAACTGCATGGGCAGGGAGCCTGTCCCTTCCACTGGATCTTTCTTCTCGGCCCTTACATCAAGGCTGCTGCTGCTATTTTTTTTTTTTTCTCTTTCTTTTGAGACAGGGTCTTGTTCTGCCATCCAGGCTGGAGTGCAGTGGTGCAATCTCTGCTCACTGTAACCTCCACTTCCCAGGCTCAAGTGATCCTCCCACCTCAGCCTCTTGAGTAGTGGGGCTATATGGGTATGCCACCACACTAAGCTAATTTTTTTATTTTTTGTAGAGATGAGGTCTCACTAATATTGCCCAGGCTGGTCTCTAACTCCTGGGCTCAATCCTCCTGCCTAAGCCTCCCAAAGTGCTGAGATTATTGGCATGAGCCACCACACCTGGTCCAAGGCTGCTTCTTTCATTAAAAAATAAATACATAAATAAAAACAATGAAACTCTCATAACTATACTTCTACTTTCCTTGACCCCTTCTCAGCCAAAAGCTTCTCTAATGACCAGACCACTCTGGTTACCCTCAGGCTCTCTGGCTCCCACATCTCCCAGTCACACTTCAGTCCATGGCTCACCAGGGCTACCCCACTGCATGGAAAGGCTCTTCTTGTTATCAGCAGCTGTCTTCTACGTGCCATCCCAAAGGCACTAGCCAGGCCCAATTTCATCCTCTCCCTCCTGCCCTTGACACCTTTACTCACCTCCTCCCTGAAACTCACTGCCCTCCAGCTTCCGTGGCTGCACTGTCCTGGCTGGCTCTCCTCCCACTTTGCCCATTCTTCCTGTCTCTCCTTTAGGCTCCCAGTCCTCTGGCTTTTCTTTAAATATTGACATTTCCCTAGGAATGTGACCTTGGCCCTCTGCTTTTCTCAATGTACCTGCTCTCTCTAGTTCACGGCAGCCACCGTTGTAGTTTCCACTGACGTCTATGTTCAGGGAACTCCCAACCCCTGCCCAGACCAAACCCTGAGGTTCCAGCACACACACCCAAGGTCGGTTCTCAAAACTGAACTCATCACCTTTCCCCAAAAAAGATCAGCATCTTTTCTGTCTCTGAAGACAGCTAATTCCTGGCTAGAAACCTGAAAGTCATCTTAAAGCTGCTCCCTATTTCAACACACACCTTTATTCACACACCCAGCCCTGCTTCCCGGACAGTTCTTGAGGCCACAGCCTCTTCTCCATCACCACCCCAGTATTTCATGATTTCACACTGGGGTCCGGAGGCAGCCTCCTAACTGGCACCTGCACTTTCAGCCTTGTCCCTTCAAAGCCTGCTACAAATTTCTGAGCTCACAAAAACCAGAAACCTGCTCCTGCTCCTCAGAGGTTTTAGCAAAACCATGTAGTTTCCCTAAAGCACTTGACCCTAGGGTTCATCTAGAGGACTTGCTACTTATTGTACAGATCCCCAGGCCCCTCCCTAGTGATTCCGAAGCTCTAGGTCTGGCATAGAGCCGGGGAATCTGTATTTTAGTAAGTTCCCTCAATGATTGGCGTGACTATGCAAGGTCAGGAAATTCAGCTTACATAACGTGGTCTGGGCCCCTTAAAGTCACACTCAAGGATCATCATTTCCCCTCCTCCCTGGCTGGCCTCCCCTTTGACCCCACTCCAAAACAGTGTCATTATTTAGGCAGCAGGTCTGGGCCCTGACTTCTTTCATTCCCTCCCCAGCTACTCACAGTCATTCTTGTGGCTTGAAAAATGACCTGATGATGATGCCCTCTGCCCAGACCTCTCCGGGACTCGTTTTGTTTATCCTGTGCCAACTTCACATGGCCAGTTGGAAGCTCACTGGTATCTTAAACTAGGCTGGCTCTCACTGTCCCCTCTCCCTCCAACTGCCTCCCCCACCCAGCCTTACCCTTCTCAGCGAACAATACTACTTCCTACCCAGCTGCTCAAGCCAAAAACCTGGCTGTCATCTGACTTCTCTTCCTCTCCTCTACACAGCCAACTTATCTCAGATGTCTCCAAGACTTATCTCAACTCAAGTCCATCCATTTGTCCTTCTTCATGGCCACTGTCCCTTCACCCAGGCCGCTAAAACAATCTGATTCTCCCACCGCCACTCTGGCCGTGCCTCAATCTGTTCTCTACCCAGTAGCTAGGGTGATCTTCGAAAAATGTAAATTACATCATGCTATTCATCTGCTGAAAACACTTTAACAGCTTCTCACTGCAATTACAATAAAATTTAAAGCTTTACCCAGACCTACAAGACCTTGCATGACCCGGCCTCTGCCCAATTCTCCAATCGCCCTAGGGTGCCCTCCCTATATAGCCCTGCACCATCAAGCCACTATAACATTGACTTCTGGAAACTCTTCCCTGGCTCTCTGCCTGGCTGGCTCTGTGACAAAGATGCCAAAAAACTTAAATGGGGGAAAAAAAATAGTCTTTTAAACAATTGGTGCTGGGATAACTGGATGTCCACATACAGAAGAATAAATGTGGAACCCCTCCCTGATACCACTATAGGAATTAACTTACAATAAATCAAAGATCTAAATGTAAAGCTAAACTATAAAACTCTCAGAAGAAAATACAGGTGTAAATCTTGATTTACACCTATCTTTACAGATATAAATGACCTTGGATTAGGCAATAGTTTCTTAGATATGGTATCTAAAGCTTAAGTAGCCAAAAACAAAAAAGATAAATTGGACTTCACCAAACTTAAAAAAAAAAAAAAAGTAAAAAGGCAGCTCTTAGGAGAAGATATTTGCAGATCATATATCTGATAAGGGTCTAGTATCTAACATACAGAAAAAAACTCTTACAACTCAACAATTAAAAAATACTCTATTAAAAATGGGCAAAGGACTTCAATAGATATTTCTCCAAAGAAGATATAAATGACCAACAAGTACCTAAGAAGATCCTCAACATCACTAGTCATTAGGAAAACGCGAATCAAAACCACAATCTGGTACCATTTCACACCCCCCAGGATGACCATAACAAAAACAAAGCAAAACAAAACAAGCAGAAAATAACAAGTGTTAGCAAGGATTTGGAGAGCCGGAAACCTTGCGTGTTGCTGGTGAGAATGTAAATGGTGCAGCCACTATGGAAAACAGTTTCATAGTTGCTTACAAGTTCAATATAGTCACCATATGACCCAGCAATTCCACTCCTAGGTATACATACCCAAGAGAATAGAAAAAAATATGTCCATGCAAAAACATGTACATGAATTTTCATAGCAACGTTATTGATAATAGCCAAAAAGTGAAAACAACCCAAATGTCTATCAACTAATAAACGGATCAACCAAATGCAGTATAGAATGCTATTCCACTGCAAAAATAATTAATTAATTCAAACAGGCATGAACCTTGAAAACATTATGTTAAGTGAAAGACAGACATAAAAGGCCACACATATTGTATGAGTCTATTTATATAAAGTGTCTAAAATAGGCAAATCCTTGGATTCAGTAAATTAGTGATTTCCAGGAGCTGGGGGAAGGGGCAATGGAGAGTGACTGCTAATGGGTATGGGATTTTTTTGCAGGGAGGGGTGATGAAAATATTCTGGAATTAGAGAATGGTGGTAATGGTTGCACAATCTTATGAATATGCTACAAGACCACACAATTATATACTTTAAAATGGTAAATATAATTATGTTATTTAAGTTATATTTCAATTAAGAAAAAACAAATGTATGCATACAATTTGACGCACAAAAATGCCAGTCTATAACAGACTAGAAACTTGAATATCAGGTCCTTTGCCAAAGATAGTTTGAGAAGTATTGCCTTAAAGAGTTCTGTGAGTTGCTAGCTGAATGACCACACACACACACACACACACACACACACACACACACACACACACACACAGAGTGACAGAGGCTCTCCACCATCACGGCTAAGGGATGGGGGCTGCTATAGGTGACGTATTCACTCTATGAAGGCTATGATCTGTGGGTCAGCCCGAGCACCCAGCTATCAATTACGACAGCATTCTGAGCTCCAAGGAACTAGTTTAAAATTAAGCAATAATTTAATCCATTTTTGACCTAATATCTATACTGAATTAAACTTTTTTTTTTTTTTTGAGACATGGTTTCCCTCTGCTGCCCAGGCGAAAGTGCAGTGGTGCAATCTCAGCTAGCTGTCAGCCTTGACCTCCTGGGCTCAAGCCATCCTCCCACCTCAGTCTCCTAAGCAGCTGGGACCACAGGCATGCACCACTACCAATTAATTTTTTTGATTTTTCGTTGAGATGAGGTCTCACTATGTTACCCAGGCTGGTCTCAAACTCCTGGGCTCAAGCGATCCGCCCGCCTCAGCCTCCTAAAGTGCTGGGATTACAGATGTGAGCCACTGTGCTTGGCCTAAATTAAACATTTTTCATGCCAAACAATCGAGCATCCATTGTTAATCCAAAGTTAACTGGCCAATATGGGACATGGGAGGTCAATATAAAGAATATAATATAAAGAATACAATAAATACATTCTAAAAGCTACCTACCATTACAGCTCCATTATCCTGGCCCACAAATATCCGTCTGCTGTCATGATGGTAAGCCATAGCAGAGCAAGGAGCTGCCAGAAAGACAAAGACCACATTACCAGCAAAGCTAAGCACTTTAAGTTGTTCTTCAAAGTGATTAAGAACTATATGATAAGAACTATATAATTTAGGTTCACAGAAAGAGGGTAAAAACGTTTTATACAAATTACGTAAATTGAAAATGTTATTAAAGTTCTCTCTGTTGTCTTAGTTTAAAACCTTGATTTCACAAATCTTCTCAGTTGTTTCTATAATGCTGGGTGAAGTGAGCCAGCATGAAGCTTCATCTGACTGAAAGTACTACCTGTAGTCTGGCAAGCCTTGGGGACCAGTGCTTGTAGTGTGTGACCTGCTGCCCAAAAGCTCAGGAGGTCATCCCGCCCCTGCCACCCTTCCCATCAAATGTCAAAGAGTAGCTGTGCAAAGATGGGTTCCCAGCACCAGAATTCCCATTCTATGGCATAAGTGAGCATATGTGAGGTGCAGATATATGGCATATGTGAGTTGTGAAGTGCAGACAGGTTTCCTTGTCCTCCTTCCATGTTCTACCCTACCCTCTTCCAGAAATCACAGGCTAGAGAATGAGTTTCAGAAAGGAGAAATTCTAAATTGTCTTTTACCAAAAATTAGAATTAAAGTGATTTATAAATTGGAACATTTGGAAAAAAAATGTGGGTTTGTTTCAGCCTAAGGAATTTTAATTAGCAATGGAAGAACCAAAACAAGGAAATGCATGCTAGGGAAAAACAAAACAAAACAAACAAATTTGAATTCACTTTGGAATAAAACTTCTCATAAAAGACGGGTGGGTAGGGTGGCTCATGCCTGTAATCTCAGCACTTTGGGAGGCCAAGGCAGGAGGATTGCTTGAGGCCAGGAGTTGAGATCAGCCTGGACAACACAGTGAAACTCCATCTCAAAAAAAAAAAAAAAAAAAGATAAAAGAAAAAACGTCTTTTAAATGAAGTCACCATTTGAATATAAAGTTCTCTCTCTCTAGTAGGGTGATATCCTCACCAAAGGAAGGAAGTAAACTATAATACTGGATCGTACCCCAAAGCAAAAACATAGCTAACTGCATGATCAGACCATAGAGACTGTTTCAGTTGCATCCAAGAACTATGTAGTTGGCTCTGAAAGGTACGTACTGAAATTGTGCACAAAACAATTAGAATTGACTATGAGCCTGTATACCCTTATCTGACACAGTGATGTTTGAGATTAAAAGAACGATCAAGTATTATGACCACAAAGATATATATACATATCTTTATACAATCAAAATGTTCTTTAATAAACCATGCATACACTTATCTTTGACAAATCAAATCATGCTTTGATGCGTTCAGAGATTCACTGTCATCATTTTTGCTTGCTTTCTAGCTGGCACTAAATGCATTAGTTTTAAGCTTCTTTTCAATTTTTTTAATGCCCAACCCTATAACAAACAACATAAATATGTAAAATCCCTCTTTTGTGTAAAAATTACAAAGTGCTGGGTAATTTTATGAAGCTAGACAACTATAACATTTCAAAAAGAAAAAAAAGGCTTCCTTAGTTTGTTTTGTATTATATAGTAATATCCTGGCTCTCTCCCTAGAAAGGAGGTTTCTAACTGAGATAAGCAATATAAATTTAATGTAGAAGGGGAGGGGTTGGATATAAAGCAAAATAGGAATCATCTTTCAAATCAGTTAGCTTTTTTTTTTTTTTTTTTTTTTTGAGATGGTGTCTTGCTGTCACCCAGGCTGGAGTGCAGTGGCGCAATCTCAGCTCACTGCAACCTCCGCCACTTGGGTTCAAGCGATTCTCCTGTCTCAGCCTCCTGAGTAGCTAGGATTACAGGCAGCCACCACCACACCAGGCTAATTCTTGTATTTTTAGTATAGACAGGGTTTCACCATGTTGGCCAGGCCAGTCTCGAACTCCTGACCTCAAATGATCAGCCTGCCTCGGCTTCCCAAAGTGCTGGGAATACAGGCATGAGCCACCATGCCCAGCCAAGTCAATGAACTTTTAAAAAGCCATCACTGCAGTCCAAAATCAAATGTTTAAAACTTTGGATCACACCAGAAGGCCAAATTCAGCTGACTGCATGTTTTGTTAATAAATAGTTTTTTTTTCCTTTGGAACATAAACCCTTTCATTTATGATTGCTTGCATGCTACATTTATATATAACTTATGATTGCTCACATGCAATATTTATGTCTTGTTTATGACTCCTTGCATGATAGGAAGGCAGAATTGAGTAAGTGCCACAGAGATTGGCCCACATAGTCCAAATGTTTACTGTCTGGCCCTTTGCATAAAAAGTTTGTAGACCTACCCATCACTGTGGTGAGAAGCATAGGTTTGGAGTCATAGATGAGCATGGATTGGAATTCCAATGACAAGCAATCAACCCTTCTAACCTCAGCTTGCTTATTCACAAAATGGTAAAAATATTATCTGCCTTGCATAGCTGTTGTGATGGTTTCATAAAATTATATTACCAAAAAAAGGCATGAAGTACACAGTAAAGATAGAAGCCAAGAGTTACCATTTTTCTTCAGCTAAAGCAGATTCTGAAAGTTTTTTTTTTATGTGAGGTAATGTTATAGAACACAATTGGACTGCATATAGCAATATACTAAGGCTTGGCTTATTGATCACTCTGTCAAGTCACAGGAAAAAGTTTAAATTGGTGGATATAACCACTAAGACATCCTAAATTGGATAATCTGCGGATAGCTTTTAGAACTAACATGGCATCCTTCTTTTTGTATCCTAAATTTAATTTTGAAATAAAAAGTCATTCTAAAACAGACATGCAGTTATTTCTCACAATGCATTCACTCTGTTTTCTTCTTGTGGTGTATCTGCAGTTTTATCAGCAGATACAGGTCCAAATAGAAGCAATAAAGAAGCATCTAGAAGTAACACACTGAACATGTGCAGATACAAACATGTAGGTGTCGACCACCCACTGCGAAGCTGTGTCTGTTCTTTCAAGTTCCTCCTTCTTGAGCTAGAAGCTCCTTCAGGAGGGGACAGTTAAGCCAAGTTAGAAAAGGCTGAAGACAGAGAGATCCACTGCCACTTGCCCGAGATCTAACAGCCAAGAGAACACACACATTTCTACTGCTAGGTTTTGGTGTCCTGGGAGAGAAATTAATTACAAAGTTGTACTATTTGGGGGAAATGCAAGTCAAGGAGTAACTGAACCAAATATGGGACAAAATCCCTCTAGTCTCTGTCTCTATTCTAATGAGCATGAATTTCAAGGTTAAGGACTCAGGGAGATTAAGCTATGACCAAAATGCTAATGATGGAGGAAGGGAAGAGTGGGAAGCATAAGAGCCATAGTATTAACAAAATTTTCCCCAATGATGACAAAACATTTCCCAGCACTGATACGCGTTCCTCAGGCTGTTGCTACTTCCAACTCTCAGATCTATCTCTGGGCCACTGGAAAGTAAGGAGTTAGCCTAACAGAAGTCTTTTTGGGAGACTGGGGCAGGTTGGGTAACAGGTGGGCTCAGAGACCCAGGATGTCCCACCTATCTCTGCCCTGCTGCCAAAATTTCCAAAGTAAATTTATCAGACAGGCTCCATAAGCACCTTCACTAAGACATTGGTTACTTCATATCTCAAGGTGAGAATTTAGTGTGAGAACCAAGGTTACGCATCCACAGTACATGCAGACATGGGTAACAGAAGAGATGCCACTGCTTGGCACAATAAATTATGATCAGGTTTTCAAGAAGTCTTCAAATGTCTTATGTATTATAAGCCTTTACTCTTCCTTTCATAATAGTTATCTTTATACCAGGGTTCCAAAAGGTCTCTCTCAATTTCACTGAATGACTACCAAGACAAAGAAGCTGGCCAGCCTGCCCAGGCTGTTGGTAGAAGGCAGAAAAATAAAAAATCCTAATAAACTACTAACTTTTTGTGAAAATTATTACAGAATCTAAATGCTGCATGCACAATGAAATAGGTATAAAGGAGAAAGTGCTACCAGAGGAGAGAGGTGCCTGAAAGGATGACTCAAGCTGATGAGATGCAGTTTGCTGAATAACTGGCTGCTCTGTCTTTATAACAAACTCCACAGCCCTGGAATACCTCTTAAGAAAGCAGTGGACAGCATCAGCAGCATCTGCAACCACTGTCAAGAGCTCTTCTTTGGAAAACTTGATAATGGTCTTCAGTAACAAATCATCACGCATGCACTAAAGCCTTTTTTCTTTTCTTAGGGGGTTGTCCTCTGTGTATTAAAACCCTTAACTGAAGAAAATCACTGATTAAGGACGAAACCTCAAGGAAATTAGCAGCTACAGAGGCCTCCTGTCTGGCTACTTGGCATAACGGAGTTGACTCCCCATTTGAACTTTGATGACATCCAGGCATTCTCTACAGGGCTTTCTTTTCAGGAAAGGTTGAAGAAAGGAAGTGGGAGACAAGGATGGTGACGCTGCTTAGATTCACATGAAGGGCTAAAGTTTATGTGTCATCTTATGTTGGTATATCCCAGGGCTGCTTTTTTTTTTTTTTTTGATACGGAGTTTCGCTCTTGTTGCCCAGGCTGGAGTGCAGTGGTGTGATTTCAGCTCACCACAACCTCTGCTTCCCGGATTGAAGCGATTCTCCTGCCTCAGCCTCTTGAGTAGCTGGGATTACAGGCATGTGCCACCATGCCCGGCTAATTTTGTATTTTTAGTAGAGATGGGGTTTCATCATGTTGGCCAGGCTGGTCTCGAACTCCCAACCTCAGGTGATCCGCCCGCCTTGGCCTCCCAAAGTGCTGGGATTACGGGCATGAGCCACCAAGCCCGGCCTCCAGGGCTGCTTTGAAGTCTCAAAGCAGAAGATTCATCGTCCAGATTTATTTATAGAACATACCTGACTGCTGAGAAAATTCTCTATTTAGAATGTGTTGTACCTTGGACCATGTCTCTCAATAGGTCCAGAGGTTGGTGAAAAGGTTGGGCAAAGGTAGTCATGACGCTATGGAGGGCACAGTCCTTTTTTAGTGTTGATATCGGCTACCATAAAGGACAAAGTTACTACTAATGTAAGTTGGCCAAATTAAGACAAAGAAAAACTGAGGAGAACATGTTCATTTTCCTATTTTTTTTTCAGTTTTGCTCAAGTCTGCTTCAGTTAAGCCAGAGACTCAACTTCCTTTGCAAAAGAAAAGGACTTTTCCTGCAGTTTATTACAGCCTGTCAGAGGTATTAGGCAACTAAGAAACTCATTTTGAAATCTAGCAGCAATATTTAATCAGACATTTTGAAACTTACTTATTTTTTTTTTGAGATGGAGTCTCGCTCTGTCGCCCAGGCTGGAGTGCGGTGGAGCAACCTTGACCCATTGCAACCTCCAACTCCAGATTTAAGTGATTCTCCTGCCTCAGCCTCCCAAGTAGCTGGGATTACAGGCGCACACCACCACGCCCAGCTAATTTTGTATTTTTAGTAGAGACGGGCTTTCACCATGTTGGTCAGTCTGGTCTCAAACTCCTGACCCCAGGTGATCTACCCGCCTTGGCCTCTCAAAGTGCTGGGATTACAGGTGTGAGCCACCATGCTCAGCCGACATTTTGAAATTTAAATCATCAAAAACATTAGAGACATTTCTCTCAAATGGAACAGTTCAGCTACTTACAGGCCATTGTGTGGTAAATGCTGGGCCAGTATTGACCACTGTCTCTTTTCAGCCATACCCGGATGGTTCTGTGGAGAAAAGAAAAGAAAAAATAGAGTAGGTTTTAGTAATTTTATCTTTTGTGTTCCATGAGAACTTAATTTTTAAAATTTGTTTAACACTATTTCCTAACTGACCTTATAAAACTAACTGGACAAACTGGACAAATATATACATACATGTACACATACATATATAGTATATAACATATATATTATATACAGATACATATATAGCATATTGTATATGCACACCATATACATATACATACTATATATAGTCACATAAAGTATGATGATATAAGGTAAGTTATGCAGTACCTAGGAGTCAGGATTTCAAATCATTTCAATAATATGAAAATGTTCGGCCAGGCGCGGTGGCTCACGCCTATAATCCCAGCACACTGGGAGGCCGAGGCAGGCGGATCACGAGGTCAGGAGATCAAGACCATCTTGGCTAACATGATGAAACCCCGTGTCTACTAAAAATACAAAAAACATTTAACTGGGCATGGTGGCGGGCACCTGTAGTCCCAGCTACTCAGGAGCCTGAGGCAGAAGAATGGCATGAACCCGGGAGGCAGAGCTTACAGTGAGCCGAGATTGCGCCACTGCACTCCAGCCTGGGCTACAGAGTGAGACTCTGTCTCAAAAAAAAAAAAAAGAAAAACAAATGTTCATTACAAAATGACATAGAAAGAAAACAGAACTGTTAACTGCTTTTCTTGGTAAAAACAAATTATGTGCACTTGGTGGTTGACCGTCTGGGCCGAGAGGAAGGCGGTGGCTGTGAGTGGGAAGAGGCTCATGGAGGAGTGGCATGGAGAGGGGCGCCACGCACACCAGGAGCACACAGCAGGCTCGGGCTTGGGCATGGCAATTCTGCCTTCTGCTCCCCAGAGGAAATCATTCCACACCACATCTCTGGGGCCCTCTTTCATCGGAACATGCACAGGGTGATGAGGAAATCCTGTGCCCATGCAGGAAAATGACAAACGACCAAAATAGCCAAAGTTTAATATTCAGGTTTATGACCTCAGAGAAACAATGGGAGTCCTGCAGTTCCTGCTCCTGCACTCTCAGGGCCTCTGGGCGCCAGGCCTCTCCATCTCCTGCATCCCTAGGACACCGGGGATTCCACAGGTGATCGCCCTGCTCTGCCTCTGTAGTTACTCATAACCACCTTACTGTCCCCACTGCCAACTCGGTGACAATCACTTTTATGTTTCTCATTCATTATTTATTTATGGGACAGTGTCTCACTCTGTCACCCAGGTTGGAGCGCAGTGGCACGATCTCGGCTCACTGCAACCGCCACCTCCCGGGTTCAAGGGATTCTCCTGCCTCAGCCTCTCAAGTAGCTGGGATTACAGGCGCACGCCACCACACCCAGCTAATTTTTGTATTTTTAGTAGAGATGGGGTTTCATTATGTTGGCCAGGCTGGTCACTAACTCCTGACCTCAAGTGATCCGCCTGCCTTGGCCTTCCAAAGTGCTGGGATTACAGGCGTGAATCATCACACTCGGCCCTTATTTATTATTTTTTAAGATGCAGTCTTGCTCTGTGGCCCAGGCTGGAGTGCAGTGGTGCAATCACGGCTCATAGCAGCCTTGACTTCCCAGACTCAAGCAATCCTCCCACCTCAGGACCCCAAGGTGCTGGTATTAGAGGCATGAGCCACCACACGTGACCCATTTTTGTATTTCTAACGGCAATGTAGATTCTGGCATAAGTAGGAGCTGAATAAATGCTTACACCCTTAACCTAAAATACATGAAGCCTAAATATTGATACCATATGTTTCCAGTTTTGAGGCCTAGACAAGTAAAACTGGGTGGTGGGATGCATAGGCAGCGTGTCCTGGAGGCAGCGTCCTCCCTGACCCTTGAGACCAGGGAGACCCTCACACACCCTGACCATAGCACTTCCCAGGAGGTTCATCCACTCTCCTCGACACAGTGCCAATTACCACAAGGCCTGCAAGCCAGACCCATGCAAGCACAAGGCAGAAACCATTTGTTTGTGGCAATGAAGGGCATGATAAGACCTTCGTCAGGGACTCCCACCTGAGTCCCCACGTCCTCATTCACACTGGAGGAAAGCTGTGCGGCTGGTGGCTATAAGCACAAATTCAACACAAAATCAAACTTGAAGAAATATTTTCAATGCAAACTTGAAAATGCACAAAGACAACAGGTATGCGATTTGAAGGCTGTCAGAAGATCTTTAAGAAGCATCAGCAGCTGGACATCCACCAGGGCCAGCACACCAGTGACCCGCTGCTCAAGTGTGCCCAGGGGGATCAGGAAGCACCCACTGCACCCAGCAGGCTGGGCCCACGCGGCCAGGCCCATGAGGGCTGCACAGTATATAGCAAAGGGATGTTCCCTGGTGGCCAAAACATAGAACTTCTGAAACATGAGAGAAACTCCTAAGAAGGAAATATTAATAACATGTGCAGTATGCCAGGAAATATTTACATGGAAAGATGATTTTCAGCAGCACATGAAAACATATCCAAGAAAGAGACATGGGTTGCTGCCCAAGAGAAGAACAGGGTGGAACCTGCACAGCTGTATGTAACCTCCAGAGCCACAGTCTCCTTTCAGGAGTAAGAGTGCCCTGTTGTGTGTGAACACGCCGGCTGTGGGAAACCTTGCAGGAAACCTTGCAATAAAACAAAGTCTCACCAGGCATGGCTGGTGCACGATCCTGAGGAGAAAATGGAGCTCAAAGTAAAACCATCTCGTGAAAAATGGAGTTTGGCCCTTGCCTCAGTGGATGCATCCCTCCTCAAGGGAAAAAGATGGGCAAGGCTTATCTTTGCTTAAAACAGAGAGTGGCTGAACCGTACGGAAGACAAGGTACTCTCGACAGTGGCTATCCTCGCCTTCAGCTAAGCATCACATCGCTTTGTTTACAGGACTGCGGACCAGTGGGCCTGGTTACCTTCCCTCAGAAGTCTGTTTTTCTTTATTAAAATCACTGATGTAAAACAACGACAAAAAATACAAGTCAAACTGATCAGAGACCAGAGGGACAATCAGAATAGTGGTTGCTTCTGGGGTAAGAGGAGGACTGAATGCAATCAGAAGAGAGAAAACTTTCTAGGGGAACATCAAGGCTCCGGGTGTTGGTAACCATGGATATATGTATTTGTTAGAACCTGTCCAACTCTACCCAAGATCTGTACACACTATTATATATGATTAAAAGTAAAACTAGTAGTTGGTCTTTATTTATCCAAACAAATAAGATGACCTAGCACCACAGTGAGATTAATGCTATTCTGTATGTGAACTGGATAGAAACAAGCCTTAGGGCTAACACAACTGGATTAATCCTTTAGATCCACCAACCAATTGATAGGAAATACAGAGGACATGGGAACATACTGAGCACCATTCAGCAAAGTCAAGACTGCAGGAAACTCCATAGAGAAATGACTCACTTTCTTCTACAAATAATTTGCAAGGGAAAAAAAAATAGAGAGGAAGAACAAACCTATGATTAAAGAGATTTTAGAGGTCTATCCAGCAATTAAAATAGGTAGACTTACTTAAATCCTAATTCAAACTAAAAGATATGTATAGATATTTGAGGATATTTTAAAGATTTTTTTTTTTTTGACAGGGTTTCGCTCCGTCACCCAGGGTGGAGTGCAGTGGTGTGATCACAGCTCACTGAAGCCTCGAACTCCTGGGCTCAAGCGATCCTCCCACCTCAGCCTCCTGAGCAGCTGGGACTACAGACGTGTACCACCACACCTGGCTGTTGCTCATTCCTTTGGGTGTGTTAATGGTGTCGCTGTTTGTTTTTTAAGAATTAAACGATAATTCCCATATATCACGTTTGCCATCCTCATTTGTCATCCTCAGCGTGACTACCACAGTCTAGGTCCCATCTTTCACACAGCAGTAGGCCTGCTCTCACAGGAGTAGTGGACTCTTGCCTCCCTCTGCTCCACCTCCAGTGTGCTGACCCCCAGCTACCTCTCCCAAGGAGCCGCCTGGATCACAGTGCCCCTATGCTCAGAACCCACCAGTGGTTATCTCAAATCCAGATTCAACTGACAACCTTAGCGCCTATGACTCCCCATCCCAGAGCCTGCATCCCAGTGAGCTGTCATCCTCACATTCCCTGAATACGTCCAGCTCAGGTTATGCCCTAAATCCACCTTCCTCCCCACCCTACCAAGAACTCTTCTCTCCAGACAGTGTTTTCTGAGCAGATCACAGGATGGATGCCATTTCAGCATAACTTCTTCATCTAAAAGAATCAGTGGATGCTTCTATCCAATGATGATCCTTAAACATGAACAGCCAATATATTATTGCAGTGAGTTGACTATATTCCATATTACTTAAATCAGAATGTTTATGGATACATTCCGACATAGGGGATGAAGCCAAAACCATTGAAATAAACAAGAGGCCAACTTCCTGCTAAGCATTAACTCTGTTCAAGGATTCTCCTCCACCTCCAAACACACAGTGACAAAGGCCAAGGCACCTGGAGATCAAGGATTCATGCAGCAGCACTTCACACTCACAGGCTTCATTCGTACAATCACAAAGTAAACCTGCCAGCTGCCTGTGTGTTCGGGTTTCTTAGGTCAAAGGAAGAACAGAATGCTGACATGTTCTAAAACTCTTCAAATCAATTCCAGCAATCTTAGGTCATGAATGTGTAGGTGGCTCAAAGGATCTAGTGGCATGTGCTCTTGCTCAGTGCTCATGGAAAGAAGGGCACAATTCAGAAATCAGAGAACTCTGCTGGGAGGAGAAAATCTTAAAGGTTGTCTCTTCCAACCAAGTATTTAACCTGGAAAAGTCTAATGTTAATTTCATACAGCTTTAGAATACTTAAACTAGCCCAAAGTCAAAATCGAACCTACTTAGATTCCAGCATTTTGAACACAGTATTACTTCCTTTGGAAGACAAACATCAGCATATAGTTTGGTTGGCACAAATTGGACCTATGCTGGGACCCATCTAATAAACTAGGAAATTGTCAAGACTTCCACGATCTCTTAGGCTTTTTGTTTGAAAACTGTCGGTCACATCCCAGCTGAGAGAAGGCCCTCCTTGTCTGGGAATCAGGTTCCAAATGAGGCAACTGGCCTGGATGGTTGGCGCTACCTTTGTCTTTACACCTTCATCTGGCATTCCCTTCCATCTCTTTTCAAACCAGACCCTTCCTCTTCCAAGACTAAATCAAACCAAAGTTTAACCCTTAACACTATTGTACCCCAAGAACCTATTAAACAGAGATGCTCATTTCTATGAGTAATATACGAATGTATTTTGTATTATGTCCAGAATATTTACCAAATGGTTGTAAAAATAGTTTTAAGTTGGGCCACTTATTTAAAATACAACAAATTCCAGACTAAAAAATTACTATCCAGTAAATTGGAAGTAAAATCTACTATTCAGTAAGTTGAAAGCAACATAATAATAGTTTAGTAATATTTACAGGAGCAAACTATTTCAAAGTCTAGGATAATATTAATAAACTGTAATCCCAGCACTTTGGGAGGCCGAGGCGGGTGGATCACAAGGTCAGGAGATCGAGACCATCCTGGCTAACATGGTGAAACCCTGTCTCTACTAAAAATACAAAAAATTAGCCAGGCGTGGTGGCGGGCACCTGTAGTCCCAGCTACTCGGGAGGCTGAGGCAAGAGAATGGCATGAACCTGGGAGGCGGAGCTTGCAGTGAGCCGAGATCGCGCCACTGCACTCCAGCCTGGGCGACAGAGCAAGACTCCGTCTCAAAAAAAAAAAATAAATAAATAAACCGTCTAATCACTGAAGTGTCAAGATCAGATGGTATTATTTTTTGTATAAATCACAATATTTTCTGTCTAGATTGAATGTCTAAACCACTCTCTCCACTAAGATAAAACAGCTTATGTTTTCCTTTAATATTTTGACAATTTTACACCCACATAAACTCATCTTATGTTTTTCCTGCTGCTTATTCTGCCCATTTTTCTAATGGCTGGATTTTCTTTTATATTCCAGGACCACATCAATCTGGGGAAAAGAAATCTTTCCTTAAAACCACAACCTTAGAAACGTGTTCATTCTTTTCCAAGCTCTATTTTTAAGTTGTTTTAAAACAATAGTCTGATATTTTTCCAAAAGATCCTTAGAAAGGAAATGTGTCATTGCTTTCAGAGCCTAATAAATCTTTTCCAAACTTCTCCATGCTACCATTCCTGTGGAGGGCTTCTACCATCTATCTCCTCTGCACTTTTAGAGAAGCAAGGACTTGCATATAGCTGCAATATCTTCCAGGAACAGATGAGAAAAGGTATCTCCATATATGACTATGTTATACATATATAACTTACAGGGTATGCACGCCACTACCATCACTTTATTTATTTATTAAACAGAGTCTCACTCCATCACCCAGGCTGGAGCGGTATGGCACAAGTTCAGCTCACTGTAACCTCTGCCTCCTGGGTTCAAGCGATTCTCATGCCTCAGCCTCCCCAGCAGCTGAGATTACAGGCATGTGTCACCATGCCTGGCTAATTTTTGTATTTTTAGTACAGACAGGGTTTCACCATGTTGGCCAGGCTGGTCTTGGACTCCTGGCCTCAAGTGATCTGCCCGCCTCGGCCTCCCAAAGTGCTGGGATTACAGGTGTGAGCCACCGCACCTGGCCCCATGACTTTATTTGTTTATCATTGTTCAGCACTGTAGATGATTCATTTATTTTCCAAGTAAATAAAATTCCAAAATTGATTCTTTTTTATGCTAAATGTTTCAGATTAAAATGTTTTTAAAATGTACTGCTGTGCAGGGAAAGCAAAGGAACAACTCAAAACAATAACAAAATGCCACTTCTAGGGCTCTCATACTTCTTTGTCAGAATTGTAAATTAGAACTATTTGGCAAGAATTTTGCTCCAATATAGAGAGAAACAAATACACCTGCCCAATAATAATGACAACAACACTAATGATAAACTTTGATTAAGGAATTCCAGGCTTGGAAATTGGTTCTATAGAAATCATTTAATAGAATAAAAAAGGAACTACAAATTTAAAAAACTTCATATAAGCTTTATCCAAGGAGTAAAAATGGGGAAAATATGTTAAAGAATGAAATGGGTTAATGATAGAGTAATTCAATAGCTTATATAATCATTACAAATAGTTATGAAGTCCTGGAGCCCCAATAAAATGTTTATGAAATGGTCAGCTTTTTTGTTCCTAAAAAAAAAAAAAAAAAGCATAACACAGAGATTATTATAACCCTCAGAGATATTGCAGGTTTATCACAATAAAGCAAATGTCGCAACAAAGTGAGTCACACAAATTTTTGGTTTCCCATATGCAAGCTGTAGTTACACTATAGTCTGTTAAGTGTGCAGTAGCATTACATCTAAAAATCAATGTACATACCTTAGTTTTAAAATACTTTATTGCTAAAAAAAAGTTAACGATCATCTGAACCTTCAGCGAGGGGTAATCATTTTGCTGGTGGAGGGTCCTGCCTCAATGTTGATGCTGCTGATCCATCAGGATGGTTGTTGATGAAGGTTGGCGTGGCTGTGGCAACTTCTTAAAATAAGACAACCAAGAAGTTTGTTGCATCGATTGACTCTTCCTTTCCCAAAAGACTTCTCTGTAGCATGCAATGCAATTTAATAGCATTTTACCCATAATAGAACTTCTTTCAAAAGTGGAGTCAATCTTCTTAATGCCTGCTGCTCCTCCATCACCTAAGTTTATGGAATATTCTAAATCTTTTGCTGCCATTTCAACAATGTTCACCGCATCTTCATTAGATGTTGATTCCATCTCAAGAAACCACTTTCTTTGCTCATCCATATGAAACTCTTTAAACATTCAGCTTTTATCATGAGATTACAACAATTCAGTCACATCTATATGTTCCACTTCTAATTCTAATTCTCTTGCTATTTCCACATCTGCAGTTACTGAAGGCTTGAACCCCTCAAAGTTATCCATGAGGGCTGGAATCAACTTCTTCCAAATTCCTATTAATACTGACAGTTTAACCTTCTCTCAAGAATCATGAATGTTCTCAATGACATCTAGAATGGTGAATCCTTTCCAGAAGGTTTTCAACTTACTTTGCCCAGATCTATCAGAGGCACTATCTACGGCAGTTATAGCCTTATAAAAAAATTTTCTTTTGAGACAGGGTCTCCCTCGGTTACTCAGGCTGGAGTGCAGTAGCACAATCAAGGCTCACTGCAACCTATGCTTCCCAGGCTCCAGGGATCCTCCCACCTCAGGTTCCCCAGTAACTGGGACTACAGGCACACACCACGACACCTGGCTAACTTTTTTAAGGCTTTTATAAAGTCTCATTCTACTGCCCAGGCTGGTCACTCAAGTGATCCTGCCACCTCAGCCTCCCAAAGTGCTGAGACTACAAGCATGAGCCAGTATGCCCAGCAAAAGTGTATTTTTTAAATCACAAAACTTGAAAGTTGAAATTACTCCTTGATCCATGAGCTACAGAATGAGTGTTGTATTAGCAGGCATGAAAAACAACATTAATCTCATGGTATGTCTCCATCCTCAGAGTTCTTGGGTGACTAGGTGCATTTTCAATAAGCAAATATACATACATTTACATATATATGTGTGTGTATTTCATATATATACAAATATGTGCGTGTGTGTGTGTGTGTGTGTGTATGTGTATTTTTGAAACAGAGTCTCACTCCATCACCCAGGCTGGAGTGCAGTGGCACAATCTCAGCTCACTGAAACCTCTGCCTCCTAGGCTCAAGCGATTCTCATGCTTCAGCCTCCTGAGCAGCTGGACTTACAGATGTGCAAAACTGTGCCTGGCTAATTTTTGTATTTTTAGTAGAGCCGGGATTTTGCCATGTTGGCCAGGCTGGTGTCGAACTCCTGACCTCAAGTGATCTGTCTGCTTCGGCCTCCCAAAGTGCTGGTATTACAGGTGTCAGCCACCGTTTCCGGCCAACAAGCAATAATATTTTGAAAGGAATCTTTTTTTCTGAGCAGTAGGTCTCAACAATGGGCCTAAAATATTCAGTAAACCATGCTGTCAACACACATGTTGTCATCCAGGCTTTGTTGTTCCATTTATAGAGCACATGGCAAAGTAGACTTAACATAATTCTTAATGGTCTTAGGATTTTTGGAATGGTTAATGAGCAATGACTTCAACTTAAAGTTACCAGCTGCATTAGCCACAGAAGAAAGTCAACCTATCTTTTGGAGCTTTGAAGCCAGGCACTGACTTCTCTACTAGCTATGAAAGTCCTAGATGGCATCTTCTTCCAAAAGAATTGTTTGGTCTGCATTGAAAATCTATTGTTTAATGTAATTGCTTTTGCCAATTATCTTCACTAGATCTTCTGGATAACTTGCTGCAGCTTCTACATTAGCACTTGAT
This sequence comes from Homo sapiens, assembly GCF_000001405.40. Classification (NCBI taxonomy): domain Eukaryota; kingdom Metazoa; phylum Chordata; class Mammalia; order Primates; family Hominidae; genus Homo; species Homo sapiens. The sequence goes on from NC_000002.12 coordinate 223,927,405, forward strand.
GCTTCACTTTGCACTTTTATGTTATGTAGACTGCTTCTTTCCTTAAACCTAATGTGCCAATTCTGCTAGCTTCAAACTTTTCTTCTGTAGCTTCCTCACCCCTCTCAGGCTTCATAAAATCGAAGAGGATTAAGGCCTTGCTCTGGATGAGGCTTTGGCTTAAGAGAATGTTGTGGCTGGTCTGATCTTCTATTCAGATCACTAAACCTTTCTCCGTATCATCAATAAGGCTGTTTTGCTTTCTTATTCATGTTTTCACTAGATTAGCACTTTTAATTTCCTTCAAGAACTTTTCATTTGCATCCATAACTTGGCTGTTTGGTGCAAAAGGCCTAGCTTTCGGCCTGTCTCAGCTTTTGATGTGCCTTCCTCACTAAGCTTAATCATTTCTAACGTTTGATTTAAAGTTAGAGATATGTGACTCTTCCTTTCACTTGAACACTCAGAGGCTATTGTAGGGTTATTCACTGGCCTAATTTCAATATTGTTGTGTCTCAGGGAATAAGGAGGCCTGGGGGGAAAGGGGGAAAGGAGGGAGGCAGGGAAAGAGGGAGGGAGAGAGAGAGAGACAGACAGACATAGGGTAACAGCCCGTTGATGGAGTATTCAGATCACACACACTATCATTTAAGTTTGCCATCTTATGTGGGCACAGTTTGTGGCTCCCCAAAACAATTACAATAGTAATATCAAAGATCACTGAACACAGACCACCACAACAGATATAATAATAAAGTTTGGAATATTGCAAGAATTACCAAAATGTGACACAGAGACACAAAGTGAGCACAATGTATTGGAAAAATGGCACAGATAGACTTGCCTGGTGCATGGTTGCCATAAACCTTCAATGTGTACAAAATGCAGTATCTGAGAAGCACAATAAAACAAGGTATGCTTGTATCAAATCATATAACTAAATTATGCAACCACACTACATCAGGCTGGGCAGGGCAGGTAGGGAGGCTGATAAAGGACAGGAGAAGGGGAGGAGAAGAGAACCCACCTCCAAGGCAGACAATGTCCTGGGCTCCTTGTGAGAACCCCAGAGAAAAGATACGGAGGCTGAGTTCTGGCAGAACAGCAGGATACCTGCTGACCGACCTCCCCAGTGAGCCACAATTAAACATTTTGCGCAATGAGCCTTGAGGCACTTAGGGACTTATTTTATGTGGTTTTCAAGAGTGGCTACCTAAAATTCTACATGTTAAAATGTTCCACTCCCTAAGAGTCTATCCTTTAAATTGCTGTCCCCACCAAAAGCAAAAACAGAAGTCATTGGAATCCGAAGCAATTTCAAATATAGTGGCACAACTTTCCTTTTTTCCATAAGGCAGATGCCAGAGGCTTCAGTTGTCCATCGCTGAGTACACTCACCCTGGCCTATGCTGGCCTTCAAATGAACTTGTGCCTTGGGTCAGGCTTGGGATTCTGGAGCACCATCTGCCCCCAGTGAGTCTATTAGTGGATTCAACGTGTCTGCAGATGTTATTGCAGGGGGGGTGAGAGAGCCCCAGGACCAAAAAGGAGACATGGACCTGGACACCAGACTAGAGGTGCCTGGGTAGCCAGGGGCCTTGATAGCATCGTTCCCAAAGGAGCAGTGAGCAGAAGGCAGAGCCAGCAGAGCTGGCCAAGACATCAGATGCAGAAGGACAGTGAAGGAGAAGATGCTCCCAAAAGGCACCTAGCTCTTGGGCCTGAAAGTTATAAGGCAATAAACTGTGCCTCTCCATCAGCATGTGTCCCTGTCTAACTTCTTTTTTTTTTTCTTTCTGTTTTTTGTTTTTTTTTTTTTTTGAGACAGAGTTTTGCTCTTTATGCCCAGGCTGGAGTGTGATGGTGAGATCTCTTCTCACTGCAACCTCCGCCTCCCGGGTTCAAGCGATTCTCCTGCCTCAGCCCCGCTAGTAGCTGGGATTACAGGCACCCACCACCATGCCCAGCTAATTTTTGTATTTTTAGTAGAGATGGGGTTTCACCATGTTGGTCAGGCTGGTCTTGAACTCCTGACCTCAGGTGATCTGCCCACCTCGATCTCCCAAAGTGCTGGGATTACAGGCATGAGCCACCGTGCCCAGCCTCCTGCTTAACTTCCTGCAAGCTCACAACACTGAACTGTTGTGGCACACACAAGAATGTTCCTGCATTCTAGACACACATCAAGATTCGTGAAAAGCAACTCTGTGATTTCCCACCTCCCTGCACCTCCCTGAACTTCCCTCTACCACCTTCTCTAAAAAAAATTTAAAAAAATAAAGATTCATGAAAAGCTTGTGGTCTGTTGAGAACGAGGTGCCACATCCTGATGGCAGGGATGACAGGCGCTTCTGCCTTCATTTTACACTTAAGGAAGCAGAAGCAAGGAGAGATACGATCTGAAAATCACACAAACCAACAGCAGCACTGCATCAGACTGACTTCATTTAGTTGTTTGACCAACTTTCTCTCTTATCAAGATGGTGAAAGTTCATCTTTAAAACATTATCAAAGTAAACAATTCAAAGCAAAGCAGCCTTATGTGGTAAGTAAGTAAAACTTTTTTAAAGGCTTTTTAGAAATCCACACTTTATCCTCCAAAGCAGTAATTCCTAAACAATAAGGAAACAAGAAGCAGTAAATTACTTTTTCCCCCCAAATAAATCAGAGTATGGAAAAGTTCAGGTCTAACTTCAAAGCTCACTTGGTTCAAAGAAATACTGACCTCTGTGCTAAATACGAGTGGTGATTCCAACAAAGTCTCTCACTACCTCCAGCTCTAGATTTAGCCCAATCTAGCTACAGCGTGCGATATTGTATGTAAGTGCCTGTGGTGAAACAATTTAAAAAACAATGTGCTCAATTCTTTACTCCTCCCTGCATCCACGCTCCTTACAATCAGCCATTTTGCAGCTCTTTCCATCAAGAGATGGAATATATTTCTCTGAGCCTTGTTTTTGTTTTGAGACGGAGTCCGGTTCTGTCACCCAGGCTGGAGTGCAATGGCTTGATCTCGGCTCACTGCAACCTCCGCCTACCGGGTTCAGGCGATTCTCTTGCCTCAGCCTCCTGAGTAGCTGGGATTACAGGCATGCGCCACCACGCCAGGCTAAGTTTGTGTATTTTTAGTAGAGACGGGGTTTCACCATGTTGACCATACTGGTCTCGAATTCCTGACCTCACGTGATCCGCCCTCCTTGGCCTCCCAGGCATGAACTGCCGTGCCTTGCCTATTTCTCTGAGCCTTGAATATGGGTTGGCTAGTGACGCTATGTTTAAAAAAATGTGGCTGAATGGGGTGCTAGTACTGGGTCCTGAGGCCTGGTTTGCTCTCACTCTGTGTCTTGGAAGACTGCCACGTCACATGAACCACAGGGGCCAGCCTACCAGAGGACAAATGACGACATGGGAGAGAGCTCAACTGTCCTAGCTGAAGCCATCCTCGGCCCGCCTGTAGCAAGCTCACTCCCAGGCATGAGAAAGAGTCCAGCTAAGCTCAGCAGAGCTGGCCCACGGCTGGCCACAAGCATGAGTGAGCCTGGCTGAGGCCAGAAGCACTGCCTAGGTGACCTGTAGGCTCATGAACAATGACAAATCCCTGCTGTTTTAAGCCACTGAGTTTTGAGGTAGTTTGTTATGTAGCACGAGCTAACTGACACCATGCTTTCTGTTCCAAATAAATAATATACCTTTAAGAACCATAGGAATCTGAGGTTAAAATTAAAAATAAAAAGCATTTGGCATTTATTGAATGCCAAGGATTTTAAAGTAGATAGTACGAATAACTCCATTTCAACTCTTAATTGAAATACAGGATTCCCATTTTGCAAAAGTGCTAATTTGAATCCTTAAAAATGGAAGCAGTCACTGAAGTACAAAATAAAGTTATTACTCTTAAATATCATATAGTAATGTTTGTTATCCTGTCTACCAAGGATAAAACTTCTGTATGCTTTACCTTCCTATAGTAGATATATGAAAAGTGGAGTTATAACCACAGTTATGATTAAGAATAAAGTGTTTATTCCAGGGAGATTAATCTTTGATCTGCTGAAAGATATGCCTGATGATCATAATAAGTAGAAGGATTCCTTTTTATTTCTACTGTTAAACTCTATCAAAGAGCCAATTAAAAATAAGGTTAAAATACACTTAAGGGAATCACTAAGTCTTGAAAGCCTCATCTATTTAAGCCACAATACAGTAGGAGCAAAGATAGATTCAAGGTACAATTTTTTCCTCTGAAAAGCACTGGCTCACAAACCAGGAGGCATCTTGCAGGAGTCATTAATATTTTTCTTTCTTTTTTTTTTTTTTTTTTGAGACAGAGTCTTGCTCTGTTGCACAGGTTGGAGGCAGTGGCGTGATCTCAGCTCACTGCAGCCTCTGCCTCCCGGGTTCAAGCAATTCTCTTGCCTCAGCTTCCCAAGTAGCTGGGACTACAGGCATGCACTACCACACCCAGCTAATTTTTGTATTTTTAGTACAGACAGGGTTTCGCCATGTTGGCCAGGCTGGTCTTGAACTCCTGGCCTCAAGTGGTCCACCTACCTCGGCCTCCCAAAGTGCTGGGATTACAGGCGTGAGCCACTGCACCTGGCCTAATTGGTCTAATTTTTTTTTTTTCCCCATACCAGAAAGGGCACTGGAAATATTTTTAAACCTGTAATTCCATAAGGGTATACATTTGGGTTCAATACATATTTTCTAGTATGTATTACCAGTATGAGTACCTTTTTTTTTTTTTTTTTTTTTTTGAGACGAAGTCTCGCTCTGTCACCCAGGCTGGAGTGCAGTGGTGCAATCTCGGCTCACTGCAAGCTCCACCTCCTGGGTTCACGCCATTCTCCTGCCTCAGCCTCCCGAGCAGCTGGGACTACAGGTGCCTGCCACCACGCCTGGCTAATTTTTTGTATTTTTAGTAGAGACAGGGTTTCACCGTGTTAGCCAGGATGGTCTCGATCTCCTGACATTGTGATTCGCCCACCTCGGCCTCCCAAAGTGCTGGGATTACAGGCATGAGCCATGGCGCCGGGTCGATTACCTTGAAATTGATGTCCAGACTTTAATAAGCAGACTCAACTAGCACATAATTATTTCTACAAAATCACACCAAGTTCTACCTGGCCTGAAACAGCAATATCTCTGAAACTGAATATCTTTTTTAAACTTTCTCAAAAACACACCCTAATCACTCCAAAAACAGCTAAATTAAAGCAATTTAACCATCCTTAAATTCTAAACTGATAAAAAGAGATCATTCAATTAATCATTTTAAAAGGGCATACTATATGTTACAAATTAAGTCCAAGGTCCTGATTTCTTTTAAACTCTGGGCAAACAGTAATTCTGAGAAAATCTGATTTTCTGGTCATTCTTAGGGATGCTGATACTATTTCAAATCTTGGTAAATCTGTGAACATTTCTGTCACCTATAGCAAAGGATATTTTTTCCTAGTCTGACAGTACCTCCAGGGGATACAGGAAAAAAAAAAAGTGTACTTCTGGCATGCTAGATGGTTTCTATAACATTAAGACGTTTGCCTGAAAGGGGGAACGAACAACATAGCTATCATTGCCATCTGTTTTTATCGAATAAATAGCAATTTCCTTCCAACGAGTCTCTGGAATTCTGCCCTGTTCATTCTTGCTGCAAAAAGAAGTCTTTCTCCTTTGGTAACAGGGAGAGAAAATGTTAGATTGTTATTGAATTTATTCTCTAAATTAAAAGGCAGAGAAACCAGCCTCATTTTGTAGAGGAGAATTAGATTGGCTGAGAAAAACAGAAATTTCCATCCCCTCCCACAGGACAGCTTCAAGGGTCTGTGACCAAGAATTAGACTGCTGATGTCACCACAGGCAGATTTTATCCAGGGAAGAAGCCACTGGGTGGCCCCAGCATTTGCACCCCCTTTAAACAAATATCACCCTTCCAGAAGCCAGATTGGCTGAAAACCTGCAGATTTTTTTTTTTTTTTTTTACTCCAAACCATTCTTGCTGTAATCTTTTCACTGTTAGCATAAAAATAATTTTTTGTGATCCTTGTGCCATCAAGAAGCCTAGAAACCACTCTAATCACTGAAGAGCAGGAATAATCTAGACAGGCTGGAGTCCATGGAGGATCTAGGCAACACTTTCTTACATTACAAAGTCTGGCCAGGCACAGTGGCTCAGACCTGTAATCCCAGTACTCTGGGAGGCTGAGGTGGGAGGATCACTTGAGCCTAGGGGCTTGAGACCAGCCTGGCAACATACCAATACCCTGTCTCTACAAAAAATAAAAATAAATTAGCTGGGCATGGTGGCACACGTCTGTTATCCCAGCTACTTGGCAGACTGAGGCTGGAGGATCACTTGAGCCCACGAGTTCAAGACCAGCCTGGGCAACATAGTGAGACCCCCCCCCATCTCTACAAAAAAAAATCAAAAATTAGCAAGGAGTGGTGGTACATGTCTGTGGTCTCAAACTCAGGAGGCTGAGGTGGAAGGATCGTTTGAGCCCAGGAGGTGGAGGCTACAGTGAGCTCTGATTGTGCCACTGCACACCAGCCTGGGAGACAGAGTGAGACCCTGCCTCAAAAAAAAAAAAAAAAAAAAGTCTCGAACCCTATCCATGGCCTAGAAGTCTTAAAACACAAATTAAAGGAATCACAAAGAAGCACAGTTTCTAATAAGGAATAGCAGCCTTTTTCTTTTCTTTTTTTTTTTTTTTTTTTTTTTGAGAAAGAGAATCTCACTCTGTCACCCAGGCTGGAGTAAAGTGGCACAATCTCAGCTCACTGCAACCTCCGCTTCCCAAGTTCAAGCAATTCTCCTGCCTTAGCCTACCGAGTAGCTGGGACTACAGGCGCACAACACCTCACCCAGCTAATTTTTGTATTTTTAGTAGAGATGGGGTGTCTCACCACATTGGCCAGGCTGGTGTCAAACTCCTGACCTTAAGTGATTCACCCACCTCGGCCCCGCAAAGTGCTGGGATTACAGGCGTGAGCCACCACACCCAGACAGTGGCCTATTTTTAGATTACGTTCCATGCTTCTTTTTCCCTAACAGATTTGTTGACTGATTCAATCAAACTAACACTTGAGACATTACTATAAGCTTTACACTGTTTTTCATGTTAGAAAAATTTTATTTTATTTTTTTAATTTTTGAGACAGAGTCTCACTCTTGTCACCCAAGCTGGAGTGCAATGGTACTATCTCAGCCCAGTGCAACCTCCACCTCCCGGGTTCAAGTGATTCTCCTGCCTCGACCTCCCCAGTAGCTGGGATTACAGGCATCTGCCACCATGCCTGGCTAATCTTTGTATTTTTAGTAGAGATGGGGTTTCACCATGTTGGCCAGGCTGGTCTCCAACTCCTGACCTCAGGTGATCCACCTGCCTCGGCCTCCCAAAGTGCTGGGGTTACAGGCATGAGCCATTGCGCCCAGCCAGAAAAAGTTTAATTAGTAAAGACAAATATGTAAATGAGTAACAGTAACAATATAATGTGGTAAGAGCTATGAGGACAGAAAAAGGGTAGATTAATGTTAGGGAGTGGGAATGGTGGTATAGTGGGTTGGGGGATTTGGCAAACATCGCACAAGAAGTCCTAATGGATGAGAAGGAGTTAATCAAGCAAATGAAACTGAGAAGAGGGTTTCGGCGAGGGAACAGCACAGCAGGACGAAGCCTCTATGGGACACTGCAGGTATCCCAGGAATTCCATACTAGGCTGTATTTTCTATAAACCATAACCTAGAAACCAAAAATGCCCCCATCAATACTGGTTGCACTATAAGCACCCTCATCTCCCCATTAACCTTTGCAACTGGACTCTACTGACGCTAAGTGTCTAAATCAAGTATAAAGACGAGGAGAAAGAGAAAAAAAATCCACACAGGCGACTTTTTACTTAAAATTTCTTTGACGGTGATCTGCTGTAGATTCACCTTGACCTTGAAGGGAAGTGTTTTGAGCAAAGTAGTATGTGGTTGACAAAGAAAAATGAATAAAGAGATTATTTCACCATGAAGTATGACAAAAATACATCATGAAATCAGTATATATGTGCTAATAATGTCTTAACAACTCTCAGAAAGATTTGCTGAGCATACTTTGTAGAGAGGGAAGATGAATACCTAAATTCTAGAAACAAGTATCATTCATTATATTACCATCTGCTTCTTAGGAAAGAACTAGCAGATTATTAAAGCTAAACACAGCAGAGGAAATGTCTACTGTGCAGAAATGGTTAAGTCTGTATCATTCAACCAGTAGCTAGTTATGCAGTACCTGGTGGAGTACAGACTATGTGGGAAGATAAGATGAATAAACACAAAGCAACAGGAACTAATACCTGATTGTAATTAACTAGGCATCATCAGTAATATACTAGGAGTGTTGAAGGAAGCTCAGAAAGGACAGAGAATGATGGGCTGGGAAGAATTATTCAATGGAGGAGGTGGAACTTGAAGTGGATCTAGGAGATGAAGGAGGGTCTGAATACAGGAGAGAGGGCAAGTGAGGTTCCTGGTGAGGGAGGCAAAGGCACCCAGGTGGGAAATGTACCAGGTGTGAGTGGGACAGAACACACACTGACTTCACTGGACACAAAAGAACCATAATAAATGAGAGATAGAAGGTGGAAATAAAGCTTAGCAGGGAGCAGTTATGGGGTTCCCAAAGTCCTTTTTTTTTTTTTTTTTTTTGGGGACAGAGTCTTGCTTTATTGCCCAAGCTGGAGGGCAGCAGCATGATCTTGGCTCACTGCAACCTATGCCCCTTGGGTTCAAGCAATTCTCGTGCCTCAGCCCAGCTTCTTGGGAGGATTACAGGCATGAGCCCCTACACCTGGCTAATTTTTGTATTTTTAGTAGAGACAGAGTTTGACTATGTTGGCCAGGCTGGTCTCTAACTCCTGGCCTCAAGCAATCTGCCTGCCTCAGCTTCCCCATGTTCTGTGATTACAGGCATGAGCCACTGCGCCCGGCCCCCAAAGTCCTTTTACAGACATGATTAAATAAGGAGCTAATGAAAGGTCATGAGCAGGAAAAAGACACAATAAAAGCCTAGTTAAAGATAGGAGATTAGTGGGACAGATCCAAGTACAGTATGCTGGAACTCAGGGAAGCCAGTTAATAGGCTTTGAAAAATGAGGTTTAAAAGATGATGAGGACAAACACTAGGGTAATTATGGGCAGGTGGGCAGAAAAGAGTTCCCACAGCAGGCCTGCTGCTGCTGTCCTTAGAAAGTCTTGCTTGCAAGGTTGGCCCTTGGCAGGTGTCTGGGACCTTGTTTATCCAGAGGGGACCTCACCATTCCCTAACTCCTAAGAATGGCTCACTGTGCTTCATGCCTGTATAAAATATGTGGTTTATGTTGACCACCTACCTTCCTTCTGAGAGTTTGGAATTTTGGAACATTAGCCAAGGGCACCTACATGACCAGCCTCTAACACTGAATAAAGTCTCTAAGGAGCTTCCCTGATAAACAATATTTCACACATGTTGTCTTAATTCAATCTGAATTAGCCTGTCCTGTGACTCCACAGGAAGAGGACTCTTGGAAGCCTTGTGTCTGGTTTCCTCTGGATTTCACCCCATGTGCTGATTTTGTTTTGCGTCTTTTGGCTATGATAAATCACAGCCATGCGTATGACTATAATGTGTCAATCTTTCTAGTGAATCAATGAACCCGATCTTGAGGATCTCAAATATAGCAGGGGAAAGATGTCTAAGTGAAACTAATCACTGACATGACCTGCAAGTAACCAAATATGGAAATAAAGAAAAGGCATGACTCAAAGGCAGTTCTAAGAATTTAGGATTGTAAATAACCCCTCAAATGGTATTGTCCTATTCAAACAGGAAAAATTTTTTTATTTTCACTTATTCACGTGCACACACAAACATGCATACAAAGTAGAAACATATTACTCTTTCGTAAGATTAAAGTAACAAAATGCAAAATAAGTGGAAATGAAAATAATAATAGCTAACACTTGTATAGTGCTTTCTCTGTCCCAGTCTTTAAGATTAAAGCAATTAAATGGAAAATAAATGGGAATGAAAACAATAACAACTAACACTTGCATAATGTTTTCTCTGTGCTAGGCACTGTTCCACGTGGTTTAATTCACCTAATCCTCACAAAACTCTGTAAAGCAGGTACAAAACGGACTCATGTCCATTTTGCACATGAGAAAACTGTGATACAGTGAGGTTAAATAACTTGTCTAAGATCACAGGGCTGGGATTCAAACTGAGGCATTCTGGCTCCCAAGCCTTTGTTCTTAACTATGCTATAAAAAGAAAATGATTGTAACAATGAAGGATCACCCTAACAATACAGGAGTAAATGTGTGGGGTGGCCACCCAGGCTTCCTGCCTTCTCAAGTCTTCAGTTTATTTTATAACACAAATTAAAGTCTACTTTTAGGCTCTGCATGACAATGAAAATACAGCAGTTAACATCCTGGTTTTCTGTATTAACTAATGAATTCCAGCTATGCCAGCCTTCCTCCCAGGCATAACACTTAAAAATCAAGTTATTTATTTAAGATTGTTTCTATGTGAACAATTGGTAAATACACAAATTTTTCCCCAAACCATCTTAATAAACTTAGATATATCTAAGTGGAAGCAAATATATTACATATTTGGTATAATTTTTAAAAAAGGAAAATGCTAAAAAACATCTAAAAGTTGGTTTTCTGTAATCTTTACTCTTTCCCAGCCTAAGTGCAACATCTCAAAACATTTTAAATCACATGAGATTTATCTTTAACTTGGGACAAACAAAATTGAGTTTCCTGCAGAAACCAATCTTGGCCTACGAGCCCCTAATGCAACAGTATAAGTACGTCCATCCACAAACTCTATTTCTCAAAAGTGAAGACAGTAGGCCTATAGCCTTAACTTATTTATAAGGCTTTATAAAGCTTTTACCTTTTAAAAATTGTATCATTCAATCAACTGACTGTCTACATTTTTGGTGCAGTCCACAGCAAAAAAGTCCAAAAAGCAAACATACTGGTTCCTACTGTCTCACCATTTTAGTTCCGCTCTGAAAGCAGAGTCTTATTTTCTGTTTCCCCTACCAGGAAAGTCACCACTGTAGTTCAAATTCTTAAACTTAAATTTAAATTAAAGAGCTTAAGGTAATTATTACTTCAGCAAAATACTAATGACTTCATACAAGAAGTAGTACCATTTTCTATTAACCATTCACGAGACATTAATCCATAAAGGTTTCTAAGCAGAACCCTAAGCTGACCACCCAAACCACTAATGACCTGTGACTCCCAGGTGTAATGGCATTAAGCTTTGATATTCCACATTGGCTTAATACTCTTTGGAGTGCTGACCGTATCTAGCTTTGTCATATGCAGTTTGATTACAGTGAACTAGGTGGCTATCTGTGAATGACCCCAGGTAAATATATCCCAGAAGGTGACAAAAAAAAAGAGGATAAAATGTAAGCAGTATTTTTTTTTTTTTTTTGAGACAGGGTTTTGGTCTGTCACCCAGGCTGGAGTGCAGTGGCACGATCTCAGCTCACCTCAACCTCCGCCTACCGGGCTCAAGTGATCCTCCCGTCTCAGTCTCCCAAGTAGCTAGGATTACAGGTGCACACTACCATGCCTGGCTAATTTCTGTATTCAGTATTCTTTCTTGGTGGTTGTACATAGGCAAGCACAGTGACAAATAACCCTCCTTTCTTGTAGAGCCGTGGTTCTAAGTGTGGTCCCTGGACTAGCAGCATCAGCATCAACGTCACCTGGAAACTTGGCAGAAATGCCAACTCTCAGGCCCCACCTGACTTTCCAAATCAGAAACTCTGGGGGTGGGGTCCAGCAACCCGAATTTCAACAAGACCCCCAGGTGATTCTGATGCACATTCAAGTTAAGGAACCAGTGTTCTAGAGAGGCCAGATAAGTACATGAAGCCCGGACTGGGGTTTCTCAATATCAGCACTATTGACATTTGGGGCTCAATAATCCTTTGGTGTGGGGCATAACAGGATACTGAGATGCATCCCTACCCTCTACCTAGATGCCAGTATTAGTTACATACAGTATTAGTCCGTTTTCACACTGCTGATAAACACATGCCAGAAACTAGGTAATTATAAACAAAATGAGATTCAATGGACTCACAGTTCCATGTGGCTAGGGAAGCCTCACAATCATGGTGGAAGGCAGAAGACATGTCTTACATGGTAGCAGACAAGAGAGAAATAGGAACCAAGCCAAAGGGGTTTTCCCTTGTAAAACCATCAGATCTCCTGAGACTTACTCACTGCCACGAGAACAGTATGGGGGAAACTGCCCTCATGATTCAATTATTTCCCACTGGGTCCCTCCCACAACACATGGGAATTATGGGAGCTACAATTCAAGATAAGATTTGGGTGGGGACACAGCCAAACCATATCACCTCCCCCACATCATGACAACCAAAAATGTCTCCAGATATTACCAAATGTTCCCTGGGTGGGAAAACCACCCCTGGCCCAGAACCACTGGCCTAGATTTTACAAAAGTGGATACTAACTTCAGGAAAACCTTCATACCTTTCACTTTTCTTCTCAAAATGCTCTCAGCTAGTTCTCACTGCTTTTAGCGTTTGTAAAATGAATTCACTTCAGCTGGACCCTACTTTAAATGTAAAAAGCTACTGGCTCATGCCTGTAATCCCAGTACTTTGGGAGGCCGAGGCGGGTGGATCACGAGGTTTGGAGTTCAAGACCAGCCTGGCCAAGACGGTGAAACCCTGTCTCTACTAAAAATACAAAAGTTAGCTGGGTGTGGTGGCGGGTGCCTGTAATCCCAGCTACTCGGGAGGCTGAAGCAGGAGAATCGCTTGAACCTGGGAGGCAGAGGTTGCAGTGAGCCAAGATCATGCCACTGTGATGCATGCAGTAAATAAAGATTACAAACAGTCTCATTTGTTCAGGCCAAATTTTAGCACCAAACGAGTTTTCAGGTCCAATTTACACACACACATACACACTTCTGACGTTTAGAATGCACTAAATTTTGGAACTGCTGATAAGAGAAGGTGACTGTACCTACCTTATAGGGAGGAAGTGTGAGGATTGGATCCAATAACACATAAGGTCCAATTCTGTACTCGTAGAGAAAAGGGACTTTCAACAGGTTAGCTATTGTTATTTCTAAATTACAAATTCCGATCATATCATTTGCTTGTTTTGAACTCTTTGATGGTTCTACACTGCCTGCAAAATAAGGTCCAAATTCCTTATTTCTTTCTTTTTTTTTTTTTTGAGACAAAGTTTTGTTCTTGTTGCCCAGGCTGGAGTGCAGTGGCGTGATCTCAGCTCACTGCAACCTCCGCCTCCCAGGTTCAAGTGATTCTCCTGTCTCAGCCTCCCAAGTAGCTGGGACCACAGGTGTGTGCCACCATGCCCAGCTAATTTTTGTGGGTTTTTTTGTTTTTGTTTTTTGAGACAGAGTTTCACTCTTGTTGCACAGGCTGGAGGGCAATGGCATGATCTCGGCTCACTTCAACCTCTGCTTCCTGGGTTCAAGTGATTCTCCTGCCTCAGCCTCCCAAGTAGCTGGGATTACAGGCATGTGCCACCACGCCCAGCTAATTTTGTATTTTTAGTAGAGATGGGGTTTCTCCATGTTGGTCAGGCTGGTCTCAAACTCCTGACCTCAGGTGATCCACCCGCCTCGGCCTCCCAAAGTGCTGGAATTACAAGTGTGAGCCACTGCACCCAGCCAATTTTTGTATTTATAGTAGAGATGGGGTTTCACCATGTTGGCCAGGCTGTTCTTGAACTCCTAACCTCAGGTGATCTGCCTGCCTTGGCCTCCCAAAGTGCTGGGATTACAGTCGTGAGCCACCGCACTTGGCCCCCAAAAACTTTTTTTTTTTAATTTAAAAAACAAAACAAAACCGGACACTGGGTCCTTCTAGCTCTCAGTCTTCTCTGTTGCTATTGTCACTGCCCACCTTTTGCTCTGGTCACTTAGAAATAGCTATGGTTCTTTCCCTCTTACAATTCCCTCCTGTCCTTTCCTCCTTCCTCTGCCTGGGATGAGGGTGCATCCCTCCTTCCTTTCTAGATGCCACTCCTCTATCCATGAAGACCAGCTCAACGACCTTCTCTAGGAGGCTGTCCCCAAACCCCGGCCCCAGCCCAAAGAGCCTCCTCTTCCTGTGTCTTCCCAGCACTGGATGCTGAATACATAGGGGCCATCTCTTCACTAGACTGTTCAGCCCTTGGGAAAGAGCAACTTAGCTGTCAGCTGTCTCTCCCCCACAGGTCTAGCATGGGCCCCACACACGTGCTGGGATTACAGGCGTGAGCCACCTTGCCTGGCCAAGGTAGTGTGGCTTTTGACCCCTGTTGTGTCCTCAGGGCCTGACACTCAATAAAAAAGCTTTTTCTAAATGAATGAGTAAATGAGTGAAGAACGTGACACGTATTTATGACAATGTGAAAACAAACCACCATGGCTAACACCAAGAAAAAACCCACGCCCATGTGCTTTCATTACATCTCATGAAGTGTAGCACCTACTAAAAAGGTTGTTCTCCCTTCAAGGAAGTTGCAAGAGCCTGAACACAACAGAAACCTCAAACGCCAACCCCATCCTGGTCCAGTCATCTACCTGGGCTCTGCAATAACAGTGGTGCACGAGTGAAAAAGTGAGCAGATGCAAGCTCCCCCAGAACGTTTCAGTCCCAGAGCAGCTTAGTAATCACTTTCCAAAAACATTTATCAGCACTGCTCCTGACCAGCAATCTCAAATATTTAGCAACTTACCCAAAACGCATGATTCATGAATAAAATATTTGACCGAATAAAGGCTGCTAACTTTTTTTTTTTTTTGATACGGAGTCTGGCTCTATCGCCCAGGCTGGAGTGCAGTGGCACAATCTTGGCTCACTGCAAGCTCTGCCTCCCAGGTTCACGCCATTCTCCTGCCTCAGCTTCCCGAGTAGCTGGGACTACAGGCGCCTGCCACCACACCTGGCTAATTTTTGAATTTTTAGTAGAGACTGGGTTTCGCCGTGTTAGCCAGGATGGTCTCGACCTCCTGACCTTGTTATCCACCCGCCTCGGCCTCCCAAAGTGCTGGGATTACAGGCATGAGCCACTGCGCCTGGCCAAAGGCTAACTTTTTTTTTTTTTTTTTTTGAGACGGAGTCTCGCTCTGTCGCCCAGGCCGGACTGCGGACTGCAGTGGCGCAATCTCGGCTCACTGCAAGCTCCGCTTCCCGGGTTCACGCCATTCTCCTGCCTCAGCCTCCCCAGTAGCTGGGACTACAGGCGCCCGCCACCGCGCCCGGCTAATTTTTTGTATTTTTAGTAGAGACGGGGTTTCACCTTGTTAGCCAGGATGGTCTCGATCTCCTGACCTCATGATCCACCCGCCTCGGCCTCCCAAAGTGCTGGGATTACAGGCGTGAGCCACCGCGCCCGGCCCAAAGGCTAACTTTTAAAGAGTGTTGTCTGCATCTACGTTCACATCATGCAAGAGTCATTATTCTGGCCGGACACCAGTGGATCATGCTTGTAATCCCAACACTTCGGGAGGCCAAGGCGGGTGGATCACGAGGTCAGGAGATCGAGACCATCCTGACCAACATGGTGAAACCCTGTCTCTACTAAAAATAGAAAAATTAGCTGGGCGTGGTGGCAGGCGCCTATAGTCCCAGCTACTCAGGAGGTTGAGGCAGGAGAATCGCTTGAACCTGGGAGGCGGAGGTTGCAGTGAGCCAAGATGATGCCACTGCACTCCATCCAGCCTGGGTGACAGAGCAAGCCTCCATCTTAAAAAAAAAAAAAAAAAGTCATTATTCTGTCCTTGCCTTTTTCAGGTCCCCACCTTCTCCCCAGGTCTCATGCACTCGATCTCTCTCACTCCTTTCTGCTTTACAGACCCACAGCCAGGTCCTGCCAATCACTCCCCTCCTTGTTGGAAGTCAGCTACAGGTGAACCAGCAGGGAGAGGCCACTGCCTGCTCACAATCAGCTCATTATCTAATTGAGGAAAAAGGCACAAGCTCACTCAAAAGCAAAATCCAAAGGACCAACAGGAGTTGGGGGCTTCAGGCTTTTTCTTCCCATTCAGGATAGGGTCAATGTCACTTCAAAAGGTATAATTACAAAAGGCTAGAGACCACGCCTTCAGCTTTAAGAGAATAGCAGTACCTTCCATCCTCCAGAAAGCTTTTGGACTTGTGGACTATCCCTATTTAAGACGGCTCATTGCATCAAGGAAACACAGTTTCATTCAATAAACATCAGTCATTTCCTTCAAATTCCCACCGGAAAGCTACTGACATTGTAAACCTTTAGGATTTGAAAGACGCTAAAGTTTAAAGTCGAATCATAAATACTGTTCCAATCCAATCACTCAGGCCCAGAGCTGGTGGGAGTTCTGGATTGCATTTCCGGCTTCACCAGTATCTCTGTAACTTAGCAGCAAGCTACACCTCCACCAGCCTCGGCTTCCTCTTAGGAGAAATGAGAAAACTGGACCCAATCAGTGTTTCCCAAAAGCATGGTGGGCGTCCAATGCAAGATGTCACAGTGCAAGAGAGGACTCTGTGTGCATGCCAATTAACATGTTTTAGTTATTAGTTTACTCTGTCTGGTGAGTAATGTTAGTTTTCCTAATAAATAAGATTTCCTTTTAAAATAAATGCATCCAAATATTTTTAAAAATGAGTCACTTTCACAAAAACCTATTTAGTAAATAAGAGTTCAGGTGATTCTAGCAGCCGTGGCAAAAATAACTGATCTAGAGGCCTGGCGTGGCGTGAAATCCCTGAGTACAGGGGGAGGAAGAGAGCGAAGGCGGCTGGAGTTCCTCGCAAAGAAGCAAGCCCCGGGCACCAGGGTCCGCAGTGACCAGCCGCCGGTCCTCCACGCTTCCAGAGGAGACGATTTGGAACTGACCCGGGAGGGCCAAGAAACACCTTCCGAGTACCAGGCTAAACCCCGCCAGGGAGAGAGACCGGGACGAAGGTCCCAGGCTAGTGCGACACCGCAGGTCGGGGTTCCCTGGTTGGAGGAGCGCGGTGGGCTGGGAGGGGCGCGTTGGTGCGCACTGGAACAGGGGTCCCCGGCTTGAGCAGCGCGGTGAGACAGAGTTCCCGCGCTGGAGGGGCGCGGTGAGACAGAGGTCCTGGGCTGGAGAGGTGCGTTGGGGCGCACTGGAACCGGGGTCCCGGGCTTGAGTGGCGCGGTGGGACAGAGTTCCCGGGCTGGAGGGGCGCAGTGGGACAGAAGATCCGGGCTAGAGGGGCGCGGTGGGACGGAGCTCCCGGGATGGACGGGCGCAGTGGGACAAGGGTCCCGGACTGGAGGGGCGCGTTGGGGAGCATTGGAACAGGGGTCCTGAGCAGGAGGGGCGAGGTGGGCTGGGAGGGGCGCGGTAGGGCGCACTGGAACAGGGGTCCTGGGCTGGAAAGACACGTTGGAACAAGGGTCCCGGGCTTGGGCGGCGCGGTGAGACGGAGTTCCCGGGCTGGAGGGGCGCGGTGGGACAGGGGATCCGGGCTGGAGGGGCGCGGCGAGACCGGGGTCCCAGGCTGGAAAGGTGCAAGTCGAGGCTGGAGGACCGGCGGGAGGGAACCGGGAACCCGGCGGAGCTAAGGGGCGCAGAGTGGGGGTGGGGCCGTGCTGCCGGGGGAGCCCCCTCACGCAGGAAGGACCGGGGCCGCGGACCCCACCGCCCCCACACCCCGTCGTCGCGGAGTTCGGGCCGCCCCGGCTGCGCCCGGGCCCTACCTGTCCTCGCTGGCCGTGATCACGCCGTCCTCCTTGGGGATGAGCAGCGCGGCCGTGACGGCGTCCTGGTGCCCCTCGATCTTGCTCAGCAGCACCGGGCGGCTGCTCTGCGGCCTGGAGTGGATTTCGGCCGCCATGTTCGCGCGGCGACTGCTGCGGCCTCCTCGGCAGGCAGCCCATCAGCTGACGCCTGGGCGGGCGGGGGACGCGCCGGTTTCCCTTCGGCTGCTGGGGCCTCTTGGGCGCCGCGCCGCCGTAAGCCCCCGAGTGCTGCCGCCGCACCGCCCGTATTGCCTGGGGATGCCGCGCAAGCTGAAAGTCTGTGGCTGGGAGAGGATGCCACGGGGCGCCTGCGGAGAAATGGGGAAAGTAAGGAAGGTTTAAAAGTAAAGCCATTCACCCAGGAATAAATTGAGCACCTGGAGGGGACAAGGAATTGTCCCCCAAACCAGAGATTTCAGAAATTACAATACTACATTTCATCCATTTGAAGAAGCCATTGTTTGAAAGGCACACACTTTCAGAAATGTTAAAATGTGAAAAAATATAGTGCATCTTAGAATCTTTGAACTACAATAGATAGCACTGAGTGGTGACCATATACCAGGCATTAACTCAGTGTCTTTGCATCTCATTTAATACTGATAATTTTAAGAGATGAAATAGATGCTCTTGTATTCCCATTTTAGAGATGAGAAAACAACCAGAGAAGTTTGATCACTACCTTAAGGTTGCACAGCTATGAGAGGGAGAAAAGCAGCCCTTGATCTCCAGGAGCTGCCTGGTACTATCAGCTGAGCTTTGGTGTTGCTAGGAAGTGTTTGCTTCCTGTGGAACATAAACATCAGACGAGGCCACTCCATAATCACATCTAAACACGGCCAAAATATGAGCGATGTACAAGCCACAGAAATTACCAAACATCCCCCTATCCTGGCTAATATGAGTGACTCTTATTTCTTTATTAATTATAATGTTAACCGCTATCTAGTCTTCCTCCATTTAGATAAGATTTATTAAGATATGCAACCTTAGAATTATACGCATTTCCTGACAACATCCAGTCCACAGGAGAGCCTCTCTTCCTTAAGCTCTCCCAGGTCACCTAACACAAACACAAATCCTATAATAAAACTGTCCGAACATCCCTTTACCCAGACACCTCACCATTCCCAATGGTGTGTCTTCTCCCTCCAACAAGCAATCAACCCCATTTGTTCCTGGTGGTTTTTGGCTAGAGGTCATTGACAACCAGTAAGTTCAAGAGCCAAAATTTGGACTCAGGAAGTCAATGACTCCAAACTTCTGCCCCACTATATTATTCTGACACCTGAATTGCAGAATTGCATTAGAACCGTACTATCCACATGACTATAGAGCACTTGAAATGTGGCTTGTCCAAACTGAGATGTAGTACAAGTGCAAAATACTACAAGATTTTATAGACTTAGCACAAAACAAAAAAGATGTAATATAGTTCATCAATAATTGTTACAATGATTACATGTTGAAATGATACTATTTTGGATATATTGAGTTAGATACTATTAAAATTAATATGACCTGCTTATTTTTTTAAGGTAGCTAATAAAAACTTTAAATTATGGATGTGAATCAGATGGTACTTCTATGTACAGTGATTTACTAGAACTTTCTTTTTGTTTTTGTTTTGTTTTGTTTTAGTTTTTTGAGACGAACTCACTCCGTCACCCAGGCTGGAGTGCAGTGGTGCGATCTCGGTTTACGGCAACCTCCGCCTCCCAGGTTAAAGGGATTCACCTGTCTCAGCTTCCCGAGTAGCTGGGATTACAAGCACCTACCACCATGCCTGGCTAATTTTGTATTTTTACTAGAGACAGGGTTTCACCATGTTGACCAGGCTGGTCTCAAACTTCTGCCCTCAAATCATCTGCCCACCTCAGCCTCCCAAAATGCTGGGATTACGGGCAGGAGCCACCATTGTACTAATACTTTCTCATGATGAAGTTATTAACAAACATTCATGAATTTATTTATTCCTATATTCAACAGACATATATCGCACACTTACTATATGCTGTTGCTGATGAGATTAATAAGACATGGTTTTTGTGAGGCTGTACAGTGTAATGACTAGACACGCTACTGAACAACTTTGTTTAATCAACCAACATCTCCCAAGTGCCTGCTGTGAGCCAGGTGCCATTCTAAATGCAGCAGTGCTCAAGAGAGACAAAAATCCCTCTGCTGTTAGAACTTACATCCCAGTGAAGGAAACAGATAGTAAACTAAATTATATAATATATTAGAAGATGTTCAATGCTATTAAATGCTATGGAGAAAATAAAGCAGGGAAGGGTGATAGGGACTCTAGGGGATGTTGCGATTTTAAATAGATGGTGTGATAGATTCAGGAATACACTGCACAGATCTGCTTTCAGGGAAGAACAGTGGTCAGCAGAGAGCCTCTAGCCTTCAGCTCCTTCAGGGACTGCCCCAGCTGCTGAGAACCACTGGGTCTCAGTTGTTCCCTTCACAGGGAAGCCCACATTCAGTAACTGAACAAGATAGGAGGATAAAGGCCTGACCATCAAGACAGACCGATGAGCAACACTTGCTCTAGAACTCTCTCCTAGATTGGACAAGGCTTTGTAAGGCGTGTACTGCAGCTGACTTCTCCTGCCTAATCCTGGTACCTCCCCCTCCCTTCACAGGCATTGATTCCTAATAAACACCCTCTGAGCCAACCTCTATCACCGTATCTGCTGCTGGAGAATGCAACCTGAGACAAGTAAAAGCCTCATTGTAAAGTTACATTTTGAGCCAAGAAGGAGAGGAGGGAGTAAGCCATGTGGAAATGTGGGCCAAATACTTTTCTGGAAAAGAAAAGAGCACGTGTTAAGGCATTGAGGTGAGCACATGCCAGGGGTTTTGTAGAGACAGCCAGGCACCCCGTGAGGCTGGAGCAGAGTGAGTGAGGGAGTGCTCAGAGAAAAACAGCACAGACAGGTCACCAGACAGACCATGTTGAGCCCAGAGACCATTGATAAGGGCTTTGGTTTTTACTTCAAATGAGATAGGAAGCCATTGGAGAGTTTCGAACAGAAGGCTGGTTTAATCTGCCTTCAAGTTTTTAAATTTGTATTCATTTATTTTTCGAGACGAAGTCTCACTCTGTCGTCCAGGCTGGAGTGCAGTGGTGCGATCCTGGCTCACTGCAACCTCCACCTCCTGGGTTCAAGTGATTCTCGTGCCTCAGCTTCTCAAGTAGCTGGGACTACAGGCACGTGCCACCACACCCAGCTAATTTTTGTACTTTTAGTAGAGAGGGTGTCACCATGTTGGCCAAGCTGGTTTCGAACTCCCAACCCCAGGTGATCCACCCACTTTGGCCTCCCAAAGTGCTGGGATTATTATAGGCATGAGCCACTGCGCCTGGGCTAATCTGCCTTCAATTTTAAAAGGCAAGAATAGAAGCAAGGTGTCAGTCAGGAAGTTATTTGAGAAATTAACAGGGTAATTGAGAAATGATGTGGCTTTCTAAGGGTGCTGGTGGTGAGAGGACATCAGATTCTAGACTTATGTAGAAGGTAGTACCAGTGAAATTTGTTGAATATTGAATATGAGATAGTTAAGAATGATACCAAGATTTGTGGGCTGAGCAACTGGAAAAGTGGAGCTGCCAGTTACTGATCTGTGGAAAATGTAGGAGGAGCAGGTTTGGAAGGGAAGAAGGAGAATTCAGTTTTGGACATAGGAAGCTTGAGACGAGTATTAGGTCTCCAAGTGAAGGGGCTGAGTAGGCAGTTGAATACAGGAGGTTTTTGTTTGTTTGTTTGTTTGTTTTTGTTTTTTTTGTTTTTTTTTTGAGATGGAGTCTTGCTCTGTTGCCCAGGCTGGAGTGCAGTGGTGCGATCTTGGCTCACTGCAACCTCCACCTCCTTGGTTGAAGCAATTATCCTGTCTCAGCCTCCCCAGCAGCCGGGATTACAGGCGTGTGCCACTATGCCTGACTAATTTTTGTATTTTTAGTAGAGACGGGGTTTTGCCATGTTGGCCAGGCTGGTTTCGAACTCCTGACCTCAGGTGATCCACCTGCCTCAGCCTCCCAAGGTGCTGGGATTACAGGCGTGAGCCACCATGACCAGCCTGAATATAGGAGTTTTGTATATGCTACTGAATAGTAGAGAGGTCTGGACTGCAGCCATTACTCTGGGAGTTAAATGCACAGTGATGGAACCTGCTGTGCCACCCTCTGCAGGGTCAGCAGATGCTCACTGGGTGGTGGTAGAGTTCAGGAGCCAAGTTTATGCTTGATCTTAAGGCAGCAGGATGGTCAAAACTAAGTGAGAGAAAGGCCCTCTACAAATACTTGTTCAAAAATTTTAATCAGGGATTCGCCTGTTAAACTAAATTAAAATGGAAACCAGGGCTGAAGACTCCCCGAAGAGACAAAGCCAGTCAGTCCTCCTAAGTGATCTTAACCTTGCTTGATTTGCAAACATAAGTGAAACTTAACTTGAACTATTTCTTGTAAATGCCTGTATTAAAGAAAAACAAAACTTAAGCTCAACCATTCAGAAGCAGTCAACAGACTTACAATTAAATAACTAGGGATTTTCCCACAGGATAGACCAAATAAAGCCACTTTATAACTGTAATCAATTATTTTCTTTGCATTATTTCTGCATTCACTCTTCCAAGTTTGACCCTTATGCTTCTCCAACAGAGCCCTGGAAACACTTCCGGTTTAGAGCTGTCCGATTCATGAATTGCTGTTTACACAAATAAGCCCTTTAAAATATTATTGTGCCTTGGTTTACCTTTTTTTTTTTTTTCTTGAGACAGAGTGTTACTACTCTGTCACCCAGACTTCAGTGTACTGCTGGGATCTCAGCTCACTGCAACCTCTGCCTCCCCGGTTCAAGCAACTCTTGTGCCTCAGCCTCCTGAGTAGCTAGAACTACAGGTGTGTGCCGATCATGCCCTGGTAATTTTTGTATTTTTAGCAGATGTGGGGTTTTACCATGTTGGCCAGGCTGGTCTCGAACTCCTGGCCTTAAGTGATCCATCAGCTTCAGCATCCCAAATTGTGAGGATTACAGGCGTGAACCACTGTGCCCAGCCCTCTTTTTTTTTTTTTTTTTCAGTCAGGATCTCACTCTGTCACCCAGGTTGGGGGCAGTGGCACAATCTCAGCTCACTGCAGCCTCTGCCTCCTGGGTTCAAGCAATTCTCCTGCCTCAGCCACTGCAGTAGCTGGGAGTAGGCAAGCACCACCATGCCTGGCTAATTTTTGTATTTTTAGTAGAGACATGGTTCTCTACTATTGCCCAGGCTGGTGTTGAACTCCTGAGCTCAAGTGATCCAACTGTCTCAGCCTCCCAAAATGCTGGTACAGGTGAGAGCCACTGTGCCTGGCCTGGTTTACCTTTGTAACAGGCCTTACGTATTGAGTTGTCTTACAAATAAGATGAATCATCACCCAGAATGGTTCAATGTGAACAATAAGGTAAGGCCCACATAACTCTCACCTTGCACACTGACAATGAACTGACCCAAAGATGTAACATTGATCCAGTTTATTGCAAAAGCAGCTACTCTGTGTGATTTCTTCCAAAACACATGGAAAACATCTCAGCTGTAACACATTTTGAAGGCAATTTACATAAACAAATTAAGCTCTAAATTTAACTCACCTTTATACATTTTGTAAAATCAGTGCTTAAACACAAAATGATTTTATAGAGTATGCATATAGCATTTACAGCCATAAGAGTACATGAAGTCCAAGAGGAAGTATGTGTGTAAATAACGAAGAGGTACAAGGACAGAAGCCTTGGAAACATCAACAGGTCTGGAAGAAAGGGAGGAACCAGAAAAAAAGACTGGAGAGGAGCCAACCTCCCCCTGCTCCCCTTCCCCCTGACTCTATGAGGTAGGAGGAAAATGGATATTGTGTGTATTGTCCTGAAGACAAAGGAAGAAGGTGTTCTAAGGAGGAGGAAGTGATCGACTGTGTCAAATGCTGCAGATCAAGCAAATGAAATGACTGCAAGTTTCCATGAATGCCAGGGGTAAAACCTGATTGAAGTGAGTTCAAGTGGTGATAGAAGAGCCTTAGCACAGCCTCTTGGAACTGCTAGACTCTAGGTACACAAAGAGAAATTATTTATTTTTTTATATCAATGGCTTTTGAGGAACAGGTGGTGTTTGGCTACATGGATAAGAAATTTTGTGGTGATTTCTTGCATTTCTAAAGTGAGAATAATAATGTTACCTTTTAATGGTGATGTAGGAAGCAGAGATAATGTGTAGTATTTATTGTTAACTCATGCTTCTTACCTTGGAGTTTTTTTTTTTTTTTTTTTCAGACAGAGTCTCGCTCTGTGGCCAGGCTGGAGTGCAGTGGCACGTTCTCGGCTCACTGAAACGTCTGCCTCCCTGGTTCAAATGATTCTCCTGCCTCAGCCTCCAGAAAAGCTGGGATTACAGGTACATGCCAGAACGCCAGGCTAATTTTTGTATTTTTAGTAGAGATGGGTTTTCACCATGTTGGCCAGGCTGGTCTCGAACTCCTGACCTCAAGTGATCCACCCACCTCAGCTTCCCAAAGTGCTGGGATTACAGGCTTGAGCCACTGTGTCTGGCCCCTTACCTTGGACCTTGATCTCTAAATGTCTATCCCGCCATCACCTCCTCTGACTCTAAATACCTGTGTCATGCTAGACTTCCTTGAGGGAGTATTTTATAGTTGTACTGTAAGAATGATAATGATGATAATCATAAATGCCAATATTATTTATTGTAATAAGTTCTTACCTTTAACATTTGGATGAAGTAAGGTATGTTAGCTTAATGGGTCAGCATTCTAATGTGGCCTTGACTTTCTACTCTTCACATTTCAGATACTCTAAGTGTAATCACAGGCTAGCCGTTTGCCTATTGCTATCAGATCCACTTTATGTGTACCTTGCTTGGTCTGTATTGCAGGGGGTTGACTTCTGCAAACTACATGTCCCAGACTCCCTAACCGACTTGCTTCCTGATAAGTTTGTATGGTGGAGGCAGTGGTGGGACATTGGAAGGTAGAAGGAAAGAAGAAACCAGGGTATTTCTCCTCCACTCTTTCTGCTTAGGGAGTATGCCTTCTCTGTGGCTCCAGTCCCCACTGGCTATAGCTTCCCTCTTTTGTCGCAGCCCTCAACAGGCAGTCTCTGTGGGTTCTTGGTCCCATTCGGCTCACCTAACTCTTGTGCTCTGGTACCATCTGTTCCCTTTGTCTCTCCAGTTTTGCTGTCCCTAATCTCTTAGGCCTTTCAGTTCTAACACCTTTGTAACTAGTTCTTTGTATTCGGTTTCTTTCTTGGAACCATCTGGTGTGCCTTTGTTCTCTTGGTAAGACCCTGACTGATACAATTATGGCAATACTGATACTTAACTTGTAGTACTGTTAAATTAAGTTTGGACTAAAGCCTCCGTTGTACATATTTTAATTTTGGCCTAAAGGTTTTTCAGTACACAGTGAACCTAACTTGATATGTAACCTAACTTGATGTGTAAAAGACTGTCACCTGCTCTTGTAAAAGTAGCCGAGTCTCATCCAACCACAGGCAGCCCTATTCAAATAAAGCAGACACCAGCTGTTTCTGTCCCTCATTTGCATTTTCTGTACATACTTTTTCCTTTTACTGTCCATAAATGTTATCTGACCATGTGGCAGTCCTGGAGTCTTTCTGAACGTGTTCTGGTTCTGGGGGCTGCCTGATTCATCATTGTTTGATCAGTTAAACTCTTAAATTTAATTTGTCTAAGGTTTGTCTTTTAAAGCCATCATGAGGATTGTAGGACATAACTTACTGAGAATATGACGTTACATATGTAAATTATAAGGCAATATTTCAGTAATTGAGTATTTTCAAAAATAGATATAAACCATATAATGATAGAAATGATAGTCTCATAAAGAATAACTTATTCGTATGCAGTATCCAGATTATCCAGATTCTTTTTTTTTTTTTTTTCCGAGACAGAGTCTGGCTCTGTCACCCAGGCTCGAGTGCAGTGGTGCTATCTTGGCTCACTGCAACCTCTAACTCCCAGATTCAAGCAATTCTCCTGTCTCAGCCTCTCGAGTAGCTGGGACTACAGGCACACACCACCATGTCCAGATAATTTTTGTATTTTTAGTAGAGATGAGGTTTCACCATGTTGGCCAGGCTGGTCTTGAACTCCTGACCTCATGATCCGCCTGCCTCGGCCTCCCAAAGTGCTGGGATTACAGGCATGAGCCACCGTGCCAGCCCAGATTTTTAAATTTATAACTTTTAATGGCTATAATCTGGTTAACTCTAATCAAGAGGAAATACTTATAAAACTTTTCAGTGTCTTTCAGCAGTTGTTATAATGTATACCTAATCAATGTTTATCTGTTCAGTACATGTTAAATCTGTGGGACAGACTGAAAAAGAAGTCTACAGTGATTTATTGCTTTTGGACATGCTTCGTCTCCTTGGGCCTTGCCAAAAGATCTGGAGACACAGTTTCATCCCAGAGAGGAAAGAAGACTTGGTAATTTTGTTCAGTAGTTTTGCCAGGAGTTCTTTTAACCCATTCTCTGGATTTTACCCCAGTTTTACACTGCAGGCCAGCATAATAATCACACTGCAAAAATCTCAAACCACTTTTACAATGCTTTATTTAAAAAGCAAAACAAAAGTGTGAAGTTTCAATATTATAGTCATAGTGGTCTAATATCTCTACTTTCCCTCTCATTACAAGTTTTTACTTATTTTTATAACCCTTTAAAATATTCCTTTTCCTGTAATAGGTATCCCTCTCTCAGATCCAAACATTGCTCAGTTTAGCAGAAACATCAAGGAACACGTAAAGTGGAAACCCTGTGCTTGACATCTTCTCTGATATTTCCTGAACTTGTTTCTCAAAAGTATCCTTAATGACAGGAAAGGGGATCTATACCTACAGGGGTTAAAGGGTCAGGCAGCTTTCACTTTTTGGAGCGGAATTTACTAAGTCATCATCATTCCTGACGACTTTGTGCATGTTATGGAATGTTGATCCTCCTTTCCATCTCTTCTGCATCTAGCAAAATCCACGCTTCCATCTAGAACCAGCACTCTGAGGCCATCCCCTAAGTCTCATGAATATAGAGCATTTTTTATTTTGCCATTTTCATCCAATTGATTTGACCCTATGTGTATTAATTATCTGTTGCTATGTAACAAATTACTCCAGAACTTAGTGGCATAAAGCAACAAACGTTTATTTTCTCATACATTTCCTGAGGGCCAGGAGTTTGGGAGCAGTTTAGCTGGGTGATTCTGGCTGAGGGTCTCTCATGAGGATGCAGTCAAAGCGCTGGCCAGTAGGCAGTCATCTGAAAGTCTGACTGGGAGTGGAGGATCCAATTCTAAGACAGCTCATTCATTCACATGGCTGTTAGCGGGAGGCCTCAGCTACTCATCACATAAGCCTTTCCACATAGTTTCTTAGGCAACATCATAACATAGCAGCTGACTTCCTGACAGGAGACTAATCCAAGAAATACAAGGTATCTGACCAAAATGGAAGCTATGATGTATTTTATTACCTAACCCCAGAATTGATAAAAACATCCATGGTCTATTGGTTACACAGACTAATCCCAGCACAATGTGAGAGGGGAATGTACAAGGGTGTAAGTACCAGGAGGTGGGGCTTGTTGAGAGCCATCTTGCTGGCCGCTAACACACCAAAAAAGTTTTGCTTCCATAATTATGAATTAAAGTGTTTATAACAGAATTATACTAACATTGATGCATTTTTTTTGAGAAAATGTTTTCTGGAATAAGCTCCATGAAACCAATTAAATTTCTTGATCAATTTTCTATACAGCACAAGTATCCTATTTCTAATTGTATTTTCATGTTTCTATTGCTTAATGTATTTTCATGAATTTTTTTCCACATTTATTTCCTAAGATGTTATTTGTTGCTCAGGTTTACTAAGGCTTTTTGCTAATCAGTTTTACTATCATGAGTTTTCTGTTGCAGCTTTTAGATCTATCAAGTCAAATTTTCCATCAAGTCAAATTTTCCAAAGCTAGGTTGAACAGATGTAACTTTGGTGAAGACTGATTCTATATCGATATTTATCAGTAACTCCAATTTTGTATTTTGAACAGTTTTAACTATAGTAATTTTCATTCTATGGTAATTATTTCTGTCTGTAATTTTCCTTGTGAGTTGGATTAAAGGCCACTATTTGGTAGTTATTCCTTAGCTAATCTATGAAGTAGTGGTGAGTAATCCCAGGTGGTTCAGAATTGCTTGATTGTTCAGGAAGGTCCTATAGCAGAGCTTACTAACTTTGTTATCCATCTTTCTGTGCCCCGTATTCCAGCTGCCTTCACCATCATTGAAGGAATATATAAGCAATATCCCTGGCATCAAAACACAAAAGGTTGTGTTCCCCAAGGGTTAAAGTGAACCCTCAATCGCCTCACCTCCTCTTCCTAAGTGTGACTTTTCCCCACCCTTCCACCTGACCTTAACCCAATGAAAACTCGAAAGTTGTTGACATCTGTGAGCTTTGATCAAATTAGGGCTAACAGCAGGTTAAAGGAAAAATCAGGTTTTTGAGGGCTGAAAAACACATTGGCCTTTTTCTTCCTTAAAGTTTTCTGAGCCTGGATCCTGGAACCAAGTCCTCCTCCTATTATGTGTTTATTGAATAAATAGACAAATGTATGAGCAGATTTTAAAAAACTGGTTAATTCCTAAGTTCCATGAAGGGCATTAGTAGAAGAAATCTTTTGAGGACCTACATTTTTTTAATCTGCAAATGATGCTCTCGTTGTTGTATGACTGAGAAACTCTCAACACAGAGACACCTCATTTTAACTTAACATGATTGTGCTACAACTGGCTTAGATTATTTTTCCTAATAAATGAAATTCTACAGAAATGACAGTTCCCTGCATTTTCTCCTAATCCATTTATTGGATTGATGTTCCATGAATTTTCAATACTTTACATACATTGAAACAAGAAGGTCAATCGTAACCTCCTTTCACCCCTTCTTGGAGAATTTCCTTCAACCAGAAATCCATCAGTTTGTTTTTTGGTGTGTGCTCAGCCCCTCTTTTGCTCTCTCCCTCCCCAAAGGGAACCCTTTTATAAGCTGAGATGAACCATTTAGATTCTCCCTTTTGAAATGGTCAAGCTGAGAAACCCAAATTGAGTTCTATGATCCTGGCACTGAAGATTCTCGGGCTAAGTCATAACATGCTTTGTGGTCTGTGTTTCAGAGAGATGAATGTAGGTGAGCTGTGTCTGGGGAAGGGAGGAAGGTACCAGGCCAATTACACTAACCACGGAAAGAGGTGAGGAGAGCCACCAGGTACCTGCAGTGGAAATAAATGGAAAAAGCACTTGGTGGAAACTGCACCGAAGAGGGGGTTTGTCGAAACAAAAACAATCAAAGACATAGGAGTTCAATCTGGGTGACTGCTGGGGACACAGATGCCTTTAACAAAGAGATCACAGAAAGCATTGCCCCTTTGAGGGTCTAGATGTTCAGCAGGCAACTCAAAACTGGGAATTCAAACAAGCCTCCCTTTGTGACTTAATATGTTCTTTTAAAAATTGTACTGTATTAACAGTTTGGTAGGAAAGCAATAGAATTACATTGTTAAAGAGTGTTAACATAAAGAAGGAAGAAACTGTAATTCCCCTATTACCGTTTTATGTTTTTTTCCAGTCATTTTCCGGATGTTTAAAAATATGTACTATTAGATTGCTTTTAAAGAAAAATTTTAATTTTGGATAAGCCAACATTTCTGAGTCTAGGGTTTCCAAAACTAAGGCTTTTGGAGGCGTGCTGGGTCAAAAATAGAAGCTCGGTAAATACTTGCTCAGTAGTGGCCTAGAACACTAAATATAAATTAAAAATGTTTTCTTTTTTTGAGGATTTAAATGTTTCCTTAACCTGAAAGCGAAACAGATTTTTGTTTGTTTTGCTGTAACGAGAGAGGAAGGAACAAGAGAGTGACAGGGTGAAGCAACTTCTCCCAGAAACTTTTGGGCGCAAACGCCCTCAAGTCCGGATCATTGGAAAGTAACTCGAAGAGAGGAGAGAACTAGCGCAAGCGTAGCCTCAAGGCGGCCGCAATCACCCCGCCCCGGGGCTGTCTCCGCCCCTGCCCTCTCTCAGTCGCCCCGCCCCGGGGGCTGTCTCCGCCCCAGCCTTCTCTTCGCGTTCCGCGTTCCGGGTTCCGGGGGAAGTGTGTTACGGGGACACTGGCCCGACTACTTTCGTTCCGTCTTCCATCGTTTTCTCTCGTGCAATGGCGTCCGGGCTGGTAAGATTGCTGCAGCAGGGACATCGCTGCCTCCTGGCTCCAGTCGCCCCCAAGCTGGTCCCTCCGGTTCGGGGAGTGAAGAAGGGATTCCGCGCCGCCTTCCGCTTCCAGAAGGAGTTAGAGCGGCAGCGCCTTCTGCGGTGCCCGCCGCCGCCCGTGCGCCGGTAGGAGCCACCTCGGGAAGAGGTCTCAGGGTGGCGGTCGCAGACACTGGGTCTTCTTCCCGCGGCGTCGTGTCTGCGGCTGATGCGCCCCTGGGTTAAGCCTTAGGAAGTTTGCGATGGAGACACCCGTGAGCTGTGGGCGCGGGGCCTGAGGCAAAAAAAATGGATTTGTGCCGCGGGCGGTAGAGCTTCGGGCTGTTCCCGACGTTTTGAAACTACCATTTAGGATTTTGGCTACTGAAAATTGGGAGAAATGGGGCTAACTGGAGGGTCTTCCTTATGTGGACTTGGATGTTGTAGTCCCCGTTTGTAATGCCTGAGAATTCCGATAAGCGGGAAGAAAGCAGCCCACAGCATCGTAAATTAAGGAGAAAAAAAATTAATCTACAACCTGAATTCTGCTGTCTAGAGTAAAAGGAAAAAAAGTTAGCTTTAGATTTTTGCCCTAATTAATGCTGTTCTGGTAACAGGTTTGGCAGAGAGAGACACAGGTTTTTATAGCTTCAAACCAGATCATACTTTACATAATTTAAATTCCTTCATCTTGCTTTTTCTCTTTAATAATGTGTGTTTGACATGTTGTCATGGTATTACAAAGATATGTACCTCACTCTTTTTTATGGCTCTGTATATATGGGCCTATGAGCTCCATATTATTGCCATTAAAACCTATGTAACAGCGCGTAAAGGGGACGCATGTGTAGTATGAAATTTTGAAAGCTATTAGTACTTTAACATTGCCCTCCAAAAAATGTTGATCCACTTTGTACTCCTACCAGTAGGAACGGTCTTCTAACAGAGAAGATTATAGCAAAAAATAAAATCTCTTCTTAATTCCCATTCCCTTGTTTATTATAAGATTAAGTATTTTAGGCTCTCAAAGGTGGAAGAAACTTTATGGGTTGGACAGATTATATAGGTGTATATGTTATATGTATATCTTACGACTTTCAACCTAGGTTTTCATACTTTGCTTCCCTTTGTTTCTTAAAGGGGTTTTATATTGTGTTACGTATAAGTAATCCAGAGATGACTTAAAGTATACAGGAGGATGTGCATAGGTTATATGCAGATACAGGTATACCTCATACATATTGTAGGGTTGGTTCTAGACCACGACAATAAAACGAGTCACATGACTTTTTTAGTTTCCCAGTGTATACCTAAGTTATGTTTATACTATTCTGTAGTTTATTAAGTGTACAGTAGTAGTGTCTAAAAAGCAATATATGTACCTTAATTTAAAATACTTTATTGCTAAAAAATGGTAACACAGAGACACAAAGTGAGCACATGCAGAATTGCTACAGACCTTCAGTTTGTAAAAATAAAATGCAATAAATCTGTGAAGCACAATAGACCGAAGTACAGTGAAACGAAGTGTGCCTGTACTACACCATTTATATGAGAGACTTGAGCATCCATGAATTTCAGTATCCAGGAGAGTCCTTGGAACCAATCCCCTACAGATATTGAGGGATGACTGCAAATATAACATACTAGTGTTTATGGCTTGAATCTGTGAAATTAACATTTATGCTTCATACTTAGGTATAAAACATAGTATCATGGTTAGAGCAGAAATAAGGAACCTAAAAGTTAGGCTAATGGCTTGGTCTTTTATATTGAAGAACCAATTTCATGTGACAATTGGATCAAAGGGAAAATTAATCCAGTCATATATGTAGAATATAGCAAAGGACTGCCAGTATTTATCTGACTTTAGTCTTAACATTTAGAATATCAACCTGGCATTAAAAAGAAATATAACCTTCTTTCATTTCCTTTATATAATTAATAACATTACAACACAGTGAACAATTTTTATATCACAGTAACAGGTTGTTCTCTTTACCATCTCTTACTGTCTTTACATTTTCAGTTCAGAGAAGCCGAACTGGGATTACCATGCAGAAATACAAGCTTTTGGACATCGGTTACAGGAAAACTTTTCCTTAGATCTTCTCAAAACTGCATTTGTTAATAGCTGCTATATTAAAAGTGAGGAGGCCAAACGCCAACAACTTGGGATAGAGAAAGAAGCTGTTCTTCTGAATCTTAAAAGTAATCAAGAACTATCCGAACAAGGGACATCTTTTTCACAGACTTGCCTTACACAGTTTCTTGAAGACGAGTACCCAGACATGCCCACTGAAGGCATAAAAAATCTTGTTGACTTTCTCACTGGTGAGGAAGTCGTGTGTCACGTGGCTAGAAACTTGGCTGTGGAGCAGTTAACACTGAGTGAAGAATTCCCAGTGCCCCCAGCTGTGTTACAGCAGACTTTCTTTGCAGTTATTGGAGCCCTGTTACAGAGCAGTGGACCTGAGAGGACTGCACTTTTCATCAGGGTACGTAACTATTAATTGGACATGCTTGAGATAGACAGAAGGGAAAATATTCTTTTGTAATTCACTTCTTTGATATATCACCTTGGAAGTGAATTTTTCTCCCAAGAAAAACTGAGAAAGACCTAAAGGTTTTTTATGGAAGGGCTGTAATTATTCCAGTTGTCTCTTATTATGGATATCATCAGAAGTGAATATTAAATTGTGGGTTGTGATTTCTGAAGGACCACAAGCCATATCATCTTTAAGTTTACATCCTTAGGGCCAAGGATACTGCCTGCATGAGAGATACTCAGTAGATGTTTGGTGAATGAGTGAAGTCAAAGGACACTATGCAGAGGCCTGTGCTTCAGTACCAGCTGCTGTCTGCTCTTCCAAGTGATGAAATGTTGGATTTCAAGTCCCTCTAATGTAAAACTCTTTGTTAGCTAGTGGCTTAGCTAATTCAGATTCTTATGTAATTGGTACAACTTGACTCCCACTGTCCTTTTATAATTTATTAACTGGGAGAAGTTTTATCCTCTGCCATTGGATGAAAACATGAGGTTTTGTTCACTTTTTGATAATAGAGAGTCCACACAATCACTTTAAGTCATAAAAACAGTCTTGATTCAGGCACCTATCTGACTGACATTCAGTCTTTAAACCTGCTGTTGGAATCTGTTCATTTAGTTTTGATACCAAGTTTGATAATTTTGTTAGAGAATATCTGTATTTACTGACACTTCAGGCTTTGTTCATAGGTAAGACCTATCTTTCTCCCCCCAGTTAGTTTTTTCTATAGAAATTCTGACAAAGTCCTTTTTGATTTCCAAACTATAACTCTGTGGAGTAAGTTTTAAAACTCTAAATAATTTTTGGTCACCATTTTGAAATTCTACAAGGTAGTCATGAAACTATGTTGGAAATATTTACCATATTGTAATGCGTCTTAACAGTTCCAAGTAAAGATCTTATGAAACATAGATAATTCAAATATCTGTGTCTAAGTTGAGCTTTGATGTCTCTTATAGTAGAATTGACAGGTTTGTATTGTCCTGTTTCATTTGTTCATCCACTTAATGTTGAGTGCCTTACTATGGGCCAGGCACTCTGCTGAGCTCTGAAGCCGCTATCTAAATAGGATTTGATGCTACTCACAGCTCATTATTCAGATGGAATGCAATGTGGAAGTGCTTTCCTAGAGGTGTTAAGGTGCAGAGTGAACTTAGAGGAGGCAACAGCCAACTTTAGTAAGGCTAGAAAAGGTTTTACAGAAGTGATTTGTGCCCCTTAAAAGGATGTTTTGGGAAGACAGTGTCAAGGATGAGCTTGTGCTTGGGAACTACAGTTAATTTTTTTGTGGCTGGATCATATTGCGTTTGGCAAAGTGATCAGAGATAAGTCTGGACCTTTAAGAGCCAGTGTACAGAAGAGCTAACAGTATTACTAAGAAAGTGGTTTGGGCATCAGTATCAGCATCACTGGAGAACTTGATAGAAATGCAAATTCTCAGGCACCCCCTCAGAGTACATAATCTCTGGGAGTAGGGCCTAGGAATTTGTATTTTAACTAGCTCTCCAGGTGATATCTCTGCATCTGGAAATTAGAACGGCACTCTTAGCCATGCTACAGCGTATGTATTTTGATGGTCTTGTGTAGCGACAGCTGGAGTTGTTCTAAGTGGGAGGTTTTTAATGATCAAATGTGCATTTTAGAAACATCATTTCTTCATACTGCTTCCCTATTCTGGGGAGATGAGATTGGAGTATTCAACTCAAACCCTACTAGAAAGCTCTAATTATTAAGACCAGGAGCAAATAGCAAAAAATAGAAGGAGGCGATAGAAGGTAATCACTTAAGAAAAATTGAGCTTTCTTTCTATATTCCTACTAATATCTTAGATGATGGGAAAGAGCTGTGTTTCCTAACCTTACACTTGGTTATTCTATATGACAGATAGCAGTTCAGTGATTTTTATATATGTGTATATACGTATCCCATAAGGCATATCTACCTCTGTACATTAAAACATTTCAAAATCCCCTACTGAGAGTGGATGTAAGTTTTTTTTTCGAGGCAGCATCTCTGTTGTCCATGCTGGAGTGCAGTGGCACAATCACAGCTCACTGCAGCCTCGACTTCCTGTGCTCAAGCCATCCTCCTATATTAGCCTCCCTAGTAGCTGGGACCACAGGCATGTGTCACTATGCCCAGCTAAATTTTTTCTGTAGAGCCGTGGTCTCATTATGGTGTTCAAGCTGGTCTTGAACTCCTGATTTCAAGTGATCCTCCCACCTCAGCCTCCCAAAGTGCTGGGATTATAGGTATCAGCCACCACGCCTGGCCTAATATTTTTTATTAATGAAGCTGAAAGTGTTCTGGTGCTTGGAGGAGTGTTGTAATGAATTGACTTCATTTCATGAACTAAGTGATCTTTTTAAATTTCTTCCCTCTGCCTCCATCCATCCATCCATCCATCCATCCATCCTGTTATCATATTACTAATGTTTGTTAATACAAGTTAATTGGAATATGTAAATTGCTGTGGAAATTAATGTTTGCTTCCATAGTTTCTATACAACATAATACTTTTTACTGGCAAAATCAATTCTGCTTTGAATGTTCATAATTTCTCAGTTATCTTCGTCATATAAATAATTACTAGTATGCTACAGTTTTAAAAGTTTATGTGAAATTATTAAAAGATTTTTTTAAATTATTTTTTATTATTTTTTGAGACAGAGTCTTGCCGTGTTGCCCAGGCTGGAGTGTAGTGGTAGCATGATCTTGGCTCACTGCAACCTCCACCTCCCAGGTTCAAGCAATTCTTGTGCCTTAGTCTCCCTTGTAGCTGGGTTTACAGGCGTGCAGCATCACGCCTGGCTAATTTTTGTATTTTTAGTAGTGACAGGGTTTCACCATGTTGGCCAGGCTACTCTCGAACTCCTGGCCTCAAGTGATCTGCCTGCCTTGGCCTCCCAAAGTGCCGGGATTACAGGTGTGAGCCACCTCACCTGGCAGAGTTTTTAAAAACATTATTAATGGAGGAAGTATTGTTATTTAGAGGCCCTGAGTGCCATTTTACATGAGTTTCTATGAGAAGTTACTACTTTTTATTCGTTAATTCTTTAAATAATTTTTTTCTTACTAGTAGGAATATAATTCTAAATTATAAGATAGGGCAGGGTACGGTGACTAATGCCTGTAATTCCAATACTTTGAGAAGCCAAGGCAGGAGGATCCTTTGAGGCCAGGAGTCGAGACTAGGCTGGGCAACTTATGGAGACCTCATCTCTATAAAAAATTTAAAAGCTAGCCGAGTATGGTGGTGTGCACCTGTAGTCTCAGCTGCTGAAGAGGCTGAGCTAGGAGGATTGCTTGAGCCCAGGAGGTCGAGGTTTCAGTCTACTTGTGATCACGCCTCTGCACCTCTAGCCTAGGCAATAGAGTGAAGCCCTGTCTCAAAAAAGAAAAAAAAAATTATAGGATTCTACCTTCTGTGGAATTTTGGTAGATCATACTGCTTGAAATAGGTTTCTCGGGCTTGCAAATTTTTTTAATCCAACTATGATTTTTGCAATAAAATTAGTGTAAAAACTGTGGGAATGAAAAAGAATAGTACATTTTTGTCTTTCGTTTCCCATTAAGTTTTAAATTTCTGTTAAAAATGTACTCTGTGGCTTCTCTAATTTAAAAAGTGTAAAAAATGTATTTTGAATTGTCCTAATGTTCTTTCTACTAATTAAAATGTATAAATTATATTTTTATATGCAGGACTTCTTAATTACTCAAATGACTGGAAAAGAGCTCTTTGAGATGTGGAAGATAATAAATCCCATGGGGCTATTGGTAGAAGAACTGAAGAAAAGGAATGTTTCAGCTCCTGAATCAAGACTTACTAGGCAG
Organism: Homo sapiens; assembly: GCF_000001405.40. Taxonomy (NCBI): domain Eukaryota; kingdom Metazoa; phylum Chordata; class Mammalia; order Primates; family Hominidae; genus Homo; species Homo sapiens. Next base: position 223,963,888 of record NC_000002.12, read on the forward strand.
TCTGGTGGCACCACAGCTTTGCCTTTGTATTTTGTTGGCTTATACTGGTTAGTGAAATTTTAATCTTAACTTTATAACTTTGAGGAAATCCTAAAAACAGACTCCTCACAAAGCCTTAAAAACACTCTTCACATTCCATAAGGAATGTTAACATAACCTCTTCAGATTCCTTAACGTAACTTCTAATTGCATGAAAAGATTTTTTAAAAATCTCTTCCCCATGGTTATTATTTACTACTTCCCTTCCCGCTAGTTATGCTTAGGAAGAATCTGAGTTTTGCTAATAGCTTTTGTCAGCCAACTATTTGCTATAGACTTTCAGTGTGTTATCTTAAATTTTTCTGTGTAGAAGTACAAATGTTGACTTGTTCGTGTTAGAGATTCAACCTTAATCCATTCTTGTCAGTAGCTTCAACTGAGCCTAGAACTGGAAAAGGAAGGGCCTTAGTTATCCATCAAAATGTGTAAATCAACCCATGTTGAGAGCTTTTTAGTTTTGTTAGTAAAAAGTTGACTTGCCCCAAATTAATCTCAGATGTTAAGATTAAAGTGTTAAATGTAAATATTGAATATTTAAGATAGCTAGATTAAAATTTAGGTAAATATTTTTCTAATCCTTGTATCACGAAAGACTTTATAAGTATAAAAGAAATAGAAGTTACCACATGGGGAAAATGGATAGTGTTGTATAAAGTTTTATCTATTGAAATGCAAAAACAGTGAGATACTCTTTGTTACTTACCTGATTGGCAAACCTTTTAAACATATCTTTTATCATCAGTTTATATACTGCTGGTAGGAAAAAAATGTACCATATTTCTGTGAATAATTTTGACAAAATGCCAAGCATCTTAAAATTTTTTATGTTCTTTGATTTTGGTATTTCAACTTTGGGTTGTTTGCCTTAGATTTACAGGCAAATTTTGTGAACAAAGACGTTTGTTGTTTACCTCTTTATGCTCCATACTTTGAACAGTTGCTGGGACATGGTGGTCAGTAAATAGTTGTTGAACTAAAAAACAATTAGAAATAAATTTGATATTCCACAAGAGGGAAATGATACGTATACATGATGGAATATAGTACAGCTATTACAGGCGACATTTTAAAAGAATTTTTAATGAGATTGGGACATTTTGGAGAATGATCTTTTATCTAAAAAAAAAAATGTAAGAAGTAATTTGCCATATCACTACAGTGATTACTATTGGATAGTAGTGTTTTTGTAGATTTTACATAATGACTTTTTAAAACGTGATCAGTGATAAAACCAGCAACATTAGACTAAAAACAAAATTCTGTGCTTGTTATTCACTTCAAGATGACTTTTTCTGATTCTCAAACTTTGTGCAAATTTGTATGTGTTTATTATTATAAAGTTTAACTTAATAGAACCTTTGTTTCATTTCCAATTATTGTCATAACAGATGTTTTTTAGCAAATTTATTTCATATTGTTGTTGTTTTATTTGTGTAGCTTCACTAGTTTTTCTTTAATTTGGTTTCGGTCTTCACTTTCAAATCAGCTTATATTGAATCTGACTTAGTAAATGCAGTTGCCGATTGAATCTGATTTAGTAAATGCAGTTGCTATGCATTAAACTTTCAGGAGATGCTTCTTTGAATTGCACAGATGAAATTTTAGGTCAGAAAATTTCCAGGAAGTAGTTAAATATATTTCAGAAGTAGCAAAACAAATAGGATTATAGTTATTTGATGTGCACATTCTACATTCTTTGCTCCCTTGAAGGAACATTTTACATTTTTAAAGAAGATAAATGGTTATGATATAGAAATACCAGTAAAGCAGAGGAATACCTACATTAGATTTATCGATAGAATACTCATAGCCAACATTGAGTGTTACCTCACTTGGGAATAAATTAGAGTGGATTAGAAATATATAAAATGATTTAAAAATCTGAGCCTGTTTTGAAGCTCTTTTTTTTTCCTTTTTATTTAATTACTATTTATCTTCTTTCTTTTTTCTTTTTTTTTCAGAGGTCTCACTATGTTGCCTAGTCTGATCCCTAACTCCTGGGCTCAAGCAGTCCTCCTGCTTTGGTCTCCCAAAGTGTTGGTGTTAAAGCTGTGAGCCACTGGGAGGCCAAGGCGGGCGGATCTTGAGGTCAGATCGAGACCATCCTGGCTACGGTGAAACCCCCGTCTCTACTAAAAATACAAAAAACTAGCTGGGCGTGTTGGCGGGTGCGTTGGCGGGCACCTGTAGTCCCAGCTACTCAGGAGGCTGAGGCAGGAGAATGGCGCGAACCCAGGAGGCGGAGCCTGCAGTGAGCCAAGATCGTGCCACTGCACTACAGCCTGGGCGACAGAGTGAGACTCAGTCTCAAAAAAAAAAAAAAAAAGTGTGAGCCATCATGCCCAGCCTAAAGTTCTTAATTTGAAATATAGAGCTGGTTTCTGGTTTCTTATTTGTGTTAAAGTTTAAATGACAGACTCAAAAGGCATAATTTTTTCAACAGAATCTTTTCCCAAGTTATATCACACATTAAAAATAAAAATAGTCATAATTCCTGATAATATTTTTACTAGTTTCAGGTTTTTGTAAGGAGATATTTATTTTTCCCAAGTTATATCACACATTAAAAATAAAAATAGTCATAATTCCTGATAATATTTTTACTAGTTTCAGGTTTTTGTAGGGAGATATTTATTTACATATTCTTCCAATTCTCTCATCAACAATTGAAAACCTAGATACGACTTGCTTTTTTGACTTGACAGAGTTGTATATATTTCTAAGGAAACGTAAGTGTATCTTTGTCTAATTACCATATGTAATGAACTTGCAACAAATCTAGTTAAAATCCAAAAGATGATCTATCAGAGCTATTGTGTTACTTCTAATGGGTATTATTGAAATAGATGTAGAAGGCATAATTGCTTTATAACTGCTTTGTGTACTGTCTTACAATATTCCATGTAATTTAAGACTACTGTTTGTTCTCTTTCTAGTGATAAAAAGTTGATTGCAGAAGGACCTGGGGAAACAGTATTGGTTGCAGAAGAAGAGGCTGCTCGAGTGGCCCTTAGAAAACTTTATGGATTCACAGAAAATAGACGGCCGTGGAACTATTCCAAGCCCAAAGAAACCTTGAGAGCAGAAAAGAGCATCACTGCCAGCTAGCCGCCATGGATGCAGCAGCCTGAAACTTGAGAGCGAAAGTGAGATAAATGTCAAAGGTGTTTCAAGCCAGACATTTTCACAATTGTGAAGAAATAGATGTTTTGTTTCTGTTTTTTACTGTGTTCCCAAAATTAAATAAGTGTTAACCAAGTCACAGTGTTTTTGGTTTTGTTTTTCTGAAATCTTGGTTTGATCAAATCTTTTTTTTTTTCTCTTGAGATGGAGTCTTACTCTGTCGCCCAGGCTGGACTGCAGTGGTGCGATCTCGGCTCACTGCAACCTCCACCTCACAGGTTCAAGCGATTCTCGTGGCTCAGCCTCCCTAGTAGCTGGGATTACAGGCACACACCACCATACCTGGCTAATTTTTGTATTTTTGGTAGACATGGGGTTTCACCAAGTTGGCTAGGCTAGTCTTGAACTCCTGACCTCAGGTGATCCACCCGCCTTGGCCTCCCAAAGTGCTGGGATTACAGGTGTGAGCCACTATACCCGACCAGATCAAATCTTTTTTTGACATTTTTGCAAAAAAATTTTCCTAATGTTCTTGATTTAATTGTATAGAATTTGTATAATTAGGTGTATTTTATTTGCGTCTAGCTTTGAGGTATCATAATTTATGTATCTTATGTGAATTTTTTGCTGTAATACCAATAAAGTTTTTTTTCTCCACATGTTAACATTGCATTTTAATTTGATATACCCAGTAATGGCAGGAGGTTGATGAACTTCGCTTCTGTAATACAATTTTAACTAAAATAGTAATGTTAAAACTCTTTGGGAAATGCATAGTACAGATTATAAGTAGGCAGCTATTTACATGATCCCTAAATTCTAAGTTTAAAATTATGTATACTTCTAGTATGTTTCTTATTCAATTTCTATTATAAATAGCAGGAAAAGGCAAATTTATGCTTTTCAGAAATTGCCTTTTCTAAGAAGTTGAAACTCAAAAACAGCTTAAAATGTTAATGGTGAAGGGAAAATAAAGCCAGTATTAGTTCAATTTAGTATTCTAGTCATAATAATAGTATGTACCAAGCAGTGTTGTAAGTATTGGAACACATTTAATTCAGTAGAGAGGTTTTGGTTTTCTAATCCTTTGTGGTCAGTTCAATAATCCCCTAACTGCAAATTCCTTTTGATTTATCATTTGTTAAAAACTTTGGCAACAGTAATTTTTAGTTTGAGTCTTCCATTAGTCACTCCCAGGGGTTAACAAGAATAGCAGGACCTACGAGTTGAGAATAGAAAAGAGGTAAAATGTTAAAACCAACAGTACATTTGCCATGAATTTATTTATTTATTAGACAGAGTCTCGCTCTGTTGCCCAAGCTGGAGTGCAGTGGCGCGATCTCAGCTCACTGCAACTTTCGCCTCCTGAGTTCAAGCGATTCTCCTGCCTCAGCCTTCCGAGTAGCTGGGACTATAGGTGCGTGCTACCACACCCAGCTAATTTTTTTTGTATTTTAGTAGAGACGGGGTTTCACCATGTTGGCCAGGGCGGTCTCAATCTCCTGACCTCGTGATCCATCCACCTCGGCCTCCCAAAGTGCTGGGATTACAGGCGTGAGCCACTGTGCCCGGCCTGACATTTTTTTATAAAGAAAGATGAAGGAACTTTGAAATGCCTTTCCTGAGCCTGGCTAGGAAAGTGGAACTTGAGTTATCTTACAGGGTTTATAGCTCCCAAAGGTAAAGCAGAGACTTTTTGGAGGGGAAAATTTGAAAAATTAACTAGTTGACTGAATTGGCAGGTTAAAAGTGAGTTAAAGTTGACCCTCGAACAACGTGGGTTCGAATTGTGCAGATCAGTATATATATGCAGATTTTCTTCTGCTTCTGCCAACGTGAGACAGCAAGACCATCCCCCTTTTCCTCCTCCTCTTTAGCCTACTCAGCGTGAAGACAAGGATGAAGACCTTTTTGATCATCCGTGTCCACTTAATGAATAGTAAATATATTTTCTTTGATTTCTTTAATATTTTTAGCTTTGTTGTAAGAATAAGGTTTATAATCTATATAATAAAATATGTGTTAATTGATTATTTATTAATATATCATCAGTAAGGCTTCCAGTCAGCCATAGGTTATTAGGAGTTAAGTTTTTGGGAAGTTTAAAGTTAATATACAGATTTACTGCTACATGAGGGGTCAACATCCCTAATCCCTGCATTGTTCAAGGGTCAACTATATTTTACCTTTTTTTCAGAGTTAACTTCAACTCCTAGTAATGGAACACAAGGATAGAGGACCAAAACCAGTGGTAAAATGCCATTTATATGTGTTACTCACAAGTAAACATGATTTGATAAGCATCTCATTGGCACTGTAGGAGAAAAGAGATTATATGACAAACTTTTCTGGAAAGCAAAAGACATGTCTTCTGACCACTTATCCAGCATCTGTGAGATGGCAGAATCTAGCTGTGGTATGATTCTAATTTTTTTTAAGGTAAACATTAAGAAAGTCTAGGGAATTCATTTGCAAACCCAGTAATCCTTTTCTTCCCCCTCCCCGCCCCCCCCCCCCCCCCGCTAAATAGTGCTGATTGTGCGTTCCCAAATTTCTCCTGCTCAGGGGAGTTTGCAGGACCTTACCCTGCAAGCTTAGAGGGGAACTATCCTTTTAGGTTTTCAAACTTTTAAACTTTGAATGCTTCCAAATTTACATGTGGGACAAGTCTGGCTCTAGTTCATAAAACTACTTTGCAAGTAGAGATCCATATGCCTTATGTAGAATGTAATTTCAACATATTTCTAAGTAAAGCCTTCTTTGAACTTAAATTGTTGTACTTTTTAAAAGCACCCTCTAAAATAGGGTAGAAATGTAGAAAATTTAGAAAAATTGACATACATTTTCAATTGCATATCAAATATAGCTTGAAATTTGGAACCAGTCTCTGAGTAGCTATTTGTCCTATGAGCCTAACTGCATAAGTATGATATGTGGGTAGAAGGAACATGTGGGTACAAGAATGTCATCAAATGGTGCATGTGACCAAGAGCATTCAGTGACCATGTGAAGGACTAGCTCTTTGACTAATGCCTCGTCCATGTTGAGAAGACAGTCATAAGACTGGAAGCACTGACATTTGAATTTAGGTTCACACCAGAGGAAGACATTAGTCATTTACTTTGAAATTCTGACTTTTTCCACCTTTTCCCACTCTCCAGTTCCCTGTGCCCAAAGTATAATTGTACCAAAAAAATCCTCTAGCCAAAAATGTAACATTAATGTCTACAGACTTAATTACATAACCCCTATTCTTTTAAATTCATACTCTTTATTATATGCATATGTATAATGAGGAATATTTTTCTCAAAGTGTTGTATGTGGTCACAAGAAAGTAAACTGGAAACTAACACTAAACTCCAAGTAAGAATGGAACAAATTGGAGCTTTTTGTGTTCAGAGCTGTACTGATTTTGGCCACAAGATGGTGCTGTAATCCTATTGCACAATTTAGTATGTGAATTGGCCATTATGGGGAACCTATTTTCTACCGATACAGGAAAGATTATGTCTATATGGCACAGGATTACCATGAAATATGACTTTTCAAGGCCCCTTTCGGCTCTAATATTCCATGAATACTTCTTCAGGAGCCAGCTCACCTTGTTCTTCCCTCGCCTTTGGATGTTACAAGAATTTGATGTATGAACAATTCACCTGAGATGTGAAGGTATGGATTTTTGAGCTCTTTTCTATTCACCGGAAAGAAGGAAGAGTGCAGGGCTGCCATAGATAAAACTTTTAGAAGACCTTTTTGCAGGCCTCTTCTTGGTGTTTCTTTCTTCCTACTTCCTTTTGTTGATAGGAGAAGATGCACTGCGGAGGCAAGGGAATCCTGTGTCCATCGGGACAGTTCCTGAAGCCAGACGTAGACAGTCTTCCCATCAGGGTGGCCAGCTCACAGCAGCCCTCAGCAGAGGGGTATGCACTGAGGATGCTCAGCTGCCAGCATGCTGCCCACGTTCTTCATCCTAAGCCCACTTTGTTTTTCTTCCCCTCAGTTCATCCCTGTTCCATTTCCCCCAGCCTTAGTTTGCAAAGTCCCTCAACTATTGTCCTCTGGGACCTAGAGTCTCTTAACTTTGGTTGAGTATCAGAGCACTTACTTGAAAGCCATGGTTCTCTCTGTATAATACCAAGAATGATTGCTAGATCTAATCCCATCATGCAAACTAATAACAATTTTTCCTGGAACTTATACAATCAAAAATCACAATCACACATGCTCCTGAAAAAAGAAAGCTGTTTTGGCATTGGTGGTCTTTGTGCTTTCCATGACTATTTGTTGTTCATTTATCTGCCTGCCTATTAGTGTTTACTAATACAGAAGACTAATGGTTTAAGAAAACTTTCTGGGAGAAAAACAATTGGGAAAGTTGAAAACATTAACTTATTCCTTCTTCAATTGAGGAAGAACGACATTATTTGATTATTCAGAGGAGTTCAAGGAGTATCTTTTCACCTGAGCTGTTGTGTATTAAAATTGCAAATGAAGGCCTGGCATGGAGACTTATGCTTGTAATCTCAGCACTTTGGGAGGCCAAGGTAAGAGGATTGCTTGAGCTCAGGAGTGAGACCAGCTGTGATGCATAGCAAGACCCTGTCCCTATTTTATTTTTCAAATTTCAAATGAACTCAGTTTGTTCTATTCTGATCCTCTTTTTTGCAGAAGACATGAGTAAAGAGGTCATTGACAGAGAAGGATATTTCCGAGAGGGGAAGAGTTTGACTTTCTGACAATGTTTCCTGTACATAAACTATTGATGTCAGCATCTTCACATGAAGACATATCAGTAAGGGCCAGGAGACGTTTAGCAATAGACTTACACAGTTAATAAGACAAATCTAGTAAAAAAAAAAAAAAAAAATCAGCTGAGCGTCATCAGATGAACTGACTTGACAGTGATGTTCATGAGGCTCCTGGCAGTCCGCCACCAGGACTCAATTCTTGGTCCTGGGATTTTTTTATTGTTTTTTGTCTAGGAAGGATAGGCATGGAGGCCCGCCATTCTTCACTTTACCTTTGGCAAGAGATTATAAACTTCAGATGAAGGGGGTATAGCACTAAGAAATTTAAAATTTCATTTTCATTTTGCCACCTAATAATTTTTTTTTTTTTTTAAGAGATAGGGTCTCAGTAGGTTGCCCAGGCTGGTCTCAAACCCTTGGGCCTCCCAAAGTATTGGGATTATAGGAGTGAGCCACTGCACCAGGCCCCTAATAATAATGTTATCTGCAAACATTAACAATGTACTTGGTGTGAAGAACGGTGATTTCTTATCTTGCAAATTTCTCATTTAAATCACACCATCTCTATTTTTATCTTCAAGATTCAAGAGAGGGTCAAGGTGGGATCATAAACTTAGATGAAGGAGGTATGGCACCAAGAAATCAAAAATTTCACTTCCATTTTGCTACCTAATAATAATTTTATCTGAAAACACTAACAATGCATTTGGTGTGATGAAGAACAGCTATTTCTCATTTTGCAAATTTCTCATTTAAATCACATCTCTCTTTTTCTTCAAGATTTAAGAGATGGTCGAAGGCACAGTTTGGGAATCCCCAGAGAAATGGAGCTTTAAAGCCAGTAGTGTCTTCCACTCTTGGGCCTCCCAAAGCCGACTCTCAGTAGGCAAATGACACAGTGTCTTTCAACATTCACAGGAGGTCAAGGACATAGAAGTCACTTCCCAGCTTACCGAGCTCTCACCTCTCTCCCAGCTGTCACCACTGATCACTCTTAGGAAGTGGGCAATTGCTACTCTGCTGGCCCAGGGGAAACGCCTGCATCCCTGCTCTTTCGTACCCGCCCTGCATGTGAATCTCATGTATTATTCAGTTTTTCATTTTCAGAAAACAGCACTCCCGGTACAAAGGCCACTCCCTTGGGCCTCTTTGTAAACTTCTGTTGTGATTGGGATTTTCTTTTGCTTCAAAATTTCCTGTCACCTCTCCTTTTTAGGACAGAGTGAAAGGCCAGCTAAGTCAGAGCTTTCAGTGTATTTGGGTCGGTACCTACTCTCTTCCTCCACAGTGACCAAGGCAGAATCGGAAGTACCCATCTCATGACCTGTCAAAAGAGTGACTACACTGATGGTTTGTCTCAGTTTTAACAAACGTCTATCATTTTGTTACTTTAGGAAAACTGCAGCCTCTCTCTTGTTCAAACTCAGTGTGACATCTAATCTATAAGATACATTATTTGCTCAAACATGTCCATATACTGGGGCTGGAGGACTGCCTGAGGCCAGGAATTTGAGAGTAGCCTGGGTAACACAGCAAAGACCCCCATCTCTACAAAAAAATTTTTTAAAAAAAATTAGCCAGGTGTGGTGGTACGTGCCTATAAGTCCTAGCTATTCGGGAGGCTGAGGCAGAAGGGCTGCTTGAGCCCAGGAGTTCAAGGCTGCAGTGAGCCATGATCATACCACTGCATTACAGCCTGGGCAACTGAGAGACCTTGGAGTGATGGTATGACTTAAATGAGAAATTTGCAAAATGAGAAATCACCATTCTGCATCACACCAAATACATTGTTAATGTTTGCAGATAACATTATGATTAGAGGCCTGGTGCAGTGGCTCACTCCTATAATCCCTATATTTTGGGAGGTCCAAGGGTTTGAGACCAGCCTGGGCAACCTAGGCAACATACTGAGACCCTATCTCTAAAAAAAAAAAAAAAAAATTATTAGGTGTCAAAATGGAAATGGAATTTTAAATTTCTCAAAAAAAGTTTTAGGAAAAAAAAAACATGTCTACACAGCAAAAATGATCTATCACAGGCCTGTAATTTTTGTGGCAGTCTCTAAGTCTAAATTTATTTCAATTTCCCTCAGGGAAAGGAGGTTCCATAAATTTGATCATTTTGAAGTAAGACAAGGCCTACAGATCATTGACTTAAAGATATCAAAATGTAGTCCGGGCGCGGTAGCTCAAGCCTGTCATCCCAGCACTTTGGGAGGCCGAGGCAGGGGGATCACCTGAGGTCAGGAGTTCGAGACCAATCTGGCCAACATGGTGAAACCCTGTCTCTATTAAAAATACAAAAATTAGCCAGGCGCAGTGGTGCGTGCCTGTACTCCCAGCTACTGGGGAGGCTGAGGCAGAAGAATTGCTTGAACCCAGGAAGCAGAGGTTGCAGTGAGTCGAGATCACGCCACTGCACTCCAGCCTGGGTGACAGAGCAAGACTCTGTCTCAAAAAAGAAAAAAAAAAAAAGTACACATACATAGTTGGGAACAGCAAGGCTCAGCCCACTTGACAAATAATAATTCCAAATGGCAAACTGATGGAGTGCCGAATGTGAGGTTTTAATGTATAGTTTAAGGCAAGTAGAACTCAAGGGCTAAAAATAAAAAAATGTTTTTAAGTTTTGATAAATGTTTTAAACTTAAATTCTGATTTAGCTTAGACTGCATAAATCTTTAAGAAATTAGTTTTTTAAAAAGCAGGCAAATGGTAAAATCAGAATTATGATATTTGTAAGCTGAATGCCAGTGGCTCATGCCTGTAATCCCAGCACTTTGTGGGGCTGAGGCAGGTGGATCACTTGAGGTCAGGAGTTCAAGACTAGCCTAGGCAAGATGGCGAGGCATGTCTCTGTAAAAAGAAAAAGGAAAAAAAGAATTATGATGTTTGAGTTCAACTTGGAAAGTTACCTTGAAAAAAACAAAAAAAAAACAAAAAACAAACAAAAAAACCCTGTCATTTCAAAAACACTCCTGCCTATCATCACCAAAAACGAAACAGTTCCTGTTCCCCCAGGAGTTCCAAAATACATGGTACCCAGCAACTTCATTCGGCACTTGCTACAAAATCCGTTTCTTTGCTGAGAATTCTTAGCCATTGCTGGAGTGAATGTAGCTAAGAGTAGAACTAGGATTACTGTAATAGTTACTCTGTTGAAGTGATCTAGAAAATGAGATGTGTTGAAGCGGGGAAGTGTTTGATTGTCAGGTCTAGAGGAAAAGAATAGGAAAAGTCTCCGAGCTTTGAATTTCCTGATGTTTACATAGTACAAAGGTTTATTAGAAGAGGCTGACGAATGTCTAAAAGGCTCAGTTTCTTCTATTGTATTTTCAAATAGCAGAGAAATAGCTTTATTTTTACTACTCATAACAGTTTATTTTTACTTTGTACAAAATACAAAAATGCAAATCCAAGGAGTACAGACCAGTAGTGACAGGCACACTGCACAACAGCAACCTTGTCTAGCAAGACAGGAGTTTTTTAAATTTTATTTTAGTGAATACATGCATTATATAAAACAACAACAACAACAACAACAAAAACACAAAGAGGCTAGAGATTTCACCGTTTCTACCACCAAAATAACGCTTGCTATCAAGACTTTGGAGGGGGATGGGGGAAAAGAATTTAAAAGGCAAATAATTTTTTTTTCATAAAAAGTAAAAGCTACCATAAAACATTTTTTTTTCTGTCACACTGATTAAATTTCTTCTGAAAAGCCGCACATATAGACAAAACAAAACAAAAATTCCTGAACTGGACAAACAGCAAATACTCAACAGGGTTGTTAACCTAGGTAACAGTTCAGTAGTTTAAAGAATCTTTTAGACATCTGGAAGCCTTTCTATTCATTCCTCAGTACAGTGTTCCAGCCATCCTGCTTGTTTTTTCCCTCCAATACCTCCCAGAACAGAAACACTTGCATCGAGTCTGTTCCTAAGAACTAGTTTTGAAAAAGAAGCGATGTACAAAAATATTTAACAGAACTATGAAAGATGCAGGAAAGGAGTCTTTCTTCGTAGCAAAGTAGTCGTTGCTTTGCATGGTTTCTTTTGTATACTCTTCAGGGTTTGTTTATCTGCCCCATGAATAACACAGCACCTACAGAATTAAAAGAAAACAATGCATGACTCTGTAAATTAATAATCCTTAAAATAAGATGGAAGGTATTCTATTTAAGGGAAGGGAAACAATCATGTTTGACCTCTTGCTCAGTAGTGTCCAGTATAACTTTCTGCAGTGGTAGAGATGGTCTATATCTTTGTTGTCTAGCATGGTAGCCACTAGTCACATGTGGCCAGAGAGTGCTTAAAATGTGGCTAGTGTGACTTAGAAGTTGAATTTTAATTTTATTTTTTATTTCTTGAGACAGAGTCTTGCACTGTCACCCAGGCTGGAGTACAATGGCGCCATCTCGGCTCACTGCAATTTCCGCCTCCTGGGTTCAAGCAATTCTCCTGCCTCAGCCTCCCAAGTAGCTGGGATTACAGGCACCCACCACCACTGCCAGCCAATTTTTTGTATTTCTAACAGAGATGGGGTTTTGCCATGTTGGCCAGGCTGGTCTCGAACTCCTGACCTCAGGTGATCCACCCGCCTTGGCCTCCCAAAGTGCTGGGATTACAGGCATAAGCCACCGCACCCAACCAGAAATTGAATTTTTAAAGTTAATGTTAAATAGCCACATGTGGCCAGAAGCTCCTCATTGGCTGGCTCAGTTCTGGGGCATGCCAATTAGAACATCACAGATGCAATGAGATAAGAGAATAAGGAACTATCTCATATTACTGATTAAATAAAATAGTAAAAGCTAAAATATATTAGTGCCTACTCTTGTACCAACAAGAAGCCAACCTCTCTACAAAGATGAACTTATACTTCATAATTGTAATAAGCAGTCAGCACTACTGTTGTCCTCATTTTAAAGATGAGGCTTAAGGCCAGAGCCAAGTTTGAACCATGACTCACAGAGCAAAAATCTACTGTATTAACAATTCCCAAGGTATAACAATAGAGTGGGCTTACAAAGTGGTATGGTTTGGCTCTGTGTCTCCACTCAAATCTTGCCTCGAATTGTTAATAATCCCCATATATCAAGGGCAGGACCAGGTGGAGAAAACTGAATCATAGGAGCAGTTTCCCCCATACTGTTCTTGTGATAGTGAGTGAGTTCTCATGAGATCTGATGGTTTTATAAGGGGTTTCCCACTTCACTCGGCTCTCATTCTCTCCCCTGCTGCCCTGTGAAGTGATGCCTTCCACCGTAATTGTGAGGTTCCTGAGGCTTCCCTAGCCATGTGAAACTGTGAGTCAATTAAACCTCTTTTTCCTTGTAAATTACCCACTCTAGGGTATTTCTTCATAGCAGGGTGAGAACAGACTAATACACAAAAGTTGAAGTTATATAGCTTCTAGCAAAATTGAACCACCACATTTATATAAATATGGAAAAGTCAATAGATGTCAAAAGTGTTCCAAAGGGATGCTGAGCCTCTCTGTTAAAAACAACAATCCGCAAAACCTAAAATCCTGTCAGTGTGTAAAAGATTCCATCACATCTGTAAACACAGCCTTTATTTTCCTATCTCTTTAACATGGGTGGTTATATTATTCAAAGTGTCTGCAACTATTGACATTAGGGAAATGGACTATGGGCACCACTGTTGGATATAATGAAGAGTGCAATATACCTTTTGAAATTCTAACAGAGAGGGCATGATGGAAGAGGAGAGTCACTTACCTGTAGGATTATGTCGGATGAAAAACAGAAAAGGTCTGTCTACTATAAACCAGGGAGGCGATGATCTTGCAATGAGAATTGCAGCTACGGGAAGAAAAGGAAAATGTGTTGTGCACATTACATGAGACCATGTAAGCATAAGGCCAGCAAGTTAGCTAGCTTCATGGACCCTCAGAGGCTGGTGTCTGAAGACACACTTCATGCTTGTTCCATAGGCTGGCCATGTTACAACAGGCTCAATGGTCACCATTTACTAAGCCTACCTTGGGCCAGGCCCTTTACATTACTCTCTCATGTCTTCTACACAAGCACCATCTCTGATAAACATACTTACTCCTCATAGAGTTTTGATGAGAATTAAATGACATAATTAAATGACATAAGATATATTATAGCTCTTAGAACAGTGTTTGCCACTAAACACATCTAATGCATATTTATTGTTATTAGCTATTTTTTATTCACACCATCTGCTTTGCTGATAAAGCCCCCAGTCCTTTTTTTTGGGGATGGAGTCTCACTCTGTCACCCAGGCTGGAGTGCAGTGGCGCGATCTTGGCTCACTGCAACCTTTGCCTCCCGGGTTCAAGCGATTCTCCTGCCTCAGCCTCCTGAGTAGCTGGGATTACAGGCATGCACCACCACGCCTGGCTAATTTTTGTATTTTTAGAGACAGGGTTTCACTATGTTGGTCACGCTGGTTTTGAACTCCTGACCTCAAGTGATCCACCTGCCTCAGCCTCCCAAAGTGCGGGCATTACAGGCATGAGCCACCGCGCCCGACCCCTGGTCCTGTTTAGCTTCTCTAAATCTTTTCTGTATATAAAGGCCCAGTCCAATTCTTAGCTTTTGTGTCTGTGCCTTCTCCTTTGGCACATTATTTAGGTTTCCTCTGCACTGGAATGTAGACCACTCATCCGGGACCTACTACCTTATACTGCTGTTCCACTCACCAGGTGTAGGCATCTGACTTGGAAAGCAAACTTCTTTAGCCTCATGGGTCTTGGCCATTCCTCGTCTGCCAGGCTTGTTTCCATTTAATAAGCCTGAACCAGGGCCTCACGGGAGGGTAGGTGTGTGGCATTACTACCACATGCCTGTTGCAATAGCTCAGTCCTCTTGCTCAAACCCCATGAAGTATTGAACACTTGGGCTTGATGTTATAAAGGAAACAGCTGCAGTTATGCTGGGGCAAGCCCTTTTACCCAGGGTTATTAAAAACAAATATTAAATAGCAGGTGTTATGGACTGAAATGTGTCTCCCCCCAAATTCATATGCTGAAGCCCCAAACCCCTAACGTAACTGTATTTGGAGATAATGCCTTTGAGGAGGTAATGAAGGTTAAGTAGGGTTCTATTCTAATAGGACCGTTGCCCTTATTTGAAGTGGGAGAGACACCAGGGATGTGTCACATGGAGAAAAGACCATGTGAGGACACAGGGAGGGGGCGACCTCCGGAGATCCAGAGATCTCAGGAGAAACAAACCTGCCAACACCAACACCTTGATCTTGAACTCGCAGCCTCCAGAAGTGTGAGTTCTGTTGTTTAAACCACTCAGTCAACGGTATTTTGTCATGGCAGCCCAGGCGGACTAAGACAGGAGGACCTGGGCGGTTACATGGGGCCCTGCACTGGGTTTAATACTCTGCTGTTGCTATCTTGAAATTCTTATACATTTTGAACAAGGGGCTCCATATTTTCATTTGGCACAGGACCCCACAAACTATGTAGCTGGTCCTGATAGTTACACTCAGCAAAACTGGTCAATAACTTTTAGATGTTACTTAAAATTACCTAGAAAAGACAAAAAGCATCTTAAAATTTCCAACCCTCTTATTTCAGGGTCTTTGTTTTAAATGCTTCTTTAAAGGAATTTTTAAAACGTTTATTCGAGAAAGGCAATAACACATCTATTGTGAGTATAACTGGTATGTTTCAATGACCAGAGATATTTGACCCAGCTGCAAGTGTAGCTAAGATTTTCACTTTATGGGCTCACAGAGTTGGCCAAATCTATTCATCTATTTTCCTACGGATAATGAGGGGTGAAAAAACTGACTTACGATTGTTCTGTTTTCTCCTTCATTATGTAAACCACTGAGGAGGAAGCAGATGTGGATGTTCTAATTATCAAGGAAGGCTGTACAGCAATCCTGCCGCAATTCAACAGATGCTGGCGAATTCTTCGGTTTATCCTGGATAGACCTGATTGCCTATTTTCCTTTAAGTACTTGTTGTTTATTTTATGTTCAAATCTGAAGATTGGTCTTTTTTGCCAGTAAGAAGCCAGAACATGTTTTATCCTCCTGAGAGCAGGGGTCAGCAAACTATTTTCCTCAAGGCAAGTCTACCAGGACAAATCCTGTTTTTATAAATAAAGTTTTATTGGAACACAGCCACATCTGTTTACTTGTATTGTTGATTGCTGTTTTCATGCTACAGTGAAAGAGCTAAGAAGCTGTAATGGAGATGGTATGACACACAAATCTGAAATACATACTACCTGGCTCTTTATAGAAGTTTGCTGACTCCTGTCCTAGAGGAATTTCTCTCACTGAAATGCTTTTCTTTAATGAAACAGATTCTGAGCTTTGTGGTTACAGGTCTTCAGTCTGTCTGTACTCACTGCTGTCTCCTGAGGGTTAACCCACACACACTGCCTGGCTGGAAAGAGGGTGCATTACATATTTGCTCAACCAATGAGTATACAGGAATGTGTTTGCTCCCCTGCTAGAGGAAGCCCTGCCACGTGACCCAGTGCTTACTTGTTGCTGCTGAAGCTTTGGTTCCATCTTCACTGACTTCAATTTTTGCTTTTTGCAAGATATGAGAAACATGGAGGTTTTCTGACCCTGCTTCCAGAAAATAAAACAGTATCAGCATTTGTTTGATAGGCAGGCCATTGGTTGGTTGGGGAAGTAACCTCAAAGCTCAAAGCCATGGCAAATTCCAATTTTTAAAGTGTCAGAAGACATGACCTCTGACAGTCCTGGTGTTGAAGGCTGCAGACAGCTGTTACTTGTGAATTTCAGTCCCTGCTAAGTGAACTGTGATACTCACTTCTGGAGAAGGGCCCAGGCCCTCAAATGATTTAGTGCCTCTATCAATTCAATTCTGATCACTAGAATTGTTTTTTAAAAATGAAAAGAGCAGAGCTTTAAAAAGGAAGCCCGGTTTTCTGGAAGCAGCAAGGCAACAAGATTATTTTTCAGTTACAGAATGCAGATGCAGAAGGGATTTCAGACAGCATTTACAGATGGGGAAACTGAGGCCTAGAACGTTAAGTAATGTTCCCTGCAATCATACGGCTAGTTAGTGGCAGAGTAAGTCCTGGCTCTTCACAACAGCCACTCATCTCATGGGCATGCTAGTAAGAGAAGAGTGTCGAACAAGAGAAGAGTTTAGATTTTCCTGGAAGGGCCGATGTGTAAATGCAGTTGTGCCTCAGGGACATTCTGGTGAACTCACTTTACTTCTCAGCAAATTCTGACCATTCCAGCAACACCCACTGGGTGTAGCTTTCACAGAGAATGAAAAACTTAAGTTGATATTAGTCTGGATGGGACATAGGTCTGGATGCAAAGGGAAAATGTGCTTTTTGTGTCATCTGCTTGTGAACTATCTGCACCAATGCCCAGCTCTAATATGACCAAATTGTGACTGAGATGCACATTTATAGGGCCCAAGTCACATGCAGTGTTAAAGAGGACTTTCCAGGAGAATCTGGGGCACCTGGTTCTTCCTGTGAACACCCCCCATTTAGTATTTCAGCTACCATGAACAACCTTGAAGGGAAAAGTGCAGATGAAAATGGTGCTTCTCAGTCTTTGCTGGGCTGAGGGACTGTGTTAAAATGGATTCTGGTTCAGTGGGTCTGGGTTACACCCAAGATTGTGCATTTCAAACAAGCTCCTGGGTGATGCTAATGCTGCTGGGCTGGAGGCCTGAGTTTGAGTCATGAGGGATGAACGGCTATCAGAATATCCATGGAGCTGCAGGTTCACCAGGGGAGTCATGTTTGTCCCCAGAACAGGTACTAGGTGTTTACTAGCATGCAACTGAAGCTGGTAATGAGCTAATTTCTTACCACTCAAAGTTATTTGCAAACTGGAGTGCAAATAATGTTCAAGCCATGGCTTTTCCTTGGAAAGATTGCTATGTTCTAAATTTAAAGAACAAAGGACTGACCATTCAAACATAACTCTAGAAAAAGGTACATATACTGCTGGCAAATGAAAAGCATGCCTTAATTGCTTTGGCAAAGGAAAGTTTTAATCAGATTCATTTGAATTTATATCGTTTCATATTAATGAGCATGAAATGCCAAAATACATATCTGGGTACAGTGAATGACTGCAGTCTTGACTTTTTTTCAAGCAAAAGGAAAAAGTTGGCATTTGAAAACAGAGCGACAACACCTAAGTCAGAGCCAATATTCATAAAAGCAATACATGAAATACTCCTTTAGGTAGTCACTGGGGCTTCCCATGAAATGTACGTGCAAAATGTGGGGACGCTGATTTAAATGAAGGTCAAGAGCAATGACTAGATAAAGAAAATGAGGTATGTACACATCATGGAATACTACTCAGTCATAAAAAGAATGAAATAATATCTTTTGCAGCAACTTGAATGGAGCTGGAGGCCATTATTCTAAATGAAGTAACTCAAGAATGGAAAACCAAATACTGTATGTTCTCGCTTGTAAGTGGGAGATAAGCTACGGGTATGCAAAGGCATACGGAGTGGTATAATGGATTATGGAGACTCAGAAGGAGGAGGGTGGGTTGGTGAGGAGCTAAAAATCTATTAATACATATTGAGTACAACGTATACTACTCGGGGGAGGGGTGTACTAAAATCTCAGACTTCATCGCTATATAAACTGATCCATGTAACCAAAAACCACTTGTATCCCAAAAACTATTGAAATAAAAAGATAAAAGGAAAAAATAAATAAATGAAGGTCAATAAATAAACGAAGGCCAATAGCATAATTTGGCAATGTATCAAATGAAACCTTGTACAGTTTCAGGGCAACACATTCCTAATTCTGATCCTTTTTCTCTGCACAAATCAGTCTCAGTTTGTAACACTTTCTTCAAGTATACAAATACATTTTAAATTGAACATACTTGTTATTTTTGCAAAATTTGCCTTTGATGAATCAAACATGTCAGTAATGCCAAGAACTTTCAGCGGCTCCTTCAAATCTGTTTGTGCTACAGCTGTGAACCTAGCATGAAAGCAGAAATGGAGAAAAAAAATCACGAGGCTATAAATGCTACATGATAGAGTCGGTGCATGTTTACAAACTGATTCTTTTAAAGTTAATATCTGAATACCGATCTGAATTGCATCTTAAATTTGAATTCCAAATTTAAATACCAGATAAGTAAAGGACAACTCCTCTCTCAAACACTTAGCTGGCAAAATGAGTCATATGTACTAACGGCAAGAATAGGCGCTCCCACCCTCAGGTGTAATGGGCCCCCTGTTCCAATACTTAGGAAGATCTACAAACATACTTTCTTTTATACTGACGTGGAGGTTGAGTGTTAACAAGTTCCTAGTACTCTGGAATATCTATTATTCTTCCCCATATCCAACTAAAGTTCTCCATATCCATCTTGGCTGCTCTAAGACCTGCCATCCTTATTGGGATTGGAGATGGTCAAAAGAGAGGAGAAACATTCCTGATAGTTCATTTTGGGATTCTTTTTTTTGAGACAGAGTCTTGCTCTGTGGCCCAGGCCAGAGGACAATGGTGCAATCTTGGCTCACTGCAACCTCTGCCTCCTGGGTTCAAGCAATTCTCCCGCCTCAGCCTCCCAAGTAGTTGGGATTACAAGCACCCACGACCATGCCTGGCTAATTTTTTATATTTTTAGTAGAGACGGGGTTTTTCCATGTTGGCCAGGCTAGTCTGGAACTCCTGACCTCGTGATCCGCCCACCTCGGCCTCCCAAAGTGTTGGGATTACAGGTGTGAGCCACCACGCCCAGCCCCTTTTGAGATTCTGAAAGTATTTTACTATTAAAACAGGAGCAAAGATTAGGCATAGGTGACACGGTATTATATTTGGGTATAATATAGGTTTCTTGAATATTTGTGACCTACTTGGCCTTGGGGATATATGGAGATATATGCACACACACACACACACACACACGTATATATATGTGTGTATATGTGTGTGTGTGTGTGTGTGTGTGTGTGTAAATGTCAGTTACTGTCATCAGAGGATGCTTTATCAGATTTGATCTCATCCTGTGGAAGAGCACTAAGGAGACGTGGGCAGATTCTCACCACAGATGGGCTATAATGGTAAAGAACCTGTTCTTCACCCATTGAGGCCTACGATGCCACCATCTTATTTATTTATTTATATCAAGCATTGCCTACTTGAAGGCTTATTTTACAAAAAAAAAAAATCTTGAGAGAATTAGTAATACTTATTGTGAATGTCTTACTCTGATTACTTAACTCGGTGACCAAAGAATCAAAAGCTATTAGAACTCTCCACTACCACCAAGACCTGGGTTGTTAAAAGCTCTGGATGGTGGGAAGGCAGCAATGTTGAAAAGTTCATAGAAAGGGAACAACATTCATTGCTTCTTCACAGTTCTGGACAAAGCATTCTCTGACCTGTTAGAACATGAAGATTCATACAGGATTTGGGGTTACTTTTCCCATGGCTTCAAGTCATAACAGCTCAAATTCCATCTTTGTCTTACTCTTAGGGTATAATAGAAAAACTGGCTGCCTTGGTCTTCATGAACTTCTAGTTAAATAAATAAATAACTAAAATGAAGCTCCTTATGAAAGCACATGGAGTTCTATTAAACCTCACTGTACTTTCATCCATACTATGATGACACACGTGTGTTTTCAGTCTTTTAAATACAATGAGATATGTCAAAAAGCCCCTGCAGTACCATGAACTGCTTATGCTCATGTGGAGGTTTAGAGACCAAGGTTGCCCTCTCTCCTTTCTTATGATCCATATCTTACCATACAGGAAGCACAGGCATTGAATAAAAGCGTTTAGAAAAGCACGGCCTCGTAATCCCACCATGAAATTTCTGCAGAACAGAACAGGCTTCATGATGTGCCATATTTTCGCCTCATGTTGTCTGGTGTCCGACATAACACCTGCTGATTGAATAATGCCACTGTTTTCTTTGAGGGGAAGGGGCCACTTACTTGGGCAGGATCACCTGCACCCTCTTGGGCACCATGATGCTCATCCAGCTGTCTATGGTCTTGGTGCTGATGTGTGGGATGATGGCAGACAGCGGAGTGGAGCTCTCAGTCGGCAGTGCAATCAGCATGCTGATGCTTTCCCCGTGGTAGGGCAGTTCAATGAAGTTGTACCATAAATCATTGGGGGCACTTGTCGACCCTAAAGAAATCAGAAGCAGGTTCAGTGTATCCTTGTTGACTTCTAGAAGCAGGATGAGTGCTTGCTGGTCACCGGGATAGCTTCAGAGAGCAACTCAGTTGGAGAACTTCCCTTTTCCACAAATAGCTTCCTTAGAAGGACAAAGACAAGGACAATTATTTCTTCCTTCCCCAGTGAAGAATTCTCCTTTCTTCAGTCTAGACAGAATGCCTTTGGGAATCACTGAAATCACTTTAATTCTGTTAAGGAGAATTTAACTAAATCACAAAGTGCTTAAAATTCAGTGCTTTGCAAGAAGTTGACCCTCACATGAATAAAAGAATACATTCAAGCTGCCTTAGAATCATTCCTTTTTTTTTTTTTTTTAAATAAAGTGTATTGTGTATATTAAGGTACACAATATGACGTTATGGGATACATATAGATAGTAAAATAGTTACTATGAAAAAGCAAATTAACATATCCATTATCTCACATAATTACCCATTTTGCTGTTTTTGGGACAAGAGCGGCTAAAATTTACTCATTGAGCAGGAATCCCAACATGGTGCAATTTTATTACCTCTAGTCCTCATTTTGGATAAGCCTACATGTGCAGGTGAAGAGAGACAGGGATACAGAGCATCCACAGGGCTCACTCTGTGCCAGGCCCATATCAACCCTTCAACAGGCTGAGGATCTACAGCACCTCACGGGGTAGGCGTAAGCAGTGCTATTTTGCAGTTGAGAAAGCCACCTTTAGAGAAATGAAGTAACCTCCAAAGGATGCACGGCTAAGAAGTGAGGAGCCAGGAGAGTCTAATGCCAAGGATTGTCTTCCTCCTACTTCACCACCCTGCCCTATTCACTCTTCACCCATTCCAGTAATCACCACTGGAGTTTTAGATACTTTATGGTACTTCTACTTACTAATGAAAACCCAAGAATAATTTAAGCCAGCATTTCTCAAATGTTATTTGGAGAACAGTCTACCTGCAAGATGCTCTATAGACAAAACAGATTCCACATCTTAGGGAGTTCAGCAAACAAGAAGAGAGAAAGCAAGTTTCTTGCACGATTTTCACTGATCTTTTCTTTGGAGATGACATGTGCCAATCACTGCCTTTGAGACAGGGAACTTCAATATGCCAGTTCTCCATAGAACAGGGTTGGGAGGGATGGACAGAGGGAGAGATGAAGAGAAAGATACCAAGAGAGGGAAAGAGAGTGTACTTGATGAACACTGAAATATCATAAAAATACTGAGGTTATTAGAATATATGGCACCACAGGATGACACTACAGTTTTTCCCTAAGGAAGAAACAACATAGAGAACTGGCAGAGGAACTGGGGCTCTCCTGGTCCTAGCACACTGCATTTCCTGCAGGGCTGTTCAGTAACCCGGGTGCAGCTCGCCTCAGCTCCCATGTGTGTTGAACTCTCACCCAAGCCTGGCTTCTGTCTTGCGGCAACCTAAGAATGAAAGAGAGGATTCTTCGTCTTTACTCTTAGCCTGCATAACAAAATGGTCTCAGCAGAAACGGAAAAATCAATGGGAAAGTGAGAAAAAAATCACTTCCTAATGAGCTCTTTAATCCTTGAAGAAAACATTAAATCTCTATTCTGGCGGAGCTAATTTTCAGAAACTGTGAAATATGGGAAGTGGTTAATAAGTGATTGCTCCAGGGCATGAAATAAGGACCTGGAGGTGTTAACTGCTTCTAGAAATGTTTACTATTTCTGTTAAGGAGGATTGAAGTAATGAATAATGAAAAGTTATGAGCTGGAATGTGTTCAAGGGAGGAGAGAGATCATCTAGCTTCACCAGTTAATCCATCCTTGGCTGGACCCATTATTAACTGATCAGTAATATTAATAACCATGAACCGCATCCAGTCACCTCTGCTTGATGACTGATTTCCCCCCACTCCTTCTGCTTCTGACCACAGAAGCTGATGACCAGTGGTAGCCAGGGTGCATCAGACATACGCATGCTTACCTTTATTTGGTGCCTTGAGGAGCTGGGAGATAAAATAACACCTTTTCTGTCTTTCTACCTGGTCACTCAAGTACTGCATCCTTTTATAGAGGACACGTGCCAAAGCCACGAGATCTGGGGTTATAAGACCTGTATTCAAATCCTGCACTTGTAGCACACTAGCTCTGAGACTTTGGCAAGTTCCTTGACTCCAAGTCTTAGTTTCTTTATCTGTAAAAGCCTACAATAATAGCACCTACTTTACAGAGCTATGAAAATTCATTGAGACAACACATACAAAGTGCTCAGCATAAGCTGGCCCATAGCAAAAACTGCCGTCTTTTGATGTAAGAAGCTTTGTAAAATACCTCACTTCTTGCAATGTGAGGTCCCTGCTCACAGTCTAAACACAAAATCGGCCCACCCAGGTAAACTACATGGAATATTACGTAGCTGATAAAAGCACAACTCCCAAGCAGAATGAATCAAGTAAGGAAGGGGACTTGGGAGCCTTGTGTCAGAGCATGGAGCCTCTCATCGTCCCAGAGCTTTTCCCTTTAAAATCCCCTACCCGATGCTCTCTATTCTTTAACCTCTGGAAGGCAGACTGAGTATTCTTTAACAAGGGTCATTTCTGCAGTGTATAAAAACGTAAGTATAATAGGTTGATTCATTCTGAAAAGGAGCGGAGGTGAAAAAGAGAAAATAAGGATTTTCTCTTAGATGAATGGTGGTCAACAAAACTTCTAATGGGAGACAATAAGTGAAGAATCAAGCATTAAAAATGTGGAGGAGATTTAGAACTTTCTCTAAGTGGTGTTTTGGGTGACCCAGTTTTTCCAGAAAGCCCCTGAAGTAATCTGATTTCCACTTTAAGTGCTACTAGGGAAGACGTAACTAGGCTCACTGAAATGTTAAGAGCTCACACTGTAAAATCAAAGAGGGTATCTTAAATATTTAATATCAGGAAACCTTTATAGATGAAAGTCCCTCTAATTACCTTCTACTACAAGTAAATATGGATTTCCTGAGGACTTAAGAAACTTTTTAGACTGCACTTTAGTAGAAATTGAAATGGATATTTTGGAAAAACAACAGCAAAATGCTCCATCGTGTGCAATACTCTACATTCTAGGCTGGAGTCCAAAGGGAGTTCGGGGACAGTAGCTGGGGAAGGAGGGGTGGCGTAAGTAACTGGGTGAGTATTGGTGCCATTTGCTGCTAAGGAACGATGGGTTGAGAACTAAATGGGCAAGGGCAATACATATATTTATTTACTGAGACAGGGTCTTGCTCTGTTCCCCAGGCTGGAAAGCAGTGATGTGATCAGGGCTCACTGCATCTCAACATCCTGGGCTCAAGTGAACCCCCGACCTCAGACTCCCAAACAGCTGGGACCACAGGTGAGCACCACCATGCCTGGCTAATTTTTAAACATTTTTTTGTAGAGACAGGGTCTCGCTATGTTGCCGAGGATCATCTTGAACTCCCAGGCTCAAGCCATCCTCCTGCCTCAGCTTCCCAAAGTGCTGGAATTACAGGTGTGTGCCATGGTGCCTTGGCATAAATGAGTTTCATCTATGCAACTAGAATTTAGTAGGCAACCAAGTTAAGACGTAATGTGAACAGACAGGTATGAGTTAGAAACTCAGGAGAAAAGAAGATGGAAATATAAATTTGTTATTCTTCATGTTTTTTTTCCAAAATAAAGTCTCAAATGTCTAAATTCATAACCATAAAACATTTGTAACAACTATGACTTGGAGATTCCTATTCCATTCCTATTCCTATCCCAGGAAATTACCTTTAGAAATTTACTGATGCAAATATTGAAAAACCTATGTACAAGAATACTCACTGCAGTGTTGTTATAGGAAAAAAGCAGATGGCTTTCCATAGGATAGCATGATACATTTGTATTATGGAATATTATGTGGCTGATAAAAGGATCAAGTAAATCCTTATGAATTGGCACAAAAAGTTGTCCACTCTCTAATGAAAGCAGATTATAGAACAGAAACTACAGTACAATCCTATGTATGTAAAAAGTTTCATAGACATATTTTACATATACCTAGAAAGGTTCTCAAATGACAAACTTGATACTTAATAGGGAATTTTATCCTAGGAAATAGGATTTTAGGGGAACTTTTGGTTTCTGCCATATATATTGTACATGGAGGTATACTGAGGATTTTGCAATGAGCATGAAATATAAATCTACTAAAAATGATTTTAAGGCTTCTCTTTTTCTTAATAGAAAAGTTTCTACCCTTGAAGTACTTCTACTTTATGGGGCATAAATCAGAAGGGTTTTCTTCTCTTCTAGTTTTCACTCTCTTTTTGTTATCAAGCAAATATTCTCAGAGCTCTTAATGATATCTTGGGGAAAACAGTCAAGAAGGCAGATAAACTGAATGACAATGTTTTGGCAAAGTGACCCAGAATAGTGAGGCGTGGCTGAGGCCCAGGAAGCATCCGACAGGTGGCACCCTGGGCCCTGTGAGTTTGGACACAGCAGCTCGAGCTGGGCCACTCCTGCAGGTCAGAGTGAGGAAACAGGCAGAAAATGACGGACAGTCTGTGGAAATGGAAACAATCAGCCACTTGGGGACACCACAAATGGCGGTACTTTCTTCACAGCCCTGTCAAGACAATCCTTCCCTATCTTATCATGATAAGCTGGGTTTTGGCCAAGGCAAGAAAACAGGGAACTTATGACACTCTCATGCCCTGCTGCATGGCCCAGAACAGAGTCGCATCCAGTTCCAGGTTCCTCAGTGAAACCTGATGACAGGCATGGAAAGGAGGGTGAGAAGGGTGAGCTAAGCTGTTCGCCGTGTTTACTTGTGAGGGAATGAGAACAGGAGTGAGCAGCGGACTTTCTTTTTCTGGTCCGAATTAGGTACAGATCAGTCAGGGTGGAGAGTAAACAGATAAGACATCAAATTGGGCCATTTAAGCAGAATTTGATGAAGGACCAGTTGTAAAGCATAGACAGGATACAGAGAAACATGATGGACAGTACCCTGGACAAGAAACGGTGGGCACCATGGCTAGCCTTGGGCTGGGAGGGAGGAAGAGAGGGGTGGTGACCCAGAGAGAAAGAGCTCTTGGGCACACCCCCTGGCAGAAGCTGAAACCTTTGGTAGAGGAATGCAGCTGGCCCATGACTCTGTAAGGGGGGGCTTGGGAAGTTAGTACCCTGACCCCTTTCTCCTCTGTCCTTCCTATCGCCTGCAGACTCCCAGCAGCAAACCCAGCAAGAAGAGAGAGGGCAAGGGGGCCCAGAGCAGGGTGGAAGCGGGTAAAGAAGAGAGGCATGAATCGGGGAAAGTGGAGGGAAGATACCAACACACTGTGGGGGTTCTGTAGGGTTTAAATCTTTGACAATAAGAATGTATTTGTGCATTATTTTCTATAAAACACACATGTATATTCCTAGGCAAATCAGTTTCCAAATGAAAAGCTACCCTGACATGTAACTCTCTGGGAATAGCCTGTTTACTCAAGAAATTCATGTTATATTTCTGTAAAAACAAACATTTTAAAATCTTCCATAGGAATGTTAATGGAATCCTTGCATTTTAATCTTGAACTATTAACTTGTTTTTTTTTTCAGCAAGAGAAACATACAGTAAATGAGGGCCCCCTCACTTTTTATTTTATTTTTTTATGGACTATAAAGTGTGTACAAAAGATTGACCTAAAATAAAATCACTTCATTGAAACACTAACACGGCCACCGGCTCATATCCCAGGCAAAGTGATTTTAGAAGTTCATTTGAGCCTGGTGCGGTGGCTCATGCCTGTAATCCCAGCAGTTTGAGAGGCCAAGGCAGGTGGATCACTTAGGCCCAGGAGTTCAAGACTAGCCTGGGCAACGTGGCAAAACCCCATTTGTACAAAAAGTAAAAAAATTAGCTGGCCGTGGTGGTGCATGCCTGTGATCCCAGCTACATGAGAGGCTGAGGTGGGAGGATAGCTTGAGTCCAAGAGGTCGAGGCTGCGGTGAGCCATGTTTGTGCCACTGTAGTCTAGCCTGGGTAACACAGTGAGACTCTATCTCGAAAAAGTTTTTTCAAATTCAGAAATAATTTTTCTGAAATCCTACCATTAATATTTTTTACTGAAGATCCTCTGAGACCTATCTCTATTGACGTGTGAATATAAAGAAAAGAATTTTACATAAGCGAGATTGATATCTGCTGTTTTATATCTCGTTTTCTGAAATCAATCATATATTGCATAATCTTTCCATTTATATAAATCTAAGTCTCATGATCACATACGTTCCACTGTATATTTGTATTTGGCTTCTATTTATTTGTCATTGTGTGCTTATGTTCACAGTATAAATTCCCTGGAGCGGGACTGCTGGAGCCAGGACCCCGAGGAAGTCCTCGGACCACAGATCCCTGCCACGAACAGTGCCCAAGGGTCCTGCTTCCTCCCCACCAAAGCCACCGAAGGATTTTACCAATGTTTTTAATTTTTGCTGATCTGCTAAGTAAAAAAAGAAATCCAATTTTTAATTTGGTAATGTAAGACTGCTAATGAGTTGCTGTGTTTAATGCTCACTTATACTCATTTCATGAATTGTCCTTTCATCTTTAAGTTTTCAACCAAAAAGCCTACTACACACGCCATGCATTAATACTTTTTGTACATAACTTATGCATATATTATGCATATTATGCTATGCATGGTAACTTTTGTACATAACACAGATTTACATGAGCTTTATAAAAATCCTGCCTCTCAGCACCCTGCTCTGTTCCCCAGTTTTTTAAAAGATGAAAAGTTAGATTTGCTCTGGAATTAAGTTAAAGCACTCAAGGGCCTTTCTGCCGCCAGCACATCCTAGAACAGGCTTCGCTGAGCATGAACTCACCACACCGGAACACGGAGAGCTGGGCCAGCATTGGCACTTGATAGGATTTCCCGTCGGCTGCCACGAAAGTGCGTTTCTTTGTGTTCTCGGGTTGGAACCGTGATTTCCACAGACCCTTGAAATACACTGCGTTGACGAGGACCAGTCTGGTGAGCACACCATCAATAAGATCTGGGGACAGCAGATTGTCAATCATATCTGTGAAGCCAAAGAACAAACAAGGGAAAAATAACCTCAGGACTGGTGGCCGGCTTGAGGGCAAATGGCAGCTGTCATCAGGTAGACTGAAAAATCAAAGGATTTTTAAGGAGTGTTAAAGAGAATCTTCTTAAACTACCCTTTTGTACTTTCTAGGTTCCCCTCCCCCACTAAATATTAAAGTTAAAAAGAAGTTAAAAGAGAAACAGAAAAGACTTTAGAAACCCCTAGCTAGGGGTTACAAAACTTTTCATCAAGAAATTCTTTTATTATCAATTCCCTGCAAGTCCAGGCTTTAAAAAAATCTTACTCATCCAAATAAGCTACATTTGATAATGAATTATTTCTTCTTCTTCTTTTCTTTTTTTTGCCAATAAATGACTGATAGTAAGGGTTTCTGGTCAGTACAAGATAAACAATTTTGTTTTGTTTTGCTCCACTTGGTTTAATTCAATCCCAGTCAAAAATAAACACTTCAGCCTGTATGTTATTAAGGGTGAATGCTTCATTTCTCTTAAGATTTTAGAAACATCAAACATTATTTTGGAATCTCTGGGTATCACAAGGCCTCCTAACTGCTTAAAGAAGAAAGGAAACAAAAAATCAGTGTCTTTGTTTATGGGTCAGGCATCAAGCAAGGTGCTAATATTAGAGACAACAGAAGAGAGGATTTTGAATGTTCCCACCATAAAGAAATGAGAAACGTTTGAGGTAACTGAAATGTTAATTACTCTAATTTGATCATTACACATTGTATACATGTATCAAAGCATTACCACTGTACCCCATATATGTACAATTATTATGGGTCAATGAAAAATAAAATAAAGCCCAGGCACAGTGGCTTATGTCTGTAATCCCAGCACTTTGGGAGGCCGAGGAGGAAGGATCACTTGAGGCTAGAAGTTTGAGACCAGCCTGGGAAACATAGCTAGACCCCATCTCTAGAAAAAATAAAAATTAAAAACATATTAGCCAGCTGGGTATGGTGGCATGCACCTGTAATCCCAGCTACTTGGGAGGCTGAGGTGGGAGGGTCGCCCGAGCCCAGGAGTTCGAGGCTGTGTTGAGCTATGACTGCACCACTGCACTCCAGCCTGGGTGACAGAATGAGACCCTGTCTCTAAAAAAAATAAGATAAAATAAATCTTTAAAAAGACAGAAAAAATTAAGGTCTGTCCTAGAACTCCTAATTTTGAAGGAAAATGCTCTTTACAAGACGTTGGGAATGGTCCGTCTTACTTGTATCAGGAGTGAAGGAGTGAACACAATTCTTCTCATTTCAGGATGCTTCCAAAATGCTACCCGTGGCTGAAAGAGCCTTCCAAAATGCTACCTGTGGCTGAAGGTTTGGTCTTCCAGTTAGCTTCCTTTTATTATACAGTTATTATACAGTTAGCTTCACAATTATTCTGAGGTCTTTGAAGGTTCAGTTGTGTGTGTGTCTGTATGTATGTGTGTTTTTAAATAGGGATCAGTAATGCCCAAAGCTATTAAAACTTAGTTCACTGCATTATTAGCTCAAATATATGTGTGTGTGTGTGTGTGTGTGTGTGTGTATGTGTGTATGTGTATAAATACATAATATAAATACAAGTTATACTACTTTAAATGGTGAGAGTAAAACCAACAGCTTTTGAAGAAGCAAGAATATCTAATTCAGGGGTGAGAGTATTAAGTCCTTTTAAATGAAACTCAAGAGGATTCTGATGTACAGTAAACAAGTGTTTACATAAATCATGATAAATAAACACTGAAGTTTCCCACAGCGTGCTGCTAAGACAGTTCCATCACCACTCACTACTTCCACAAGGGGGCACTAACGCCACCTTAAGTCAGGACAAAGAAGGAAAATATCTAAGCCATAAACAGACATCATTCAACTCAACACAAAGCTGGCTGCAAACAGACTGTCCTGTGGGAGCGAAGTTAGAACTTTATGCCATCCCACTAGCAAGCTCATAATTGACTTCCTAATAGTGAATGTTGTTTCTTGCCTCTGCTGGGAACATTACCCAGTTCAATTCCTACTTGCCTTTAAGACATAGCTCAATGGTCCCCTGGACTTCTAAATCTTCTCTGATCATCCTCGCCACCTCCTAAGAGATGTCTCTGCTCCCGATTTCTGTAAAGCCCAATGCCTGGCCCCACCATGACACCTGCAGTATTTTATTCTAGCCAATTTTAATGTGTCTGTCTCCCTCAGCTACACTGAGACCTGCATGAGACTCTGCCATTCACTTTTTGCTTACTCCTAGCACTACATGGAGCATACAGGCAGTGCTCAATAACTGTCTGTAGAAATGTCCTTAGCCCCTTTTTACAGAGACAAATAATGCCTCCAACTGCCCCTGGGAGGACTAAGATATAATAAGGGGACATGAAGAAATAAAAAGAAAATGCATAGTTTAGAGGCAAAGAGGCACATGGAAACCTGCCATCAGTAACTGCCACAGACATGCATCTATCATCCGTCCGTCCATCCATCCATCCATCCTTGGATACCTACCTGCCTACCATGTGCCTGGTACTCTCTTAAATAAGAAACCAAGAAGGAAATCTGGTCTCAAAAACTACGAATGAGAGAGAGGTGCAGGCTGACATAAAATAACTTGGAAAAGTATACAGCTGCAATTTAAATAAATATCTGGAAGTGGAATTACTCAAGGCTATGGAGGGCTAAGAAGGTGACCTGACCTAGTTGGTGAGGTCTGAGATGGACAGTACCTCAGAAATGGCTATAAAAATAGCTCACACTGGTTGAACATTTACTAAGTGCAGAGTCCTTTGCTAAATGCTTTCTATGTATTATTCACATCCTCACACCAGCCTTAATTGTTGTTAGAATTATTTGAATAGGTATCACTATTACATCTCTCCATTTTACAGACGAGAATGCTGATGCAAAGCAAGCTTAAATAACTTGCCCAAGGTTATACAGGTAGTATGTGGCAGAACCGAGATTCAAACTCAGAATGTGTGCTTTTAATGTTCATGCCTGCCACTCATGGTATGGTACAGAAATGAGTTGGCCTTAACCAGGGAAGAGGGAGAGAAGGCAGCAGGAGTGTATGTGTGCGGTTCTCCAACAGGAGACAGGATGGTGGGTAAGGGGACTAGGAAGAGGCCTGTGTGGCTGGAACATAGAGTACAAGGATGAGTGAGTCTGCAGAGGTCAACAGGCCAGACCCATCCCTGATGGGTCTCCTCCTGCAAAAGGCCTGCGCGTTGGGCTCTCCCACTCTCTGTAGGGAAGGAACTATCATTTCCGTGAGACAGACCCAGCAACCTTCCAGACACAAACAGTTGAGCTCCAAGTCACTTCTGAGCTCTACCATGTGGTCATGTACCTTTCAGTGGGGGCAGTTCACCCCCAGGTAAAGGCAGTTTGGAATTTGGCAGGGATGTTTTTAATTGAGTGGGCAGTGGCCAGAAATGCTATCTGTCCTGCAATGTTCAAAACAGTCCCACCCAATGAAGAATTGTGCTGCTTCTCCCGTGGCTTTTCAATACCCCACCGGATCTCTGCATTGGTAGGACACCTACTTATAATTATCTGAGCCCAGAACCTCGTTCTTTTTCGTGTGTAAACACAGGGTGTTTTGGGTTTTTTGTTTTTGTTTTTGTTTTTGTTTTTGCATCCTTTTCATGTATGCTGAATTTGCCAGGAATGTGAGTCCCACGCAAATCAAGCAGAGCCTGTGCTTTGTTTTGTTCAGAAATTTATCAAAAGTCTTGCACCGTTTCAGAAAAAATTGCATCAGCAATAGTTAACACAGCTCATGTTTATGAGTCACCAGGACAACATGCCTGTCTCTGTCTGCTTTTGTAGCTGTCAATTCACAATTATTCTGAGACTCTGACTACTTTATTACGTATTTGAGTGTAGTTGTACCCAAGGGTTTACCTATTGAACTACATATATACATTTCTTTTGTTTTCCTTTGTATTACAGTTTGGCACTGTCTCAAATTTTTAAAAATTTGTGTGTGTGCATAGAGTAATATGATGTATGAATTTCATTTCAGAATAGTAAAGAGAGTATTAAAAATATTTGTTACAAACGGAGGAGCTGGGGCTGACAGGGCTGCAAAGTGCTGCAGGAGTCTCCATGCTTCTTCCCAGCACACGTGGGGGTTTTCTCCAGGTGCTCTGAAGACTGTCACATGGTCTAACTAATGTGGTTTAATATTGCCATTCTACAGATCAAGGCAGCGGCTAAGAGGACAAAATGACATGTCACAGTCACACAGCCTCCAGCCACAGAGTCAGGACCAAGAACCAGTCCTGAGGGCGTCTGCTTCTGACCACTCTTCACAAGCCTACAGATGCCAGACACCTGGAGACTCCACTGAACACCCTCATGTGTGCTGACCTCCCGATGGTTTATGGTTTTAGGAAGGGCGCCCAGACTGCATGGTCCAGGCCCCACTGAGAAGGGACGCCACGAATTTACCCAAGTCACCTGGGGTCTCCTCCACCCTCCCTGGAGCCTTCTTTGTCCACCTCTTCACTAGTTCTGCTAATGGGTCTCCAACATCTGGGTGTGTAAGAATGGTGATGGGAGGCAGAGGCAGACTGGGAGTTGCCAGCCACTCCCTCGGCGATTCCAATGCAGTGGGCTGGGCTCCAGGGATCTGCCTTCTCAACACATAGCCCAGATAATTCTGATGCAGGGACACCAGTAACCACACTTTTAAGAAACATAGCCTGAAAGGCGACAGTTTCCCTAGGTTTTGTCTTTGGGCTTCTTCTTCCTATTGACTCTCTCCCTTCTATGAAAAAAGGCTCTATAGCCAGGCACAGGGGCTCATGCCTATAATCCCAGCACTCTGGGAGGCTGAGGCGAGAGGACTGCTTGAACCCAAGAGTTCGAGACCAGCATGGGCAACACAGTGAGACCCCACCTCTTCAAAAAATAAAAAAATTAGCCAGGCATGGTGGCGCACACCTGTAGTTCCAGCTACCGGAAAGGCTGAGGTGGGAGGATTACTTGAGCCCAGGAGGTTGAGGCTGCAGTGAGCTATGATTGCACCACTGCGCTCTAGCCTAAGAGACAGAGTGAGACCCTGTCTCCA
The DNA here is from genome assembly GCF_000001405.40 of Homo sapiens. Classification (NCBI taxonomy): domain Eukaryota; kingdom Metazoa; phylum Chordata; class Mammalia; order Primates; family Hominidae; genus Homo; species Homo sapiens. The sequence goes on from NC_000002.12 coordinate 223,997,079, forward strand.
AAAAATTAAAAATAAAAAAAAGGTCCCAAATCTGTACTCCCATCCTTCACATTCTCCTGTTGTTCCAGACCTACAGCTCCTCCTGCATGTTTCCAACTGGACCTCCACGTTACAAATTAAGGTTTTTTTGTTTTTTTGTTTCTTTTTGTTGTTGTTGTTTTAGACACAGTCTCATTCTGTTGCCCAGGCTGGAGTGCAGGGTTGCAATCTCGGCTCATTGCAATCTCCCCCTCCCAGGTTCAAGCGATTCTCCTGCCTCAGCCTCCCAAGTAGCTGGGATTACAGGTGCCCGCCAGCATGTCTGGCTAATTTTTGTATTTTTAGTAGAGATGGGATAAACCATGTTGGCCAGGCTGGTCTCGAACTCCTGACCTCAGGTGATCCACCCACCTTGGCCTCCCAAAGTGCTGGGATTACAGGTGTGAGCCACTGCACCTGGCCTACAAATTAAGTTTTAAAACACCAACGTTAGACTCTCCTTTATTTAATGGGAGAAGAGACACTTACAAATGAGTAATCATTTTGAGATGTGGAAAGGGCTGTAATCGGGGGGGTGTAAAAGTTGTAATCATGTGCCAATCATAACGGACAACAGGGTACCTATGTCTTTGGCAATGGCAGAAGCAAGAGGCATGGAAGGCAAAGAGATCAATCAACCTGGAAGGATGAGGAGGACATTCCAGGTAAAGGGAGAGGCAGATGCAAAAGCAGGAAGGAATGAGCAAGAAAACCTTCAAAATCAACAAGAGCCTGTGGGCAAGGATGCTGGAGACCAGATATGGCAAGGAGAGGAGACAGTGGAGGGGCTGGATTCTGTTCTGTTGCCCAAACTACAGGAGAAACACCTCCCAGGAGCACAGTGAGCAATGGCAGATTGAAGGGGAAGGAGGGAGACTGAATAGAGCTTCCTTGGTCCAGGAGTTTCTCAACCCACAGGCCATTGAATTGGACTTGCAGACACCACTTTGAACCCTGGAGTCTAACTCATGCTTCATTCACAAACTATGCAATCAAATGACATACTGCGGCCACTCACCCCTGGTTTCATTTTTAACCCATGCATTGATGGAATCACAGGCAGAGGCTGGATCCTCAAAGTTCACATTCCGGACCTCACACTGGAACACATCTTTGTTCCTTGTAACAAAAGGCACTTCAATTTCAGAGGCATTCTTAACAAACACGGCGTTAGCCACTGTCACAATGTCTTTATTCTTCTTGGAGACGATGGCCTTGTTGATCTTCTTTAATATTTTACCAACTCCTAAAAGAGAAATCAGAAGATACAGCAATACTTCCATAAGAATCTAGAAAAGTTTTTAAAATCTTTTATGTTGCAGCAAGTAAGAACAGTATAGGCCAGGTGCAGTGGCTCACACCTGTAATCCCAGCAATTTGAGAGGCTGAGGTGGGTGGATTGCTTGAGCTCAGGAGTTTAAGAACAACCTGGGTAATATGACAAAACCCTGTCTCTACCAAAAATACAAAATTAACTGGGTGTGGTGGCACGCCTGTGATACCAACTACTTGAGGAGGCTGAGGTGGGAGGATCGCTGGAGCCTGGGAAGTCGAGGCTGCAGTAAGCCATGATCGGGCCCCTGCATACAGCCTGGGTGACTAAGCAAGACCCTGTCTCAAAAATAAAAATAACAGAACAGTATAAACAGGATAGCTATGAGTAGCAAGAAACTAAGTCTTCTGTTCTCTCAGGGGCCTATTTCTTAAGAAAAGGAGGGAGTGGGGTTAAAGTCTAACCACTGAAGCTCTCAAAAATCAACTGTGCTTCTGCATCAAAACAGGAATATTCAAGGTGTTCTCACCACCTTCCCAATGCAGACCTCATTCTCATGGTAGCCTTTCTGGGCACCAGGTCAGTATGAATGCTGGCACAGTCCTCAGTTCTATAGCCAAGGGGGAACAAATCAAAGGGAACTTCCTAATGCTTTCTCTCTTTCTTGTCTAACGTTATTAAGTGCTACTTCCTTTCTTGCCAAAGATTTAACAATGTAATTTCTTTTTTTCTATTTTGGAAAAAAAATGAATAAAATAAGCATTAGAAAGACTATAAAAAATTACCATGGGCCACCATCCAGAACAATGTGGTTTTTACTTGGTAACAAGCTCAAAGAGTAAGGAGATTAATTTTATGGCAACGTAAGCTTTATTTTACATGAGCCATTCATACATGCTCCATTTAGTTTGAGAGGGTGAAAAAGAGGCAAATAAGTTATAAGGATGAAATGTGTTTCTAAAGAGAGCTCAAATTACAGATCCTTCTTCATCGCTTGGGGTCTCTTCAAAATGGCACTGTCCTAAAACATCCTGCCAGAGTCACCTTGATGGTCCTCTAAAGAGCCGATTTGTCACTCTGAATGTGCGTCCTCTTCAGGCCTTTTACACGGGGGAGGGGGGCAGTCTTCTCAGGGCCCACAAACAGGGGCGTGTGTAGGGCTTTACAACGTGCATGGCCCTCTCTTAGATGCCCATGACCACACCTTACAATTGTTCTATGGTGCAGGCCCATTCTACAAGTAAGAAAACGGCCGGCTTTGGAGGCTGAAAGACAATTCCAAGGCCAACTGCCAGCTCCTGGCCCTTTTGGGGTAGGGGTGAGGCAGTGGTGGATGGCCAACGGGCCAATATTCTTAGAACTTCAGAAATAATGGCTTAAAATCAGTGTGGCTCAGCATTAAAACAAACAACAAAAGTCCAGTTGCTATTTTGGAACTGTCTCGGCCGACACAGCCTGGATCACACTAGGAAAGGTCATAAATTTTAGCAGTGATCCACCATGAAGTTATAAATCACCAGGAGTTTTCTGAACTTCCAAGCAAGGGGCAGAAGAGTGTGTTCCAAGTATTTAGTCCTTCCATGCTTCCAACAGGTGAACAAACTGCAAACTCGTACAGAAGTGTAATGCTGCATCAACAGAGCAGTGAGATTAGGCATTTGGTGCTGGCAGCCCTGGAGGCCACGCTGAGCAGAGTCGGAGGCGGGTGCAGAGCGAGGCACTGAAGGACACAAATCGCCACCTCACTGATCTTACTCTCCAGCTGACGACGCCAGTGCAGTCAAGATTCTCAGAACTTTCGGGCCAGCCTGGGTGGAAGAACACGGGCAGGAAGACTCCCTTGTTTCCAACGAAGGGAGCAGACCTAGATGTGAATGTGACTTTTGCAAGGTCACAGAGGGTGCTGGTGGCCAGGAAGAGGGGGGGAGCCAGTCCTGCTCCCCTGAGCACTGCATTTATGGAGACAGCAGGTGGGACATGGCTCTGGGCAAGACCCCTCAGCTGAAGTAAAACAGTGCCAGAGGATGAAGCTCGTGCAGTTAAATGGGTCATTTAAGAAAGGTTTTTCTTTAACTCAAACTAAATCTTTTTCATTGGGCCTTACTTTAAAACAATTTTTTTAGCTCGCTCTCTCTCTCTACGTATCTATCTATCTATCTGTATCTTTTCTTTAAGCTCTGGGATACATGTGCAGAACGTGTAGGTTTATTACATAGGTACACATGTGTCGTGGTGGTTTGCTGCACCCATCAACCTGTCATCTAGGTTTTAAGCCCCACATGCATTAGGTATCTGTCCTAATGCTTTCCCTCCCCTTGCCTTCCACCCCTCGACAGGCCCCAGTGTGTGATGTTCCCCTCCCTGTGTCCATGTGTTCTCATTGTTCAACTCCCACTTTTGAGTGAGAACATGCCGTGTTTGGTTTTCTGTTCCTGCGTTTGCTGAGAATGATGGTTTCCAGCTTCATCCATGTCCCTGCAAGGACATGAACTCACTCTTTTTTATGGCTGCATAGTATTCCATGGTGTATATGTGCCATATTTTCTTTATCCAGTCTATCATTGATGGACATTCGGGTTGGTTCCAAGTCTTTGCTTAGCTTTATATTTTGAAATAATTATAGATTTACAGGAAGTGGCAAAACAATATGCAAGGAAGTCCCACGTGCCTTTCACCCAGTCTTCCCAGTGGTACCGTCGTTGCATCAGGAAATTTCCATCAGGTCAGTCCACAGGGTGCATTCAGATTTCACTCATTTTCCATACACTCCTGTTGTGGGCTTGGGGAGGGGGGTCTGTGCAACTTTATCATTTGTGCAGATTTGTGTGGCCACCACCACAATCAAGACCCAGGATGGCTCCATCACTACGAGGCCCCTGGGCCCTCCACAGCCACCCCTTCCCAGCTCCTCTCACAGGCTTCACAAGCACATCTACGATCACAGCGCAACTCAACCCTGGGCGCCATGGAGGCGGTAAGCCAGGAAGTGTCCCCCTCGCTGGAACGAGGGCTGGAGCCCTGGGAAAGGAGACCTAGTGGCAGACCCCAAGCTCCAAAAGTACAAAAAAGGGACCAGAGTCTAGTTCTCCTAACTGCCAGCACCACAGTGTTTGTTCTTTAGAAGAGACTGACCCCAAGCCCCAAGTGGCACCAGCAAATCCCCTTCTGGCTGCTCTGCTTCTTGGGGTTGTCAGCAAAAACCAAGCCATAAACCCTCCTGTCACAAGACTCTCAGGCAAAGGCTCCGCCAGTGAGCAATTGTGCACACGCACCATTTACGCCGTATCTCATCACCATGGCGAGCTGCTTCTTGGTCCTGCCGTCCGCCCCCAGCTGAAGCATCCCCAGGACCGACGCAATCCCATGGGGAGAGATCACGATGTTGTCATGAGGCCTCGACTTCACAATCTGATTGAAAACCTGGATCCCCGTGTTGGAGCCTAGTTCCTCGAGAGACAGAGGATTGAAGTGGGAGCAGATGGAAGGCAGCGTCACAGAGGCCAAGAGGAAGAGGGGGAGATGCCAGTTCATGGTTCCTTCCACCAAGGACGACCTGGAAAAGTAAGTTAAAAAATATTTAAATTATACTTAAATGGGTACTTTACTACTTTTTTTTTTTTTCCCCCAGATAGAGACTCGTTCTTTCACCCAGGCTGGAGTGAAGTGGTGCCATCTCAGCTCACTGCAACCTCCGCCTCCTGGGTTCAAGCAATTCTCCTGCCTCAGCCCCCTGAGTAGCTGGAATTACAGGCGTGTACCACCATACACGGCTAATTTTTGTATTTTTAGTAGAGATGGGATTTCACCATGTTGGCCAGGCTGGTCTCAAACTCCTGACCTCAAGTGATCTGCCTGACTCAGCCTCCCAAAGTGCTGGGATTACAGGTGTGAGCCACTGTACCTGGCCTGCGAGGCCATTTTGTACTCACCTAGTATGCTTGACTGTACTCAGCATAATTGAATGCCATGTGAATATATTTAAGACAGAACAGTGTAATTAAATCAGTTTTCAAAACACACCCTGGGGAGGTGGGGAGGGAAAGGAAGCAAACTTCCATCTCTTGGGTCCTTACAATGTGCCAGGTCCTATACTAATCATTATTTAATTCTCGGTTATTTTATTTTTATTTATTTATTTATTTTGAAACAGTCTCACTCTGCTGCCCAGGCTGGAGTGCAGTGGCGCAATCTCGGCTCACTGCAACCTCCGCCTCCCGGGTTCAAGTGATTCTCACGTCTCAGCTTCCTGAATATGTGGGATTACAAGTGTGCGCCAACTCGTCTGGCAATTTTTTTTTTTTTTTTTTTTTTAGTAGAGATGAGGTTTCACTGTGTTTGCCAGGCTGGTCTCGAATGTCTGGCCTCAAGTGATCCGGCCTCCCAAAATGCTGGGATTACAGGCGTGAGCCACCATGCTCAGCCTAATCATTATTTAATTCTCATAAGTGCCCTTCATCCAATTAAGCCAATATTTACTGAGGGTTCACTGGGTGTCGGACCCTTTTCTAAGTGTTAGGCATATGACATAACTGAATGGACAAGACTCTCACCCGCACTGAGCTTACAATCTAGAAGGGAGACAGAAAATAAGCCAGCAAGCAATAAAGCATTTTCAGAAAAGGATAAAGAGCACAATGATAAAATACAGGGATGCGAGCAGATGAGGGGCCGGCAGGGTGCGGGGGGTGGTCATTAGATAGGGTGATCAGGGAGCCATCTCTATGGCAGGAACATCGTGATGAGACCTGAATGGGGGAAGGAGCCAGCCACACTCTGATGGGTAAACAGTACGCTGGGCAGAGGGAGAGCAGGGCCGAGGCCCTGACGTGGGAATAAACTTGGTGTATTAGAGGCCAGTGTGGATGTGAAATCAAGGTCGTAAAGAAGGGAGACAGGTGGGTGAAGCCGAAGGAGAGTTCAGATCTGGTAAGGTCCTGTAGAGCCTGGAAAGGCACTGGGATTTCACTCCAAGGGTTACAAGAAACCCCTGGAGGATTTCAAACAAGGGAGTGAATCCCTCGGGTTGCTCTGATTATCTTATAACCACAAGCGCTTGATTCTTTTACCATAAGCACACTGCTTTTAAAATTAAAGAATTATTAATTAAAATAAACTTAAGTGACTGCTTTAAAGTTACAATAGGGTAGGACAATTGGTAAATTCATCAATTTTGAGGATGGTGTTGCTTACACGGATGTTCTCAACTACAGTGATTTGTTTTAAAGAAGCTTCCTTCCTTAATTACCACTCACAGAGCTTTCTCTGGCTATGACAAGTAAGAGGTAGGAAATTTACATGTATTTATGGAAAAGCAAATACTTTCATTAAGTAAGAACTTAACAGTGGCAGCTGGTAAAACAAAAGCAGCATTCGTGATGTTGCTAATTCAGTTCTTCCCCAAGAGGCCCAAGCTCCTGCTAAGCACAGTCTCCCGTGGAGCCAATGTGTCCCACTCTGTTGTTACGTGTGGGAGGTTAGGGGTGACTGCAGAGAATAAAACAGAAGGGGGCCTTTTAAGAGACAGGTGACCTGGAGGGAGGGGGAAATCATGTCTCTGTGTGCTCTGGGGGAAAGCATGGGCACAACCACAGTGTTAGGCAAAACTGGCCCCGTATTTGGTGTCTCCTTGCCTTCCTTTCTACACACTTTCTGTGCTTCCCACCCTAGGGCGTAGGAGATGTTCAATAAACACTTGTGAGATTAATCCGATGGCTCATAAATACTTCCTATTTTTATTAATTAATCTTTCCCTGCATCACAACAGCGTTTATGGAGTGTGGCTAAGAAAACGCTTGTGTTTAATCCTGATCCTCACGGTCAGCTCAAGACACTCTCTGAGGGAAGAGCCACCATCACATCGAGCAAGGACTGTGGGCACACGCAGAACTCCCTGCCTGGCCCCCCGACACAGAGGGCCCCACTGTGAACCACTGAGGCCATCCTTCCAGCTGATGTTGCAAGTTTCTTATATGTTGTGAAACAAGCGCTTTTCTAAAGATTTAGAATGTTCCGTGTTTCTCCAGAGCTTCATTGTAAAACAATTGTATCAACTCAGCCCGTCTAAATTCAAAACATGTAAGTGACCTACATACGCTGCTCCCGCTTGGGCTCAACGGGCCAGCGTGGCCTATTTTGACTTTGGCACCTAGGACTGGCTCTAATGCCACGACAATCCCTGGAGTTTCCTGGAGCCTACTGGACTTTGGAGAGCGTCCAAATCATGACCGTGGAAGCTTTATTCATTCCATCTAAAAACTAGAAACTGTGTTCTCCCCTTCCTTCCTCCCTCTTGCCTTTTCTTTCTTTTGAGCAATAAATATCCTCTTTAAAATTTAATATAGCACAAAGTCATCATAAGTATAAAACATTGTGTACAATCTTTCTTACAAATGGCCAAATGCAGTGACCAACTTCATCCATCTCAATTGTTGTCTCTTGCATTATAGTCTATTCTGGTGTCTACATTCGGCCCACTATAATCTGTACTCCTGAAGCCTCCCCAAAGAAATGCTCCTAGATTAGTGAATATTTGAATAAATATTAGAATTTGGATTCAGAAGACATGAACATTAAACTGGTTTTGCCTCTGGTAGCTTAAAGTTGATAGACTCAAATACTACATATATATTATATATATGTAGTATTATATATTATATTATATAATATATAAATATATTTTATATATTTTATATATATTATATATATATATATATATATATATATATATAAAACATTGTAAAAACAGGGTGAAAGGATCAGTGACAGTGAGAAATCTAACAGCTCCAATGTCTTAAAGTCACAAGGACAGTCTCCCAAATAAACAGCCATCTTATTTAGCAGAATTCTGCTTCATTATAAATTTTCGCTAAAAGAACAGTTTTCCTATGACACGGAAGAAAGCTGTTATGGGTGTTTTTCTGGGTTTCTTGGACTTGGGAAGTTTTTGAGAGCTGTCTATGTACAGTTTCATAAAAGTGCACTGGGACAGTGTTAGAGCTGTGCAGAACTTGGAATCAGAGCTATTTTTGATTGATGTGCTGGGCAGAACTTCTCCTTGGCCTTGGTTTCCTAGGCCAAATGCTCACTCGTCTAAACTCACCTGGCTTATATACGTGTCTAAGAATAAGCTTTCATTTTTCTCCAAAGTTCAGTAGCCAGGAGAGTGGGTGTTGATCTATAAATTACTTTAGGCCTGCATAATTCCTAACAATGAAACACACTCATGTCCAAATAGACAATCGTTTACATGAAGTAACTTGGAGTTCTCAAGCTTTGAAATGCTTGATCTCTGGAACAAGCAGATGCCATAATGGGAAGTACATAGAAACCTCCTGTTTATTTTCCTTTTTAAGAGAAATTACACTTTAAACTTTCAAATCAGAGAGAAATAAGAGTGCTGCCCAAATGTACTGCATAGCAACAAGATGGAAGATTATCATTTGCTTGAATATTGTTTCACAACAGTAAAAATAGGTCTCTAGGCCATCATTGGAGGGAAGATCATAAGCCCATCAGTAGAGCCATCGCCACAGGCATATCCTTCCAAATGCCAGGTATCTCCTTCCCTATGTTCTTCTAGTTTCTCTTACTTCAAACCTTTCTCCTTTCCAATACGGGGAATGTTTATGAAATAGCTGGGTACTGCTTTGAGTTTTAACCATGATTTAACGTAGTAAATAATGGGATGGTAGTTTTGCAAATGCCAGACTCAAAATATAACCCTAACATTTATAAATAGACTGCTTGCCAATAGCAGACATTAGAGGAACCCACTCTCTATAGACCCAATGGCGTCAACCATCTCTTCTACACAGGTGATGCTCAAATATGCAGCTCAAATCCTCAAACTCTCTGCTGAATTGCAGTGCTATACTTTCAACAGTTTGCTACCTGTTTTCACTTGATCGTTCAGAAAAATTATCCACTGGTGGGGAGGGGTACTAGTCTCCAAAAATCTACCAACTCTTCTCTTTTTCAAGAATCATAGTTTCTGTTGAAAGAGCTTGCTTACCCAAGCCCGAGCCTCTGCTTCTCTCCCTTAGCCTCCACCTAGCAACAGTGACACTTCTACCCAACTCCTTCCACGGTGTGTGTGATGTTTTTCCTGATTGTTAAAGATGAGGTTCTTTATTCTCTTCTTTGAATTCCTATAGCATTTCCTATTTGCCTGTCTCATTTTAGTTGTTTTCCAAGTATGTTTTCTTTCCTCGCAAGTAGACTGGAAGCTCACGGAAAGCAGGGACTGTAGACTCCTGGTGCCCACAGGGTCAGTTTAGGGCCTTACCATTCATTGGTAGACACAAAATCAGAGGTTGACCCGTGGGACTAATCCAGCAAGTGTTTGATGTGCAATACAGAGTATTCTAAAAATATTTTTAGCAACTAAAAGTCAAAAAATGTCACAAGTCTAGATTAGGGTTATTCTCAGGAAAAATGAAAAAGAGTGGACGTTCTAGTACTACTGGACCCTCACCCCCATGGCAAATGTTCTGCACAGACGCCACCCCTTATGGGCTGGGCACCCACTTTCCAGCGTGCCTCGCTCCCGCTGCTCCCTGCTGCCTCACACCCTGCCATGGCCGCCACTGCCATCACCTCTCCAGGCTGTGTGAGCACCTGTGACGAGACCCCTTAGCCTGGAACCAGTGCTGAACAACTGAACAGTGGCAACTAGGATAGCCAGACACAAAACATGAAGCTCATTTTCTACCTAATAAATTCTTTTTATGAAATAAAAGTTTACATATAGTGCATGAACAAATGATAAATAATATGACACTAGTCTGCTCTATGTAGCATAATAAGTAAGTTGTAGGCAGACAGCTTGGTGGGAAAAACCACTGGAAAGACTCTTCTGGGTCCATTCATAGCTGGATGGTGCACACCTATTTTGGGAGGACACAGAAGCGTCTAATGAAGGAAAAGTTCTCCATGCTCTCTCATTCTCTATAAAAGGTTTAAAGTGATCATGTTTTATAAAACATACATATATTTTTAAAAACATTATATCATGGGAAATATCAAACATATGCAAATATTTAATACTCCCCCCCATACTCAACATCCAGAAAAAACAATTATTAACTCACGGCTTGGTTTATTTCTACTCAAATCAAAGATGATTTTGGAGTTAACTGCAGACATCATATAATATCATTCAAAATAATTTCAACATATAGACTCAGCCTAAGGATTTAAAATAGATATCCATGACATCATTATCACACCGCAAAATAACTCCTTAACATGTCAAATATCTAGTCCATGTTCGCATTTTTTATAGTATATTTGAATTACGATCTAAGTAAGCTCCATACATTGCAACTGGTTACACCTCTTGCCTTTGTTTTTTTGGTTGTTTGTTTGTTTCATCTTCCACTAGTTGCTTCATTTTTAACCTTGGAATTTTTTCTGTTGAAAAAAACAGGTTATTTGCCCTGTAGAGTTTCCCCAGGGTAGATTTTGCTAACTGCATTAATGTCATGCTGTTCAACAAGTTTCTCTGTCTTCTGTCCTTCCTGTAAACTGTTAGAGCTAGAGCAGGGGTCTGCAAGCTACGGCCCATGGGCCAGATCTGGCCACGCTTTTTTCTTTGTTTATGGCTGCATCTGTGCTATGATAGGGAGCTGAGCAGAGGTGCCCGGCTGCAAGAGAGACGGTATAGCCTGCAAAGCCAAAAACAGTTATTATGTGGCCCTCTACGTGAAAAGCCTGCTGACCCCAGCTGTAGGGACTGATCAGATTCAAGTCAATTTTCTCTTTTTGTAAGAATATTTTGTAGAGGTGCCGTAGAGGGTGGTGAAATCAGTAGACGGTAGCTGACTGTCTCTTTTTGTGGTGTTAGCAAGCTACTTATGATGACCGCCTAAGTGCACTGTTTTATTAAGAGTTACCAAATGTGGGTGCTGTTATAATTCTAACTTTCCTCCCTCACTTATTAATTAGAATATTTATATAAAAAGAAGTTTTCCATAATCAACTACTTGGTTGCCCTGAGGTTTATTTTGTGTTACAAGGGCAGGACAAATTCTTCATTCATTTCCCATATCCAACAGTTTTCAAAATAATTCAAAATAGGTTGATTGACCAGAGGGTTCTATTTTCTGTATCACTATAAACTCGTGTTTTTCAACATACTTTAAGGGTCTCGATCCACTGCAAATTTATTCTTATTGGTGCTCAAAATGAGCCTCTTCACACTCGTTCTTAAACCTTCTGATACAACCCTACAGTCTTGTTAGCCTCCTTGCTTTCCGGTTTGACTAGATGTTTAGGCTCATTTTATACATCTTCTGTTCCAGATGGAATCAGCCACTTCTCCAGGGAGCTCTGGTTCCTTTTAGTGAGAAACAGTAGCACTGAGCACCCTTATCTAATAAACCCTAAATGTTTTAAACTGTGGAAATGCTGAGCAACAGTGATAAGGAAAATCCAAAGTCCATTTACACCACTCTCTGGAATATATCCAAATACTGAAATTCAAATTATGAGAGCCAGACTGGTGACTGTTTCACACCGATGGCTCAAACATCACTGGAAAATCAAATTATGAAAGACCAGCTGCTGACACTGAACGGGTTTGCCTCCCATGGCCATCTAGACCGAGGGAGGCTCGCTGGATGATGACAAGATAAAGGAGTCTGCTGGGCATTAAAAGCTGGGCTGGGAGAATCAAAGTGGATTGCCCTCGTGTGACAGCAGCGAGCCTCCTGAATCAAGCCCAGCCTAAAAATGGAATCCTAACAGTGCAGATGCCAGCGACAAACAACCGACACACAGCACGGCAAGGTGAGTCCCCGGATTTATCTCAGCCTCTCCCCTCCCCGCCCCTCAGTGAAAGCTGACACCTTCTCAGGCACTGGGAAAGTCTCGCCATCCTTCTAGTCTCTGTGTTGCTAGGATCCTGGTTCTTGGAACCTAAGGCCCCTTATTAATCTACAGGGGCTACAGCAGGTAGAGAAAAACAGCAGGTATGTTTTGTCCGAATCATGACATCTCTCAACAGCTTTTCCTGCCAGGGCTTCCCAAAGAAATAAATGTACAGGCCGGGCACGGTGGCTCAAGCCCGTAACCCCAGCACTTTGGAAGGCCGAGGTGGGCAGAGTGCTTGAGGCCAGGAGTTCGAAACCAGCCTGGCCAACATGGCTTAACCCTGTCTCTATTAGAAATACAAAAATCAGCTGGGTGTGGTAGCACATGCCTATAATCCCAGCTACTCCAGAGGCTGAGGTGTGGGAATCGCTTGAACCCAGGAGGTGGAGGCTGCAGTGAGCCGAGATTGTGCTACTGCACTCCAGCCCAGGTGACAGAGTGAGACTCTGTCTCAAAAAAAAAACAACAACAAAACAAATGTACAGGCAAGGTTTGTGGCTGCCAAACTGAGACTTCTGAATGGCCTTAAGTAAAATCGTGCTGTCCAGCATTCAGACCAAACATTTCTCATCAGTACTTTGCCAACACTCAACGGTGTTTGGCAAGAGGCATTCTAGAAACTCTTCAGGAGGTGAGCCATGGAGATTAAGGCTGTCTCTGTAAGATGACAGTAATTGTTAATGTACAAGTAATCGGGGTTAAGCCTCACATATGGTCTCTGTCTCTCAAATCTGTATAAGCATTACTGAAATAATGTCCACCAAGACCTGTATTCATTTTCCAAACATCTACCACATTTTCTTATGATACCAAATCAGGTGAACAAGCAAACTAAAGTACATCTTGGTTATCCTTGGGAAGTGTACTAAGTACTAGCAAAATGACTCAGCATCTTTAAAATTTAGAGAACAAACAGGAAATGCCAACTTATCAAGGGGACAGCAGCTTGGTAGTTTTAAAATGTGTTTTTCAGGTTAGTGGAGAAAGACTTAGAGACATCTGAATTTTTTCTTAAATTTTTGTCTGCCTTCAAAGTGTATGCTCATTCTATGACACTAATTAATTTGGCCAAAAAGGAACCTAAAAATGTTTAGGAAATACCTTTTCAGCCGCTGAAAAGTATGGCAGCAACATCCAAATGGTCCCTTCAATGAAAAGACACATATTTTATTATAAAGTACACTCTGACATCAAGTGCCTTTTATCCATATATTATCCATTCTGAAATCTCTTTGGGTTGATGGGAAAAGGCTAGGGGGAAGGAGGGGATTAGAGCTTTGTTAGCAGTCTGTCTTTTAAAATTCAAGATTACAGGATATTCATTCTATTTTCCTCTAAGTTTCCGGGAAAATTCACCTAAAGTTCAAATTCCAATCCTACTACCCATTAACCAAGAGATCCAAGGCAAGTCACAATCTTCATCCGTCTTAGCTTTGTCCTCTGCCATATTAGAAATCATATCTCAAGGGTGGCCATGGAAATTCAATAGGTGCAAACTGAAAGACATAGTAACCAGCCTAATACCTGGCTCAGAGCAAGTGTTCAGTAAATGCTGGCTCTCTTCTTCTGGTCCTCTTCAATGCTCAAGACCTGAAATACTCTGATTTGTATTTCAGCAACCATTTAGAAAGTCTCAAGGATCAAGCTAAGAAAACAGTCAAACACTGCTACCTTGATAAAGCCTTGTCTGTATCTTTATAACTTCCTTAGACTATTTAAGACTCAGAAATAAATTAAGACAATGCTGGTGCGTTTTGCCGTCTCTGTAAGAGAACTGAGGGGTCCATTACTGTGGGAATGGAGGGGGAGGGGTGAGTATGTCCCAGAAAACCTTTAATAGTGCTGAGATATGTTTTTCGGTCTGCTGACTCAGATCATTAAATCTGGTTTACCTATGTATCAAGTCCTATAGACTTTTCTTTTTGATATGTCTTTAAGACGTAATGGTCCAAATGGCTGATTTCCTAATCCAGCAACCAAGAGGTGACCCAAGACATTATAGTGACATTGACCAATGGTTCTCAATCTTTAAAAACAAGGAAGTACCTTTTTAATTTCTCTCTTCAGCAAGAGACATGGAAGTACCTTTTTTAGACATAAAAAATATTACACATAGTTCATGACCATGTTTTTAGTATTGGTAAAAATACATAAAATACAACCATGAATTCTTAAACATGTCAATAAAATCCAAATTCTTTTTATCAGTACCTAGATACATTTTAAGAAATCATATTTTGAGATATTATTTATCAATCTATAATCAAAACTGGGCCATGAACATGATTTCTCTGATCCTTTAGAATAACCCTGATATGCCTATGGGCCTCCAATTCAGAGACGAGAAACTAACACTCTCTGGATTCTTGCCAATTAAAAAATGAGTGTCAAGTGTTAGAAATGTAAATTGATTTTTTAAAAATCTTTTTTAAAGGCAATCCCTAGTACGCATAAATAATCTTAATAATGTATCTATCTATTGGAACAGTAATACCCCTTCTATCAATCAATCCTAATGTGATAATAAAAAAGATTCAGGTCCAAAAATGTTTACTATTATTTTCAGTAGCAAAAGTATTGCAATATTCTCTGCAATAAATAATTGCAATAGCAATTATAATTGCAAATTAAATCTCCAATGGAGGGGACACTGTGGGTGACCTTTTACCAGCTTTGTGCACTTATCTCCTAGTTTTTATCTGCTTTGTTGCTAATGGTTTATACCTGTTACCTCGGTCAATTACTAGTGGGAGTTGAAGGCCACTTTCTTGGTTGGCCCTAAGTGGTTGAGAGTTCACAAACACCACTCCCTCCCTGAGGACTAACAGCCATTGACTACTGGTCTGCTTGTTAACTGACTCTCCAGAGCTCCCCATGAGCTCTGAGTGTGGGACTTCACCTGGTATTTCTTGCTTGGTTTCTTCCCTTTCTAATTCCCACTTCTCCCCTTCCCTTACTATTTCAACTGGGAGCACTTCCTAATGAATCACTTGCACTTTATGCTTGGCTCAGGGATTGCTTCTGGGAGAACATAACCTAAAATGTCCAACAATAAGGAACAGTTAATGACATCCATCCAACACAATATCCTTTGGCTGTTAAGAACCTATCTCTGAAGAAAACTTAAAGACATGGTAATACATTCTGGATATATCTTAACTGGAAAAAAGTATGGTATAATTAACTATGTAAAAATTATACACAGGCACAAATTAGCCAGGTGTGGTGGCGGGTGCTTGTAGTGCCAGCTACTTGGGAGGCTGAGGCAGGAGAATGGCGTGAACCCAGGAGGCAGAGCTTGCAGTGAGCCGAGATCCCACCACTGCACTCCAGTCTGGGCGACAGAGCGAGACTCCATCCCAAAAAAAAAAAAAAAATTATACACAGGCACAAAAAAAGACTAACAGGACAGATATTAAAATATCTATATAGTTATTTCTGATGGTGGGAATATGAATATTTATTATTCTGTATACCGTTATGTAGCCTTCAAAATTTCTGTAATGAAATCACCACTTATAACAAGCATCCCTTTTCCTTTTATCAGGAACTGAGACTCTGGAATAGCTGAAATGTGTTCTAAAGGGGAGCAGAGAAGGTTATGGAGCACAACAGTGGCTAAACCAAAGGATCATAAAACTTTAATAAAAATGGTATTTACTGGAAAAGGAGAAAGAGTTGAGAAATAATAAAGTGGAATCTTTTTATATACACTAAGATGAATGTTACACCCCATTACAACCCACAGACCATTTCATGTTGAGTTTTTTCAGTAAATGGTGGTGTTATTTTGGTGAACATGATTTGACCTATGTATGTGGCCAAATCTACATATTAGATATTTAATGGTGGGGATTATGACTTAATTTTTTTATTCTCTGTGTTTAGCATAGTACCTGGTATATAGTAGTAACTCAATATATGTTGGGTTTCCTTGCCTTTCTCCCCGGCTCACTGAAATAGGAACGTGGGAGCTGCTGAGTTCCTGCCTGATAAAACCCCATATCCTCCATGAACACTGCCAAAGTGGTGCTCTCACAGCCTAGAAAAGGCATCTCTGTTTATCCATAAGGCATGGACTCTCCTTGTGAGAAAAAGAGGGCCTCCCAGCAGACAGGACAGGCCCTCCTTCAGGTGGCCTTTCTGGGGTGACTTGCACAGGGCGGTTTGGAGACCTAATGCAGTGTTCACTTGCACTTTCCCTCTAGCTGGGTCCTGCTCCCTTTTCACGAGGAAGAGGAGGGAAGCAGGGGTTTGGGCTCCGTTTTGCTTAGCTAAGCAGGTAACTGGATAAAATTGGTTTAGAAAGCTCCCAGGGAGTAAGAACAGTGGTTGTAAGAATAATTTAGATTATATATGAATGTTTTAGGTTTTTCTCTCAGTGGCTGGCTGTTCTGTTTCCTGAACCTGAATGATAGAGCTGGCTTTGGCTTAGGAAGAAAAAGGCAGCCTGTAAGGAGTGACCAGGCGGTAGGTGGGGAGGACTGGTAATGTCATCCACGGTTCCCTACTGCTGCTTTGTGGGTTTCAGGAGGTGCACCGTGTCAGGAGGCTGGGGCTCCTCTATTCCTGCAGAGGAACAGCTGCCCAGTCACTCAGCCTGGGGTTCACACCTTCCGCAGTGCTTGTTGCAGGAGGTTCAGTGTAGTGTGTGCATGTCCACCTCCAGCTGCCAAACTTCTCAACAGGATGTAGATGAACCTGGGCTGACAAATTGGATAAGGTGGGCTGGCAGGCCAAAGCTTCAATTACCAGTACCACATCCTTTCCCTTCTAGGATACACAAAAGTAACTGGCCTCATTCCTTCCTCTCCCAAATAGAGAAGCCTTGGCTTGAAAATTCCAGGGAGTGGCCATGCGAGGTGGCTCATGCCTGTAATCCTAGCCCTTTGGGAAGCCAAGGTGGGTAGGTCACTTGAGGTCAGGAGATCGAGACCATCCTGGCTAACACAGTGAAACCCCATCTCTACTAAAAATACAAAAATTAGCCAGGCATGGTGGCGCACACCTGTTATCCCAGCTGCTCAAGAGGCTGAGGCAGGGGAATCACTAGAACCGAGGAGGCAGAGGTTGAAGTGAGCCAAGATCATGCCACTGCACTCCAGCCTGAGCAACAATCAAGACACTGTCTCAAAAAAAAAGAAAAAGAAAAAAAGAAAAATTCCAGGGAGAACCACTAGGTAAATTGGTATCAATGCAGTCATTGCATTGATGAGAAACAGTCTAGGACTTCAGACGGAGACTCTGATTCTAAACTAAGGAAAGTCAGAGGGAAAGTCAGAGGGATCATTGTGTGGCGCCTGGGGCGAGAGTGGGAATGTGTGTTCTCTTGTGCCCTAGAGCAGGCTTTCTTTATCTCGGCACTACTGACATAACTCTTCAGTGTGGGGGCTGTCTTGGGTACTGCATAAGGAAACCCATATCCACCTGAATACAGAAGACTCTAGATTCTCCTGGGTCTCAAGTGCCCAACAAAACCCACTTTGTTCCTTTGAAGTCAGGGTAGCATTTCCAAGGCTGCCGTGTAAACAAGTGTCCCCTATTAAGTTGGTTTATCCCTTAATTTATCCTACAAATATTAATGAAGCACCACAGTGCCAGGCCTGGCGCTGGGATGCTAGAGAGAGAATAGGCATGAAAAGGGGCTTGGTACCTGCCCTCCCACCTCTCAGAGTCTCAAGGCATGGTTCTCCACCTGGGTGACTCTGTCGCTCAGGGAGCATTTGGCACTATCTGAAGACATTTTTTTTGGTTTTCACCACTAGGTGGGGGCCAGGGAGGGTGGTGCCATGGCATCTGGTAGGTGGGGGCCAGGGAGGGTGGTGCCGTGGCATCTGCTAGGTGGGGGGAGGCCAGGGGTGCTGCTGAGCAGCACCCACAATGCACAAGACAGCCGCCTGCAACAAAGAATTATCCAGCGAAATGTCAGTAGTGCCAAGGTTGGGGAAGCCTGGTCTAGAGGGGAAACAGACCTTAATCAAATCGTCTTATTACTTGATATTTACTTTCATTTTCACGTATTTACTTTACAAATGCTCTGACATCGAGGAGAGTGTGTAAGAATGGAAGCAGAGGCACACCTGGGCCAGGGTGAGAGGCAGTGGCCAGGGAAGTGCTCCTGGGAAGGGCCACATGGGCAGACATTGGAGGATGGACTGGAAGTGACTGGACAAAGGGGCGGAGAGATGGAAGCAAGGAAGAGTATTCCAGACAGAAGCTCTCAAGTGCAAACAAACCTTGTGTTGGGAGGTACCATGGATTATTCTGGAAATATTTTTCCTTTCATACCATCATCACCTTACAGCCTTTGCAAGACAAGGGCAACTCTGTGTCCATGACTCCAACAAATAGGCAGCTCATCAAGACATACTGCAGAACCCAACCGGACAGAAACTGGAAGAATCATTCACACTCCAGTGTCTATCTTGTTCCATGGCTCTCTTTCTCACCACCCGGCACTGCGCATGACAACAGGCAGGAATCAAAACCCTAAGTTGACATTAAAAGCCTGAGTTTCATAAAACGAAAAACTGATAAACTGAAAAACTGATCAATTGGACCTCATCAAAATGAAAAGTTTTACTCTGCAAAAGATCCTGCAAAGATGATGAAGAGACTAGGAGAAAATATTCTCCAATCACGTATCTGTCAAGGGACTAGTATCTAGACTACACAGAAAACTCTTAAACCCCAACTGTAAAAAAAAATCGGATTAGGAAATAAAAGACATGGATAGATATTCCATTAAAGAGGATGTATAAATGGTAAATACGTCCATTAAAAGATGTTCAACATCATTAGCCACTGGGGAAATCCAAATTTTTAAAACCACAATGAGATGTCACTATATGTCCAGATGAATGGCTAATACTAGTGACAACACCAATTGCTGGTGAGGATGCAGAGAAACTGGATCACTCACACATTGCTGGTGGGAATATAAAATGGCACAGCCGCTCTAGAAAACAGTTTGGTAGGTCAGGTGCAGTGGCTCACGCCTGTAATCCCAGCACTTTGGGAGGCCGAGACAGGCGGATCACCTGAGCCCGAGGTCATGAGTTCAAGACCAGCCTCACTAACATGGTGAAACCCTGTCTCTACTAAAAATATAAAAATTAGTCAGTCGTCGCGGCAGGTGCCTATAATCCCAGCTACTCGGGAGGCTGAAGCAGGAGAATCGCTTGAACCCGGGAGATGGAGGTTGCAGTGAGCCGAGGTTGTGCTATTGCACTCCAGCCTGGGCGACAAGAGCGAAAGTCCGTCTCAAAAAAAAAAAAAAAATAGTTTGGTAGTTTCTGTTTATTATTTATTTTTTTTTAATGTAAGTTTGGCCGTTTCTTACAAAACTAAACATGCACTTAACTGTATAATCCAGCAATGCTGGACATTTATTAGAGAGAAATGAAAATCATTTCACATAAAAACCTGTATACCAATGTTCACAGCAACTTTATTTTTTAATAGTCCCAAAGTGGAAACATCCCAGATGTTCTTCAGTAGGTGAATGGCTAAACTGTGGTACATCCACACCACAGACTACTACTCAGTAATAAAGAGAAATAAACTACTGACACACAAAACAACTTGGTTGGATTTCAAAGAACTATGCTGAATGGAAAAGCCTATTTCAAAAAGATGCATAGTGTGTAATTCCATGTATATAACATTGTTGAAATGACAAAGGTGCAGAGATGGAGAATAGATCAGTAGTCACCAGAAGTTAGAGAACAAGAGAGGGAAAGGGATGTGTGTGACGATAAAAGGGAGGCATGAGGGGTCCCTGTGGTGGAAATGTCCTGTATCTTGCCTGTGGTGGTGCCCACACAAGTCCATACATGTGATAAAACTGCATAGAAGTAAATGCACACACCCCAGTGAGTACCTGTAAACCTGGTGAAATCTGAATAGGGTGGGTGGATTGTGTGATGTCAGTTTCCTGGTTGTGGTACTGTACTACAGTTATGCAAGATAATGCCTTTGCAGGAAACCAGGTAAAGGGTACACGAGAGCTCTCTGAATTACTACTTTTTTTTTTTTACGACTGCATGTGAATCTATATAACTATCTCAAAATAACAACAAAAAAACCCTACTGTAAAATTTTAGTCAGCAAACAAATGCCAATGTACCTTAAGACAGATCTTTTTATTTCTTACTTTTTCCCTGTACTGCAAATGTACAATCACACAAAAATGTAATATTTTTGGTCCTTTCAAAAAGAATAGCTACAGTTTTAGGGTGCTTGCATAATTGTACATTCTCATAATTATTTGACTTATAACAGTATTAATTCTTATTCTATAAGAAATTAACAAAAGGATTTAGGACACTATACATGGCCCCTGCAGGTTCCTAAGACAAACCACCCAAGTTCAAATGTCACCTCCACTGCCAATTATCTGTATGACTTTTGACAAGTGCTAGCCTTCAGTGTGCCTCAGCTCCTCCATCTGAAAATCGGTGTAATAGTAGTTCTTACTTTAAGAGTTGTTATAAGGATTTTAAAAAGTACTATGTCTCAGGTTCTTAGGACAGTTCTTGAGGCCCCACTCGAAGCTGGCCTCTGCTGTTACCCCATTTACCACCATCATCACGAAGGCCTGGGGTCCTCTCTTCAGGCTTTGAAGGCCTATACTACAGTCCAGCTTAACATTTCCTCAAGGGCAAAATGTTCAAATATTATAATTTCTAAAAATCAAAACACATGTTTAAAGCTGCCTTTAAGACTTGTGGTCTTTTTTCAATTTCCTTTATTTCTTTGTTATTAGAGGGAGTCAAGGGTCTCTAGTATGTGACTTTATCAGACTTTCACATCTGGTCACAGGTCCTCAGGGAAGGTGACTTGAGAGGCCTTGCCCTCCCCAGGGGAAGCAGCTCAGCCCTGTGACTCCATCGACAGCCCTGATGATGGGCTTAGGAAATGATTGATGGTCACTGGCGACTGAGGAAATGGGCGTCAGGCTCTGGCGATTTTCCTTGTGTTCTTTCCAAGGCTGCCAACCTCATGAATAAGGAAGTGTTTTCCTACCAGCCTGAAACTGAAATAGGGTGGGATTATACTAACATAATTCTTTAAGAAGTTTTAGTGTGTTAAAGCCAGACCAGCCCTGCCTCAGTGGTCAACACATTCCATGATAGAAGTCTAGAGTTTAGGCCAACTCTCATCACAGTTTTGTTTAGATGGATGAAATACCTCATATAGAAAATGCTTGATCATTGCTCAAAGAGATCGTTTAGAAATAAATCTGAGCTCCACTGGAAAGCCTGTAACAATGGTAACTGGAAGATGAGGTAATCCAGGAGAAAAACCCTCCATTTTTGCAAGCAGACTCTAAAACACAGTACTTCTCAAAAAAAAAAAATAATAATAAAATAATAAAAGGGGTAGAAAGATATATAGAAGTCCCTTTATCATAGAAAACCAGGATGAGAAGAAAAAGTACTCCTCACCCCAACCCTGCTGTTCTCCCAGGTTCTATATCTTTCTAA
Organism: Homo sapiens; assembly: GCF_000001405.40. Taxonomy (NCBI): domain Eukaryota; kingdom Metazoa; phylum Chordata; class Mammalia; order Primates; family Hominidae; genus Homo; species Homo sapiens. Next base: position 224,018,730 of record NC_000002.12, read on the forward strand.
GTGACACCACCAACTGTTCATCCAAGAACCTAAGCCAAAGTCTGGAAACTGTCCTTCATCATTTCCTTTATCCCACAGAACCATCAACAAGGAAAAGCTCTCCATTGTTTGAATGATCCACCCCTCTCAAGCTCCTCTATCCCCAGCCCAAGCCACCAACATCTCCGGAGGAGGACACTGGTCTCCTAGACCCATCTCTCTGCCTGCACTGCCCCAGTGACTCTAAAATCTGAGTCAATCCCTATGATGACTTCTCCATGCTCTTGCAAGAAAATTCAGCACCCTCTCTCCATAGGCTCTGAGTCGGCCTGTCTGGTCTGGATTTGGCTTCCTTTTCCACAGACAGGAGGCCCCCTCAACTGCAGGAAATACGTTCTAAGACCCTCAGTGGATGCCTGAAACCATGGAAAATTTGGAACCCTATATACACTATGTTTTTTTCCTGTTCATAAGTACCTATGATAAAGTTGAATTTATAAATTAGGCATAGTAAGAGATGAACAATAACAATAGTACAATAATAAAAATATATTGTTTTTTATATATTATACATATGGATAATATACTGTAATAAAAGTTATTGGAATGTGATGTCTCTCTCAAAACATCTTACTGTACTGCATGTACCAATTTTCAGACTGCAGGTAACTTAGGCCACCAATAAGGTGGAGACTACAGTGCCCTGTCCTCCTTGCAGTTTACAGAACGTGGTTGGTTCTTCCTAGCCTCAGGCCTTCATGCCTATGTTCCCTCTAACTGGATCACTGTCATCTTCCCTTGTCTTTGTGCCTGTGAGCCCACTGGGGACCTTGTTCATCCTGTTCACCATGGCACCCCAGCCTCCAGCATGGCACCCCAGCCTCCAGCATGGCACATGGACACTGAAGTGCTCAATATATAATGGAGGCATTGATGAAAAAGCAAAGCTTTCAATGATCTGTTGATTACCATCATGTATTAAGGTCAATTACAGTGGCCACCATCTTATAAGCAGGTATGGTCTAAAGCATTTGAGGAAGTCTTTTTTTTTTTTTTTAAAAAAAAAAAAAGAATGTACACATTTCTAGAGCAAAGTTTCACAACCTTGTCACTCTTGCCATGTGGGTCTGGATAATTATTCATTGTAGGGGGCTATCCTGTGTATTGCAGAATGTTTAGCAGTATTCCTGGCCTTTACTCAAGAGATGCTAATAGCACCCCACCCAGATGGACCAACCAAATGTCTGGAGACACTGACAAATGTCCCTGAAGGAGAGAGGAAGGATCACCCCTGGTTGGCAACCACTATTACAGAGAAAGTGGTGGTGGTTAGTATTTTAATTCTGCCTTCAAAATGCCTAGTTAACCCATACTTTGTCTGAATCACACAAGTAATGATGCATTTTAATATGGTATCACTTAACCACATTTACATCATTTTAGTGGGAACATGCATTCCAAATCCCTAGTAATATTTATGAACAACCATGGAAAGGTTGAACTGTCTACCCTGAGAGACTCAGCTTAGCCTCCTGCATCAGTATTCCAGGTGACGTCTGAAGTGAAATGGTACGAAGAATAGAAAGAAAGGTATAGGAGTCAGAAGAGAGTTGGGGGATAGATGGGTCTTTCCATATCTGGTCTGACCATTCATTTGTGTTTGGCATATAAAAACAGAATAGAAACAAGATAACACCTTAGCGTTTCAGGTCCTTCTGGAAAGCACCATCCCATATATTTCCATGGTGGGGCAAAACCCAGGAATGAAATGTGAAAGACTAGGACTCAACACTGATCTCACTCCGTTTGCCCCTCTTCAACTAATATAATATGCTGCTGAGCTTGGAACACCTCTGCAGGAATGCGAAATGATTTCCTAGTTTTACCTGCCACATTGCAACAATATTTTCAATTATTGGCTAAACTGCAAATGCCCCACGAGTCATTTAAATAAATCTCACATGGATGAAATAGTCAATTGTGTTCTCTGAGCAATTCCCAGCTGTAAAAATACAGCCACACCGAACATATTTTTTTCTGCAGCTAATTGAAAATACTGCACATATAATGCATGATTTAAAGCACCCAGGAGGAATTTCAATTTGCATTCCCTATTTTAAATGTACAATCAAATGCTGTCTTAAAGTGCTCCACACATTTAATTCAATATTGCTTGCCTGAAGCCCCACTCCTAAATTTTAGCACTATGAATGGATGGTCAAAGGTTTTTAATGCTCCAAGTGACTTTTTAAAACAATGGCTTTAACAGGGTTGCTTTTCCTGAGAAAACAAACGCTCCTAGACATGACTGGTTCAAACCTCTACGGCCCAGAGAAAATTTCCAAAATAACAGCAAGATGCCTGCCAGGAAAAAGAGACCATGGATAAGGACATCCTTCGTTCAGGAGTCAAACCTGATGTGGTCTCATAAGTGCTCATAGCTGTTGCCCTGGCGTTAGAAATGCCCTTGACATTCTTGGCAGTTGATCAAGATGGTTCATCAAAGGGTGGGTGAAGGCAGCATCTGTGGAGGTGAAGAAAGAAAGGGTGCCCGGAAGCTTGGGATCTGGGAAAAAGGGGTGCCACAAGATGTATGATCATCTTCCATTTCAAACGGAGCTTGAGAGGTTGCACAAACAGTTCATGTGCTCTCCTAGTCAACAAAACAGTGATTCAGGGCCTACATCAAGAGGGAAGCACAAGAGTAGAAGCTTCAAAGATGAAGGGAAGACAGAGCCTGACCTTAAGAGCCTGCAGACTAACAGATGACAGAAATCCTTAAGGACTAAGAAAAGAGGTAGAATGTGACACATTGAGTTTCAGTCAAATGAGGAAGGTGGCTATTTGCCTTTACTTAACATGAAATAACACTATCAGTTGATGTGTTTCCCACCACAGGGTAAATTAGTAAGAGGAGGTGAAAATCAGAAGAGCAGCCACATCTATCCCTACTGGGAAGGATAAGACAGTGACCCACAGTGGTAGCAACCAACAAACCATAACCAAAGAATTAAAAGTATCTGAATTTAAAGTTAAGGCGGGTACAGTGGATCACACCTGTAATCCCAACTTTAAGAGGCCAAGGTGGGTGGATCACATGAGGTCAGGAGTTTGAGACCAGCCTGGCCAACATGGCGAAACCTAGTCTCTACTAAAAATACAAAAATTAGGCTGGGCGTGGTGGCTCACGCCTGTAATCCCAGCACTTTGGGAGGCCGAGGCGGGCAGATCATGAGGTTAGGAGATCGAGACCATCCTGGCTAACACGGTGAAACCCTGTCTCTACTAAAAATACAAAAAATTAGCCGGGCATGGTGGCGGGCGCCTGTAGTCCCAGCTACTTGGGAGGCTGAGACAGGAGAATGGCATGAACCCAGGAGGCGGAGCTTGCAGTGAGCTGAGATCACACCACTGCACTCCAGCCTGGGCAACAGAGCGAGACTCCTTCTCAAAAAAAAAAAAAAAAAAAAAAAATTAGCCAGGTGTGGCGGCTCACGTCTGTAGTACCAGCTACTCATGAGGCTGAGGTGGGAGAATCACTTGAACCCAGGAGGCAGAGGTTGCAGTGAGCCCAGATCACACCACTGTGCTCTAGCCTGGGTGATAGAGTGAGACCCTGTCTCAAGAAAAAAAAAAAAAAAAAATTTAAAGTTAAATGACATAATGAACACCAGATATGTATTTATTGAACAAATGAAAGTACTAGTCATAACTTAGTGTTCTTCCTTAGATAACCCTTAACTTTTATTTCACGAATTAAGAAACAGATAGGAAATAATGAAAGGACTCAGAAATTATCTATTTCAATCACCTGTCACCAGGGGCTATTCTCTTACATTATCTGACATTACAAAATTAGTCCTTTAGACACTCCCAATCTCTGGAAATGAAGGGACCTAGTATGTGAAACTTGGCTGAACCACTAAACCTCTTGTGCTAACTGACTAGAAAATTCCCTACAAGCAACACAGAACTAAAACAAATGGTTTTAGTTCTATGACATGGGCCATTAACTTGCTTTCACATGGTACTTACCAATTGATATGGCTTGGCTGTGTCCCCACCCAAAATCTCTTCTTGAATTATAATCTCCATAATCCCCCTGTGCCAAGGGCAGGACCAGGTGGGAGGTGATTGGATCATGGGGGCAGTTTCCCCCATGCTATTCTCATGATAATGAGTGAATCTCATGAGATTTGATGGTTTTATAAGTGTCTGGCATTTCCCTTGCTTGCACTCACTCTGTCCTGTCACCCTGTGAAGAAGGTGCCTGCTTTTCCTTTGCCTTCCACCATGATTGTAAGTTTCCTGAGGCCTCCCCAGCCCTGAGGAACTGTGAGTCAATTAAACCTCTTTCCTTAATAAATTACCCAGTCTGGGATATTTCCTTATAGCAAGGTGAGAACAGACTAATACACCAATCAAGCCTCCTATAACAAGTGGGCTTCCCATGAAGATTTTGTTAAGGTGAGGAAAGTCCTTATTGGTCAGAGGACCCTCTTGTTATTTATCCGTCTCTTGTGAGTCTGGTAATTGTTAGTCAGTCTCTCTGACCTGCAATGACCCTGGGTATCCTGACAAACTCCCAAGTTTGTCTTCTCTGCTTCATGCTGGGGATCTCCCTCAGTGATGCCATCTAAGCAGCCAGTGTCTCTGACACCATACAAATAAAATGCAGCACCATTTGGTGATCCAGCCTATGTTTATTCTTCTCCCTTTGGCAACAGACACTATTTACTTACTATCTTTCCCAGAGCAATAGAGGGAAGCCAGGAAAGTGCTGAGCTTGTATTCTACAACCTGAGAAGGAAGTAAGGGAAAGGAAGAGCTCAGTGCAGCTAAATCAGCTTCCTAACACATTTAAGTCTACAGGTAGGTTCATTTAAGCAGTTCAGAAACTTTTAAAAAGGTTCAGAAGAAATAAAACAGAGAACATCTTTCCTACCCTCCCTCCAAATATATCAAAGGTGTCATATTAAAATACATGGATTCCAGTAGTACACATGGACTAAACATTTCCCATCTTTTATTAGGTGACTAAAGGGCTACTTTGAGATATGTTTTGGCACCCACAAAAGTAATCCTGTGACACTGGGTAGACATTCTTTTCTTTTTCAGTTCTCCATTCTGGCTCTTGTAATCAAGGTGGGTTTCTTGCACCAAGCCTCTCTACCCAGGCCTGTTGTAAGAAACCCATGCAGCTTTGGTCCATCCATATCCTTCAGTGTAACTTTTTGGCATGAATTACACATAAAACAGTGACCCAGAAAGAGTTTGAACTGGGTACAAGAGGTGGGTGGTCCCTGGTTCCCACATTTTGACTTCTGGGGAAAAATGATATGAGCCATTTTCCAAAATATAGTAAGTAAATAAAAATATATGTATCTGTAGGCACAAGGTATAGAAATACTTCTAAAGTAGGAAAAGGGAATGAGGGATGGGGAAGATATGAGAAGACAACTTCCACTTTAAGAAAGGTTCCTGTGCTTTTATCTCCAACTCTTTGCGCCTTTTGCTTTCTTCCTTCAGTACAAAGAGTTTGCAAAGAAAATCTCAAAAAAATTTTGTAAAAAGGTGATCACTGCCCACCTCTTCCTGCCAAGCAAGCACCTATCAAACGAAAAAAGTTCTTCAAAGCTCAGAAACCATGTTAAGTGATGGGAAACATGGTTCCGAACCTGGATTTAGTCACCCAGCTACTGAGCTTCGTCCTGTAACCTGACTCCATTTCCTTTGCTACAGTTGATGCTAATGCCTTGTGAAGGGATTTAAGGGCCAGGGGACGTTTGCTATTTCCCAGAAGAAACCTATGCCCATTTAACACTACTGTGGAACAGGCCTGTTGTCTAGTCCTGGGCCTGCCTGCAATGGGTAAGTCACATACCTGATCTGCAACTCAGTTTCCTCATCTATAAGATCAGTGATAAGCCTCCTTCCCCACCAATGAACTTCAGAGAGCTGCTATGAGGATTACGCGAAGATGCTGAAGAACAAGTCAATAACTCTTAGGTTCCACAGAACTTTTCTTCACAAGACCCGCCTGCTGCCCTGCTGCCAACATCCAAAGCTAAGATAGGAGAACAGGGACTTCTAGAATTAAAAGTCAATGACAATGGAAGTTCTCCTTCTCAGCTTTATCTAACCTCTGGTATAAGAAACTGCACCAACGAATCTTTAGGGATGAAGGGGGCTGAGCTTCTTTTTGTCATGAAGTTGCATTTTATAGGGGAGAACATCTCCCCAGTTACTCACAGCCAATTATGGAGACAATGATCCCCAACAATGGGGCTGGTGAGTAGCTGCACAGAAGATGGGGGAAGAAACTTTCATAAAGCCCCTACTATGTGCACAGCTCTGTGAACACATCATTTCACAGACTCTTACACACAGAGATGCAGAGAGGTTGGGGAACCTGCCCACATCACACAGAAAAAAAAGAGAGCACACGGGGGTACCCACCACAAGACTGGCACGGCCAAGGGCTTCTCCCAGGGACAGGTCACCTGCCCGCCCCTTGCCCAGTCCCCTGGGTCTCTTTTCATTCCCTCAGAGTGCAGGATTGGCACTAACCCCATTCCCCAGCTTTCACCTCTCTTTTTCCTCCCAGATGTATAAGTGTGTTTCCAGCACATCTGACCAACTTCTCCCACATTGCAAGAGTGAGGCTCCCCTCCTCCAGCGTTAATTCTTTATTTCTTTGATTAACTTCTAATTCCCATGCATGCTTGGATATAGGGCATCCCCCAGATAAGACAGCCCTCTTCTTTTCCCAATGAGAAAATCCCTACCCCCTACAAATTTTGGTCAATCTGCCCAAATAAACTTTATGACTCACATGAAATCACATACCCTATGAGTTAGAAATAGTACTTTTCATTCCATGTCCACCTTCCATGAAGCAATTTAGCTCACAGTCTTCCCAGGTAGTGTCCACATGCCTGTCCTCAATTTGTGAGTTGTGTAACCATTCTTCTAAGCACAGCACCTCCTTACCTTCCAAGTTGCCTATCACACAGCACTTTTCAAAACGATGTGCAACACTGCCACTGAAACACCTACCCTAGGCCATCAGAAGCCCTTCAGAGTGACCAAGAAAGTTGCCCTCAGAGGCAAAAATATATTGACGATCCACACAGCATATTAGTGATCGTGTTACTTTTAAAGTGACCTTCAATGGTCTTAATAAAATTTCAAATGACAGAGGGCAGCTAGCTCTTCAGGAAACCCATTTCCTCTTCTTGCCAACCGCAGAGCTGGGCTACATTTCCTAGCCTTCAAGGTAGGTGGGCGTGACCATAAGGCTGAACTGTTCTTAATGAAATAGGAGAAGTGACACATTCCACTCCCAGGCCTAGCCTATCAAAATCTCCCATATGCAGTCCTCCATGATCTTTCTGCTTCCGCCAGTTCAATGCTGACAAGTACGTGACCTTAGCAGCTGCCTGTTAAATAAAGTGGAACCACAGACAGGAAGAGGCTGGGTCGCCAAATCACCAGGTTTCACATAAACACGCCCACTTCGGGCTTTATACAAGTGGAAAATAATCTTCCATCATGTTTGAGTCACGGTACATATTTGGGTTTATTTGTTACAACAACTAGCACTACCTTAACTAATTCAACGTTCAATATCTGGCAACTCTGAAGTTATAACCTCAAGAACAAGTACTAAATCTGTATTCAATTTCTTTGCCTCTCTTTTTTAAAATTTAACCCCTTTTCATGAAGCAACCTCGATAAGCATTCATAATATGCATTGACTGAGAGAATTTCAGGCGAATTTGCCTTCCCCATCTGTTCTCAGCCAGTCACTCATGGATCTCATCTATCTAGTTTTTTTGCGAACTCTTAATGATTTTGTAAGGACCCTACTAGACGGCAACTCCCTTTCTGAAGAACAATTTTGAGGAAATTTTTTGCTTCAGACACAGTTTCCAAGCCGGGACACTCTTTTCCATAGAGAAACTTCTGTATTTCAGTGCCTTTTCGTGACATACTCAGAAATTGCTCAGGTACCATTTTCAGCTTATGTGCCTGGCCCAGAAGGGATCAGGCCTTAACACAGGCTTGTGTATTCCCGTGTCTTGCTGTCATAGATATTTAATGCTTCACACCTTTCCAAAGTTGTCCATGAAAACTTTTGTCTTCCTTTCTAGGGAATTAATCTCTCCTCTGTGAAGGAGTTACCTGTTTTTCTTCAGCCATAAAGAGCACGTCAGAGACTAAATAGCCAACTCTTAGCTGGTACAAATCAATAAATACCAATTCTACAAAGTTTCGGGCAAAAAGGATTTAGTGGAGAGTCAAGTAAAAGAAAAAATGAGGACGGTTGTGCCCAGGAGGGCTACCTAGACACTGGTGTTTACCAGCTATGTGCCAACATTTCCCTCTGCAGAGAGATTTACCTCTGGCACAAAGTAGTAACTGACACTTAAGTCACTTCTCTGCATGAAGGGCTTGGCATTAGCACTACTGAGCCCCCCTGCTGGCTGTCTGAAAGCTGGGCGTTACTCCCCTAATCTCGCATAGGAGGACACCTGTCACTCACCCAGATTCCTCAGCTACAGAACCATCTTGGGCTATCAGCCTCTCACGTGGTGAGGCAATGCACAGAAAGCACTTTCCTGGCCCATGGCTCGCATGGGCATCAGGGACTGCTGCAGTCTTCAGGGTCACAGACTGCTCTCCTGGTGTCCTGTCCTAACTGAGAGGGAGGGGAGGGGACTTCCACGCAGCCTTCCCCAACAGTTCAGTCCACACTGACCACTGCCAGCTTGACCTCCCAAACATGTCACTGGTATCAACTCATTTTGGCAACTGATTATTGATCCAGTACAGGACTTAGGGACAAGGTGGGAGTGGTAGAAGTGGTTGGGTCTGGTGGAGGAATATTTTATCACCATGATAATAAAAAAAACTGAGGTAATTTCATTTTTGCTTTCAGATCCTCTACAGACAATGCTCCCTGATTGCCTCCCCCTCCCCCATACCATATGCCACTGTTCTAGACTATCTCAAATTGTTATTAAATATCATGGATGTGCCCTTTCTACCTAAATAAACCCCTCAAAGATTGGCCTGTTTTGCAGATACTTCTGTGCCCCTCTAAGCACCTCTTACAGAGTAAGTGCTCAAAAACTAGCTCTTCAGCTGCACGTCACCCAAATACAACAGGCTGCCACCTTCAACTTCCTTCTTGTCCTGTGTGGGGTGTATACATTAAGAACAAGTCTTGTGGACTCTCTTTTACCCTCTAGAATGAATCTTCCTCGAGAACACAGGAGTGAATACAGAGACGACACAATAGAGAAAAAGAGCATGAATCAGCCATGGGACTCTAGGATCGGGTTGTAAGAGCCACCAAGTTATGTGGGCCGCTAAGGGCTAACCAAGGGTGAGTGGCAGGTGATGGCAGTTCTGTCATCAAACTGTACCCAGACTTGGCATCTGGAGAGGTAACAGGTGACAGGAGTCAAAGACGTGAATTCTCAACCTGCCACAGCCCTGCCTTTGCCAAGCAACTTGAGTCACTGTATTTCCTATTTCCCATTTCCCTGCATGTTAACTGGGGACACTGTGATCTTTCTCTGCAAGGAGGGTAATATCCTCATCATTCTCTATTCTCTAGCTATGGAAATAAAGCACAGAGAGGGAAGTATTTTGCCTAAAGCCACACACTACTAAGTGTGGACCTGGGGTTTGAAACCAAGTTTGTTTGACCTCTAAACTCATCCTCTGCCCAGCAATGCTCTGACCTTCAATCTGTGAGGCCGTGCATCACTGCTCAGCCACATGGCTTAGCCTCAATCATTCCTGAAGATAGCGTTTCAGGATCCAAAGTGTCCACCACAGAGAGACACAGACCCGGAGTCTATATCCCATCAGTGGGAATCGGAGCCGGGTGTTCTACACACCTGAATCTCATTTTTCTCACCTATAAACCAGGAATGATTTCTACCTTACAAGGGTTGTTAGGATTCAACAGGATCGTGTATAAAAGATGCCTAATAGTACTTGACACACTGATGATGCATAATTTTCCACTTCCCTCTCCCCTTGGAAGTACTTTTTGGGCTCCTCTGTGCCAGCTATGGTGGGAGGAGCCCAAAAGAATAAGATACTCCACTTGCAGGTTCCTAACAGGGCAGAGAAAACACACGCAGAACCAGAACACAAGGTAGAGAGCAGTACACAAGCACAATTTTGCCACTGTACATGTAAAAAATGTACTTGCCCCACTCGTAGAAATTTTAGGCTAAGAAGTGACATATGCATTGGAAAAACTATGTCTTCATACTTTCCACTATGCTAAATTAATTCAAATTAGTATGATCAGAACTTTGATATTCATGATTTACCACCTTGCTGCACAAGAACAGATTTATTATGAATACTGTGGCATCCTTAGCCAATCCTCCAAATTGTTATTTTAACTAACATGTCATTAAGAAATTAGCACAGGTTTGGCATAAGATAATAGGATTCTTTTAGTATACACATTTCAAACAGAAAAATCCACACCTTTAGAAAGAAAGCTCTCCCTTACAATTAAGTCATCACACAGATTCTCCCTGGCATCCCCTAATCTCACTGTTAGAGCAACAACTCAGGTGTGGGCATATACTCAGACTGCTGTATGAAGTCCAAAGTGGATAACTGCCAGTAAAATCCTTAAAAAAATCCTATCAATGGTAGCAGAAAACACATTTCCTATCTGGGAATGCTTGCTAAGGTTAACCCAACATTCTTAGAACTCTTTTGCATATTGACGGAATCAAATCATAATTAAATGACCATCACCATGTGCTTTAACAATATTCACCATATGTTTAAAATAGTTATTTCTTGGTATCTGGACATCACTGGACACAGTAGAATGATTTTTTCACAGTCAGAAAAACAAGAATGAAAAGAGAAGCCTCTGGATGCTACCCTTGCAGAGACCTAAATATTAAACCAAATAGATTATTTTTCCTACTGTATAGACATTTTTTGTTTTGTTTTATTTTGAGACAGAGCCTCCCTCTGTTACCCAGGCTGGAGTGCAGTGGCACAATTCTGCTTACTGCAACTTCCGCCTCCGGGGTTCAAGTGATTCTCATGCCTCAGCCTCCCAAGTAGCTGGGATTACGGGCGTGCGTCACCATGCCCAGCTAATTTTTTGCATTTTTAGTAGAGACAGGGTTTCACTATGTTCAGGCTGTTTTTGAATTCCGAGCCTCAAGTGATCTGCCCACCTCAGCCTCCCAAACTGCTGGGATTACAGGCGTGAGCCAGCATAGACATGTCTGGCCCTGCATAGACATTTATTCGTTATTCACAACTAACCTAATGGAAAAAAGCAGCCAGCATGACAGGGCTACCTGCAACGTGTTCCCTGGAAGACCTCTTGGTAACACTGCTGTTTACATCTCACAAATGCAAGGGTGGAGTCAGAAGGAGGTTATTTCATGCAACAGCCTTCCTTTGCTTCATGGCCAACGCACAAGAGCCTGAAGCCTGCGGGCAGGACAGATGACCAGGTGATCATTGGGGAGTACTGCCCACTGAGAGTGCAGCAGGAAAGGTGTCTGGAAACAAAGCATGCAAAGACACAGAGCAAGTCACTCATTCATCAGGCCAAAGACACGAGGAAGACATGAGTCTCAGAGAAGTGCTCACCTGTACTTCTGTGACAAATATTACCCAATGCCACAACCACAGCCACCTCGTGTCCCGAAAGTCAGCTCCATTCCTGCCACTGTGCTTAGCGCCTAAGATATACTCTTCGCTTCATCCTCACAACACTTCAGGGGTGGCCCTTAAGCCTAAACACCTTTAGGCCCAACTCACGGATGGGCTTGGAGATGTTTAGAAATTTGGCTTTGGCTCATACCCTCCAATATGTAGCCTCTAGATTCAAACCAAAGCCCGCTGGCCTCCAAATCCTCCACACTCTTAATTACTATACAGTGGAGGAAAAGGAGGAAACACATATTTTAAAATGACAAATTTTGAAATAAAGGTAACTATAAACCTTTGAAAAAGAAGTTAAATCGCAAACAGAGTTCAATTAGGCATGTTTGAAAAGTCATGGCACACTTGTTCTGTGATTCTGCTGAGTTTTATCCAGCTCAGCTTAAGTTATTCGCTTGGACTCTTGTGTAAATCTCTCTACCTTCTCAATCCAAAGGTCAGTACTAATTTTAGATTTCAGTCCCAGAAAAAAACAAGTGTCTGAGGAAGGAACTAGGGGGCCAAAGGCATAAAACCATGATTCAAACGTACCACACAGATACTGGCCTCTTTCTGTATCATGTGTTTTGGTTGTGATACTAGGGCTATCACGCAGCACGGCGAGGAGGTAGTCTTGAAAGGAGGAGTGTGCTTTGACACAAATTTCTTCTCAAGAAGGTATAAACATTGATGGGATGTAAATCTTTGAATATCCATGGTATCAGCTCACGGTTCACACATCTACAGACCCGGGTCCAGGCTCTGGCACTGACACATAAAGGCTGTGCGACCCTACATATTCACAGGGTGTGCCACTTTGGCATACAGGCTGTGTGACCCCCCACATACTGCGTGACCGTGGACCCTTTATCTCTGCCACACCCTTCCTTCCCAACTACATGAGTGGGAATGATATCAGCATCTAGCTGAGAGGCAGGCACGAGGCTCTAGGAGACCACATAGAGATTCCGTTGGGGGGAAAACAGAAAGAAAGGCAGCTGGGGAACGCCAGGCAGCACGGTCCTCTCCACTCCCTTTCCTCCTAACCAAGGATTGACCATGTGATTTGGGATTCAGCCAATCATAGAACCTCCCTCCTCCGCCCACAGCCATTGGTACACGGAAGGGCATGTGACCACGTGACCTAGCATCAGCCAATCACAGGACCTCACTCCTCTGCCCACAGCCATTGGTATCGGGACGAGCATGTGACCATGTGACTTAGCATCAGCCAATCATAGGACCTCACTCCTCTGCCCACAGCCATTGGTACAGCGAACAGCATGTGACTGAAACTAAGCCAATCAGAATTCCTCCCTAGGATTTCCACCCCCCACCCCCCCCGCCGGCTGGAACTGGCTGAAAAGCCCCTCTTTCCTCCTCACTGAGGAGGCTGTAGGGAGGTAAGCCTGGAGCTACCTACAGTCATGGTCCCGGAGAGGACAACCACAATCAGCAGACAGAAGCAGAGATGAGAGGCAAGGAGAAAGAGAAGAAAGCCTCCAAGTCCTCAGTCTTTGGTTCCAGTCATCTTCAGGGCCAGAGTCACCTCTCCCATGCTTGAGTGGGCAGTGTCAGCCAACAGCTCTCCGCCTTGTTTCCGAGTTATTTTGATTTGGGTTTGTTCTCTTGTAAGCAAAAGATAATGCAGTAGTTAATAGTTCCTATAATCTTAACAGTGACCAAATCCTCAGTAAGAATAACTTCTTGAGTGGATTTCTTATTTAAAAACTGCAGAAATAAATTTTAGTAGAGGAAGCAAACATTGCCTTTATTTACATAGCACTTTCCCCAAAGGAAGAAAGAAACATCCATTTTCATTTGTAGTCACCTTATTCATTTCCGAGTGGGCTTTGTATTTGGCATTAAACTCTTTCACATACCCACATCCACCTTCAAGATTTGGCCCATAAAAACTTAGGATAAAAACAAGTGGTTATTTTTTCTATAGCTATATTTGCTGGAACTACATGGAGGGCGAAAGTTGGGGTAGGGGTAAGAGAAGGCACTGATGCTATTTTTGGTATGCTCTCAAGAGAAATTCCCCAGGTTACGAGTTCACACTAGGGGTTGGGGGTGGGGCACGGTTTACAAAAACAAAGTGCATTTACCAAGATTTGCAGCCGTAACAGGAAATCCTTTCTGACTCTTGATGGGATTTTTTCTTTTATATTAAAGTCTCCTCATATTATTCTTCAAAGAATTAAATAAGAAAAATGGAAAGGCACAATGGATGTAAATTCCAATTCTCAAATGATCTTCTGAAGCAAAGGATAATGTCTTACGTCAAACTGTGGCAAAAGCCTGGGTGTTCCTGATCTAATCTTGAACTAGGGTGTCCACCCCAACCTTTGGAGGAATCCTAGGACATGTTTGCCAAAACATACGAGTGGAATTACAAATAGAGGATTGCTTGGGCTCAGTGGCCATCCTCATGCACAGAAAGAATCCCAGAAGGGATGCCGACTTCCCTGGACTGGGCTTACATCCAGACCTAGAAATCTAACAGCAGAATAAAGGCAAGACTCACTGACTGTAGAAATAGACTTGGCCTGTTGGATGGGAGGTGGTATTTCTCAAAAGAGAAATAAAATCATACTAATCTCTCAGTATTCTTAAATTGGGAACTTGCAGACAAGAGATAACCTAAAGATGTAGTTTATTGCATTTGACTCCATTCTGTATCTAAGGGTATTTTTTAAAAACCCAACATTGGTTTTCAGATTAGGCGTGCAATCTACTCATGAGGAAAGATGGTTTGCAAAGAGAAGATGGGCACATTTATGTGTGGAGAACAGGTTGACAAGATTCAAGTATATGGGACCTAATTTATTTAAAATTTTTATAAATGCTCTAAGTGGGAATACAAACTAAATCTTCATGTTGGCCCATGATGCTGTTTCTGAATATAATGCTGAATGATTTTATAGGCTTAAAAAAGTGAGAGACAAGAACTTTAAGGTGTATGAGCACAGGATAATGCATTTACGAAAAAATTTTATCTAGACTTAACACTTATGAGAAAGCCACATCAAAAGGAAACTGAGCCAAGAATTTATAGGTTTTAAAAATAAGACACCTTTTAGATCATTTATTTCAATATACCCATTATACAGACAAGGAAACTGAGTTCTAGATGGTAACCTACACGCTCTATTGGTGGTGCAGCCCATACCCTCTCCCAGCCTGCTCTTTCCACCAAATGTGACTGACGATACCAGCCAAAAAAGTTCCATGGCAAAAAAAAAAAAAAAGTCACCAAGAGGTCATATATCACCATCACCAAAGTTAATAGAAATAAACCAAAATGCATTCTCCTACCCTGTAAAACCACGAAATGCAGAGTGCAGCCCAGCCAACAGACCTCAAGGAGGGCAGAACCATGCCAAAGGGAGGTTCAGATGAGGATAACTGAAGTGAACACAGGCACACAAGTGCTTCTGTATTAGACTTCCGCTTTTCTCTAAGTAATGTTTTATCTCAAAAGACAAGGTTAATCAAAAATTTAAAATGTCTGAGGATATATATTAAATTTGCTAGTACCAAAATGAGGGCTGGAGGTCTGGCAGAGAGAGCTCCCCTTTGAGTCTGGAATACAAACACTCTTCCATAAAGCATGCAGTAAACTTACAAAAAATATGAATATGGTTTAGTTCAGACATCTGTTAATTGCCTTTGGGCCACACACCACCGCTGGTGCAAATAAAACTAAAACACAGGCACGTCTTTCTGGAGCTTAGAGTCTACTGGATAGGGCATGTTGCTACAACACAAAAAACTGCCATCATTGAGGTAGGCACGGGGAGGGGTGACGTGTGTGTACACTGCACATGTGCCACAGAGGGCTGGGGTGGTGACTGCCAGCAAGGCCTTTTTGAGCCTGAGTCTTGAAAAAGGAGAAATCAGCCAGACAATGAACACAGGAGGAGAAAGGGAATTCCAGGCAGAGGTACAGAAGGAGCAAAGGCAGAAAAGCACTGGGCGGTACCAGTGCAGTTTACGGGAGGTTCAGTTTTGCAAGAAAAGAATGTTTCAGGCAGGGGACAAGGCAAGGAGATGGGAAGGGAGTGAAGAAAGCTTTGACTCTGTTGGGTCATTACAAATGGCCAGCAGCCTGGTGAGCCCATGGAGCACTGTGGAAAGTTCCCTGGCTGCATGCTGACAGGAACTGAGTTCTGGGTCAAGACTCTGCCCTAAGGTGTCTAAATGACCTCAGGAACACACTGTATGACTCTGGATACCACATGTAAAACAAGGTTCCCCATGTTCCAAGGGTGGGGGACTCCCTGGGATGGCCTATGCCTCCATATTTACAGACTCCCCACTGCTGTTTGGGATATAGAATCGACCCTGCCCTATCTCCACCCAGGGGGGCTGCGAGGAAGTGGGGCAGTAGTCAGGCTTGTAGAAATGCTTTGTAAACAGCAGGACTGTCATCAACACTAGAACTCTGTATTAACTACCCTACAGAAGCTCAAAAGCATCTTCAGAAACTCGGGTACAACACTGTATAAAGATAGCGGAGAGCTCATCTTTCAATCTTGAGATACCAAACTTGTGATATGACATGGCCACTCCTTTAGAGTCAGGGATTTAAGCCCAGATCAAGAGGGAGCCATTGAATTTTATTAGGAGGGACCCAAGAAGACTTGGATTTGGGGCAGCAGGAGGAAAGTCACACCAGCAATAACATGGAAGAGAGTTAGAAGGGATGCAACATGAGGTGCACGACACTGTGCAGTAAGCACTAGGCATTCCCAGGCTGTCGATGATCGTCTCAGCCTAGGGTCTCTAGCTCTGAAGCCCATGGGAGCCAGAACGCCACTATAAGCAAGGGTCACAGGTCTGGGGGAACCAGAAAGCAACCTACCTCCAGTGTATTCAGGCACTGGAAACCCAGCAGCAGCTGAGGTTTGCCACATGGGAATGTAAGCTTCCTATTCCAGGTTTTTTTTGTTTTGTTTTTGTTTTTGTTTTGAGACAGAGTCTCACTCTTTCACCCAGGCTCGAGAACAGTGGCGCCATCTCAGCTCACTGCAACCTCTGCCTCCCGGGTTCAAGCGATTCTCCTGCCTCAGCCTCCCGAGTAGCTGGGATTATAGGCGCAGCTAATTTTTGTATTTTTAGTAGAGACGCGGTTTTACCATGTTGATCAGGCTGGTCTTGAACTCCTGACCTCAAGTGATCCGCCTGGTTCAGCCTCCCACAGTGCTGGGATTACAGGTATGAGCCACCACGCACTGCCTCATCCAGGTCTTCTGGCTTTTAGGAGAAGCTATACATCCAAGTGGCATCTCCAGATTTCTAAATATTAACTCAAGTTGTATATACTTTGTTCAGGCCAACAACACTGCTGCCTACTGCTAGAAGTGGCACACCGGCCACCATTTTGCCACTTTTGGGCTCTAAAGCAAGGCAAGGCCAGCGTGACTAGAGCGGACCTTTGTGGAATTTCACAGCATGAAGAAGCAACAGGATCTGGTGACAGCCTGCATGTGGGCAGTGCGGGAGCCTGGCATCACCGTGAGACCCCTGCTCCAACATCTCCATGAACGGTGGAACCACTGCCAAAAAAAAACGGACAAATCTTCGCTAACAATGAAGCGGATATGGGGTGGGTGGTGAAAACTAAAATCAATTTTGGATTTATTTTGGGGTGTTTTTTTGGCCTAAAGGGCACGGGTAAGCGCACCAGACTGCAGGTAACTGATTGGAACACAGGAGCATGCTCAAGCTAGCTTAACATGCCAATCTGGGACTCGCTTCATATTGGTGAGAGTCGAAGCTGTGGGAACATGGTTCACCCAAATACACAGAGCACAAAAGGGATGACAGCGAACCCTGGGTAACCCCAAGAGGTAGCAGAGATGCCAGGGAGGAATAAGGAAAACCAGAAGGTGGCAACCAGGGATGGAAAAAAAAAAAAAAACCATCAGAAAGGAATAGAAGAACCTCATCAAATGCCACGGAGAAACCTAGTGGGTATCCATAAGATTGCTTGTTCAGATGAGAACACAGGGACACAGGGAGGGAAACATCACACACTGGGGCCTGTGGTGGGGGGCGGGGAGTGAGGTAGGGGAGGGATAGCATTAGGAGAAATACCTAATGTGATGGGTTGATGGGTGCAGCAAACCACCATGGCACGTGTATACCTATGTAACAAACCTGCACGTTCTGCACATGTACCCCAGAGCTTAAAGCATATTAATAAAAATTAAAAAAAAAAAAAAAAGATTGCTTGTTCAGGAAGTCACAGGCCTTGAACTTTGAGGAGACTCTGGCCAGCTTGCAAAGAGCTGAACAGGAAGGGCAGACCAGTTTAAGAAGCCTGGAGAGACGTGGTTGTCACTACAGGTGAGCTGAGGATGCAGGGACAAGGGAGGTTAAGGCATTCTTAAAATACTACTAAAAAAGAAAAAAGCTCACAGGGAGAGACTGAAGATAAAAGTAAGAAAAGGGAGTAACACTCACAAGGAGAGAGAGGCACTGGGAGTTGGGATTCAGGACACAGCTGGAGACATTAGTCACTGCCCCAAGGAGGCCATCTCTCTATATTTCTCTAAGTTCTCAGTCTAACTTGATTTTTCTTTATAATTCTACCTTATTCATTTATCATACATTTTACAACATATTATGTTTGCTTTTAGTTGGTTTTCTCCCACAAGAATGACAGTTTCAAGCGAGCAAGGATCTGCTCTATTTACCACCTATGAGTATCCAACAAAGTACCCAGACACAGTAGATGCTTAAGAAGATTTATTGGATGACTGGGTAAACACAGAAAAGTCTGTACAGGGGAGATGGGGGAGGACGTGAGGAGATACTTATGACCTCTATTCTCCTGGTAGAATGGGCTACAAAGTCACCTGCCAAACCCGCAAGAGGAAAAGCATTGGAGATCGCTTGCATTGAAGATTACAGTGGGAGTCCGGTTTGCAACCCGGAAGGAAGGAGCTTGCGGGTTGGAGGCACTAAGAGTTTTCAGAAGTTGAGCATCTCAAGAGAGGGCAAGACTTGGAGGTACTTAGAGGACTTGGTAGCTGGAGTACATGGAAGACACTGGATTTGAGACAGTCAAGGAAGTGCGCATCTAGAGCGTCCCCCACATGGACTTTAGGTCTAGAGGAGGAGAAATAGCCCAAGAGCCAAAGTCCCCATGCGATGGGAAAAGAACTGGCTGGAAGAGGACAGCAAGGCTGAGATGCACCCAGGGACGTGGCCAGGTCACCACCTCATTTCCAACTCTACCACCTCAAACAATCTCTGACTGGTATTTAATCACCCTTGTGTGGAAGTGAAAATTAGCTTTTTTTGGAGACAGTACTTTTAAAATTAAACTAATATGAAGTTCATGGGACACGGAAATTTTCTGCATAGATTCATTTTTGTTTTTAGAATAAAATACGATGACATTTTCATGACCTTCAGTAATTGCCCTGCATGGTACGATATTTTCAAACATTATTTTAACAAAGAATCAAAATTTGGGGGTTAAAAGAAACCTTAGATTACTCAGGTTAGTACCTTCATTTGCATAGCCAAAAATTTTTCTATTGAAATACTGCAAATAGCAAATAAGTACTGATTTAGACCTTCAGATAGTGTTGAAACTGTCTTCAATTTTCGAAGTGTGGTTTAGGATATACAAATTAGCAATGTTGACAATTCTTCCAGTTATCTGTGCTCAAGTTTTGATATAAAATCTTCAAAGTACACAATTATCACATATATTGTTCCACAACAATTCAGACAAATAAACGGCTTCTTGGCTTGAAAGAGGAAGTCACACCTTCGAACACCTTTTTATGCTGATGCTAAATATAAGAACGTCCCCTGCAAAGTAGCCAAAGCAAGACAGCAGCATTCGAGATTTCTCCAGAGACACACACACAAAGAATGTGTTTCGTTCATTAAAACACTAAAACCTTCAACAGCATCTTCCATAATACCTGAAGGTGGAGTGCTGTCTTATGTAATAGAAGCCTTCCTTCCCCGCTCAGTTTGTGGACACATTAAATGCCTAATTCCTTCCAGAATTTCTGAGTACCGTACTTTCATTTTACCTGCAGTCACTCATCCGCCTCGCAACTCCCGTTTCTACAGATGATGAAAATAGCAAAGACCTGCTCGCTCGGGTTAAATCGGCTGCCAGAGGCCAAGTTAAAGGCTTTCCCCACACCGCGCGTCACCTCCCTCTGCCCAGGCAGAGGTAACAAGTAAGAGTGCGCCAGTCTCTCCCCATCCGGCGGCGCGCAGCCTAAGTCCGGGGTAGGGGTTGCCGGCGAGCAGCTGGAAACCTCAGGTTCAGGGTCAGGGCCGGCTCGGATGGCCGGGCAGGAGCCACGCCGGCCCCGGTGCTCCCAGCTGCGGGTATCACTGGACGCCACCCCGGGGCGGCCCCGCCTTGCCCTGCCCGGGTCCCGCTCGGGGCTCCCGGCGGGCGGGACCGGGATGCCCGGCGAGCACCCAGCCCCGGCCAAGGCGGCCCGCGGGAGGCTGAGAAAGTTCTCTGCTCCCCGACGTCGGCGCCCCAGGGTCCCGCTGGCCCCGCAGCTTCCCGGCCGGGCGCAAGGTCAGGGAGCAGGGCCGGTGGCGCGCGGAGCCCCGGGGAGCGTCCCCCGCCGAGGGCAGCGCCGGCCGCGCCCGGGACTCACCGCGCAGCCTGTACTCACCGCGCTCGCTGGATCCCCAGGGGGCGGCCGCGGAGGGCGGTGCGGCCGCAACCGGAGCGGGAGCCTGGTCTCGGCGGCGCGGGGAGTCGGAGGACGCAGCCAAGCGGCGGCGGCGAGGAGGGTCACAGCCGGAAAGAGGCAGCGGTGGCGCCTGCAGACGCCGCGCAGCCCGGGCAGCCCCACAGCGCAAGCTGGCTGCCGCGGCGGCGGGGGCTTTATCGGCGGCGCCGCGCGGGCCCCCGCCCCTTCCTGCCGCCCCCGCCCCCGGCCCGCCTTGCCCCGCCTTCCCGCCGCCTCCTTTGTGTGGCCGCGGGCCGCAGCGTCCCCGCGCCCGGCCTCCAGGACGCCCCCTCTCCGCCTGCGACTTCTCGGATGCCGCCCCGCCAGGGGTCCGTGTCGTGGGGCTGCGCCCGGAACGCGCCGGGGAGACGCGCAGACCCCGAGGTGCGGCGCCAGCCCGGGCCCAGCT
The DNA here is from genome assembly GCF_000001405.40 of Homo sapiens. NCBI lineage: Eukaryota > Metazoa > Chordata > Mammalia > Primates > Hominidae > Homo > Homo sapiens. The sequence goes on from NC_000002.12 coordinate 224,039,568, forward strand.
GCACGTGGGTCTCCCGGATGGGGGTGTGTGAGGTGGCGGGGGGAATACCAGGGCTCGTACCGCGTCCCTGAGACGCAGGGCATGTCGTCTTGGCTGCCCCCTGGAAGAGACAGAGGGCGCCCTGAGACAGCGCTCAGTCCTCCGGGTGATGGGGAAACGGTGCCAGGACGCGGCCGGGAAGGGGCAGATAACCCCTCGAGGCGTTTTGCAGGGTGTCCTAGAGCTGACTTCTCCCTGCCTAGGGGACAGAGGAACGGCGGCAAGTCGCCTTAGGCAAATACAGACGAGGGGAACCAGAAAACTGGATTCCCGGCTATGGTGATAGCATGAGGTACCCGCAGCGTCCTGGGAACCCAGCCCTTCTCAGCCGGTAACCACTGCTGCTGGGACCCGGTGCGCGATAGACAGGCACATACCCCAGGGGCCTGCAACAAATGACCGTCCCGCTCCGGGCTCTGTTACCTGGACCTCTCTTAGTTGGTTCCTCCTTTGCCTCTAGTTAGGTTTCTGGGGACCCAAGGACCCAACTTTAATGACAGTAATTTATGTAGCCGTTAGTGTAGAATCGTCGCTAGCAGGCAGACGGCCCCAACAGCGAGGAAGAAATGTAAATCTCCCTATACACAGCCCTGGATTAAGGGTACAGCTACTGATGAGAGCCACTTGGAAGATCAGCCTGCAGTCACCCCTTGGCATGCAGGTGGCCGTGCCAGAGTGTGCACGTGTGTGTTGGGGAAGGGGTTGCTCTGAAAAGTGTAAAATCTGGACCAGCCTAAGGGTGTTCTCAGTCTCTCATAGAGGGAAACAGGCTATGGGAGGCTTGGTCCTAAAATAAGGAGCAAACAGTCTACAAAAATGAGCATCTGTTTAATTATTTTACAGTCATACCAAATATTTATATTCAGTTACAGGGTAACTTTCTTATTCTCTGTGCCTGAAATGCTTTTTGTCCCAGGATCTTCTATGTTGTCTGCATCCTTACACTTGAGGTCACAACTCAAATGTCCTCTCCCCTAGGAAGCCTCCCCTGACCACTTGAGATAAAGTCACTTTATCCCCTCTAACCTATGACTTCCTTCATAACCCTCATCATGAATTGATTTTTTTTTTACCTTGTTTCTTGCTAGTTTTCTTCTACTCTCTCTCATTGGAATATACTCCCAGAGACCAGGGAAGAGAAACTAATTTCAATATTGTTTCCAACTCACTCTATCCCTAGTGCCTAGAGCCATACCACACATATAGCAGTTACTCAATAAATTTTGTTGACGAGTGGATGAACTACTAGCCAAGTGACTTTTAGACATGCTAAGAACTGTTTCAGTGACAGTATTGTGCTTGGTCCAGTCAGGGCGGTGTGGGCTGGAGCTGGGAACAATTCAAAGGAGGGGGGAAAGCCCACAGGTGTGAATGAGCTCGTTCAGTGTGTTTGAAAAGCTGGGAGTATCCTCTTCCAGATGGAAGGGAGTCATTCAAGAAACTACTGGAGAAATAACTGGGAAATGTGGGTGAAGCCAGATTATTATGAAAATGTGCCAGAATCCCTGCATCCATTTCTGTCTCAATCACATTTCTAAATTAAAATTTGTAATAGAGGTAATTGTAGGCTGGCATGCAGTTGTTAAGAAATGATTCAGAGAGGTCTCTTTTACACTTTGCCAAGTCTTCCTCATGGTAACATTTTGCAAAACCATTGTATAATATCACAATCAGGATATTAACATTGATACGTTGATTCCTATCTCACACACTTTGGTTAATTATGTGTAACTTTAAATTTTTACTAAAGTTACTCAAACCAGTGAGAGAAATGCACAAAATTACTATTTTGAAGAGTTTCAGTCTCTTGTCTTGAAGGAGCCAATGTTTTTCAAGAAAAAACAACAACAAGCCTTTTTTGCTTTCCCAATTAGAGTGTAAATAGGGTCCAAATTCTTCATCTATGAAAGACGTTAGAAGTCCTTAGGACTTACCTCTTTGGGTTACACTTTAATGACTGACATTTACTTCCCCATTCTTTCCTGTAGTGTCGAAGGAACATTTTGAGCAATACTGTACGTGACTTGTCAATTCTGAAATCACAGTGGATGCAGTGCTAACTAATATGCTAAAGTAAGCCTAGACACTAATGTTCCCTTCTCTCTCGCTAGACATGCGATGAGGCCAACGATGAGGTCTCCCAAAGGAAAGTGATTGAAGACAAAGACCCATTCTGCCAGTGGGATATGCTGGGAATACCAACTATACTTGTTACTGAGTGTGCATGGCTGGTGTTGGCCAGCCTTCCTGATGCCAGCAAGAGGAGACAGAAGTAATGACCCAAGCTACACTTTCCATGACACTCAAATGGCCAGGCTCTTTGACACCCACCGTGAGGGGCTGTTCCAAAGATGTTGTGTTCCTACCTCAGTTGGTCCCCACAAGCAGCAGGTTCCTCCTCCAGTATTCTCCAATATTTGACCCTTTTTGAGATGCATTTCTCATAGATGTGTACTTCCAATCCACATTTCCTTCCTACCTCTACCTCGGTTTTGTTTGAGAAATCCAAATCATTTAACACTTCTACCTGCTGTTTCTTTGTGACTTCACATTCACAGTGAAATTTCATTTTGTCCTGCAATTGTGTGGCTTGCCTTAATCCGCAAATAGAGCTTCAAATTGTTTATTCCTTTGACCTGGAGTTTAGCCAGCTCCAGCTAGGCTCTGAGTTTGGCTTTGTGTCCATAAGCCACAGTTGGGAGAAATGCAAGAACTGCCCAAACAGAATAAAACAAATGATCTATTTAGTCTTGTTTCCTCTCTTGGAAGAAGTCCAGCGTTGAGTGCCTTGGAATAAATGAAAATCCCCCACCCCACCTCCACTGCTCTCCCATGCACCCAAACAGTATGACCTTGTGTTTAAGTAAAAACCGTCCTTAGCTCCCAGTGGGATGATGGTGTTTTGTCTGGAAGACTGACGGATGTTATGATAATAAGATAATGGATACTCACTTCTCTCCTATCTAACCCCTATTTAAAAGACATTACACCGTAACAGTGCTTGTTACGCAATATTATAGTTGCAAATGTTGTTATGGAAGATTGTTTCAACCAGGGGAAAAGAGACTGGTAATAACAGTACACTTATACAATTAGTTTCTGAAACTGTTGCATTGCTTTGGGGTTTTTTTTTTTAGCTTAGAAAAGACATTTATCTTTTTATTTCCCTTTAAAGTTGGCTTTCAAATAAATTCAATTTCCTCTTTCTGTAACTTCTGAAACAGATTAAACCAGAGCATCAGTTTGCACTTTGCTATTGTCGTCACTAGTTTTCACCAAGAGCTTCAGAGAAAAGACATTACTAAGTGCTGGGCTGGGTATTATTTTCTACTTATATGTGACCAAATAGGATGTAACAGCCAGGTTCTGAGAGTCGTTGTGATACTGACCCCTTCAAACAACAGCCCAGCTGCTCTCCTTCCTTTTACCACCAAACAATAGATGCTGCCTCCCTTTTTCCATGGGTCTCTTCGGTCAATCTTCTTACCCCATCATCGGGCTCCCCTCCTTTTCTTCCTCGCTTCCTCGGGCCCTCCTTCTCTCCCAAATGTTACCAATAGCTTCCAATGGCAACCCCAGTAGTTTTTCAACATTCTTTATCACCTTTGAGTCCTTGGCAGGATTTCACTCTCATATGTGTGCCCATTTTTTGGAAACTCCTTTGCCTATTTTCTCTCTTCCTATGCCTTAACTTGCCTTTATCCTTTTTCCATCAAATCTTCCAACAGGTGGGCACCATGCAGTTGACTGTCCTCAGCTCCCTCCTCTTTTCTCCACACTCTCTCCCAGTGGAACGAACATTGATTTATCTGTGGCCACCAACACTTGTTCCCCTCCTCACCTTTTGATAGTGGAAACACCTCTTCTATTTTATGCAGCATTTTGTTGGGAAGGAAATCAAGGTATCCTTACTTTCACTAGCCAAGGGATGGGCATATGACCAAGCTCACTGGATTCCCTCCCAGTTCTTTGAATCTTGAAAAGAATGAAAAAGTAATTGCAGCTGACTTATCTCAGCTTGATGAATGATGAATTTGTGAGTTCTTCCTACCCGGACCTCAGAGCTGCCATAGACCCTGTCCCGTCTGAGCAGAGGTCCACAGTGAACTCTGTTTCTGTGAGACTTTTCTACTTGTTAGCCAGATTCAGTTTCTGTTGCCAGCAACCTAGGATGCCTAACTGACATACCTTAAATGTCTGTAACTTTGCTTAGTTCTGGATGAATTCTAAGCCCATATCTACAGATGGCCTTGGCCACCATCCCAAGGTACCACTCATCTATCTCCAAGTGCCTGGCAGACACCTCCACTTAATATCCCACCATCACCTCCCACCTAACAAGTCAAACCCACTTATTATCTTCATCCCCCAACCAGTTCTTCCTCCTGTGTTCCATGTGTTTTACAGACATGACTTCCATCTCAGTCACCAAAGCACAAAGATGGGAATGAATTCTTTCTTTCTTTCTTCTTTCCTTCCTTCCTTCCTTCCTTCCTTCCTTTTTCTTTCTTTCCCTCTTTCTTTTCTTTCTTTCTTTCTTTCTTTCTTTCTTTCTTTCTTTCTTTCTTTCTTTCTTTCTTTCTTTCTCTTTCTTTCTTTTTCCCTCCTTCCTTCCTTCCTTTCTTTTTGAGACAGAGTGTCACTCTTGTCACCCAGGCTGGAGTGCAGTGGCATGATCTCAGCTCACTGCAACCTCTGCCTCCCGGATTCAAGTGATTCTCCTTCCTCAGCCTCCCAAGTAGCTGGGATTACAGGCGTGCACCACCATGCCTGGCTACTTTTTTGTATTTTTAGTAGAGAGGGGGTTTCACCATGTTGGCCAGACTGGTCTCGAACTCCTGACCTCAGGCAATCCACCTGCCTCAGCCTCCCAAAGTGCTGGGATTACAGGTGTGAGCCACCGCACCCAGCCCCTTTTCTTTTTTTTATTCATCCCATTTCCAGCAATTCCTTAGGTGCTGTTAGTAGTTTTTAAATTTTTTCCCCCAAGTCCCTCTGAGTCACCCCTCTTCCATTTTTTCAAGTCAGTTCAAACTCTTACCACTCCAATAGCACCCTAACTATTCTCTCAGCTTCCAGATTCTATCTGTAACTGCCAGCTTAGTCTTTCTAAAGTGCTTTTTCGGTCATGCCACTCCCCAGCTTAAAATAATTCCACTGTTCATCACGAAGGTTCCGATTCCTTGGTTTAGTCAGTCTTCTGTAGAGGTTATGAACACAGGCTCTGAAGTTAGATTGCCTGTGTTCAAATCCCAGTCTCATCACTACGCAATTTTTTTCAAGTAATTTAACCTGTGAGCCTCAGTGTCCATTTTGTAAAATGGGGGATAATAATAGAATAACCCACTCATAGGGCTATGTGAGGATTGTGTAGTTAATTCATGAAAAGAACTGAGTATTTGACACATAAATGCTTAATAAAAATTTACTACAATGAAAGCTCTCTACAATTTAACCCCAACCCACCTTTCTTGCATTATCTTTTCATTTTCTCTATGTTCTTAAAGGCTTTCCCAATCAGAATTACTCACCTATATCAAAATTGTATTTTTTATGTCATCATGCCATTGTTTAAACCATTCTCTCTGACCTGAATACCCTTTTCTTACTCCACCTGTATCAGTTATCTAGTGTTGCATTACAAACTATCTTTTTTTTTTTTTTTTTTGAGACAGAGTTTCTCTCTTGTTACCCAGGCTGGAGTGCAATGGTGTGATCTCAGCTCACTGCAACCTCCACATCCCAGGTTCAAGCGATTCTCCTGCCTCAGCCTCCTGCTTAGCTGGGATTACAGGCGCCTAACACCACCCCAGCTAATTTTCATATTTTTAGTAGAGACATGGTTTTGCCATGTTGGCCAGGCTGGTCTCAAACTCCTGACCTCAGGTGATCTGCCTGCCTCAGCCTCCCAAAGTGCTGGGATTATAGGCATGAGCCACCACGCCCGGCCCTACTATCCCAAATTTTAATGGCTTAAAATAACAACCATTTTATTTGTTTGTGATGGTATGGGTTGGATGGGCATGGTTTGGCTGGGATGGTTCACTCTGCTCCACCTCCTGTTGTCTGACCTCACTCTTGCAGCCGTAGGACTCCAGGTGGCCTCACTCATGCATGTGGACTCTCAGAGAGAAGGGCTGGAACCCTCAGTCTTCTCTCTCTAGTTTTTCATCTTCACGGGCCTTTTTCACCTTGTTATATTTCAAGCTCTAAGGCTTTCCTACATGGTTTTTCCAGCAGTAGTCAGGCTTTATAGGATGGCTGAGGACTTCAAGGTGGGGAAAACAGAAGCCTCAAGTTCTATGAAGGATTAGCCTTGGATCTGGCACAATACCACTTCTGCGGTCACAATTCAGAGCAGGTCACAGGGCTATCTCAGATTCAAGAAGTGGACTCTACCTCTTGATGAGAGGTGTATTAGACAGCATAGGCTGTCATAACTAGATACTACAGACTGGGTAACTTAAACAATAGATGTTTATTTTCTCACAGTTTTGTAGGCTGGAGATCAAGGTGCCAGCAGAGTTGGTACCCGGTGAGGCCTCTCTTCCTGGCTTGCAGATGGCTACCTTCTCACTGTGGCCTCACTTTTTTATTTTTTTTAATATATGTATATATATATAGAGAGAGATCTGCTACTGTCTTTTCTTTTCTTTTCTTTCTTTCTTTCTTTTTTTTTTTTTTTTTGAGATGGAGTCTCACTCTGTCACCCAGGCTGGAGTGCAGCGGTGCAATCTCAGCTCACTGCAACTTCCACCTCCCAGGATCAAGCAATTCTCCTGTCTCAGCCTCCTGAGTAGCTGGGACTACAGGCTTGTGCCACTAGGCCTGGCTAACTTTTGTATTTTTAGTAGAGATGGGATTTCACCATGTTGGCCAGGCTGGTCTCAAACTCCGGACCTCAGGTGATCCACTCACCTCGGTCTCCCAAAGTGCTGGGATTACAGGTGTGAACCATGGAGCTCAGCCTCTGCTGTCTCTTTCCCTTCTTACAAGAACACCAGTCATATTGGATTAGGGCCCCGCCCTTATGTTCTCATTTAACCTTAATTACTTCCTTAAAGACCCTATCTTCAAATACAGTCACATTAGGGTGTTGGGGTGTCAACATATGAATTTGGTGGGGACACAATTTAGTCCATAATAAGAGGAGCAGTGAAATCCATTTCAAAAAGGCATGCGGGAGGAGAGGGATTACTTTGGCCATTTTTGGACATAATCTGCCACCACTCTTTGCCACTGAAATCATTTTCATCCTTCACAGTTTTCCCTTCTCAGCCTAGCCAGTGTCGATTTCCCCTTACTCCCTGCTCTTGTGGCTCTGAGTATGGGCTGCATATTCCACACAACCACATCCGGCCTTGGATGTAAGCATTTGGTTTAGGTTCCAACCTCAGGGCAATGGGCCATGTCTTGTATATTTTTATGTTTTCACACAGTGCCTTGCACAGAGAAGTCCATAATAAATATTTGTGGAATGAACAAAAAATGCAATTAATTTTACTATTCTAATTGTTGCCTGGGCAGTTTGCAAGCTTCTGTTCCTCCTTATATGTCCCACGTTCCCTACCTCTTCCAACTCTTAGAGCATTGCATGATGGGAACATCTCAGAAAACGGAACACTGGGAGCCAGAAAACCCGGGTTTTTGTCCAGTTTCTACCACCTCTTAATTGTGATCTTGGGCAAGTCATTTGAATTCTCTGGGGCTCAGTTTCCTCATGTCTAAAAAAAAATAATAAAGGAAGAGTAATTGAATATCTACTATAGGGCTATTGAGAGAATATAAGATAGGTGAAGTACTTTGTAAAGTCTAAAAACCTTCACAGATTATTACTATTATTAATTCTGAAGCACACATTTGATCTCAGTTCCTTGCTGGCTCTGCCTTATGCAAACTGCTGTCGTCTAAATGTTTGTGTACCCTCAACATTCCTGTGTTGAAACTTAGTCACCAATGGGTGGCACTGGGGGTGATTAAGTCATGAGGACAGGGTCTTCATGATTGGGATTAGGGCCCTTATAAAAGAGACCCAAGAGAGATCCTTACTCCTCCTGCCATGTGAGGACACAGCAAGAAGACTGTTCTCTTGGAAGCAGGAAACAGGCCCTCACCAGGCACTGGATCTGCTGGTGCCTGGATCTTGAACTTCCCAGCTTCCAGAACTGTGAGAAATAAATTCGTGTTATTTATAAGCCACTCAGTCTAAGGTATTTTGTTATAGCAGCCCAAGCAAACTGAGACACTTCCTATAGTGTCTGGCTCATTGTATGTTGCCCAGGTTGGTCTCGAACTCCTGGGATCAAGCGATCTTCCTGCCTCAGCCTCTCAAAGTATTGGGATTACAGGTGTGAGCCACCATGCCCAGCCTGACATATTTTAATAAGATCCCCAGTGAAGTCATATGAACGTGAAAGTTTAAAAAACTGATTTAACTTGCTTATCTAATGTCTAAGGCAGCTGGGGTCCAAGAACCCGAATGACTTGCCCAAGGTTGCGTAGGTAAATGAGCAGCCCGTGAAACACTGGGTAAGAGCCTGTGCTTAGAATTATATATAGGCCACTGCAGGAATCCAGGCTCTCCTCTTCGCCAGCCTAAAATCTTGGTAATTCCCTGAATACCTCTAAAGCTCAAATTACTTTCTGTTAAAGGAGTAGCAATGCTACTTCAGAGGCTCATTGAGAAGTTAAAATGAAAAGTAGGTAGAAAGCACCTAGAAAGCTCTCAATAATCAGTCGTTAGAATCATTATTCTAACTTAGATGTCCACATTCTGTGCTGCCTCATAAGCATCCCATGTTGCATAGAAGAAATGGGAATAGTGCGTTTAGATACATTTGGTCTTTCTGAGACTAATGTTATATCTAATTTAGATTTTATGGTTTGTAAGAATGAGGAAAAGGAAGAGGGCTTCCAGAGGAAAGTGAACAGAAAGCTGTACAGCTGTGAGATTGCAGATATTTGCTTGCCTGACTCTTTCTGGCTTGGCTTGTCCATGATGACCTGCAGAACCAACCAACCACTGGAGGAATGTCCAGGTGGGTGAGGCTTTTGCCCACACTTCGCCCCACAGCTTTCTGGGGCTTCTCCCCACCTTCTTTCCTCTCACCTCTGAGTGCTTCCCTTCCTTTACCCCCTGCAGTGTTCTCATGCAGGCTTCTCACAGCCTCCCAAAGTGGGGCTCTACCTCTTCCTGTCTCCTGGGAAACCCCGCAAATTCTGGACCTTTCTTCCACATATAAGAGTCACCTGTGCCAGGCATGGTGCCTCACACTCGTAATCTCAGCACTTTGGGAGGCCAAGACAGGAGGATAGTTTGAGCCCAGGAGTTTGAGACCAGCCTTGGCAATATAGTGAGACTCCTATCTTTTCAAAAAATCAAAAAAATTAGTCGGTTGTGCTGGCACGAGCCTGTGGTCCCAGCAACACAGGTGGAGGCTGAAGCAGGAGGATCACTTGCACCGAAGAGGTGAAGGCTACAGTGAGCTGTGTTTGTGCCATGGAGCCCATGCAACAGAGTGAGACCCTGTCTCAAAAAAAAAAAAAAAAAAAGTCACCTGCCCCTTGCCTCATTTTACAGGACTGGCCAGCTAATCAATTTTAACACTGGCTTTACTTCCTTTTGAATAATATTTGCATTTTTCTGTGATGGAGTATTTTTTTCCTTTTATTCTTAGGTGACTCGTAATAATTGTACTTATTTATGGGGTGCAGCGTGATATTTTGATACATGTATTAATGTGTAATAATCAAATCAGGGTAATTAGCACATCCATCATCTCAAAGATTGATTATTTCTTGATTATTTCTTTGTGTTTGGAACATTCAAAATCCTCTCTTGCAGCTTACTGAAAATATGCAATAAATTACCATTAACTGTGTTCATCCTCCAGCACTATAGAGAACCAGAACTCATTTCTCCTGTCTGGCTGTAATTTTGTATTCATTAACCAACCTCTCCCTAGCCACCTTCTCCTTCCCCTCCCTGCCTCTAGTAACCACTATTCTACTCTCTCCTTCTGTGAGCTCAGCATGTTTCAGCTCCCATATACAAATGAGAACATGAGTGTATACATCTTTCTGTGCCTAACGTATTTCACATAACATAATTTTCCTCCAGTCTCATCCTTGTTGCCACTAATGACAGGCTTTCATTCTTTTTTATGGCTGAGTTGTATTCCATTGTGTATATGTACCACATTTTCTTTATCCATTCATCTGTTAATGGACATTTAGGATGAGTCTATCTCAGCTATTGTGAATAGTACCGCAATAAATTTAAACATGCAGATATCTCTTCCGTATACTGATTTTCTTCTCTTTAAATAAATACCCAGTAGTGGGATTGCTGGATTATATGGTAGTTCTATTTTTAGTTTTTTGAGAAATCTCCATACTATTTTCCATAATGGTTGTATTAATTTGCATTCCCACCAACAGTGTATAAGGGTTCTCTTTTCTGCACCTTGTCACCAGTGTTTATTTTTTGTGTCATTTTGACCATAGACATTCTAACTGTGGTGAGAAGATATCTCACTGTGATCTTGATTCGCATTTCCCCGATGGTTAGTGATGTTGAGCATTTTTAATACATTTGTTGGCCATTTATTTTTTTTTTTTTAGAAATATCCATCAGATCCTTTGCCCATTTTCTAATTGGATTAGGTATTTTGCTGTTGAGTTATTTGAGTTCTTTGTCTATTCTGGATATTAGTTCCTTGTCAGATGTATAGTTTGCAAATGTTTTCTACCATTCTACAAGTTGTCTCTTCACTTTGTTGATTGTTTCCTTTGCTATGTGGAACCTTTTTAGTTTGATTTAGTCCTATTTGTCTATTTTTATTTTTGTTGCCTGTGGCTTTGAAGTCTTAGCCATAAAATCTTTGTCTAGACCAATGCCCTGAAGCATTTTCTCTATGTTTTCTTTTAGTAGTTTAAAAGTTTTGGGTCTTACATTTCAGTCCTTAATCCATTTTGAGTTGATCTTTATACATATATGGTGAGTGATAGGGGACTAATTTCATTCTTCTGCATATGGATATCCAGTTTTCCCAGCATCATTTATTGAAGAGACTATCCTTCCCCAATGTATGCTCTTGGAGACTTTGTAAAAAAATCAGTTAGTTGTAAATAAACAGATTTATTTCTGGGTTCTCTATTCTGTTCTATTGGTCTATGTGTCTGTTTTTAATACCAATACGATGCTGTTTTGGTTAATAGTATAACTAACTTTCTAGTGTAATTTGAAGTCGGGTAGTGCGATGTCTTCAGTTTTGTTCTTTTTGCTCAGGATTGCTTTGACTATTTGAGCTTTTTGTGGTTCCATGCAAGTTTTAGGATTGTTTTCTCTATCTCTGTAAAGAATGTCATTAGTATTAAGAAAGGAATTGCATTGAATCTGTAGATCGCTGTGGGCAGTATGGTCATTTCAAAATATTAATTCTTCTAATCCATGATCATGAGATGTCTTTCCATTTTTTTTTCTGCTTTATTCAATTTCCTTCATCAGTGTTTTTTCATTTGTTTGTTTTCATTGTAGAGATCTTTCACCTCCTTGGTTAAAATATGTACGTTTCAATGACAGCTTTTCTTATCTCAGACCCCCAAAGAGTGAGTAATGTATCATTCAGTGGTACAGATGTGTTTGAGTGGAATGACAATGGGAATCTTTTAGCACTCCTCAAATCCTGTGACTGTGAGCAGCAGCCAGCACCGTCTTCCATCAAAATGGTTTCTAGAGACCCACACTCTATCTATTCCTCTCCCTACCTTTTTTTCCTTTTTCTCTCCCTCTCTCTCATTTTGCAAACCATTTGACATTATAAGGTTAAGAACACAGACTTTGGAGTCAGACTTTCTGGGTTCAAATCCACACTCTGTCATTGACTCTCTCTGTAATGTAGATAAGTTGCTTAACCTCCCCAGGCCTTAGTTTCCTTAACTGTAAAATGGGGTCAAGAACAGTAGCTACTTTATCGGGTTGTTATGAAGTGGAAAGGCATGCATATTTGCTAAGTGTTTGAAGAGTGCCTGGTGCAGAATAAGTGATGTGTGAGTGGTTGCTACTGTGAGCTTAGGGCCCAGAGATGAATGACCCAATTCCTATATATGGATTTATCTTTTATTCCTCCTTTGACTACAGGGATATATATGGAAATCTGAGCAAAGGGAAAATAAAGGGAAGATAGTGACATGAAGCTAGGAATGAGGATGGTACACAGGTATGTGTCTGAAGTCCTAAAACTCCTGGAGGTGGGTTGCAGATTTGTCTCTAATGATGGCGTTATACTAAAGCACAATCAGAAAATGCTGTAATGGAGAGAGTGGAGGCAGAGTAGCAGTATTATTTATTTCATGCACCTAGGCAACCAACCCCACTGATATGGTTGCCTAATCCAAGAATAGATTTTTTAGAGTAGTGGTTCTGAACCTATTTTTTTTTAACTAAACTTTTGAGAAAATAAACCTTTTTACTTTGAGGTAATTTTACGTGAACAGAAATGTTGTAAAGATAATATGGGGAATCTCTCTTATACTTGTCACAGCTTGGAAATTAACACTGGCACCTTATCACTAGCTAAACTCCAGCTTTTATTTGGATTTCAACAGTTTTTTCCCTCTAATGTCCTCTTCTGTTCCAGAGTTCCATGAAGAATACCCATTTAGTCGTTATGTCTCCTTAGTCTCCTCTGGTCTGTGACAGTTTCTCATTCTAGTTTTTCATGACCTTGACAGTTCTGAGGTGTACTGGTCAAGTGTTTTGCATAATATCCCTTAATGTATGTTTGTTTGATGTTTTCTCATGATTCGATTGGGGTTATGGGTCCTGGGGAAGGCTACCAGACAGGTGAAGTGTCCTCATCATGTCATATCAAGGGCACATGATATCAATACGACTCATCAGCGGTGGAGTTAACCTTAATCAATTTGGTTGAGGTAGTGTTTGCCATGTTTCTCTACTGTAAAGTTACTGTTTTTCCCTTTTCCATATTCTACTCTTTGGTTGCACGTCACTAAGTCCAGCTCACACACAGGGAAGTTTAGTTCTGCCTTCTGGAGGTGGGAATATCTACTGTCTACTTATATTAAATGGAATTCTTCTGTAGGAAAGATTTGTATCCTCTCCCCTATTCATTTATTTAATTCAATTATATATTTATATAAATGTGGGCTCATTTATGTTTATTTTATATTATGGGTTATAATAGAATACCACACTATTCATTTTGTTGCTCAGATTTTTCCAGCATTGGCCACTGGAAGCTCTTCTTGTGTCCCTTTGATATGCCCTCATTCTTTGTCTTTTTTTTTTTAAGTTAAATGTTGTGAATCCATTAACTTTTACAGAATATTCTTTTGTGTTTTGACCACTTTTTGCTTTCTGGAACTACAAGATGTTCCAGGCTTAGCTTGTATTTTCTCCACTTTAGCCCTAGAATTAGACATTTCTCCAAGGAGCCCGGGCTACTTTTGTTGAAGAAAAATAATTTAGAAACCAAGATCGGCCAGGCGCGGTGGCTCAAGCCTGTAATCCCAGCACTTTGGGAGGCCGAGGCGGGCGGATCACCAGGTCAGGAGATCGAGACCATCCTGGCTAACACGGTGAAACCCCGTCTCTATTAAAAATACAAAAAATTAGCCGGGCATGGTGGGGGGTGGCTGTAGTCCCAGCTACTTGGGAGGCTGAGGCAGGAGAATGGTGTGAACCCAGGAGACGGAGCTTGCAGTGAGCTGTGATCACGCCACTGTACTCCAGCCTGGGCAAAAGAGCGAGACTCTGTCTCAAAAAAAAAAAAAAAAGAAAAAAGAAAAAAAAGAAACCAAGATCTGGGTCCTATGTGTGTTTGCTGCCACTGAGGCATGGCACACTTTTGAATGTTAAAGTTTTGGTGCACACGTCATGAGCATAGGTATGAAATAATCCACTTGGTCCCTCTTTATCCCTATGTCTCCATAGTTCTGAATGCTTACTCTGATTTACTCATGCAAAAAGGTTTTTATGTGTGTCAGTACGTATAGCTTGGTAATATTTTATGCTTCCTGCCTCTTAGTCATGAAAAAGTGCCAGACCACATCAAGACAATTAGCTCAATATAGCATTCTAGCTGATACCTTTTAACACATCAAGATGGGTATCCACATAATAAATTATATACTCAGATAAAAATCTGGCAATACAATCGTGGAAGGCTTATTTTATTCTATAATACTGATTATAGCAGTGTATAGGAGATAGGGTTGTTAATCTGTAAATACCATCACATTTTCTGCTTGCAGAATCTGGATTTTGTTAAGGCATTTATCCATCTATCCTTCTGCTAATTGCCTTAAAAGAAAATCCTGGTTAATCTTGACCAATCATGATAATTTCATTCTCTTTGCCAAATGTTTGGCTTAGGGGTGGAAATGTGACCTAATTTTAGCCAATTATGTATACGATGGTTAATTGATGGGAGAGCTTCTGAGAAAGGTTGTGTTGAGTATTAAAAAAAAATTCAGGCAAAAAGGAGATCCATACTTCAATCTGATGCCCAGGACCACAACAGCCAACTTGTGACCATGAGAGGAACTCAGGCAACATACTAAGGGTGGAAGAGACAAAAGATAGAAAGATTCTGCATCTTTGATGATGTCACTGAGCTGCTGAATTCACCAACCCAGGAGGCCTCCTACCCCAGTCCCCCTTGTCAGATAAGATAAATATTCCTTTTTGTCTTGGAAATTTTGAGTTATTATTTCCTTTACTTGCAGCCAAAAGCATCTTAATGAACACACACTACTTTAAACTATTTTAAGGCAGTCATTAAATATTTTTAGATCCTAGGCTCTTTCCAGGATTCATTCATTCATTGATTTTTAACAAATATTTACTCAAATATGGGAGTAAGACAGAGACATTGATCAAATAATCACACGTACATATAATGACAAAGTATGATCAGTAAGAAGAACAAAAAATATAAGAAACTTTATGAGAACAACTGAAGGATAGAATTTAGCTTGAGAAGAGGCCCTGTTAAGGTAAGACTTCACTTCATAAGCAATGAATGAACTGACATCAGAAAGTGAAGGGCGGAGGAGGAAAGTGTCCTTGCAATAGTGTGGGGCAGCAGCATGTGCAAAGCTTCCATGTGGGAAGCAGTGTGGTGCCCTGGAGGAACCTGAAGAAGATCTATGGGACAGGAGGAGAAAGACAGAGAGAGGAGTGGCACATCTAACACTGAAGAGGTCCAGATGACCTAGGATAGACCCTGGAGACCATAGTAAGGATTCTTCTCTCTGTCCTAGAAGAAAAAAGAAATACAGCGAAGTGCTCTAATCTGGGAAAGATAGGATTATACGATCTAATCAGTTCCCTCTGGGTACCTTAAGACTCAGTCTTGCCATAATATTGCATTCAAATGCAAAACACTATCATTTGATAGAGAAATGCAATCAAAGATAGTTCTTATTATTTGTGCCTTTTAAAGGGTATCGTAGGCAGAGAGTATTAGAACTTGCATTAGTCCGTTTTCACACTGCTGATAAAGACATACACGAGACTGGGTAATTTATACAGAAAAAGAGGTTTAATGGGCACACAATTCCATGTGGCTGAAGAGGCCTCACAATCATGGTGGCAGATGAGAGAATGAGAGCCAAGTGAAAGGGGAAACCCCTTACGAAATCATCAGATTTTCTGAGGCTTATTCACTACCATGAGAACAGTATGGGGGAAGCCATCCCCATGATTCAATTATGTTCCACCTAGTCCCTCCCACAACACTTGGGAATTATGGGAGCTACAATTCAAGATGAGATTTGGGTAGGGACACAGCCAAACCATATCAAAGCTCACCCAATATCTATGTGCTCCTCTACATTGTCCAGCTTTCCTTGCAGTTTGGTTGAGATCATGGGACTGGGTTCTGATGGCAATGATGTAAGCTATTTCCAGGTCTCTTTCTTAAAAACATTCTGTATAACGCTGTGGCCCTTGCTTCATCAGCCACAGTGATGTTGGAGGCCACCTTTCCAAGTGGCATAGCTTCAAGGTGTAAGATGGCTGCTCATCTGCAACAGACTTCAATGAATCAGAAATAAAACCCCCCTTTTAAGGCCCCGAGTTTTCACTGTGTTTGTCACTGCAGCATAACATGACTATACTAGCTTCCCAAGGCTGCTGTAACAAATTACCACAAACTGGGTGGCAACAGAAATTTACAGTCATGTATCACTTAACAATGAGAATACATTCTGAAAAATGCATTATTAGGTGATTTCATTGTGCAGACATCACAGTGTGCTTACACAAACTTGGATGGTATAGCTTATTAGGCACCTAGGCTATGTGGCATAGCCTGTTACTCCTAGGATATGAACCTGTACAGCATATCACTACACTGAATACTATAGACAATTGTAACACAATGGTAAGTATTTGTGTATCTAACTATATCTAAACACAGAAAAAGTACACTAACATATGGTATAAAAGATTTAAAAACAACACACCTGTATGGGGCACTTACCACAAATGGAGCTTGCAGGACTGGAAGTTGCTCTGGGTGAGTCACTAAGTGGCAAATGAATATGATGGCCTTTAGGACACAACTGTACACGACTGTAGATTTTATTGGTACCATTTAGACACACCACTTCACCTAACATTCACATCTTTGGGATGTGAGAAGAAACTGGGGTACCCGGAGAAAACCCATGCAGACGTGGGGCGAATGTGAGAACTCCTCACAGACAGTGGCCTGAGCTGGGAATAGACTTTATTTTTTTCTCATCAATGTTATAACAAAATGACTTTGAACAAAACGATGTTATTTGAGGATGTGCTATACACTTAGGCTACACAAAATTTATTTTAAAATAAAATGATTGGGCTATGATGTATGATGGCTATGACATCACTAGGTGATAGGAGTTTTTCAGTTCCATTTTAATCTTATAGGATTTCTGTCATATATGTGGTCTGTTGTTGACCTAAAAGTCATTATACAGTCCATGACTATGTTCTCTCACAGTTCTGGAGGCTAGGAGTCTGAAATCAAGGCATCACTGGGGCCATGATCCCTCTGAAGGGTGGAAGGAAGAATCCTTCCCTCCTTCTTCCAAGCTTCTAGCAGTTATTGGCAATCCTTGATATTCCTTAACTTGTAGCTTCTTTACTTCAATCTTTGCCTCCATGTTTACAAGCCTTTCTCTGTGTATGTCTTTGTGCTCAGATGGCCTTATAAGGACACTAGTATTGGTGTCTTAGTCCACTTTGTGTTGCTATAAAGGAATACCTGAGGCTGGGTACTTTATAAAGAAAAATGGTTTATTTGGTTCATGATTCTGATGGCCGGAAAGTTCAAGATTGGGCATCTACATCTGGTGAGGGCCTCAGGCTGCTTCCATTAGTGGCCAAAGGCAGAAAGGAACCCAACATGTGCAGAGATCATCTGGTGAAAGAGGAAGCAAGAGAGAGGAGTGAGGTGCCAAGTTCTTTGTTAATAACCAGTCCTCTCAG
The DNA here is from genome assembly GCF_000001405.40 of Homo sapiens. NCBI lineage: Eukaryota > Metazoa > Chordata > Mammalia > Primates > Hominidae > Homo > Homo sapiens. The sequence goes on from NC_000002.12 coordinate 224,057,110, forward strand.
GAACTTGTAGAGTGAGAACTCATTCATCCCCTAGGGAGGACACTAATCTATTCATGAGGAATCCACCCCCATGACCCAAACACCTCCCATTAGGCCCCATCTCCAACACTGGGGATCAAATTTCAACATGAGATTTGGAGGGGACAAATATCCAAACCATAACAATTGGATTAAGGGCCCACCCTAATCCAGTATGACTTTATCTTCACTTAAGTGATTACATCTGCAAAGACTCTATTTCCAAATAAGACCACATTCTGAAGTTCTAGCTGGACATGCATTCCAGAGAGGGCACTATTCTACCTGCTACAATGATGAATACAAGATATAACAGCAGTCCCCAACCTTTTTGGCATCAGGGACCTGTTTTGTGGAATAAATTTTTCCAAGGAGTGGAGAGGAGGAGAATGGTCTTGGGATGAAACTTCCACCTCAGGTCATCAGGCATGATGATCTTAGAGCTTAGATTCTCATAAAGAGCTCACAGCCTAGATCCCTTGCATGCGCATTTCACAATCGTGTTCTTGCTTCTGTGAGAATTGAATGCCGCTGCTGATCTAACAGGAGGCAGAGCTCAGGTGGTCATGCTGGTTCACTCACCACTCACTTCCTGCTGTGCATCTCGGTTCCTAACAGGCCACGGACCAGTACCAGCCTGAAGCCCAAGGGTTGGGTACCCCAGATTTATAACACTTAGCAGTGCTTCTTTAAAAACACCATTTTTCTCCTCTCAAATCCCATGGCAGCTGTACGACTCTCACTTCATTCCCCTGTCCCTCTTTTACCTTTAGTATCTCCCCAGCTTTCAGGCTGAATGGCCACGGTTCTACCATTGCCTCCCCTTTTCCTCACATCTCTTTGTACCACCTCTCCGTACATTCATCTTGATTCAGTATCACAACAATCATGGGAACTGGGCCGAAAAAGCAGAACTGCATTAGAGGGCAGAGCAAAAGGGAGGAAATTAGGCAGCAAAAGCAAAATATTTCAGTGGATGGATGGATGTGGAAGACAAGAACACACTCAAGTTAATAGGCCTTCCCAATCAAATTTGTGTTTTAATTTGCCTGCTTCCTGTAGTGTCCGAGTCTGATTGTAGGGGGCAGGCAAGAACATAGGCCAGAAGGCCACTGGGAAGCTGTGGTAGCAGTTCTCAGAGTTTGGATCAGAATGATGGTGGAGGAATGCCAGCGGCCAAATATCCCAGGGGACAATACTGCTAGGACTTAGGAAGAGCAGGTGAGAGAGAGAATATCCTGACAGCTATGCAGTCTCTTTTCAGAAAAATGCACATCTAAAAATTATTTTACTAGTACAGGTGACTCTTGTTTATAGACTCCTGAAGCCCATTTTCAGCCCATTGATAGCCCTGGCTCCAGAGAAATCATCATAGACCTCTGGAATAACAGCTTCTTTCATTCAAGTTTCTGAGAGCTACTGGGCAGCAGCCAGGTTGAGATTGTGAGGGTTGCCTGGAGTGGTCCAGTGTTGCCCAGAATGAGTGAAGCCATCAGCTTTAACAGCCTGGTGCCTGAATGGAGCAGTGCCACCCACACAGAGATGGTCCATGGGGACAGCCACAAAAAAGGCTTTTATAACAGTATTTTCCAAAAACAAGAGCAGAGAAGAGATGCAGCTTCAAAGTGGGAAAAGCTAGTGGATATTCAGGGGAAACCTGGTATATTTTCATGCTGCTGAAAAAGACACATCTGAGACTGCACTATTTACAAAAGAAAGAGGTTTAATGAACTCACAGTTCCACGTGGCTGGGGAGGTCTCACAATCATGGTGGAAGGTGAAAGGCAAGTCTCACATGCCGGCACGCAAGAGAAGAGAACTTGTGCAGGGAAACTCCCCTTTATAAAACCATCAGATCTCGTGAAACTTACTCACTATCACAAGAATTGCATGGGAAAGACCCGTCCCCATGATTTAATTACCTCCCACTGGGTCCCTCCCACAACACATGGGAATAGTGGGAGCTACAATTCAAGGTGAGATTTGGGTGGGGACACAGCCAAACCATATCACCTGGGGCAGAGGCAAGGGGAGACAGGTCCTCAATAAGCAAACATCCAGTATAGATGCTGAGAAGTGGGAGGGTATGCAACAGGGAGTGAGGCATATTAGTTCCTGTGATCCTTAGCTCTGATAGTGAGAGTCAGATGGGCTTCTGCTGCAGCTCATGCTAGCCTGTCTGCTGATGACCAGTCATGCAGGTGACTACTGTGAACCTGTGTGGCTGCTCATGATAGGCTGCCCCATACTATGTAGAGCCAGCCAATAAAACTGCACACTGCTTTGTTTCCTATGTTATGAGGACATGTTCGAGCTTGGCCTTCAGGCATTTGGAAACTCCCAAACCCACAAACTGGTAGAGAGGGGGAGTAAACTGAGTCATATTGGACTGGGTCACTGGGACTGATAGAATTGGGAGTGACCTTTTCAGGGCCTGCCCAGGGGAGGTAGCCAGCCACCTTAATCACCGAGTGAGATGGGGTTTAATCTGGGCTGGTAACAGTAGCCAAGTGGTCCGGTTTGATGGCTAAGGGTGGTAAGATCTCTGAGTGGTCATGGCAGCCAGCATCAATGGAAAGTACTATTTTGAATCCAGGGAAGGTGCATTTGGAATGAACCAGTATTACTGACAAATGACTGCGGGTTGAGGGCCAGGATTCAGCTCACTGGAGAGAGAAAGGGGTAGGAAGACACTGGGGATATTTTTAGGGTTTTGGTCCAGCAGGAAATGGAGGACCCATCAGGAACCTGGCTGGACATAGTGATTGGGACGTAGTGTTGGTTGTGAGTGGTGCTGTAGCTCATGTAGGAAGTACACAGCAGGCTCAGGGACTCTTTGGTAATTTTTTTTTTTTTAATCTAGGCTCTGGGCCAGTTACTGAGCAGGGCCCTAGGGTTTGGGAGCTGTGGATGTGTTGCCAGGCTTGCCTCTTATTGGCTGACAAACTCTGCCTGAATGGCCCAGCAGGTAACAGGTCTCCAGTCTTTACAATGGGCATGCCTAAGGCAGTCAGGCTCTGATACTGCTTGGCATATAGTTTCCTGCTGAGATGTGAGGCCGGCCCAAGCCCTGGCAGGCTTAACTGGAACCCCCCATACCCTCCTGGGATCCTGGTCTTCCACCTTCCTCCAGATCCCCTAGGCAGCTGCCTACCAGACTGGGCACTCCCTCTCCAGCTCCAACATCGGGTATCATGGCCCTTGAGAATATGGTGATTTCCAGCCTAAGCCTTGGAACCAGATGACCTGGTGTCAATTCTGGCTCTGATACTTCCTACAAGTGTAATCCTGAATGCATTTCTTCACCTTATGAACCCTAGTTTCTTCATCTGTAGGTAAGAAAAATAACTCTAAAGCAAAAGTGGGTAAGAGAATTAGATGAGATCATTCATATATAACACTTGGCATAAGGTCCAGCACATATAACTATTTCCGGATATTGTTATGCTTCATAACTGGTTAACTGGGGTAGGAGCTGTCCCTGGCCTTGCTCTGGTTCCTTTTTGTTATGACTTTAGCCTTTTCCCCACCAATCTGGTATGCTGAGAGTCTAACATATCACCAGGTCTAATGTGCTCCGGGGAAATTCTGTGATTGCATTTGTGTGAAAGGACATTCACATGTACACATTTTTAAGGAAGGGTTGGTGATCAACCCCCAAATCAATTCACTGTGATTCTTCCTCTTTTTATTATTTCCACTCTGAATGGAGAAAAAATAGACCCCTGTCACTTCTGGGAACACAGTGAAATTGACACCTCTCTTTTCAGAAAACCTTGTTAAAGGCTCAGTACATAGGACTGGTGGGAGAAGGTTGTTGAATCATACTACTTGGTTCATAGCAGGATTGAGAATAGGTTTACGAACTGCAAGCATATGAGAAGATATTTATAGGAAGGGTTGTGACATGTTATTCTCCACCATTGCCAATAATAGCACAAGAATAAATTAAATAAGTTATAAGAGGAAAGAGCCAGGTTAGATACAAAGAAGAGAGTATAGAAATAGGCCAAAGAGACCCAGACCAGAAGGTACAAAAATTGGGATTGTCCTAGGGATCCTTGAAGGTACATTTAAGGCATAGAATGCAGTGACATTAACACAGGCAAACACCCATTCTGAGTCCATCTAGTCTGTGTAGTTTCATAGGGAAGTAATAATTATCATGGTTTTTTTTTCTGACAGTGACTTTATTTCTTTCTTCTTTGCCTTGCATTGTGTTCACTTTCACTTCACCATAACCTCTATTCTCTTTTTCACCCTGCTTCTGGATGATGAGAGTTAGTGTCCAATTAAGTTGAAAATTAATACGCTCTCTCCTTTTAAATTGTCATTAAAATATTTTATCCACCACCTCCACCCCAGGCACTGTCCATGGAGTGTTTTTTAAGGCTATTTACAAGTCTCCACATAGAGTGGAAGATAGTAGAGGAATGGGAGATGGGGTCTTGACTTCAGGTTTTATTTGGTTTGCCAGTCTTTTGAGCATGGGCTTCTGTGGGAGGTTTCTATTGCTTCATTTTCCTGTGCTCATTTTTCATTCTTCAAGTTGCAGAACCTTGATGTTGCTTTGGGAATTACCTCCTTCTCTCCCACACACTTGATTCCATTGGAAGCAGTCCTGGGGGTACTGCCAATCAAGGTGGCCCAGCCCTCCCTTGGGCAAGATTGAGTAGCTGACGCAAGTTAGGCCAAGTAGATACTCTCCTCCTGCAATTGGAATCTTAAGCAATATGGCGCAAAAAGACGGAAAACAGCTGGAGATTGTTCTTCATGACAATGGCAATTTGAGGTGACTCATTAAATAGTTTCTGACACCTTTGTACCTGAAGCTACTCTGTTCTTAGCCCTTTCCGAAATCTGCGTGTGTGTGTGTGTGTGTGTGTGTGTGTGTGTGTTTCAAGCTTTTCCTTTTATGATTATGAGAGCCTGTATCCTTTCAATAAGTTTTTCTTTTTCTTAATTTAGTTACAGTTGATTTCTGTGTTGGAAGCAAAGCATCCCCAAAGATACTTTGATATGCTGTCCTTCATGAGACTATTAAAGACTGCAAAACAATTCTCTTAGGTCCTTTAAAAAATGATCTTTTCTTGCTTTAAGGCATTAATAAAATGTTGATTATTGGCATCGAGACAGTTGTAACATTTTGCAGGAGCAACCAGATGGTGACATTACACAGAATTTCCTAATCCAATTTATCTTGAAGTTTGTGTGTTTGTTAAATCTTGAGAAAATGTTTTATCATCATCATTATGTTGTAGCTCTACTTTTTAAAAACTTAGCTATAGACTCTCTTATGGGGGTAGAATTTGGATGTAATGAAAGCAGCTTGTTTGGCAATGCCTCAGAAGTGTACACCCTAACTTCAAAACAATTTATGTCCAAAATATCTGAAAGCAAACAAATATTCTCAGAAGGGAAATATATCCTAAGTGGATACAGCCAATATGTAGATTTTATTACAGCTCTGTCAGGACCCAGTGACATACACATTGCTTTTGCTTACACATAAACCTTTCACAGATTGTGATAAATGCTTCTTTGACACAGTAGGCACTGCTTTCAGCAAAATCCCTAAGCAATGGACTCTGACCAGAAGCCACATGAATGGTGGAAAAAGACCTTTGCTTTGGATTGTAGAGAAGATTGCAGATTAAATTATTATGGTCAAGTAAGGGCTAGAAAAATGTCCACATTTGCAATAGGAAATCTATGGATAGTTTTTACATTTACATTAGTTCTACCCGAGTTAGTTTGGTAGGTGAGACTAAAAGAAGAAAACGTAACACTGAACCCTAGTGTTGCTGTTAGGAACTCTCACAGATAAATATCAGCTTCCACTCAACGCAAGCACAGTTTATTCACAGGCAAGTATTCCCTATTTCCCCTCTGCTCCTAGCTCTGATTTGTCTCCTCTTTTACAAATATATCAGTTATCTAGTGTGGTGTAACAAACCACTCCATAAAGGAATGGCTTAAACCAGCTTAAACATTAATTAACTTAAACATTAATTAGCTCACGAAACTGTGGTTTGGCCTGGTGCTGCTTCTGCTCTTGGCTGGACCTGCTCATACATCTATGATGAGTTGGTGGACCAGCTGACAGCTGGCGTACTCTCATGTGTTTGGGTTGGTTGGTTGTATGTTGGTCTGGGATGTTTTCAGCTGGGACAAGTAGGCTGTCCTCTTCTCATCTTCAATAACTATGTCAGGGTTATTAGGGAGACGGAGAAAGAGAAGGGGAGAGAAAGAGGAAGAGCAGAAGAGAGAGAGAGAAAGGAAGAGTATGCAAGGCCTCTTGAGGTCTGAGCTCAGAGCAAGCATGTAGTCATTTCCACCCCTTGTCAGGAGGCGCTACAAAGTCACATTGCAAACAGTGTGGATAGAGAGACGCATGCAAAATCGATGCCATTATTAATTTCCCATAGGTGGGAATATCACACCTCTGCTAGTCTGGTTTTGGTTGTTGCTGTTTTGTGATGCCAAACTAGAATGGGTGGAGAGGAATACTGAACTAGAGAGGAGAGAACTGGAACACAGAGAATTGCTGTGGGTTGAATGTCAGAAAGAATTTTGGGGATGTGACAAATGAGAGGCTTTGGCGTAACTTCTGTATAGAAAAGAAATGAGGATGAGAGGCCATGGTTTAGCAATCTGATCCCTTCTGATATTCCCTGAGACATGCAAGCAAAGAGTAGAATTTCCATTAAGCTACTTTTTGGCTACTGAATCACATATATACGTATATTTGAGACAGATTCTCCCTCTGTTGCCCAGGCTAGAGTGCAGTGGTGCGATCTTGGCTCACTGCAACCTCTGCCTACAGGTTCTCCTGCCTCAGCCTCCCGAGTAGCTGGGACTACAGGCACACACCACCTCACCCAGCTAACTTTTTTGTATTTTTAGTAGAGATGGGGTTTCACCCCATTGGCCAGGTTGGTTTCAAACTCCTGACCTCAAGTGATCTGCCTGTCTTGGCCTCCCAAAGTGCTAGGATTACAGGCATGAGCCACCACACCCGGCCTGAACCACGTATTTTTTTTTAACACAACTGTAAGACAGTTATGTAGGTTTCTAGGACTTATTTGTATTAAGCATTTAGACATTCAAAGGAAGGCCTTGAAAAAAGAAAACTCTAGCAAACTGGAGGAAAAGTAAATCATTGATTTTTTTCCTTCCTCAGGAGAATAATCAATCATATTTAGATGTTTAATATTTCCTGAGCACTATCAAGTTCAGCATGTCAAAATTTTGAGCGAATCCAGGGTTCTCTGAAGGCTTTGTGAATTTAGTTTTTTCAAACATCCATAGAAATGTAAAGAAATAATGTTATTGACTAGCTCTTAGGTGTACAATGCTGCCAGTGTATTTCAGCACTTGGCAGATAGCTCCTCTGAGTCCACACTTTTGTTCATCCATTTCTACCCTGATGGTGTCGGTGCTTGAAATCTAGAATACCTGTGGTATGAATGGAAGGTGCCTTGGAAGCCACAGCTTAAGGGTCTGAAAGTTAACCCACCGTGTCTTCATCCTGACTTCACCGTTGACCAACTGTGTGAACTTGGACGCACTTTCTGACCTGTCTAAGCTTGTTTTTAACCTTAGAGTGAGATAACAATCCTTTTGTTAACAATTCGAGATTATTACAAGAATTTAGGATAACATATCATCAGTGTCTACCACATAAATATTCAGATTCCTCAAAAGAGGCTATAGACCAGCTTTTATTGTGCTGGGGTCAAGTTGCTTCAGATTCTCCAAATGGTCACATAAGCTTGTTTAAAGTCCCGTGTCAGGAAGCCATTGAACCCACAATGACGTTTCCTTTACTTATTGTTTGTAGGAGAGAACCAAACGCATAGCTATCAACTTAGGTGTGGTGCTAACTTTGCCATTGAGGCCATTTGGAAATTAATCAATAATCAGATATAGTTTTCATTTTTCATATCTTTATTCCAGATCTTAAGACACTTACAATTTAGTTGCGGAGAAAAGGAACAGAAAACATTAAAATGCAGCAAGTATCTACTCAAATGATAAATGTGGAGTTTTAGGGCAAGGAGAGATAAGTAAAGGCTGAAGTATATCCTGAAGGCTGGACAGGTTTTCAGCATATAAAGGTGGCAAAAGAAACACTCTGAAAGTTACCTGGAGGTGGATATAGACTAGAAAAGAAGCTAAAAATTAGGGAGATGGGGGCAGGGGCTGATTAGGTAAGTAGAAGGTAGATGATGGAGGGTTTGAAAGCCAGGCAGAAGACTCCTGATGGGGCAGAAACCTAGAGTACCACAAACTAACAATTGCTGAACAAGTGAGAGAAATCATGATTAGTTTCAGAGCCTGGAATCATGTGTTGATTGGCAGGATGTCAAGCATATGGTGATGAAACCTGGCCTAATATGGTGGTGGTGGTGGTGGTTGGGTGGTGGTGGTGGCAGAAGAAAATCTCAAAGACTCTACTATTAGAGTATCAGAGAGCTGTAGGTTCTAAGCCCATTTTGTCCAGATTGACCCAACACAATTCTGGCCCATGCATCTGCTCTGGGCAAAGATTCAGAAGGCAAAAGGTGCTCTGTTGGATACTGGCTGGGTGAGCTGAGATTGCCTCTCCTTATTGTCAACTTCTCTGAAGCCAGAGTATTGCCTATTAGATGCTTACAAGCAATGCCTCATCCTTCAAATGTTTAAGAAACAGAAATGAGAATAGTGTGCCTCATCTGGCAGCTTGTTATAACAGCTAAAATTTCCTTTACAGCTGAATTCTACAATAAAACAGAGAACAGTTTCTCTTCATATCTCTGGGCAAGGACCAAGTAGAAAAGTGGAACATGGGATGGAATAGCATGGGTCATCCCCTCAGTCACTAATGTTCATCGTTGCCTTCTTCAGATTGTCAGTTACAGATAAACTGGCTCACACAACATTGCAGGGAAAACTCAAGGTCAAACATGTCTTCTGATTCAAGTATCAGTGGACTTTTCTGCCAACCTAAGGATGAGAACTTAAATGTTTTCCTGTGACTTCTAAATAAGTAATATGTATGTTTCCAAGCTGGCATTCAGCATAGAACAAAGGAGGGAAAAGACTGCACCAAAGAAGCCCAAGAGTCAAGGCCAATTCCGTTTTCACTTGAGATGTTTTCTTATTGAGAAGGTCTGTCAGGATGGATGGGGGAGAGTGAGAGGGAGTCATTCTCTTAAAGGGGGAATCATACTAACATTTTAAACTTGGAAATTTACCTCCCAAAAGTCTCTATAAGAATTAACATGTTTTTGGTTTATTTTTTAGTTTTTAACTTTTATTTTAGGTTTGGGGGTACAAGTGTAGGTTTGTTATATAGGTAAATTGCGTGTCGCAGGGGTTTGTTGTACAGGTTATTTCATGATTCAGTTAATAAGCATAGTATCCAATAGGTATTTTCTCTGATCCTCTCTGTCCTCCCTGCTCCACCCGCAAGTAGGACCCCATGTGTGTTGTTCCCCTCTTAATGTCTATGTGTTCTTGTTGTTTAGCTCCCACTTATAAATGAGAACATGCAGTATTTGGTTTTCAGTTCCTGTGTTAGTTTGCTAAGGATAATGGCCTCCAGCTCCATCCATGTTGCTTCAAAGGACCTGATCTCATTCATTTTTATGGCTGCATAGAATTCCATGGTGTAAATGTGCCACACTTTCTTTATCCAGTCAACTGTCGATGGACATTTAGGTTGATTCCATGTCTTTGCTATTGTGAACAGTGCTTCAGTGAACAATTGCATGCATGTGTCCTTGTGGTAGAATGATTTCTATTCCTTTGGTTGTATACCCAATAATAGGATTACTGGGTTGAATGGTAATTCTGTTTTAAGTTCTTTGAAGAATCACCACACTGTTTTCCACAATGACTAAAGTAATATACACTCCCACCGGCAGTGCATAAATATTTCCTTTTCTCAAGAAATGAGATCATGTCCTTTGCAGGAACATGGATGAAGCTGGAAGCCATCATCCTCACCAAACTAATGCAGGAACAGAAAACCAAACACCACATGTTCTCACTCATAAGTGGGAGCTAAACAATGAGAACACATGGACACAGGGAGGGGAATGACACACACTGGGGCCTGTTGGGCGTGGGGAGGGAGAGCATCAGGACAAATAGCTAATGCATGCAGGGCTTAATACCTAGGTGATGGGTTGATAGGTGCAGCAAACCACCATGGCACATGTTTACCTATGTAACAAACCTGCACGTTCTGCACATGTATCTTGGAACTTAAAGTAAAATAAAATAAGTTTTCTTTTCTCTGCAACCTCGCCACCATCTGACTTTTTAATAACCAAGGAATTAACCTTTTAAAGAAAATTAAAAGCCATTCAAATTTAAAGCCATTCAATAGGTAGTCACTAAGGGCTCGCTGTGCCAGACTGTCCCAGGTGTTTACTGAATACATCAGTAAATGACACAAGTCCCTGCTCATGTGGGGTTTACTTGAGAGTGAAGTAAAACAGAAAAGAGCCTGTAGAAATATACTGTCCAGTTTTCATAGTGCTAAGAAGACTAAGTCTGGAAACAGGGATGAAGAGGGATAGAGCTGGTGATGGTGGTGTGCTCTTTTAGACATGCTGCAAAGGGTGGGCCTCTGCACTATGGTGGTATCAGAAGGAAGTTAGGGACTGAGCCACATGGTCATCTAGCAAAAGACTGTTCCCTGAAGAGGAACCAGAACGTAGGGCTGCCAGATAAAATGCAAGATGCTGGTTTGAGTTGAAATCAAATAAAAAGCAAGTTTTTTTAGTGTAAGTATATCCTAAATATTGCATAAGATATATTAAGTCAGTTTATCTAAAATTCTACTTGAACCAGGAGTGCTGTATTTTGGTTTGCTGAATCTAGCAACCCTCACCAGGTCTTGAGGAAAGGGTGTGCTTGGTGTGTTCAAGGAACAGCAAGAAGGCCACAGAGTGAGCAAGGGGAAGACTGATAGGAGGTGAGGTCCTGACGGGAGCAGGTGGCTGGGTCACAGCGGGCCCTGTGGGCAGCTGTAATGACCTTGACCTTGGCTTCTCCTGTGGATGTGAAGGGAAACAGTGGGAGGCTTAGAGCAGAGAAGTGTCAAGATGCATTCATTTTTTTCAACTGTTGAATGAATTTCATTCAATATTCATTCAAACAAATTATTGGATACCTATTAGTATTCAAGTGAGCTAGGACAATGTTCTTGCTTTCCAGGTGCTCATCAACTGTCTGGGGGGGATAACAGTTAACAAAGCAGTTAAGCAACAATCTAAATGTTCAGCATTGGTAGTTCAGCTCAGAGTACCATAGGTGGATGGATTAACTGGGTCAGAAAAGTCTGGGAAGCATTTTGGAAGAGGTTGTACTAGCTGGTCCAGGAAGGACGGGTGAGAAGGGTCATATTTTTCTCCTATTTCAAGTATGGAGATGCCATCCTTTAAAATGTGAGTGGGGCTCCGCGGGCATTGTAGCCTCTGCATCCAATGTCACCTGGGGATAGTGCTTTCCCAGTACATCTCAGATGTCCCATCCAGAACCAGATGGATTTCAGGAACAGCAGGAATTCCAAGTAAAGGGCCAGATAGCCGGAACTCTCTGAAGAGAGCCAAAGTAGATCTTCTCCACCCTGACATACCACAGGCATAGCCTTTGCCAGGAGTAGAAATATGAGCCTCAGTACCTGTGTATTTAATAAATTCACCATTACTTTTCCTTGAGGATTCCTGCCTGTGAGATATTAGCACCCAGCAAAATTCTTGGCATACTGCAGAAGCTGATCAGTGTTTGTGGAATAAGTATCTAATTTGTGCATCATTTTGCAGAAAAATTTTGAAGTGTTTTTGAATAATCAGCTTCATTGATTAGCTTTAATTTAACTCATTTTTTTTTCAAGCTTTCTCAGTATAGAAGAGATCTTGTGTCCTCTGGCTTTTCTGAAATGTCCAGTGAACTTCACAGAAGGGCTACACCTATAGTCTGGAGCCAGGGGCCCAGGGTCTAGAATCTCCTGGATCTCAATTCCTAAAGCACTTCTGGGAAATACAGTTGGTGCAGGTCCCCCAAGCAAAAAACCTGGTTATGACTGGAGAGACAGTCTGTGTGCAAGCCACTCCCTGAAAACTCAACTGCTACAAAGGCTGCTGGCACTCTCTGAAGATGGGTCAGAAACAAGTTCCCGGAAACTCCCTGTATTAGTTTTCCAGGGCTGTCATAAAAATTACCACAAATTGGGTAGCTTAAAACAACAGAAATCCATTCTCTCCCAGTTCTGGAAGTGAGACGTCTGACTTGGCAGGTCCTCTCTGAAGGCTCCAGCAGAATATTCCTCCCTGCCGCTTCCGGTGGCTCCAAGAGTTCCTTGGCTTTCGGCCACATCACTCCAAACTCTGCCTCTGTGGTCACATTGCGTCTCCTCTTCTGTCTCAAAACTCCCACTGCCTCTCTCTTGTAATAAGGACATTTGTCATTGGATTTAGGGTCCACCTGGATGATTTTATCTCAAGATCCTTAAGTTAATGACATCTGCAAAGGCCCTTTCTCCAAATAAGTTCACATTCACAGGTTCCAGGGGTTAGGACATGAACATATCTTTTGGGGGAGACATCATCCAACTCACTACACCCCCAAAATATAAGACAGTGAAGGAACCAAGAGAAGAGGAAAGTTAATAAATACGGTGAAAGCTACGAGGTTGCTGGTACTGTATAATATGTGCAGACACATGTCACAGCAAATGCTGTCATCATCCTATCCATATTCCCTCAGCACTCACCACTCTCATACACACCAATGGCTTCTACCTGTATGCACCTCTCACTCTCTGCCTAAGGGCTTTCTCTGCTTGCTGCATTGTGTTTGGCCCGGGGGCAGATGAGGCCAACTAAAAACATCAAAGCGTTAATGCCCTGGGGAGAAGATGTTGAATAGAAGTTGGGGGCCAATACCTTAGATTCTTACTCTGGTGGTTCCACTTGAGAAAAGCAAGTTCTATTCAGTCTTTCAGAGGTCCCTAGTGGGACCAAGCTTTAATTGCCCACAGCAGTAACTTTCACGTTAATGTACTCAGTATTGGCTTCCTTCCTTTCTGCATCTCACTTCCCTTCTCCACTATGGATGCTTCCTGAGATCACCTCTTCAATAAACTACCCGCACTCAAATATTTGGCACAGGGTCTGCTCCAGAGGGAACGCAACACGAGATGCACTTAAATATATATGCTTCCATTTCTGGAGTATTATGGCCAAGCATTGTGCTAAGAAATTCATTGTATCTAATTTGCTCATTAACAATAGCCCTTTGAGTCCCACATTATTGTCATTTTATAGATGCAGAAACAGAAGCTTAGAAAATAGAAGCATCTTGCTTAAGCGTTCACAGATTCGTAGTTTATGGAACAGTGTCATAAAAACTACCACAAACTTGGTAGCTTAAAACAACAGAAAGCTGGGATGTGAACTAGCTCTATGAGACTTCAAAATCCATGCCCCTGAACACTATATTATAGCATCTTCCAATATTAAAACTCCAGTCTTAGGTTCCCTAGGAAACAGACTCTAAGAGACTGGTGGGTAGAAAGTTCTTTGGGGAGTGTGGCCAATATCAGTACCCACAGGGGAGTGGCAAAAGCAGGGTTGATCAGAGGGAGGAGTTGGACTGTGATACAGTCACAAAGACTTTGTCCCATTCCATGGGGAGCTCAGAAACTGGGATGGCCTTTCAGAGTTGTCATGTCTTGAGGCAAAGGGGCTGTTTGTTTTGTTTTGTTTTTTTGTTTTTGATACTGCCCAGGCTGGAGTGCAGTGGGGCAATCTTGGGTTACTGCAACCTCCACCTCCTGGGTTCAAGTGATTCTCATGCCTCAGCCTCCAGAGTGGCTGGGATTACAGGCATGCGCCATCATGCCCAGCTAATTTTTACATTTTTAGTAGATACGGGGTTTCACCATGTTGGCCAGACTGGTCTCAAACTCCTGGCCTTAGTGATCTGCCTGCCTTGGCCTCCTAAAGTGCTGGGATTACAGTCATGAGCCACCTCGCCCAGCTTAGAGGAGCTGGTTCTTTATACCTTCCTAGGATGAAGCAGTCACTGGACATGCACTGCAAGTGAAAAGACAGCATTCTCTGGTGTGGGGTTGCTCTACTTAACATAGGACAATTTCTGGAGGGCAACCGAACTGAAAGTCTTCAGCTACCACCACTCCAAGCAATTAGGTGAATGGGTGACCACCCTGAGAGGGAGGATCTGGGTGCTGCATTAAAACATGCTTTCCAGTCCACCCCCTGTGCTGCTGGGATCCGATTTTTTTCATGTAACAAGTCGTGGAAACAACTCCCTCAGAATTCTGGTTGATCTCTTTCCCTGAGAAAACCTACAAGAAAAAGGTGAATGGGATGAGTGACAGGCTTCATCACTATAGGTGGTCTTGAAGTCACACTTGATCTGCCATGCTAGGTGTATCTCACCCTCAGCTGTCTCTTCTGCTGGTTTAGGTGGTTCACTCAGTAAATGACCCAGACTCTCAACCCTGAGGGGTCTGAACACTGCTCAATATGCCCTTCTCAGGCTGTGGCTGCTGCATGTATCCGTTCACTGTCAAAATCGAGCAAGGAAGCGTGAAGAGACACGCTAGTGGGTCACCTGGGTGCCCAACATATTCTTCCTTCTTCCCACTGTGCAGCCTTACTCCCTCTTGAGGATCAGAATCAAGCACTCCTCCCAAGATGGGGAAAACCTGCTTTGCCTTCTTGTCTCTTGTCATGAGAAACCTGAAGTGCCTTGGTACAGCCTAGTAGCTTAAAGTTTAATGGGACTCTTGCTTTGCCTTTTGGTGCAGGTATTTCCACCCTGGGAACTAGGACCTTTTAATCCACAGAAACTAGACTTATGTACATAGCTGGGCACGAGGGTGGCCAGAGCCACTTCTCCTTCCACCCCTTGGTTCTGGATATGTGTATTCTGCATACTGGAGACCCAACATTGTAGAATCGTAACTGATTTAGAATATATGTTGAATCTTGGGGGAGGGGGCACATTTGCAGGGTATAATCTCCAAGTCAGCACCTTAATTGCACCTTCAAAAGTCCATGCTATTGCTCTATCAGGCCTCTAGCTTCTGAAAAGTGTGGTAAGTAATGGGACCCAGAGATACCGTAATAATGTTCTTTGGTCCAATGTGATGTTATATAGGACTCATGTCCTATAGCGACCAATATACTCACATTGTCACTATATGGCCAGTCTCCTCAAGGGATGATGTCATATCAGGGCAGTAACAACAAAGTTTTCAGTTGATCCTACAAGGAGCTTGGGAACAAGAATGGCCCTTCAGAGTTGTCATGATTTAAGGCAAGAGGGCTGGACTTTTATACCCATGTCCCAACAACCAGTTATTGGATGCTGGCTGTCCCAAGAAAGGCAAAAAACTGGGCAAGACAGCAACAAGTTCCTTAGCTGACACAGATGCCAAAGAGCAACTCAGCTGATAGCTTTCAGCCCCCAGATGTCCCAGCAGCTGGGAGGACTCTGGCTGCATAGCATCCACTAGGGCTCATTTATCTTCTTTGAAGGAACTATGTTTGTCTTTTCTTCTTTCCTCTCTGGAGAAATGGATTGGCCCTGAAAAGTCCTTATTTCAGGGCAGTTAGCCGATTGCTGATGGTTTTAGCAGGAATTGTTTCAATGATGTTGGAAAGAGGAAGAAATCCAGACAGTTAAGAAATAACTGAGAGATAAGGTGGCTTGGCGAGTCTAAACCTCTCATGCAAGAAGCTTTGTTGGGAAGAAGAGGGATTACATACAGGGAGAATGATGTAGAATGCCCCTTGTTCCCCAGTGGGTGTGCTTCCAAAATAGATGGCTGGGGCTATGAGGAAAATTTAGAACATTTTTTTTTTTCCTGCTGAAGCTAATGAGTCCCCAGGGGAGCTGAGTTTGTAGCTACAGCTTCATTAGTATCATCCCAGCTGAACTGACAGGCTGGAGAGTACCCAGGCTTCAGGCAAGCATCAGCAGTCAAATCCAAGATCAGCGGACGGGTAAAGTTATTTACTACATCAGGCAGACAGGGTGGGTGTCTGTCCATGTTATCTACAAAATGCTACATCATAGTATGTGAGGTCTGGCATGAGGGGATCTGAGTGTAGTCAGCTGAAATTTTGAGAAACCTTTCCTATTTATGTCCCAAAGGAACAACAAAATATTTAAATAGAGATGAGCATCGTGGGCCCTCGGACATTTTAATGGGACAGATCTGAAGAAGGGCAATGGATTTGGATGTGGTCAGGACTTTCCATGTCATCAAATCAGCAGGCCCAATGCAACAGTACTTTCTGAACATCATTTTTCAGTTACACGTCAGTTTGTCTGTAAAATAAGGAGAACTGAGCTCATTGTGCTGTAAATATAACTGATGAGGGCAAGTGGAATTCTCTTCAACTCAGAAACTATTTGAATAATTTCCCAAATCCTATGTTTTGTTGCATATATATATTTTTTCTTCCAGGAAGATGGGTCCTCAAATCAGGAAGGAGTCAAGACTCCTTGAGCAGGGTAAGTAGTGAAAACCTAAGCAACCTTCATCCAACCCAAAACTCAGGGCCTCCATCCCCTGGACAGCCCATGTCCCTCAGGACAGACTGGGGGCTCAGATGTTTCTCATAGACAAGGAAGGAATCTTTGGATTGGCCACTCCTGGATTCCCTGGCTCGGAACACACATTCAGGTGAATCAGCCATACAGCATCATTCTAAGGCCATGCTCAAGTCATTGCCATCAGGTGAGTTTACCATACATTCCAACCCAGCATAACTTTGCATGGCTCTCACATTCTTATCATGCCATTTTTCGGCAATTTTCCTTGGGCCAGGTATGCTGAGGAGCATTGCAGCCAGGTGCCAGCAGCAGCAATACAATCTACAACTACAAAAAGAACAACAAACACAATAATGACGAAGCTCATCCAAGCACTAGGGAGTAGATCTTGGATGCGCCATGGCAGGCCTGTGGAGGAGGAGGGGGCAGCTCTCTGCAGGCCTGAAATTCTGTTTTGTTCTCAAGAAAGGCCATCTTCTGTGGCCAGTTGGCAAAGAAGTTTGCTGCACACCATCAACGGGTGGATGGTGAGATGTTTAGTGGGTGCAAGAAACATGGCCATTTAGCAAGACACAGGAAGTTGTATGTATTAGTTTGTTCTCATGCTGATAATAAAGACATACCCAAGACTGGGTAATTTATAAAGAAAAAAGGTTTAACTGACTCACAGTTCCACATGGCTGGGGAGGCCTCACAATTATGGCAGAAGGCAAGGAGGAGTAAAGGCACGTCTTACGTGGCAGCAGACAAGAGTGAGCTTGTGCACGGGAACTCCCATTTATAAAACCATCAGGACTTGTGAGACTTACTACCATGAGAACAGTATCAGGAAAACAACCCCCATGATTCAATTATCTCCAACTGGCCCCACCCTTGATGTGTGAGGATTATTACAATTTAAGGTGAGATTTGGGTGGGGACACAGCCAAACCATATCATTATGTCTTTCTGAGAGAACACCACCCCTGGTCTGATGCCTGGTTTATTGTCCAAATGGATTTTTCCCCTTCTGTGACACGTGGCAGAAGGCCAGAGCAAGATACCAGGACACTGCAATGTTCCACAATGAGAGGATGATCGGCCCCCTGCACAAGGGGACTCACCATCCCAGAGTGCGAGTAGGGTACAAAATAGGTGTGACCTATATCACCTGTTTTAGGCCCTTCCCCCATGGGGTGAGAAAACTGAACTGGTAGGGGCTGGTTTGCTATTTCTGGGGCTACTTAATGATGTGGTCCCTGGTGGGCAGGTCATGTGGTAAGGGCAACAGCAGGTTGCCTTGAGCCCCAGGCTGGGGCAAAGGTGTGTCAGGAATTGGGCCCTGTCCTCCTGTATGAAGGGGGGAACCTGTAGAGTCCAGTGGTCTCTGTCAAAGACTGTCCTTCAGTTGTGACATAAAGTGACAGGGCCAAGCACCAAATGGAACTTGGTGCTCAAGGGGCTACCAGTCAATGTGCTCTTCTGTTGCAGGCATGCATGGCATCTGGCCACAGTCTGTGTCTGGGTATTCCCAGACCTCAGTCTCTGAAAAGCATCCTCCAGCCAACCTGCCATGGGGTTCTGAGTGTGCATCAGCATGAGGACACCCTCCACACCATCCTCCACTAGTTGCAAGACATGACATGCAGCAGAGTTGTTGCCCCATGACATTGTAATCCACCTTCAGCCCCCGGGACCAGAATCCTAAAGGCACAAGTTTTATGTCCTTGCCTTTGCCACATGCCCCACTCAGACCCCTCAGGATAACCGGCCACATCTAATTCAGGGATTGTCCCTGCACTAGAACCCACAAGGCTTGTGTTTGTTTCACTGCAGCTTTAGCTCATTCAAAAGCTGCATCCTCTCTCGTGGGCCCCTCCTAGCAGGCGCCTTTCTTGACTAAGTGGTATGGGGGCCTAAGGAATTGGGCCAGATGAGGAATAGAAGGAAGCCCTTACCCTAGAAGGCCTAGGAAGGTTTACTCTGCTTTGGTGCAGTGGGATGTGGATAAGCCTGC
Source organism: Homo sapiens (assembly GCF_000001405.40). Lineage (NCBI taxonomy): Eukaryota > Metazoa > Chordata > Mammalia > Primates > Hominidae > Homo > Homo sapiens. The sequence goes on from NC_000002.12 coordinate 224,075,711, forward strand.
ACCATATCCATAACCACACACAGAATGACTTTAGTCTCACCTGACCAGATGACATCCAAGTATTTGACTGACAAGCGTGGACCCTGGACTTTGTGCCAATTGCTCACCCTCTGTTGGCCGATTGAGGCAGCAGGGTTGGGGCATAGTTTGTAAACTGGAAAAGACTCTGAAGTTAGCATGGTATCATCAACGTAATGGAAACCACATACCCCCTCTGGGACAGTTTCCTAGGATAAGAGGGTAAAGGTCTATTCTCCTTCCCAGGTGAATGCATGTTGGCCTTGACTCTCTGCGGAAATGGGGATGCTGAAGAAGGCATTGGCTAAATCGATAACAAAATGGTATGTGCCCAGGGCCTCTCCTGTCCTCATCAGGAGGGAGGTGATATGGTTTGGATCTGTGTTCACATCAGAATTCATGTTGAAATGTAATCCCCATTGTTGGAGGTGGGGCCTGGTGGGAGGTGATTGGATTATGGGGGTGGATTTCTCATGAAGGGTTTAGTACCATCCCCTTGAAACTGTCCTCTGACAGTGAGTTCTCATGAGATCTGATTGTTTAAAAGTGTGTGGCACTTCCCTTCCTACTCCTCTTGCTCCTGCTCTGGCCATGTGATGTGCCTCCCGCTTCACCTTCCACCATATTGTAAGCTTCCTCAGTCCTCCCCAGAAGCTGAGCAGATGCCAGCACATTTCCTGCAAAGCCTGTAGAACTATGAGTCCATTAAACCTCTTTTCTTTATAAATTACCCCTTTTCAGGTATTTCTTTATGGCAATGCAAGAATGGCCTAATACAGGAGGTGATATTGGGAATAGCTGCATACATTGAGGGGACCATCTTATTTAATTCCTGGTCATCTACTTTCATTCTCCACGTCCCATCATGCTTCTACACAGGCCACATAGGGCTGCCGTATGGGCTGAGTGCTGGCCTTCTAATGCCTACCCAGGCTAGCTCCTTAACAGCCCTGTGATCTCATCATGCCCTGCGGCAGACGGTACTGCTTCAGAGCTACTACTCACCCTGGGACTGGCAACTGTCCTGGTGCCCATTTCTCATTCTCCCAATCACATGCTTCACACCCAATTCTCAGTCGGAATCCCCCAGCAGTTGTTTGGAGGGTCAGGCATGATAATATAGCCATTCCCAAAAGGTATTCTGGGATGGGAGCTGTGTATACTAAATACAGTTTTGGTGGCAGTCTCTCAACTTGTCACACTAGTCAACTTGCCTGACTTTCATGGCCCCCACCAATCTATTGCTGTTATAGACCCTTGGAACTGATAAACGTTAACATATGTGAGAGTACATTCGGTTCCAGTATCCACCAGGACAAGCACAGTCTATTTATTCTTAGGGGACCAATATGTAGTTAGTTCTACCTGTGGCCTCTGGTCCCCAGACACCTGGACACCATTTCTCTTATCAGAATTCTGGAGCCTTGGCCTTCATCCTAGTCTAAAGGGGTTGGCACCTGCCATTCCCTCTGCACAGGGGGCAGCTGGCTGAACCTGAAGCTCCTTAGTGAAGCACTGTTTTCTGGCTTGCGCTTTGGCCATCATCCCACCAGAACAGCATTAGGCTGTTTAAGCCGTTTAATGAAAAGGTGTCCCTGCTACTACCAGGTTACATCACATTTGTCTGTGGGTCACCCTGACAGGCCCCTTGGCTGTCTCCTTCCCTTTGGATCCCTTGTCTTTCATCCAAGCATGCATCCCTTGTCCACACAAGTTTCTTCATTTTTCCTAATTTGGTGGCCACCAAGGCCACCTGAGACCATGTTTTTCCTACCAGGAGGCTCAGGATAGACACTAGTGCACCAAACCATCGGTTGAGTACTGACATGAGTGTTGCAAGGTTAGAGATAACCAGGTCTGTGCATATTTGTGTCTTTCCACAATGTCAGGCTTTATTGATGCTATTTCAATCACAAAAGTCACGAGCTGCATGGAGTTTCAAAGGAGGCAATTCTTAGTACTTCCCATTCACTCAGTGGTCAGAGCCATGGGCACTTCACCAGTCAGTCAATATTGCAAACCATACATAATAGTATGTGTAAAATATAAATGTTATAGATTAAGTATTCCATAACAAAGTAACTTTTAACATCAAGAGGAAAAAGATATAGGAGAAAGTTAATTAACCAGTCCAGGGGAGCAAAGAAGACAAAAAGAGTTCTGGTCTAGGCTGTTTCGCAAAGAAGAGTCTTTGATGTGGCAGAGCCCTAGGCAGCAGATGCTTAATTCTTATGAGTGGCTGCAAGATGATGTCAGTTAAGATGGCAGTTTTGAGCTGAAGGCCTGCTCTCTTACAGTCATGGAGTCCTCTGGTGAGAACTGGTGGAAGAGTGTGCTTGTTTGTGTTCTTATTGGTTGGATGCAGTCTTTATGTTTTTATTTGTTTATTAAGTAAAATGTCTTATGCTTATTGGCAAAGTACTCTCTGAAATATAAAATGAAGCCTTTTTCTAAAATACAGTTAGTTATGTCAAGGGTGCTCTATCCAAGTACAGACTGCAAGATAGCATCTTTCATGCCAGCAGGGAGACATTCATCATGACGACCTCGGAAATGCTCAGCATAGAGAGCATACTTCATCCTTTATTCCTGGAGGATTTCCCACCATTCCTGCATAGTCTGCTTTTGTGAAGGAGGTGGGGGCATCTCCCTTATTTATCCAGGCTGCTTTGCCGTCAGCATCCCCCAGCTGAGGGGGATGGCTTAATTCCCATTATCAGTGCCACAGCAGCACTGCCTGAGGGCGGAGTGGACTGTGCCATTTTATTCATCTCTAGTTCAGAGAGTATAAAACCCTCCGCCCCATGTCACATAGATGGAGAAGCCACCCCATGACTGACTCTCCCCTTCTGTGGAACCTCAGCTCCACCAGTTCCACAGTGGTGCAGTCCTGCACTGTGCTGTTGTATTCCAGATAGGGACAAATCTTGCGGGTCTGCTCCCTGGGGGTGTGGGGAAGGTGGTGGCCCTTCAAACGGGCCAACCAACAAGCCAAGGTCTCGGCGGTATCTGGCACCTTGTGGTAATCACAGTTCACTCTGTAATAGATGAACCCTTCCTCGCCTGTGCCAGGAGCTCAGCCTCTGAGTGGTCAGAAGTGGCCAGCCAACCGTGGCTGCCACTGCTCAGGCATCTGACCCATGCTCAGTCAGATCCACCCCCTGCAAAAATTCTTCCAGATCCTTCGGCATTTTCAGGGCATCCTGTACTCATGTGGTAGGCCCCATGCATCAAAGATAGCAGCTATTGGGCCCCACATTGATGTGGATGGCCAACCTGGGATTTCCCCCACTGATTTCCCCTTCCCCGATCCCACTGTCTTGGTGCTCACAGGATTTTCTCCGAACTCCTGCCTGCCTTGTCAATTACTTGTTGTGCCAAACCCCTGTTAACCTCAATAGGGAAGGCCCCAGTTTCAAGAGGCAGAAGAGGAGACCCAGAGCCAGCAAACAAGAGGTTTTATTAGAGGCTTACATACAGGCAAGAGAATCCAGTAGCAGAAAGCTGAACAAGGTATCCACCTTACCTACAGTTCAATGGCAGCGGGCTGAACCAGATTACTGCATAGCCCAGTGGTGTGATAATGGGCTGGGCAGAAGAACTGCAACCACTTGCAAACAGCATGCAGTTTATGTCGCAGTTCACTTAACACCCTCCCCTTACCACCTCCACCTGGCAACCTCCATCCAACCCAAACTCAGGGCCTCAATCCCCTGGATGGCCCGTGTTCCATGGGATGGGCCCAGGGCTCAGATATTCTTCACGGACAAGGAAGAAATCTCTGGATTGCCAACATCCAATTCCCTAACTCAAAACATACATTCAGGTGTGATATGGTTTGGGTTTGCGTTCCTGCCCAAATCTCATGTTGAATTGTAATCCCCAATGTTTGAGGTGATCGGATCATGAGGATGGATTTCCCCCCTTGCTTTTCTCATGATAGTGAGTGAGCTCTCACAAGATCTGGTTGTTTAAAAGTGTGTAGCACCTCCACCTTCACTGTCTTCCGCCTACTCTGACCATGTAAGATGTGACTCCTTCCTCTTCACCTTCCGCCACGACTGTAAGCTTCCTGAGGCCTCCTCATTCATGCTTCCTGTACAGCCTGCAGAACCATGAACTAATTAAACCTCTTTCCTTTATAAATCACCCAGTTTCAGGTATTTCTTTATAGCAGTGTGAAAACAGACTAATACAAGGTGCATCAGCCATACAGTGTCATTCAAAGGCTATGCTTAAGTTACCAGTGTCAGGTGCATTTACTTTACAGATAGATGGCAGAGGTGGGGAGAAGATGGAACAGTATGTGCATCTCCTTCTAAATAACAAGAGGAGCTCCCTTCTTATGGATATAAGAAGCATTGTCCTGGACTGAAGGAGGAATTGGCCAGGTATTAAATATATCTGGAGATCAGGCAGTTGATCCATCCTTGGACACAATAGGCTTGCCCTTTTCAGAAGACAGTTTAGACTGGCCTCATGTTCAACATCATTGAAGGCACCTCTGAATGCCTGGAATCTTCTTCTCGTGCCATTCAAACTTTTCCCATGGCTATCTCTTTTTCATCCTTCAGATCTCTGAGCTTAAATGCCCCTTCTGTCGAAAGTGGGGAGCTACCATTAGGTAGGTAAAGTGGATACTCACTATTATTCTCTCTCAGCCCCCTGAGTGTTTCCTTTATGGTACATATCCCAGTGTGTTATTATTTTATGTATTTGTCTGTCTCACCCGTGTGGATGTGAGCTCCGGGAGGGCAGGGACGGGGTCTACACTATTTCACAATCAAATCCTAGTGCCTGGAACCTAGTAATCAGTCAGTCATTATGTTTCTGTTGATTGAGAAAATTAACAGATTTTACTTAAAAAGGATCATAAGGTGAAGGCAATGCTTCATTTTAAAGTCATGGCGCAGAGCTCAGTCTTACTCTGCCATTAACCAGCCCTGTGATGGGACAAGACTTTCAATCTCTCTCAGTCTTGCCTGTAAAATGGGAATTGAGAAGAGTTCATTCTAATTCCACGGTTATGCAGGTGGAACTGTCTGTGTACATTCTGGAGTTGTGTGAATGCATTAGTCTATGTTGTAGCCTCACACCAGGAGTTTCTCTTTCTAACTGGTTTATGTACCTCATTTTTCACAGAGCAGCTTGTTTTGACCCGAGGCATATCTATGGCCAAAACGGAACAAGCCCTTATTGGAAAAATATGTCTGTATAATTAAATTCCAGTATTCACAATTTCCAAAACCACTTTACAGAGAGAATATGATCAGTCAGTGTAGCAATCCCCAATACAAATTAAATTAAGCATTAGGGTCCATTTGAAATGGTTACAAGCGATACAAGAAATCCAAAGCTTTTGTGGTCCATTCAAAATATTTCAAATGCTTGAAGAAATGACAGTATTGACTGAGGTATCAACTTGTTCTTTCATGCTAAGAAAAGAAGTATTGAAAGTTGAGAAATCCTCTTGACAGGCTCATTGGCAGGGACAAGGGCATAAAATTACCATTATATTTGTTCTTTAATCCAAGGCCTAGCAGAAAACCACAGACAAAATGGTCATCATGGCTCAAGGAAACTTATAACCCAGGCATGAAATACCAGTTGAACACTGGGCTCCGTCCCTTTGTACAGGTCGGTGCCATTTTCGTATGTACTACATGTCATGTCTGGTCTGATTTTCTGAGTGTCTGTGATGTCAGCAAGTTTTTTCTGGCATTAAGATGTTTGCTGGTACCCAACTATTCATTTCATCCTCCTTAAGTCTCTAGTGGTGACTTCCAGAAAGAAAAAATCAAAAGCAAGTTACATTATTTAAAGCCCAGCACCTATAATTGTTAGTAGCATTATTTATACTTTCCTAAGTTGGAATCAAGTAGTTTGTTGACATATTAGTGTAAATACTACTCATAGTACTGAACAGCTGAGGTGCAGGGATAGGTAACAGGTTGGAAGTGAGCTCATCTGCAAGGACTCAAAAAACCTGGTTAGCTGAGAATGGCCAGTCTGGAAGTATGAATTGTTACACAAAATGGTCAGGCCACTATGCAAAGACTTTGTCCACATGACCATGGTGACCTAGTGCCTTTATTAACAGGACACTATGGTGGGGCCTTCACCACCAGTTTGGCTCCACATCTAGAGAGAGATTAAATGCATTCTTTGTTTCAAGAGAGATTAGAAACCTGTAATCCAACAGGGTGTGTCCCAGAAGAAGCATCTTTCTTTAGAAACCTGAATTCCATGAATGTTGGTTAGACAGTTCTTTTAGCCAAAGTACAGTGGTTAAGGATAGATTTATTCAGACTTCAGCTTCAATCCCTGATAAAAACAACAACAAAATATGTTTCTACATGTAAGTAAACACACTCTAGATCCCAGTCCATCTACCCCAGGCAAACATGTTTATTTCCAACCTCACTCTTAGAAGTCTGAGATTAAGAGAACTTTTGTCCTTCTCCGTCTCCCCTTGTGTCTTCCCATTTCTCTGCTGGTGTCTTACCCCACAGCATTTTATGACAATTTTTCCAGAGTGCTAGGCTATTTGTCTTGCCCCTTCTTTATGTCTGGTCAAGAATAATCCATTTTCTCTCATTTTAACCCTAGAACCTTCTAAATGTGTGAGTTTTAAACATTCTCTCCTCTTACATGCATTATATATTGTATATATGTTAGAAAATATGTATATAATGGGAAATATAGGATTAAGTCCATCAAGTATAGAAACATAGATAATACTTTATTACTTTACACATTGAGGATATCATAGACCACCTTATGCATATTTGCTTTCTTTCCCAGACTTTGAGGACACCCTGTATATCTCCTATCCTCCCCAGCTCCATGGCAGAAATTGTTAGATTTTGAGGCTTTGGTCTGTATTAAAATTCAAAAAGCCCTGGCACAGGTTATCATATTAAGCTGTTTTTAGTCACATACGACACAGTGAAGGAGTTTTATCTGCTCTTTCCTGAGAGCAAGTTTTGCCAGGACAGAGAATGGGGAGCATACACTGAAATGGGTACAGAAGATGGGAAGAATCACAGATGGTGCCTGAAGCAGAGGCTCTGGTCCCCCCAACACCGACTCTGTCTCATTACATTCCCAATTTCTGCCAGAAAGAAACTATCTGTGCCTAGTAGTTTAAGCCTCCCCTTGCTTTTTTGTTTCAGCCTGCCCAAGGACCAAGAAGTCCTAAGTTACCTCTTTCTTCTGGTATACTTTATTTTCAGTTTTTGCCCTCTATAGAGTGCCAGGCATTATGCTAGTTGCTGGTGGACATTGGCAAATTAAGCAGAACTCTGCCTTCATGGGGCTTATAATCTAGGACTAATAATAAATAGGCAAATAAACAAACATGTAATCAACTGTGATTCTCTCCATGAGGGAAACAAATGGGGTTCTGTGATTGGTAAAACTGATGAGTGAGTCATTATTACAGACCGGGGAGAAGAGCTTCTCTGTGGAGATGAAGATGGAGGACAGAAGAGGCCACAAGTGGGCAGGAAGACGGGTGTTCCAGACAGGGGCACCAGCTAGTGTCGAAAACCATGACTCAGAGGGCAAGCCAGTATTTAAAGAAAAATGAATAAAAAGTCCGGGTGCAGTGGCTCACATTTGCAATCCCACTACCTTGGGAGGCCGAGGCGGGTGGATCACTTGAGGTCAGGAGTTTGAGACCAGCCTGGCCAACATGGCAAAACCCTGTCTTTACTAAAAATACAAAAATTAACTGAGCGTGGTGGCCAGTGCCTGTAATCCCAGCTACTCGGGGGCGGAGGTGACAGAACTGCTTGAATCCAGGAGGCAGAGGTTGCAGTGAGCTGAGATCAGTGCCACTGCACTCCAGCCTGGGCAACAGAGCAACACTCTGTCTCAAAAAAAAAAAAAAAAAAAGAAAGGAAAAAAAGAAAAAGAAAAAAATCGTGAATCGTAGATTCTACCTGAGTCTTCAGCAAATGTTTTCCAGAAGTCAGTGCTCACTCATCTAAGTTTTCCAGCAAGGTTTGGTGGAAATGAATGTGTGAGGGTGTGTGTGTGTGTGTGTGTGTGTGTGTAGCAAATAAACAAACATGTAACCTCCAAGCTCAGTTATTCTTCTCTTTGTTTTATAGTTCTCCACCTATGAACTATGGACTATAAACTATGTTTTATAGTTCTCCAACCAGTTGACTAGTAGGCTGGGGAACATTTGAGTAGGATAGTAGAATGCTATGTTTAATTTTTCTTCTTTATCCTTATTTTGTACTATTGCAAACCAGAGGCCAAGAAAAGAAAAAAGAAAAAAAAAAAGAAAGAAAATTCCTGAAATCTAAGCAAAACACAATTTCCCAATAAAGAAAGAAGCTTTTTGCTTTTCTTTGAATTCTAGAAACTTTGTCTCACTACTCTTTCTGTTTCTATTACATTTTTGAGTGTCTGGGTTTCCATCTCCAATTAGCAAATACCTCAGAGAAGGGGAATAGTCGGTTGGGGGAAGAGGTTTGTAAATGTGCTGTGTGCCTCAGTAGGACCTTGTGTAGGAAAGAGAAGAATAACTGAACTTGGAGGTTATATTCAGCATTCTGGTGCTGTGATTGCCAGGAAGTTTGTGTATTTTGGACTAGCTGTCTCTTGTGTGTGGCTCCCAGCCTATCTTCCTTTGGAAAGCTGTCCTTCCCTCCATGTTGGTAGGATAAGAGCCCTGTTTTCCCCTGACACTAGGGTGGACACATGACCCAAGACTGGCCAATCAGAGTAGCCCATTACTCTGACTGTGGTAATTGGCTCAGCCATGAGCACATGACTCAAACAGGCCCACCAAAACCCTGCCTTGCGATGCGATCTGTGAAAGCAGAAAAAGAGTCTCTCTCTTCTTTGAGGGCCAGGAGTTATAAGGGCAAGGTGGTCTTGGGGTTATGAGCAGACATCTTGCTGGTGATAGACGGAGAGAGAGCCTAAGATTGAAACCCAGCAGAGGTATATGGAGAGAGAGGGAGAAGAGAGTACAGGAATCACAAACTGGGGCCCAGATCTTATCATACTGAAACCAGATACACATTTCAGATTTCCCAGCCAATACATTACTTTTTTTTTTTTTTTTGCTTAAGTGCTAGTTTGAGTTGTTTCCATCTTTTGTGTAGACACACACACACACACACACACACACACACACATACACACACTCACATATTCATTTCCACCAAACCTTGTTGGAAAAATTAGATATAAATTCATGTATACTTTCCATCCACCACCAAACATTGGCCATTTCTCATGTAGGACAGTTAGGTAGCTTTTCTGGACTCAAATATATAACAGAAAACTTTCCATTCTTCAAGTACAGATTATTATCCAGAAGAAAAGTCAAAGCATATGTTTGTATCTGTGATAAGAACAAACAGTGCCGAGAGTGAGTTGCTTAATGGAAATTAATTTTCATTTTGAATGTACTTTATTACAACTTCATTACCTAATTAGAAGTGGTATTTTCAGCCAACTCTTTGTTCTTATTCATAACAAGAAAACCTATTTTTCCTTAGGTTGATAAACAAGTGAATATTTTTTTTCCTATATCTTAAGTTTAAAAAGAAAAGTCATAAACTGGGGAGCTCGGTGGGCTGTATTTGTGACTTGTACAAAATGATCCCACTTCCTGAGCCATTGAAAGACAAATTGCTGTTGAAAACAGTGTTCTGGTTGTTGCCAGGCCACTTAAGCTAATACTGAAGATGAGTCATTAGATATAAACCCTAGGAAGTGAAGACTCAGAAGGAGAGGAGATGGACCTGTGACCTCCTTTTCCATCCTCATTCACTGCAGTAAAGAAGGAAAACCCAACCATATAGATAAATTGGAAGCCCTGGGAGTCCTAACTTTAGACCTACTTCTACCAACGTTAAGAAACTGAATAAGGAAATTCTTTAGCCTCTCTCAGTTTCTGTACTACAAGTGGGATTGTCTAAGGGTTCTGGTGATGATTCCATTGAAAAATCTTGGATTAATAAAGCAGCCAACAGCAGACTTTTTTAGTGATCTTAACACTTCACGACTTGAAACACCACTTAGAGAAAATGCCACGAGTCTCAGGAAATTATTACCATGTTACCTTGGAATACTAATTGTAGTTCTGCAAAGTCAGGTTGCCCTGGAAAGTCCTAGAATTCTGTTTAATACGGTAGTATTCTTTTTCTTTGTCTCCATTAATCATTTAGTGAAAGTGACCAAATATAATATTATGAAGCTCTGAGGCAAGTCAGAAACTATTTGAGCTGGAAGAGAATATAACCTATTAACTTTCTAAATGAATGAAGAGTAACTCATAGCAGTTGTGAGATTTGCTCAAAAGGTCTGATTGTTGTTTAGGGGTAGCTCAGGCACCAGGATTAAGTGTTTATTAAGTGTTTGTCACGCATTCTGCTCACCAGCTTCCATCAGCCTTTCTCAAAGCATGTGCCTTCGAATACTAGTGAGCAGATATTTTGTACAAAAGACTTTATATTTTGTACAAGACTATATTTTGTACAAAAAGACTTTACTAGACAAATGTATTTGGGAAGTAGCATGTACTGTAGCTCTTCTTGGAGCATACTAAAGACCAACAAAAAAGGTTATTTACCTATACTTATCAGAGAGTTTTCCCAGAATGTTTGGCTAAGGAAAGCTTCTTCTGTGGAACACTCACTCAACATGAGTAGGTCAAGTTTTCCATGCGAGAAAGACTTGTAAGTCTGATTGGTATTTGTTCTGCCTCGTAAACTCAAGCTTCTGGGTACATTTTAAACTCTGTTCTGGGGTTTATTGGGCCAGCTTAAAATATAAAAATGCTAAATTAAAAAATTAAATATTCTACTAGGGGAAAATTTCAGGCATATTGTTTCCAGCATTTTAACAGCAAAATACCAAAATGCCATAACTTAGGAAATACCAAAGTGCCATAACTCAGTGAAATTTAGCATGTGGTTTTTGGAATCAAACACTCTGACAATTAACTGTCTGAGTAAGCTTGAAATATGAGCCCATGAGTCAGGATGACCAAGCCAGCTCTACATGGGTGTGCCTAGTAGACAAAGAATTATTAGTAACACTAAGTGGGCCTATTAGCCAATACTATCACACGTCTTCTAGTAAAATTGCTACATTTCACTAGGAGATGTGCAATTCATATGGCTTCAGGGACCAGGCAGTTGCCTACATTGAGAAAAACACAATAAGGAGTACAAAGGACCATTTCGATTTGGGGACCACCTGCCCCCTAAAAACAAAAGAAAGAAATTACACTATATCATCCAAGTAAGATTCATTTGTGGGCTGAATTATTACATGGGCTGACTATGTGCTCTGTGTTAGCCTTAAAAGTGTAGGCATGATTTCAGCAATAGCAGCTAGAGTGATCCTAGGAAATTGTGCCATTCTGCTACCTCATAGGATCAGGGAGCAGAGGAAACAGCATATCAGCGTCAGGATTTAGGATTCAAGATTATAATCCATGAGCTTTATCTTACAAACAATATGTGGATTTGCCATTCCTATGAAATTAGCAGAGAAGGAAATATATTTATCATCCAAACCAGCCTGATCATTATTGATTTGTTTGTTAGTTCAGAGAAATCTAGAGGAGCCCTACTTCTGGGGCATTATTTTTCACTCGCGTCCATGTGAAGAGACCACCAAACAGGCTTTGTGTGAGCAATAAAGCTTTTTAATCACCTGGGTGCAGGCAGGCTGAGTCTGAAAAGAGAGTCAGTGAAGGGAGATGGGGTGGGGACATTTTATAAGATTTGGGTGGGTAGTGGAAAATTATAGTCAAAGGGGGTTGTTCTCTGGCAGGCAGCGGTGGGGGTCACAAGGTGCTCAGTGGGGGAGCTTTTGAGCCAGGATGAGCCAGGAGAAGGAATTTCATAAGGTAATGTCATCAGTTAAGGCAGGGACTGGCAATTTTCACTTCTTTTGTGATTCTTCAGTTACTTCAGGCCATCTGGATGTATACGTGCAGGTCACAGGAGATATGATGGCTTAGCTTGGTCTCAGAGGCCTGACATTCCTGTCTTCTTATATTAATAAGAAAAATAAAACGAAATAGTGGTAAAGTGTTGGGGCAGCGAAAATTTTGGGGGGTCGTATGGAGAGATAATGGGCGATGTTTCTCAGGGCTGCTTCAAGCGGGATTGGGGCAACGTGTGAACCTAGAGTGGGAGAGATTAAGCTGAAGGAAGATTGTGTGGTAAGGGGCGATATTGTGGGGTTGTTAAAAGGAGCATTTGTCATACAGAATGATTGGTGATGGCCTGGATGCAGTTTTGTATGAATTGAGAGACTAAACAGAAGACACAAGGTCCGAATAAGAGAAGGAGAAAAACAGGTATTAAAGGACTAAGAATTGGGAGGGCCCAGAACATCCAATTAGAGAGTGCATAAGGGGGTTCAGCCTAATTACTTGCATGGTTGGCAAGTTTTTGGGCTGTATCCTTGACAGAGTCCTCCTTTTTAAGTTGGAGGCTGAGCTTAGTGAGGTGTGTTTCTAAAAGACCATTAGTGTGTTCTACCTTTCCTGAAGATTGAGGCATAAGGGGTATGAAGTTTCCACTGAATACCAAGAGCCTGAGAAACTGCTTGGGTGATTTGACTAATAAAGGCCAGTCTGTTATTGGACTGTATAGAGGTGGGAAGGCCAAACCGAGGAATTATGTCTGACAGAAGGGAAGAAATGACCGTGGTGGCCTTTTCAGACCATGTAGGAAAGGCCTCTACCCATCCAGTGAAAGTGTCTACCCAGACCAAGAGGTATTTTAGTTTCCTGACTTGGGGCATGTGAGTAAAGTCAATTTGCCAGTCCTGGACAGGGGCAAATCCCTGAGCTTGATGTGTAGGGAAGGGAGGGGTCCTGAGAAATCCCTGAGGATTAGTAGAATAGCAGATGGAATACTGAGAAGTGATTTCCTTAAGGATAGATTCTCATGATGGAAAGGAAATGAGAGGTTCTAAGAGATGGGCTAGCAGCTTGTAACCTACATGGAAGAGGTTATGAAATGATGACAGAATAGAATGGGCCTGTGAGGCTGGAAGGAGATATTTTCCTTGGTCCAAGAACCATTTGCCTTGGGTGGGAGAGATTGATAGGTGGAAGTTTTAGTGGGAGTAGGTGGGAGTGGCCAGATGAGAAGGAGAAAAACTGCCGTGAGGGATAGAAGTTGGAACGCCAGCTGCTTTTTTAGTTACCTTATCAGCATAAGCATTGTCCTGAGCAATGGGATCAGCCTTTTGATGGCTGCTTTTTTAGCTACCTTATCAGCATAAGTGTTGTCCTAAGTGATGGGATCTGATGCCTTTTGATGGCCCTTGCTGTCAATGACTCCAGCTTCCTTTGGAAGTAAAGCAGTTTTGAGAAGAGTTTTTATTAAAGAGGCGTTAATGATGGAGGACCCTTGTGTAGTGAGAAAACTTCTTTCAGCCCGTATAACAGCATGGTGGTGCAGGATATGGAAGGCATATTTAGAGTCAGTATAAATATTGACATGTAGTACCTTTGCAAGAGTGAGGGCCCGAGTTAAGGCAATGAGTTTGGCTTGCTGAGAGGTGGTGGAGGGGGGCAGAGTGGTAGCCAGATGTGGAAGATACTATAGCATGGCCTACCTTTGCTGGTGAGTGGCAGCGATTAAGCCTGGTGGAACTGCCATCAATAAACCAGGTGTGATCAGGATGAGGAACAGGAAAGAAGGAAATATGGGGAAATGGAGTGAATGTCAGGTGGATCAGAGAGATACAGTCATGGGGTTCAGGTGTGGTATCCGGAATAATGTGGGAGGCCAGATTGAAGTCTGGGCCAGGGACAATGGTAATTGTGGGAGACTCAACAAAGAGTGAGTATAGCTGAAGGAGCCAGGCAGCAGAAAGTATATGTGTCAGGTGGGAGGAAGAAAATAGATTTTGGAAGTTATGAGAACTGTAGAGAGTGAGTTGAGCATAGTTTGTGAATTTGAGGGCCTCTAAAAGTATTAAAGCAGTGGCAACCACCGCACGCAGACATGAGGGCTAGGCTAAAACAGTAAGGTCAAGTTGTTTGGACAGAAAGGCTCCAGGGCGTGGTCCCGGCTTTTGTGTAAGAACTCCAACCGCACAGCCCTGCACTTTGGCTGTGTGTGATGAAAAAGGGTTGGGATGAGTTATGGAAAGCCAGTGTGGGAGCAGCTTCTAGGTCTGTTTTTAAGGAACGGAAAGGAGTAGGGAAAGGATTTAGGATCTGTGGGGTCAACTAGGTTTGCTTTTGTGAGTTTATATAATGGTTTAGTCAGGATGGTAAAACTAAGTATCCAAAGGCGGAAGTACCTAACCATGCCTAGGAAGGAAAGGAGTTGTTGTTTTGTAGAAGGAATTGGGGTTTTGGAGATTAGCCAGATGTGATCAGCAGGGAGAGCACGTGTGTTTTCACGAAGAATTATGCTGAGATAGGTAATGGATGAGGAAGAAATTTGGGCTTGACTGAAGTAATGGGGGCTGTCTGTGAAGCCTTGCAGCAGTACAGTCCAGGTAATTTGCTGAGCCTGATGAGTGTCAGGGTCAGTCTAAGTGAAAGTGAAGAGAGGCTGGGATGAAGGGTGCAAAGGAATAGTAAAGAAAGCATGAGATCCAGAACAGAATAATGGGTTGTGGAGGGAGGTATTGAGGATAGGAGAGTATATGGCTTTGGCACCATGGGGTAGATAGGCAAGAAAATTTGGTTGATAATGTGTAGATCCTGAACTAACCTGTAAGGCTTGTCTGGTTTTAGGACAGGTAAAATGGGGGAATTGTAAGGAGAGTTTATAGGCTTTAAAAGGCCATGCTGTAGCGGGTGAGTGATAACAGACTTCAATCCTTTTAAAGCGTACTGTGGGATGGGATATTGGCGTTGAGCGGGGTAAGGGTGATTAGGTTTTAATGGGATGGTGAGGGCATGTGATCGGTTGCTAGGGAGGGAATGGAGGTGTCCTATACTTGTGGGTTAAGGTTAGGGGATACAAGGGAAGGATGTGAAGAAGGCTCTGAACTGGAGGAAACGGCGGCAATGAGATGTAGCTGTAGTCGAGGAATAGTCAGGGAAGCAGATAATTTAGTTAAAATGTCTCAACCTAATAAGGGAACTGGGCAGGTGGGGATAACTAAAAGGAGTGCTTAAAAGAGTATTGTCTAAGTTGGCACCAGAATTGGGGAGTTTTAAGAGGTTTAGAAGCCTGGCTGTCAATACCCACAACAGTTATGGAGGCAAAGGAAACAGGCCCTTGAAAAGAAGGTAATGTGGATTCGGTAGCCTCTGTATTGATTAAGAAGGGTGTGGACTTACCCTCCACTGTGAGAGTTACCCAAAGCTCGGCATCTGTGATGGTCTACAGGGCTTCTGAGGCGATCGGGCAGCATCAGTCTTCAGCTGCTAAGCTGAGAAGACCTGGGAAGGAGTCAGTCAGAGAGCCTTGGGCCAGAGTTCCAGGGACTCTGGAAGTGGCTGCCAGGTGAGTTGAACAGTCTGGTTTTCAGTGGGGTCCCGCACAGATGGGACATGGCTTAGGAGGAATTCTGGGCTGCGGGCATTCCTTGGCCCAGTGGCCAGATTTCCAGCACTTGTAGCAAGCTCCCGGGGGAAGAGATTTTGGGGGAACCCCTGGCAGCTGTGGTTCAGGTGTTTGGAGTTCTTGTGTGCTGGAGATGTGGCTGGGGTTTGTCTCACAGTGGAGGCAAGGAATTGCAACCTAGAAATATGTTGCTACTTGGCTGCCTCTACTCTATTATCTTACACCTTGAAAGCGAGGTTAATTAAGTGCTGTTGTGGGGTTTGAGGGCTGGAATTTAATCTTTGGAGTTTTATTTAATGTCGGGAGCAAATTGGGTAATAAAACGTATATTGAGAATAAGATGGCCTTTTGACCTTTTAGGGTCTAGGGCTGTAAAGCATCTCCGGGTTGCTGCCAAATGAGCCATGAACTGGGCTGGGTTTTATATTTGATGAAAAAGAGCCTGAACGCTAACTGATTTGGGAGAGGTGGGATAAAGAAAAAGGAGTATTAGCCTTAACTATGCCTTTAGCTGCAGTGGCCTCTTTAAGAGGAAATTGTTGGGCAGGTGGGGGAGGGCTAGAAACTGTAAGCCAGACCAGGTGTGAGGAGGGGAGGTGATAAAAGGATTATAGGGTGGAGAAGCCGAGGCTGAGGAAGAATTGGGACCTGGCTCGGCCTGGCGAGGAGCAGCCTGGGGAGGAGGGGAGAGGTCAGATGAGTCTGTAGAAAAGGAAGATTGGGAAGACTCAGTGACGCTTGGGGTTGGGACTAAGGGGAGAGGCAGGAGGGAAAGAAGGAGGATTTGGGAGGAATCACATTGGGAACAGAGACTAGGGAGGGAACAAAGTGTGAAAAATGCCTGGATGTAAGGCACCTCAGACCATTTGCCCATTTGTTGACAAAAATTATTTAGGTCTTGTAGGACGGAGAAATCGAAAGTGCCATTTTCTGGCCATTTAGAGCCATTGTCAAGTTTGTATTGGGGCCAAGTGGTGTTGCAGAAGAAAATAAGGCATTTAGGTTTTAGGTCAGGTGTGAGTTGAAGAGGTTTTAAGTTTTTGAGAACACTGGCTCAGGGAGAAGAGAGAGGAATGGAGGGTGGAAGGTTGCCCATAGTGAAGGAGGCAAGCCCAGAGAAAAGAGAGAGTAGAGACATGGAGAGAAGGGGTGGGGGGGTGCTTGCCCCCCAGAAAAGCAGAAAAGTGGTAGAGACACAGAGAGAAGGGGTTGGGGGTGCTTGCCCCCCAGGAAAGTGGAGAAGGGGTGGGAGGTGCTTGCCCCCCAGGAAAGTGGAAAAGTGCTAGAGACATAGAGAGAAGGGGTGGGGGGTGCTTGTCCCCCAGAAAAGTGGTAAAGGAGTAGAGACACGGAGAGAAGGGGTGAGCGGTCCTTGCCCCCCAGAAAAGCAGGGTGCTTGCTGCTAAGGGTGAAGGACCAAGGAAGGTGTCCCCGCATGATCAGACACCTCTGAAATGTGGGTGAATAATCAAGCAGGTGTCCCCGCATGATTAAACATCAAGGGAAGACTGTCTTCCCAAGTCCGTGACTGGCGCTGGAGTTTTGGGTTCACGGATAAAATGTGCCTCCTCTGTGTCTGTACCAGAAA
The DNA here is from genome assembly GCF_000001405.40 of Homo sapiens. NCBI lineage: Eukaryota > Metazoa > Chordata > Mammalia > Primates > Hominidae > Homo > Homo sapiens. The sequence goes on from NC_000002.12 coordinate 224,092,844, forward strand.
AGGAAAGGAATTGAAATTTAGAGAAGGGAGAGATTGAAGGATGGCACCTAGATTGGAGAAAGAGGTTGAGGGATAGTAAAAGAGGGTGGAGAAGAGAGTAAAGAGAGGCCGCTTACTGGATTTAAAATTGGTGAGATGTTCCTTGGGCTGGTTGGCCTGAGGGCCCGAGGTTGTAGGTGGATCTTTCTCACAGAGTAAAGAGCAGGAGGACAGGGGATTGATCTCCCAAGGGAGGTCCCCCGATCTGAGTCACGGTACCAAATTTCACTTGCGTCCGTGTGAGGAGACCAGCAAACAGGCTTTGTGTGAGCAATGAAGCTATTTAATCACCTGGGTGCAGGTGGGCTGAGTCCAAAAAGAGAGTCAGTGAAGGGAGATAGGGGTGGGGCCATTTTATAAGATTTGGGTGGGCAGTGGAAAATTATAGTCAAAGGGGGTTGTTCTCTGGCAGGCAGGGGTGGGGGTCACAAGGTGCTCAGTGGGGGAGCTTTTGAGCCAGGATGAGCCAGGATGAGCCAGGAGAAGGAATTTCACAAGGTAATGTCATCAGTTAAGGCAGGGACCAGCCATTTTCACTTCTTTTGTGATTCTTCAGTTACTTCAGGTCATCTGGATGTATACGTGCAGGTCACAGGGGATACAATGGCTTAGCTTGGGCTCAGAGGCCTGACATTATTTTGACCAACAGTGACATTGTACCAGAGAGACTCAAAGTGGGACATTTCTTGTTGAACAGTACAAGTGCTAATAATGAGTTTGCCATGGTCAGGTTAGACCCGTGGAATTTGCTGGCCAAATCAAATTGCCACAACTTAAAACAACAGAAGATTGCTAAAAAGTACTGAATGGTTGAAAATCTGTAATCACAAAGAAAACTAGGAGATGAGCTTATTTAGTTCACAAGAGTAGCCAGGAAGCTGTGACAGAAAACAGATTTTAAGGAGAGAAATGGTTGTTTTTGAAAGGTAATTTGTTTCTTAGAGATGTTAAATTAGGATAAATGCCCATTATTGGTAATGGTAAAACATTAAGGCCTTTGTAGAGACAGAAAGAATCACGGTGCATGCATTCTGATTTGAGGACATTACTAAACCTTCCTCTAAGAATTTCAGAAAAAGGAAAAAATCCATTTGTGAGTTCTCTAAGAGCAATTATGTTTCTTTTTTGGCCTCAGAAAAACTCCCATAATGCTTGTTACTGTGCCATACCTAGAGTAAGCACTCAATAACACACAGATGAAATGTGTTTTCCCTGGAAGAACAAAATACTAGCCAGCATTGATTGAGCCCTTACTATCTATGAGCAAGGCACAGAGCTGAGTGCTTTACATGCAATTCCATTACTTCTTGTGGCAACTCCCATTTCATAGATAAGGAGACCGAGCCTGAGAGAGGGTGGGTACCCCATTCCCATGGTGATGGGGACAGTGCTGCAAGTGATAGAGCCAGGATCTAAAGCCCGTATGTTTTTCAACATACTCTGTAACTACATACAGATGTATGGAAATGGAGATATCTGAAGAATAAGTGGGTTTTTAGGAGGGGATGACTGATATTTATAGGAATTACTGGATTGTGTTTGGGAAGATATAAGTCAAGAAGAGTTTTGAAGAAAAATGAAATAGGACTTTAGAGAGGGGTCGGAGTGTTACAGATTAGAGAGGGCTCAATGCTATCCATTCTATCTGTGCTTTAGATCAAGTAATGACTAATATTTGTGGCTGTGAGACTGGGAGCCTGTTGACAGTTTGAGTAAAGAATGTATAGTGGGTTGAAGTATGTCCCCCAAAAAGATATGCCCAAGTCATAACCCCTAGAACCTCAAGATGTAACCTTATTTGGAATTAGGGTCTTTGCAGATGTAATGAAGGTATGGGGCTTAGATGAGATCATCCTGGATTTGGATGGGCACTTAAATCCAAATGATGAGTGTCCTTGTAAGAGATAGAAAAGGAGAAGACAAACAGATACAGAGAGGAAAGCCACGTGAAGACAGAGGCAGATATTGGAGTGATGTATCCATAAGACAAGGAACACCAAGGATTGCCAGAGCCACTAGGAGCTGGGAGAAAAATATAGAACGAATTATCCCTCAGAGGTTCCAGGAGAAACCAACCTTTGTTGATGCCTTGATTTTGGACTTCTGGCCTCCAGAACTGTGAAAGAATACATTTCTGTTGTTTTAAGCCACCAAGTCATAGCAATTTGTTATGGCAACCCGAAGCAACTAATGCAGAGTGTCTGTCAAGTTTGTTTCTGTGGATCCACTCTCTGTAGCTCTCTGGTTTCTTCTAGGGGTTCATGGTGCATTTGCAGATAAATGGTTTGATAAGAGGAAACTGAGCTGGACATTCTGGTTTGGAAACTAGAAATGGCCCCTTAATATGGGCTCTTAGTTCGTAGTTTTTATGTTCTTGCTATGGTATTGTTGAAAATGACACTAAAAGTCAGACCATTAGCTTGCATTTCTCAACTCTTCATCTTGATTCTTCTTTTAGTTCCTTTGTGACCTGACTTTAAAGAATTTATTCAACATCAGTTTCCTGGTTGGTAAACCAGGACTGCAACATCAGCTTCTTTATTCAGCCATTGGCCAGATAGAAAGAATCATCTTCATTAAAAAAAAAAACAAAGTGAGATATGATCAGCCTAAGGAACACATGACAGCTGCTTCCCAATTCACCTCTCTCAGAGGTTGTTGCAGACTTATCCTTTGGTGTTAAAGAGTTAGTGATAGTCCCCATAAAGGGTTAATGCTCTGGCATCAAAATATTCTGGCATAGACTTATGATGCAATGTCTCAGTGGGCACCATCAGCAAGCTTGCTATGGAAACAAACTCTCAGAGCTCTTAAAAGATGCTCTGAGATATACCTTTAATGTTGCCACAGATTCAAAGTACACATCATGGAGCTATAATGAGAATTGAAGCCCCTTTTCCCAGTGGATAGGTCTATCTAGCCTATGCTGCACTAACAGGTTCCTGAGGGTGAGAAAACAGGTATGAAAATCAAGCAGTCTCACTGTATTAGAGATTCTGGGCTGTATACTGTCCAGAATCATCTACCATCCTGACACCCTTTTGTTTCCTATTCCACTGTGTTCTTGTAGGGTTTAAATAGGGGTTATCTCTGCAGCATTTCATCTGTGCTACCTTTTGAAAACACCTGCTGTCTTTGCTAGGAAAGAGGAGAAATATTCTGCTTTCAGCTGGTAAAGAAACAGTGCTCCTCCTCCGTTTATTCATGCTAAAAAAATCCCTATTTTCTCATTCATTCAAATCTTTCACCAAATATTTATGAACAGCCTCTTTGAGCAGCCTCTTTTAGGTATTAACGAGATGGTGGTGATTATAACAGACAGTGTCTCTCCTCATGGAGCATGTAGTCTGGGGGATGGTGGAGAGACTAACAATGCACAAATAACAAATAAGTGTATGATCATCCAGATGGTGATAATGGCAGTGAAAAAAAAAACAGGCAGGCTAGGTGGGCAGAGGGTGTTGGTAGATATATTAGTCAGCTTGGGCTGCCATAGCAAATACCATAGGCTGGGTGGCTAAACAATAGAAATTTATTTTCTCACAATTCTGGGGGCTGGAAAGTCCAAGATCCGGGTGCTGGCTAATTTGTTTCCTTCTGAGGGCTCTCTTCCTCTCTTCCTTGCCTTTTTCTGTGTCCTGGCATGGTGGGGAGTACTGGGGATGGATGTGAAGAGCATCTAAACAACCTAAAGAAGATGTGAACTTAGGGGGATGCAATTCAGTCCATAGCAGTGGGATGATGGAGGTTACTGTTTTATGTTAGGATGGTTAGGATGATCTTCCCTGACACTTGATCCGAGAGCTAAAAGAAACTAGGAAATGAAACTTGTAGATAACCAGAGAATGAGTTTCAGACAGAAAAAAAAAAGAGCAAAGGCAAAGTCCCTGATAAGAATATGCCTGAGGAGTTGGAGGAACAGCCAAGAGACCAGTGAATCTGGAATGCAGTGAGCCAGAGAGAGAGTGCAGGAGATTGGACTCAGGAGAGGCTCAAGGGTGGAGCAGGTGTGACACTTTGGGGATCATTGTAAGACCCTGAGCTGGGGAGTGACCTGATCTGGTATGTTTTAGAAGGATCCCTCTGGCTTCACGTCAGGGAGCAATGGTAGAAGCAGGGATTGGGGTGGCGGTGTGCACTTCTCTTTCTCACCCTGTGGCAGTGAGTCTCCAAAGATGCTTTAGGACAATTTTTCACCAACTTGTACACATACGTCTCTTCTCACGCCATGAGGTGGAGCTTATTTCCTCCTCTGGAATCTGGGTTATTCTTACGTTGGGCTCCAACCGTGGGAATGCAGGGAAAATGATGTTCTTGAACTTCTGAGCCCCAATCTAAAGAAGATGAAACATTTTCACTTCCTGCCTCTTGAAACCCAGCTGTAATCCTGGGAGAGGCTCAAGGTGCATGGAGACACCACATGGAGAAGAACCATGGGGCTGTGGTTGACAGTCCCACCTGAGCTCCCAGACAGCAGTTGACATTGCCTGTCAGCCATATGAGTGTGCTGTCTTGGACAAAGTAAAGCTGCTAAGTGGCTTCACTAAGTGACATCCCTGAATGGCTGTAGCCCCAGCTAATATCATATGGAGCTGAAGAGCCATCCAGCTAGGTCAGTCAGCCCACAGAATCAGAAGAAAGTAAAATAGCTGTTGTTTTAGCCACACCCTCACCCCCTTCTACCCTTGCTCCTTGACACAAAGCCAGGGGTATCCTTCTAAAACAGACCATATCATGTCAGTCCCCGACTCAGGGTCTTACGATGATCTCCAAAGTGTCATACAACCTGCTCCAACCCTTGAGCCTCTCCTGAGTCCAGCCTCTTGCACTTTCTCCTTAGCTCAGGACATTGCAGACTCATTGGTCTCCCGGCTGTTTCTCAAACTCTCCCAAGTTGTAGAGTGATTTGTTATATAGATAACTGAAACACCCCTCTCTCATTCTGCTTTCCATCTTTCTTTCCTTCTTTCTTTACTTCCTTCCTTTTCGTTTTCTTTCCCTTCCTTCTTTTTTCTTTCTCTTTTCCTCTGATCTTTGTTTCTTCTTCTGTCTTGTACACCATCATCTGTTCATTCCATCCACCTATATCAGGTGCACATAGAAGGAACACAGCCTGAATTCTTATGCCTAAGAAAATATTTAATAAGTGAGGAAAATATCTAATAAGACAGAGAGAGAGAGAGAGAGAGAGATGAAGGGAGAAAGGAGCCTTCCCATGTATCAGAGAATGGAAGGAGAAAGATTCTGAGGAAAATATAAACATTTGAATAATGTATTTCTAATAATTTTTGGTCTGAGGCCAAGCTGGCTATCTTAGATCCCACCCTGGAACTGTACACATGTATGACTTTCTGGAGGCTCGGGGATTGCACTGGCATGTCCCGTCCTTCCCTAGAGCAAAGAGTAGGACTCTGAGGCTGAGGACATCCACTGCTATTTCAAAACTTTGACTTTGGTTAACCAAAGAACCATTACCTGTGTATTAGTTTTCAATTGATATGTAATAAATTACCACAAACTTAGTGGCTTCAACCAATACCCATTTATCAGGTCACAGTTCTGCAGGTCAAAAGTCTATGCATGAAGTAGCTAGGTTTTCTGCTCAGGATCACAAAGGCCAAAGTCAAGGTGTCAGTCAAGTTGAGTTCTTGTCTGTGGGCTTCAGGAAAAGAATCGACTACCAAGTTCATTTGGGTTATTGGCAGGATTCAGTTCCTTAGAGTTGTAGGATTCAAGTCCCATTTCCTTGTGGGCTTTCAGCCAGGGGCTGCACTCAGCTCCTACAAGCTGCCTGCATTCTTTGCCAAATGGCCTTCTCCATCTTCAAGCTAGCAAGAGCGTATCCAATTCTTCCCCAGTTCTGAATCTCTGACTTCCTTTTCTGCAATGAACTGGAGAAAACGCTCTGCTTTTAACTCTTTTCTTGTTTCCCCAAGGACAGTCGCCGGCGGCACTTGCGGCTGCAGCATTTATTTGGAGATAACTTTGTCACGAAATACATCGCTTTCATTATTATTTTCACATTGCTTTCGTATATCAATTTTGGGAAAAAAAGCATCATTCTATTTATAGCATTTTGTTTTTAGTAGTGGTATTTCCCATTGACAAAATATAGTAATTCTCGGTCACTGAAAATGTCAAATCCTAGAAAACATAGCATTCCTACGAGTGATGTTAACATCGTTCCCGAACAGTTGTTGGCCAAAGATTCACTGGATGAATCTGATTTTTCCGAAATAGATTATTCTGATGATTCAGACGATTCCCATGTTAGTTCTGTTTAGAAATAATTCCAAGAACAGTTTTTATATTTTATTTTCACATTGAAAATCAGTTATATTTGCTTCAGCCTCAAATAGTGTGTTTATGTAAAATTAAATGAGCGCTGACAGTGAGCTGCACCTTTTATTTTTTTTTTATTTTTATTTTTATTTTTTTTTGAGACAGAATCTCGCTCTGTCGCCCAGGCCGGACTGCGGACTGCAGTGGCGCAATCTCGGCTCACTGCAAGCTCCGCTTCCCGGGTTCACGCCATTCTCCTGCCTCAGCCTCCCGAGTAGCTGGGACTACAGGCGCCCGCCACCGCGCCCGGCTAATTTTTTGTATTTTTAGTAGAGACGGGGTTTCACCTTGTTAGCCAGGATGGTCTCGATCTCCTGACCTCATGATCCACCCGCCTCGGCCTCCCAAAGTGCTGGGATTACAGGCGTGAGCCACTGCACCCAGCACACTTGGCTCTTCATACAGAGCACAAAGTTCAGAGACTGGAGTAGAAGTCGATTTGAGTGAACTGAGATGCATAGAGACTTGTTTTTTGATGGAAGGAGAAAAGACAAGGGCCTTGGCTTTGTTCTGTTTTTGTCAGTTCGTGTCTGGTAGTGTGGGAAGACTGCCACAAAACAGCTTAGCCATGGCTTCAGTCTCCAATCACGGTCAATGGACTCTGAGCCCTTATAGAGAAAAAGCTCACAGGTGTGAAGCAGAAAACAGTGGAGGAGTTCAGGGAAGATTTGTAAGACACTGATTCTCTAAGTACCGCTCCAGGGTTTCAGTGACAGGCTGTGGAGAGCCTCCACTGCCCTTCCAGGTCACTTCACACCCCTTGCATGCCTATTTCAGCATTGGCCTCGAGTGTGGAAGTGCATTCCCCAGAAGAGAACCAAGTGTGGCCAGTGCTCCAGGCTCTCCTAACAGCAGAGGAATGAGAGAGTTCTATCATAATTCTGCACTGGAGAGATAAGTTGGAATGGCTTCTAAAAAAATAAAGATGTTTTGAAAATGAAAGTTTTACTTTTTAAAGAAATATCAATGGCATTTTATAATCTTAGCCAAGTATGAGAATAATGAAATTAATTTATATTTTACCACCCATCATTCCCAGAAACATTTTTATAGTTACCCTTCCTAGAAGTTCCAATGACATGTTCAACAGCTTATTTTCCTGTACTGCTGCTAATATGCATACCAAGAAATGTCTTTCTTTGTTTGGTTCAACTGATTGTATAAAGCCTTCTTGATTATATTACTCAGAATTGTAACTGCTGCTTCCTGGGTGCCAAGGACCTTTATGAAGAAGTTAATTAGCTATTTCCTTTTAAAGGATGTTCAGACATCTGCAGAGAATAATTAATCCAGTGTTGTGTTTCCAGTGTATATATATCACATAAAAGTAGACAAGAATGATTTTTATGTTAGCGATGTCTAAGGGTCCAAGGTTGAATTACGTGGTTATGTGAAACTTGCTTGTGGATGGTTCTTTCTAAGAACGGCTTCAGTGACCATCACCTGTCCCTCCCTCCAATGTGAGGACAGGCTCTGCAATGTCCTCAATGTTATCAATGAAAGGTGTCCTTTAGGTAGCAATTTGAGGATGGGGGTGAAATCATGCCCATCCCCAAGCAAAATGCATATTGCATGGAACATTGGTTTTCTCTCTGTTTCTCAAAATTTTCATGCTTACTCCCACCTCAGAGTCTTTGCACATGCTGTTGTTGTTCCCTTTGCCTGAAATGCCCTTCCTCCAGATCTCCAAAGGGCTCAGAGACTTTTGTCATTCTGGTGGGTGCTCAGATGCTTCCTCCTCAAAGAGGCTGTCTTGGACCTTCCCCTCCATGGTCAATCCCATTGTCCTATTTCATTTCCTTTCTTTTCTTCTTTTTTTTTCTTTTAGAGACAGAGTCTCGGTCTGTCGCCCAGGCTGGAGTACAGTGGCATGATCTCAGCTCGCTGCAACTTCTGCTTCCCAGGTTCAAGTGATTCTCATGCCTCAAGCTCCTGAGTAATTGGGATTACAGGTGCATGCCACGACGCCTGGCTAATTTCTGTATTTTTAGTAGTGATGGGGTTTAGCCATGTTGGCCAGGCTGGTCTCAAACTCCTGGCCTCAAGTGATCCTCCCACCTCATCCTCCAAAGTGCTGGGATTACAGGTGTGAGCCACTGTGCCTGGCCCCTATTTCACTGTGTTTATGACATTTATAACTATCTGACATTATTGTATTATAAGTTTCCTTTTGTATCTTAAGACTTATAATATTATTTTTAGATAGTTGACTTAGGACCAAAACTGAGGACAAATAAATTGTTATATACCCCTAAATTCTAAAATTAGCTCTAAAAAGTCAAGGCCAAGCCCCTGTCTTGGGTCTGACTAAATGGCTGCAGATCTGGCCCTGTTATCCTCAGCAGACAGGGCATAGGGATGGGGTTTCTGGGAAGGAAAGGGGAAATGGAAAGAGCGATAGGGAATCAGGGATCACTGGCTCCATGTAATGGTGGGTGGTTACTTTCTCCATCTCCACCATCATCCTGCCTAGCCATGTGACCCTGGATCTTCAACAGGATTATTCCTAGGGTTTGGGGATTTAGTTGAGAGGAGGCTGTCCATCAACTCCCTGGAGAGATAATTGACTAAGCTTCAGAATGAGCAGGTTTGCACTGTGTAGATAGCTGAGTGGAGTGGAGGGTGGCAAGGGAGTAACTATAAGAGCTTAAAATGTGTCTGGGGTCATTAGCAAGCAACAAGAGTGTTGTCTGCCTCTCACCTGGAAATGTCTGGAGGTGGGAAGCTTAATGGAGCAGACGGGCCAAAAAGATGAGTAAGGACTATAATCTGGTTTACTGGGGAGGATAGGCACTCCCTGTGGTCCACAGAGGGCCTCAGGGGTTCCTGTTGCACAGGTCCAGGAGCACAGAGGTTCAAGGAGAGCACAAGAGTTGCAGTACTGACCAAGTGACAAGGGAGTTATCCCCACCTGGAAAGTGCTGGAAGGAGCTCAGTGTCACAAAACATGCCCATGGTTTACACCAAGGCCCTGTCATTGGCAGACGGTCTAGCAGATGCTTTTCCAATGAAGAATTATTGAACCAGCTCAACTCAGAAGTATGATGCAATAGCAACAGGATGCCTCAGCACTTCACTATCAGCTAGAAGCTTTGTCTAAAGCAGGATGTCTAGTCAATTCCTGGCATGCCTTGATGACCATTTCATAGCAATCCTAGACATGGAAAGAATTCTAGATGTCTTAAGACATGTGTACAAGATTGTACTGAAACAGATGTTTTTTAAATGTGAAGAAAAGATTTTAAACAGGAGTATGACTCAAGAGGGAAGGGCGTTTCTCAAAGTGCTTGAGGCAGAAAAGGAAGTCTCTAAAACAACCCAAATGGTTCCCCAGGGAGCTTTCCCGTGAGTGTACACTTTAAAGGTCAGGCACATAAAGTTAAATGAGCAATAGATAACTAAAAATGAAGGCAAAAGGTGTCTTGTGAAAGCTAATGACTGGACTAAATTAATACCCATGCAAGTGAGGAAACCAAAAGCATCATATTTACTCTCAGAACCGATGAGCAAATATGGCCCAGAACAATGTTTTGGCAACATGGCGCAACACTGACAGGTGAAAGAGATGTCAGAGTTTCCTTCCTCTTATTTCCTTTCCATCTCCTTCTTTCCACTTTGGGGCCAATGTACATCAAATTAGGTGAGTGTGCGAGAAGCATTATTGAACAAAAACTTGAATTTGAATAAATGGAGACAACTGTCATGTTCCTGAATCACAGATGATAAATCTTCAGTTTTTGCCAAAGTTATATATAGAGTTAATGCAAATTCCTATTAAAATTCCCATGAAATTAATTTATATTTTACCACCCATTATTCCCAGAAACATTTTTATAATCACCCTTCCTAGAAGTTCCAATGGCATCTTCACAAGCCATATATCTATATCTAATATATTCCCCAAGGCCACTGTTCAAGAATAATCATGCCACACAGTTCATTACAGCTGAAAACTGAAAATAATCCAGCAGGATATGTAAACAAATCGTGGATTCATACAGTGGAATACTGTACAGCAACTGCACATTACAACATAGATGAATTTCATAGACATAATGTGCTGTAAAATGAGCCAGACACAAAAGAGTACATACTGTATACCTCCATTTACATAAAGTTCAAAATCAGGCAAAACCAATCTAGGTTTTAGTTAGGATGGTGGGTACCCTTGGGAGGTAAACACTGGAAAGGGCAGAAGGGGTTCTTGATTAGGGAACTAGTTGGGGAGGTATTAATTTTGTGAGAATTCAAGTGTACACTTGTGATTTGTGTATTTCTCTGCATGTATGCTATACTTCAATAAGATGTTTATATAACTTACAAGTAAAGAAACATTTCCGTGGGATTTTGTTTTGGAAGTTGACCAAACTCTTCTGCAGTTTATTTTTAAAATTATAAAGGTAAATGTGTATATTGTGGTTGTCCAAAGAAAGAGAGAGTAAAAGTAATTGTCCATGTGATTATGGAGGCTGACAAGTCCCAAGATCCACAGACGGCAAATTGAGAGCCAGTGTTGGAGTTTCAGCCCAAACACCGGCAGGCTTGAGACCCAGGAAGAATTGAAGTTTTGGTTTGAGTTCGGAGGCAGGAAAAACTGATGCCTCAGCATAAAGGCAGTTGGGCAGCAGCTCCCCCTTGCCCTGCCTTGTGTGTTTTATCCAGGCCATCAGCTGAGGATGAGGCCCACCCATGTTGAGGAAGGCCATCTACTTTACTTAGTCTATTAATTTACACGTTAATCTCATCCAAAACCAACCTCACAGACACACACAGAATAATGTTTAACCAAATATCCACGCACCCTGTGACCCAGTCAATTTGACACATAAAATAAACTATCACAAATCAACCCATTGCCAACTTGGCACTCATATGCATCTCTTTAAATCATACTTATTCTCCAAATAAAGAACATAAATAACAAGGTTGTAATTCCATCTAACATGATACAACAATCCTGTGTACGAATAAAAATGCACTAACCAGTTTTCCATCAGAGGATGCAAAGTCCTTGAGTGATGATTACTGTTCTCCTTGATATCTAATAACTTAAATATGTGATAAATACAATGTAGAATTAACAGTAATTAAGTACTATGATATGAAGTCAGTACGTCTTCTATTACATGATAAGGGAATAAGAGAGGGAAGAAAAAGTTGTCTGCTTAATACACACATGCATAAACACACAGATATACACACATATTCCTAACAAAATAAGGAAGAAATTTTCATAACAATTATAGTCTTCTTTTCTGTAACTGGTCATGTGGTCACAGATGGTATTTATAACTGCCTTGTTCCACTACTCATTGTATTATTCCCTTTGCCTTCAGCAAGCACCTCAGGATATCACAGGTCTTTATTGGTGCAGTGACCCAAACCTTTATTCTTGAAGGGTCTGGATCATTAGTAGTCCTGCCTGGATTGGGTTGTTGTAGTTTTCCACTGACCTTAATCACAGGGGTTGGCAAAACTAAGACACTCCATAAGAGATCCCCTATATTTCAAACTTTCTCTTCTTCCTTACCTTGAAAGCCAGGATCAATCATTCCAGCCAACACAGTAACTCCCTTCTTTGCCTGTTGACTCAGAGGCATGAGGAGCCCAAAGTGGGCAGCAGTCTTCACTTCCAGATCAATGGAATCATTGTTGTGTCTCCTGGTCAAAGCATTCCTCTCTCTGGAATCAAAACCTCTAGGCCAGCAAAACAAAGTCATGGGAATAGGAAGCAAAGATTTTGCTAGTGGGTCACTTAGGGGTAATAGTGAATGGTGCCTCTCTCATTTCCACCCCTTGATTCCTGGACCTGAGAATCTTGGCTATGGAAGAAACAGCACCATGTTTTGGACCTGGATTCAGAGCATTTAACACCTTCTAGAGAACTTTTCCCCAGCTCTACAAGTTCTGGCCGCATATTTGGTGTGTAACTGAGTCTTCAATAGGCTATTCTACCATTTCATCAAGCCAGCTGCTTTAGGATGATCATGACCATTGTAAGACCAGTGAATCCTGAATCCCATGGGCATGAGCCATTGCCACATTTTATTTCTTGTGAAGTGAGTTCCTTTATCAGAAGTAATGCTGTGCAGAATACCATGACAGTGGACAAGGCATTCTGTAAGTCCACAGACAGTGGTTTGGCAGAAGTACTGCATGCAGGAAAGGCAAATCCATATCAGACTAAATGTCTGTTCCAGTAAGAATGAAACTATCCTTCCCATGATGGAAGTGGCCCAATATAATCAACTTGCCACCAGGGGATTGGCTGACCACCGTGAGGAATGGTGCCTTATTGAGGGCTCAGTGTTGGCCTCTGCAGCTAGCAGTTGGGCACTCAGAAGTGGCCATAGCCAGGTTGGCCTTGGAGAGTGAAAATCCACATACTGGAGCCATGCATATTCTCCATCCCTACGTCCATGTCCACTTTGTTCATGAGCCCATTGACCAATAGCAGGAGTGGCTGGAGACAGAGGAAGACAAGTATCCACAGAACAGGTCATCCTTTCTACTTGATTATTGAAACCTTCTTCTACTGAGTTCATCCTTTGGTAGGCATTCACAAGGAACACAAATATCTTCAGTTTTTAAAAACAATTCAGAGAGATCTATTCACATACCTCTTCCCCAAATTTCCTTGCCACCAATTTTCCAATCACATTCATTCTAAGTTGTTGGGCAATCTAGCCAAACCAAAGGCCACTGTTCATGAATTGGTATATAATCACATATCTGGCCATTTCTCTTTCCAAGCACAGTGAACAACCAGGCACACTACTCCAAGTTCTCCCTGCTGGGAAGATTTCCCTTCCCCACTGTTCTACAGGGATGTCTCAGGGAGGGGCTGCAGTGCTTCAGCTATTTGCTTTCATGTGACGCCCGCAGAACCATCCATAAATCAGGCCCATTTTCCTTCCTCTTTCAAATGATGGTAAGGAACTCCCCATGAGGCCATAGGCGCAGGCTGGGATAAAGAAGGCAGTGTAGCATGAGTGGAGTCCACATCTTCATGTAACTTACTTGTGCCTTCAGGGCCTGTACAGGTGTGATCACATATATACCATTCCATTTGATGATGGGGTATTGCTGTGCAAGCCCAACTTTAGGGCTTGGTGGGTCAGATGATACCATACCCAGTTCATGAAGGGCAGTCAGGCCAAATGATAACTTGGTGGCCCACAGTTAAGCATTCAATATCTACTAAGGCTCAGTAGCAGGCCAAGAGCTGTTTCTCGAAAGGGGAATAGTTATCCACAGAGGATGCTTCTAAAATTCTAAGGGCCTGTGCTACCCATAGGGACCTACAAAAGGCTCCAAACGGCATCCCTGTCTGTCACTGACATTCAGGTACCACTGAATCTGCTGAATCATATGACCCAAATGGCAGAGCAACTTGTGCCACAGTCTGGGCCTATTGCCCAGCTTTCTCTTGTTCTGAGTTCCAACTAGCAGATTTTTAGGGCACTCAGTAAATGGACCACAGTAACACACCCATATGAGGAATATGTTGCCTTCAAAATTCAAAGAGACCTACTAGGCATTGTGCTTCCTTTTTGGATGTAGGAGGGGCCAGATGCAACAACTTACCCTTCACCTTTGTTAAGATATCTTGACATGCAATATACCACTGGACCCTTAGACATTTTGCCAAGGTAGAAGGACCTGAATTTTTGTCTGATTTATTTCCAACCCTCTGACACAAAAATGCCTTACCAATAAATCTAAAGTAGTTGTTTCTTCTTGGTCACTAGGTTCGATCAACATGATGTCATCAATGTAATGGACCAATGTGATATCTTGTGGAAGGGAAAGGTGATTAAGATTCATATAAACTAAATTATGACATACGGCTGGAGAGCCTATCTACCCCTGAGGTAGGAAGGTACCAGGGAATGTGTTAAATTGCTCAAGCAAGGAAGCCACATCTGGCACAGCAGCTGCAATTAGAGTTACAATCTGGTTGAACTTAGGATGATTCACTGTCATTCTCTAAGATCCAGCTGTCCTCTCCACAGGCTGAATAGGTGAGTTGAATGGGGACGTGGTGGGACTCACCGCCCTTGCATCCTTCAAGTTTTTGATGGTGGCACTAATCTCTGCAATGCTTTGAGGAATGTAGTATTGCTTTCAGTTTACCATTTTCCTAGATAAAGGCAGTTCTTGTGGCTTCCACTTGGCCTTCCCACCATGGTAGCCCTCATTCCATGGGTCAGGCAACCAACAGGGAATTCTGCTAGCTGCTGAGTATATCCGTGCCAATTATGCATTCTGGAACTGGGAAAATAAGCACCAGATGAGTTTAGGGATCCACTGGATCCACTGTGAGATGAACTTGAGCTAAAACTGCACTAGGTACCTAACCTCCATAAGCCCTTACTCTGGCTGGTGGACCACAGTGATATTTAAGGTATCCTGGAATCAGTGTCAGTTAAGAGCCAGTGTCCAGCACCCCTGAAAGGTCTGATTATTTCCTTTTCCCTAGTGGACAGTTACCCTGGTGAAAAGGCTGTAGGTCCCTTTGGGGAAGGCTAGGAAAAAGTCAACAGGATAAATTTTTAGCAGTGTACTAGGGTCTTTCCACAAAAAAGACCTAGCCTCCCCTTCATTCAAGGGGCTCTGGGTCTGTAAACTGGTTCAAGTCTGGAAAATAATTGAAGGACCATGATTTCTGCTCATCCAGAAACACTGTCATAGACACATTCAGAAAAATGTGTGACCAAATATTTGTGCACCTCACTGTCCAGTCAGGTTGACACATAAAATTTATCATCACAGTAGGCAGGATTTGAAGATGGGCCCAAGATTCCTGCCCCCGCCCCCAGTATAAATACCTTCATCTCCCCTTCAGTGTGGGTAAAACCTGTGGATATGATGGGTATCACTGTTGTAGAAAAAAACCTGGTTCTTGTCACATGACCAGGAAAAGTTAGGCATGCAGACACTTTGAAGGGTGAGGGTGAATGGAGTTTATTGGACAAAAAGGAAAAAAAAAAAAACTCTCAGCAAAGCAAGAGAGGTTCCTGTTAACAGGCCGCCGTCTCACAGATTGAATGCCCAGGTCACCACCGAGGAACAAGAGAGGACAGGCTCCTTTCCTCTGCAAACACGTGAACTTCCTGAGGCTCCACTCTGTCCTCCCAGTGCTCAGGTGGGCATTATTCAGAAAGAATCAGTCGGGAAAAGGGCAGGCTTCATCCAGGACCAGCAGTTCAGTTCTTCAGCCTTCAGGCAGTGGGGGGTCGGTGGGGAGCCTTGGCTGCCTCCTGTCTTTGTCATCACTAACATGATTATGTCACAAATCAGTTGACATTGAGTTACTCAAAAGGGAGATCATCCTGAGTGGACCTGACACACTCAGAGAAGCCTTTAAAAGAAGATAAGAGGCTGGGCGCGGTGGCTCATGCCTGTAATCCCAGCACTTTGGGAGGCCGAGGCAGGCAGATGACAAGGTCAAGAGATGAAGACAATCCTGGCCAACATGGTGAAACCCTGACTCTACTAAAAATACAAAAATTAGCTGGGTGTGGTGGTGCGTGCCTGTAGTCCCAGCTACTTGGGAGGCTGAGGCAGGAGAATCACTTGAACCAGGGAGTCGGAGGTTGCCGTGAGCTGAGATTGCGCCACTGCACTCCAGCCTGGCGACAGAGCAAGACTCCGTCTCAAAAAAAGAAAGAAAGAAAAGAAGATAAGAGTGAGAGCGCTGTTGACTGGAGGCAGTCATGAGCTGTGTTCCATTGGCAGAGAATGACTAATGGCCTCTAGGAACTGAGCATGGCCCTCATCTGACATCTACCAAATCCTGACCCACAGAAACTATGAGATAATAAACATGTGTTGTTTTAAGCCACTAAGTTTGTGGGAATTTATTACGTAGCAATAGAACATTAATACATTAAGAACTGCTTAGAAAATTTTGAAAAATGTCAAGAAGGGACTTATTATACTAGATATTAAAACTCACTTTAAAATGTTGATCATCAAAATGGTGTCATTTTTTACACCCAAAGGTTGTATACAGAAATCACCAGAAAAGAACACGTATTCCTATAACCAACTGTGCGTATGCATATATAAATATTGTGTCTAACATAAAGGAATGGCTTTCAACAGCATTATTGGAAAAATTGGCTAAATATCTGGTGGTAAAATTAAAATTATAACCTCACCTTACAGCTATGGGAGAAATACTAGAGTTAAATCTAAAAGATAAAATTATGAAAAAATACCAGAGATGGAGAAAGATTTATAAGGGCAAAATATGACAACATATACCATGAGCCTTAATAAAATTTATTTTCCTAGGTCTAGTTATTTCACATCTAGGAAAATGTACCCTGAGAACTCAGAAATCAGACAGATTTGAATAAGAATTTTTTATTTCAGCATCATTTATAATTTCAAAAAAATCCAACAATAGAGAAATGCTCAGATAAATTATAATATAGTATATAATATAATAGTATACAGTCTTCAGAAAGAAGAGACTAAATACATTAGACAAAATATTTTTACCAAGTATTTACTGTAAAAGAAAACTTTTACTAACTTACAACGTTAAGTGAAAAAACACACACACACACAAAAAGAAAAATTTGCAAAATAGCAGATCGGAGGCACTGTTAGCGTGCCTCTCCCACTTGGAAAGACAAAATAGCGTGCAGATATTCACACTGGGATCTTTTTTCCAAGAAGCAATGCAGGAACCTAACAGGAAAAGTGAAAGAAACCACAGATCCTTTGGACAAAGTGGCGCGCTGCAGCCTAAACTCTGAGCCAGGCAGAAAACTCCAGAATGTGAGAGGGAGAGAAAGTCCCCAGAGTGTGAGAAGGGGAGAAGCTGCCTTTGGGAGGTACACCCCCACTGGGGAACCTGGCAATCCAGGCCATGGGGGACAGCCTTGACCCTACCCAGTGCTGGAGCTGATTGAATGAGCAGCAGGAGTATATGAGAAGGAATAGCTTTGAAACGTGTGGTGTGTGCACTCTCCTACTCCAGAGGGGATGGATGGAAGCTGTTCCTGATCCTCCATCACAGGGGACACTGTGGAAATCGGCCAGCTAACTTAGGTGGCAGTCAGAGGTTGAGAGAAGCTCCCAACTGAGATTTACGGTATAATCTTGACTAGGGATAAACCCCCTTGGCCAGAACTGAGGGACGAATGGGGAGTGCATTGTAGCCACAGGTGCAGGAGCTGGGTGCCCCTTCTTCATGGGCAGAGTGGGAGGGGCGGTGCCTGAAAGCCGTGCTGTCTTGGTGGGGAAGGCTTATGGCCTGGGATAGTTTTGAGTCTGAAGCGCAGACAGTCTGGAACTGGAGGTGTGAAACCTGCCTTGCCAAGTGCATAGGAGCTGGTGGGGCGTATTGCCACCTGTTACTCCCTACTTCCTATGCGGAATTTTCTGTGCAGCAGAGGCAGCTGTGCTCCTCCTTGGAACATTACCCCAGAGGCCAGAGAATTGCCCTCAGATACCCACTGGGGCCACTGCTTGCATCCACAGGTGGAGAGCCAGAGTGCAGACTTGCCTGACCCAGTCCCCACCTAGCTTTGCCCCTCCACCTGCCCTAGTAGCTTAACACAAAGGACAGAAACTTTTGGAAGTTCCATGGCCCTGCCCTTTGCCTGAGACATGAGAGTACTTCCCCGGGTAACAAACGTAAGGCAAGTGCAAATCCCACAGCTACCACTGCAGCTGGCAGTTTTACAAGCACCACCTCCTGGCGGAGGCCAGCTGACACAATCCATTACAGCATCTGCGGCAAAATAACATGGTACCCAGGAAGGAGGAAAATTGTGCATGACCTCAGCTATCACCATCGCCTGCTGGCTAATCGCCACCCTGGCTGATCAGGAGGTCTTGAGTGTGTTCTTGTGACCATTTCACTACTACTATAATTGGCACTTGAGAAAACCAACACACTAAGGCTGTTTATAGCCAAGGAATCTCACAGAATCTATGTCACTCCCCTGCTACCCTCATCAGAGCTGGTGCTGGGAGACTTGAGGACAGGTCACATCCACTGGGTCCCTTGTAGACATTCCCCACCACCAGCCTGGAGTGTGGAAGTCCCACTGGGTGGCTAGACCCAGAGGGGCAGCAGTATTCACAGTAGTCTGGCCCTCAGGGACTCCTACTCCACAACAGAATCCAGATGGCCGGCCTTGAGTTCCAGAACTTTTCACTTGTGGCAAGTTTCTTTCAGGCATGGGTGCTGTGCTGGGCTCAATGGGGAAAGTCTGTGGCTCTACCCCAACAGTCAGCAAGCTCTGGTGCTTGTGAAGGATCTCAGAAAAGGGGACTTCTTCTCCCCCTTGCCCACCACTGAAGACACAGCTGGGGCTTCTTTCACTGGAGCTTGGCATGGATGCATCCGTAAACAGCCTTTCTGGAACACTTCAGGGTCACTGCATCTGCACAGAAGAAGTGCCCTCCAGGTTAAGGCTTGCATGAGGGGTAGAGTCACAATCCCTCTCTATGTGGAGCATCAGCATTCCTGCAGATGAAAACAGCTGCCTGTCTGATCTGTATAGCCAGAACACTGAGTCAGGAGTGTGACTCGGAGGTGGATCACTTTTCTTCTGGCCTGGAAGGGGAGCTGAGGGGGTTCCCTCCCTTCCCCATGAAAACATCTCAATGCATTTCATTGAGAGCTCCTCCAGTCACCTCTGTCAAGGCTGGGACTCCTGCCCACCATTGGGTATTGCATTCACCCATCTGCTTTAGCCTCAGCTGTTTTTAACCCATGGACACATACCGACCTGAAGCCTGAACTGTTCAAACAAGTAAGTAAAATAGGAGGGAATAAAATAAATAAATTTAAAAAGTACACACCACTGGGGAATGAGATAAGCTTGCTTTCAAGAGACCTTTGCCATTCCAGCTCCACAGGAGACAGTGAACCTGCTCACACACACAGCACATTGCTACCATAACCAGCATCTGAGAAAACCAGCATTATAAAGACTTTCTATAACCAAAGAATTCATACAGAGTCTTCAAACCTGAAAGCATGCAGAGCCAAATTAGGTCACAGTAAACTATAAACATTAAAGTTACATCCTCAAGGTGGGAAAGAAATTTTAAAAGACAGATGAATAAAAAAATTCAAAAATCATTAGAAGAAACAGTCTACCTGAATGGCAAGAAACCAGAAAAATAGTTCTAGCAATATGACAAAACAGGGTTCTATAACATCCCTAAAAGATCACACTAGTTCTCTAGCAGTGGATCCAAACACAGATGAAATCTGAAATACCGGATAAAGAATTCAAAAAGATGATTATTAATTTACTCAAGGAGATACAAGAGAAAGGTAAAAATCCAAATAAATAAATTGACAAAATAATTCAGGATATGAATAAAAAATTACTAAAGAGATAGATATTTAAAAAAATCAGAACTTCTGGAAATGAAAGACATATTTAATGAATTACAAAATGCAGTGGAAAGTTTTAACAATAGGCTAGGCCAAGTAGAAGAAAGAATTTCAGAGCTTGAGGCTTTTCAAATTAACACAGTCAGACAAAAATAAAGAAAAAAGTATTAAAATTAATGAAAAAAGTCTCCAATAAATATGGGATTATATAAAATGACCAACCCTAAGAATCATTGGTGTTCCTTAGGGAGAAGAGAAATCAAACAGTTTAGAAAACTTATTTGAGTGAATACTTGAGGAAAACTTTTCTGGCTTTGCTAGAGATTTAGGGATCCAAAAACAAGAAGCTCAAAGAACTCCTGGTCAATTCACTTCAAAAAGAACATCACCAAGGCATGTAATTGTCAGGCTATCTAAAGCCAATGTGAAGTAAAGAATTCTAAGAGCAATGAGAAAAAAGCATCACATAACTTATAAAGGAAAATTTATTGGACTAACAGCAGACTTCTTGCAGAAACCTTACAAGCCAGAAGGGATTGGCATCTGATACGGTTTGGCTCTGTGTCCCCACCTAAATCTCATGTTGAATTATAATTCCTAATGTTGGGGGAGAAAACTGGTGGGAGGTGATTGGATCACGGGGGCAGATTTGCCCCTTGCTATTTTCATGATGGTGAGTGAGTTCTCATGAGATCTGGTTGTTTGAAAGTGTGTAGCACTTCCCCCTTTGCTGTCTCTCCTGCTCTGGCCATGTGAAGACTGTGCCTGCTTCTCCTTCACCTCCTGCCATGGTTGTAAGTTTCCTAAGGCCTCCCAAGCCATGCTTCCTGTGCAGCCTGCAGAACTACTAGTCAATTAAACCTCTTTTCTTCATAAATTACTCAGTCTCAGATATGTCTTTACAGCAGTGTGAGAAAGGACTAAAACAGAAAATTGGTACCAGAGAAGTGGGGCATTGCTATAAAGATACCTGAAAATGTGGAAGCAACTTTGGAACTGGGCACAATTTGGATGTCAAAAGAAGACAGGAAGATGAGGGAAAATTTGGAACTTCCTGGATACTTGTTGAATGCCTTTGACCATTCAACAAAATGCTGATAGTGATAGAGACAATGAAGTCCAGGCTGAGGTGGTCTCAGATGGAGATGAGGAACTTCTTGGGAACTGGAGCAAAGGTGACTCTTGCTATGCTTATCAAAGAGACTGGCAGCATTTTGCCCATGCTCTAAAGATCTGTGGAACTTTGAACTTGAGAGAGATGATTTAGGGTATCTGGTGGAAGAAATTTCTAAGCACCAAAGTGCTCAAGAGGAAGCAGAACATAAAAGTCTGCAAACTTTGCAGCCTGACAATGCAGTAGAAAAGAAAATCCCATTTTCTAGGGAGAAATTCAAGCTGGCTGCAGAAATTTGCATAAGTAACAAGGAACCAAATGTTAATCACCAAGACAATGGGGAAAATGTCTCCAGGGCATGTCAGAGATTTTCACAGCAGCCTCTCCCATGACAGGCCTGGAAGCCTAGGAGGGAAAAACAGTTTCTTGGGCCAGGACCAGGGCCCCCTGCTCTGTGCAGCCTCAGGACATGATGGCCTGCATCCCAGCTGCTTCAGCTCCCATCCTGGCTGAAAGGGGCTAATGTACAATTGCTTCAGAGGGTGCAAGCCCCAAGACTTGGTGGCTTCCACGTGGTGTTGAGCCTGTGGGTGCACAAAAGTCAAGAATTGAGATTTGGGAACCTCTGCTTAGATTTCAGAGGATGTAAGGTAACATCTGAATGTCTAGGCAGAAGTTTGCTGTAGGGGCAGAGTCCTCATGGAGAACATCTGCTAGAGCACTGCAGAAAGGAAATGTGGGGTTGGAGGCCCCACACAGAGTCCCCAGTGAAGCACTGCCTAGTGGAGCTGTGAGAAGAGGGCCACCATCCTCCAGACCCCAGAATGGTAGTATACCGTAAGCCTGGAAAAACCACAGACACTCAATGCCAGATGTGAAAGCAGCTGGGAGGGGAGCTGTACCCTGCAAAACCACAGGGGCAGAGCTGCCCAAGGCCATGGGAATCCACCTCTTGCATCATTGTGACCTTGATGTGAGACATGGAGTCAAAGGAGACCATTTTGGAACTTTAGGGTTTAATGACTGTCCTATTGGATTTTGGACTTGTGTGCACCCTGTGGCCCCTTTGTTTTAACGAATTTCTCCCATTTGGAATGGGTGTATTTACCCAATGCCTGTACCTCCATTGTATCTAGGAAGTAACTAACTTGCTTTTAATTTTACTGGCTCATAGATGGAAGGGACTTGCCTTGTCTCAGATGAGACTTCAAACTTGGACTTTTGGGTTAATACTGGAATGAGTTAAGAAGTTGGGGGACTGTTGGAAAGGCATGATTGTGTTTTGAAATGTGAGGACATGAGACTTGGGAGGAGCCAGGTATAGAATGACATGGCCTGGCTGTGTTCCCACCCAAATCTCATCTTGAATTGTAATCCAAATTGTAAACCTTATGTGTTGGGGGAGGGACCTTGTGGGAGGTGATTGAATCATGGGGGCAATTCCCTGATGCTGTTCTCGTGATATTGAGTGAGTTCTCATGAGATCTGATAGTTTTGTGAGAAGCCTTTCCCCCTTCACTCTGCACTTCTTTCATTCTCTCTCCTGCTGCCCTGTGAAGAGGTGCCTTCCTGAGACCTCCCCAGCCATGGGGAACTGTGAATCAATTAAACTTCTTCCCTTTATAAATTACCCAGTCTCAGGTATTTCTTCATAGCAGAATGAGAACAGACTAATACACCACCCAAATCTCATGGTGGTGGTGTATTATTTGGGAATTTTATTTCCCAAAGTTGGGAGAAGGAGCTGGTGGGAGGTGATTGGATCATGGGGGCAGTTTCCCCCATTGCTGCTCACATATTAGTGAGTGAGCTGTCATGAGATCTGGTTGTTTGAAAGTGTGTAGCACTTCCCCCTTTGCTCTTTCTCTTTCCTGCTCTGGCCATATGAAGACTGTGCCTACTTCCCCTGCACCTTCTGCCACGATTGTAGGTTTCCTAAGGCCACCCCAGCCATGCTTCCTGTGCAGCCTGCAGAACTGTGAGTAAATTATACCTCTTTTTTTCATAAATTATCCAGTCTCAGGTATGTTTTTAATAGCAGTGTAAGAATAGACTAATACAGAGCCCTATTTTTAGCCTTTTTAAGCAGAATAACCGTCAGCCAAGAATTTTATGTCCAGTGAAACTCAGTTTCATAAATGAAGGAGAAATAGTCTTTTTCAGACAAGCATATGCTGAGGGAATTTGTCACTACCAAACCAGTCCTACACAAAATGCTAAAAGGAGTTCCAAATCTTGAAACAAGTGGGTAATATGCACAAGAATAAAACCTCTTGAAAGCATAAAACTCACAGGGCCTATAAAACACAATAACACAAAGAAGAAAACAAAGTATCTAGGTACCAATCAACGTGATGACTGGAACAGTACCTTACATCTCAATATTAAAGTTGAATGTTAATGGTCTAAATACTTCACTTAAAAGATACAGATTGAGAGAATGGATAAAAATATCATAAGCCAAATATGTGCTGACTTCAAGAGACACACCTAACACAGAAGGATTCTTATAGACTCAAGGTCAAGGGGGGGAAAAAGGTGTTCCACACAAATGGAAACCAAAAGTGAGCAAGAGTAGGTATTCTTAGATAAAACAGACTTTAAAGCAACAACAGTAAAAAAGACAAAGAAGTTCATTACATAATCATAAAAGGATCAATCAGATCAATTCAACATAAGTTATTACAATCCTAAATATATATGCACCTAACTCTGGAGCTCCCAGATTCATTTAACAATTCCTACCAGAACTAAGAAAAGAGATAGATAGCAACATACTAATAGTGAGGGACTTCAACACTTCACTAACAGCACTAAACAGACAATCAAGACAGAAAATCAATTAAGAAATACTGGACTTAAACTGCACTATAGAACAAATAGAACTAACAGATATTTTACAGAACATTTTACCGAAGAACTGCAGAATATATATTATTCTAATCAGTACATGGAACATTCTCCAAGATAGACCACATGTTAGGTCATAAAATAAGTTGCAATAAATTTTTAAAAATCAAAACTATATCAAGTATCTTCTCACACCACCATGGAATAAAACTACAAATCAACTTCAAAAGGAACACTCAAAACTATACAAATACATGGAAGTTAAATAATCTGTTCCTGAATAATTTTTGGGTTAACAACAGGTTAAAAATTATTCAAAATGTATGATAACAGTGACACAAGTTATCTAAACCTCTGAGATACAACAAAAGCAGTGATAAGAGAAAGGTTTATAGTATTAAATGTCTACATCAAAAATTCTGAAAGACCACAAATTGCCAACCTAATGTCACACCTCAAGAAACTAGAGAAACAAGGATAAACCAAACCCTAACTTAGCAGGGGTAAAATGAATTACAAAGATCAGAGCAGAACTAAATACAATTAAAACAAAAAATACAAAAGATCAATGAAACAAAAATTGGTTCTTTAAAAAGATAAACAAAATTGATAGACCATTATCAGCTAGATTAACCACGAAAAGAAGAGACAAGATTCAAATAAGCTCAATTAGAAATGAAAATGGAGACACTACAACCAACACCATGGAAGTAGAAAAGATCATTCAAGACTAGTATGAACACCTCTTTGCACACAATCTAGAAAATCTAGATGAAATGGATAAATTCCTGGAAACACACAATCCTCTTAGCTTGAATCAGGAAGAAATAGAAATGTTGAGCAGACCAATAACAAGCAATGAAATTGAATCAATAATTTAAAAATTGCCAACAACAACAACAACAACAACAAAAATCCCAGGTCAGATGGATTCACAACCAAATTCATTCAGACATTCAAAGAGGAATTTGTGCCAATCCTACTGAAACTTTCCAAAAGATTGAGAAAGAGGGAATTCTCCTTAACTCATTCTATGAAGCCAGTATCACCCTGATATCAAATCCAGGAAAGAATATAACAAAAAAAAGAAAACTACAGACCAATATCTCTGATGAACATAAGGGCAGAAAATCCCCAACAAAATCTAGCAAACTGAATCCAACAGTACATCAAAAAGGCAATGTATGATCAAATGGATTTTATTCCGGGGATGCAGGGATGGTTCAACACACACAAGTCAATAAATGTGACTCATTACATAAATAGAATTAAAAACAAAAACCATATGATCACCTCAATAGAAACAGGAAAAAAACTCAATACAATCCATCATCCCTTTATGATTAAAAACTCTCAACAAACTAGGCATAGAAAGAACATACTTCAAAATAATAAAAGCCACATATAACCAGCCCACAGCCAACATTATACTGAATGGGGAAAAGTTGAAAGCATTCCCCCTAAGAACAGGAACAAGACAAGGATGTTCACTTTCATCACTTCTGTTTATTATAGTACTTGAAGTCCTAGCCAGAGCAATTAGGAAAGAGAAAGAAATAAAGGGCGTCCAAATTGGAAAATATGAAGTCAAACTATTTCTGTTTGCCCATGATATGATCATATAACCAGAAAACCCTAAAGACTCCTCCAAAAGACTCCTAGATTTGATAAATAAATTTAGTAAGGAATCAGGTTACAAAAGCAACACATACAAATCAAGAACACTGCTATCTACCAACAATAATCAAGCTGAAAATAAAATCAAGAACTCAATCCCTTTCACAATAGCTACAAAAACAAAAAGAAAACCCTAGGAATCTACTCAACTGAGGAGGTGAAAAATCTCTACAAGGAGAACTACAAAACACTGCTGAAATAAATCATAGATGACACAAACAAATGAAAATACACTCCATACTCATGGATTGGAAGAATCAGCATTGTGAAAATGACCATACCACTCAAAGCAATGTACAGATTCAATGCAATTTCTATCAAAATACCAACATCATTTTTCACAGAATTAGAAATAACAATTCTAAAATGCATATGGAATCAAAAAAGGAATTCTATGCAAAAATAACAAATCTGGAGACATCACGATAACCCAACTTCAAACTATACTACAATATACTAACTGTAGTTACCAAAACAACATGGTACTGGTATAAAAATAGATATACAGACAAATGGAACAGAACAGAAAATCCAGAAATAAAGCCAAATATTTAGAACAAATTATCTTTGACAAGGTATATGAAAACATAAATTGGGAAAAGGATACCTTGTTCAATAAATGGTTCTAGGAAAACTGGGTAGCCACATGGAGAAGAATCAAACTGGATCCCTGTCTCTCACCATATACACAAATCAACTCAAGATAGATTAAAGACTTAAATCTAAGACTTGAAATCATAAAAATTATAGAAGAAAATCTAGGAATATCTCTTCTGAACATTGGCCTAGGTAAAGAATTCATGACTAAGAACCCAAAAGCAAATGCAACTAAAGCAAAAATAAATCCATGGGACTTAATCAAACAGAAAACTTCTGGATAGCAAAAGAAATAACCATCAGCATGAACATACAGTGCACAGAGTGGGAGAAAACATTTGCAAACTCTGCATCCAAGAAAGGACTAGTATCTAGAATCTGCAAGGAACTGAAGCAAATCAGCAAGGGAAAATCAAGTAATTCCATCAAAAAGTGGGCAAATGACATTGAATGAACACTTTTCAAAAGCAGATATACAAATGGCCAACAAACATGAAAAAATGCTCAACAGCACTAATCAGCAGGGAAATGCAAATTAAAACCACAGTGAGTTACCAGCTTACCCCAGCCAGAATGGCTGTCATTAAAAAGTAAAAAAAAAAAAAAAAAAAAAAAAAAAGGTGTTGACATGAATGTGGTGAAAAGAGAATGCTTATACACTTCTGGTGAAAAGGTAAATTAATACAACTTCTATGGAAAACAGTACGGAGATTTCTCAAATAACTAAAAGTAGATCTACCATTCAATCCAGCAATCCCACTACTGGGTAACTACCCAAAGGAAAAGAAGTCATTATATCAAAAAGACACTTGGATGTGAATGTTTATCATGGCACAATTCACAATTGCAAAGATATGGAAACAATCTAAGTGTCCATCAACCAATGAGTGGATAAAAAAAGCATATACACACACACACACACACACACACACACATATAAATATAAATACCAACATCATTTTTCACAGTGTGTATATATATACACACACACACTATGGAATACTACTGATATGGTTTGGCTGTGTCCCCACCCAAATCTCATCTTGAATTCCCATGTGTTGTGGGAGGGACCCAGTAGAAGGTAACTGAATCATGGGGGCAGGTCTTTCCTGTGCTGTTCTTGTGATAGTGAATGAGTCTCATGAGATCTCATGAGATCTAAGGGGGAGTTTCCCTGCACAAGCTCTCTCTTCGCCTGCTGCTATCCATGTAAGACATTACTTGCTCCTCCTTGCCTTCCACCATGATTTTGAGGCTTCTTCAGTCATGTGGAACAGTAAGTCCATTAAACCTTTTTCTTTTCTAAATTGCCCAGTCTTGGGTATGTCTTTATCAGCAGTGTGAGAATGGACTAATAAAACTACTCAGCCATAAAAGAAAAATAATGCCTTTTGCAGAAACTTGGATATAGCTGAAGGCCATTATTTTAAGTGAAGTAACTCAGGAATGGAAAACCAAATACTGTATGTTCTCACTTATAAATTGGAGCTAAGCTATGAGTACACAAAGACATACAGAGTGGTTAATGGACATTGGAGACTCAGATGGAGGGAGGGTGGGAGGTGGGTGAGGGATAAAAAACTACATATTGGGTACAATTTGCCTTTAGGGTCTTAGTCATGAATTCTTTGCCTAGGCCAATGTCCAGAAGAGATTTTTCTAGGTCTATCTATCTATCTATCTATCTATTGCTATATAGATCTGCCATTTATATAGCTTTAGATAGATAGATAGGTAGATAGATAGATAGATATACAGATATATATATATATTTTCTTGTTCTTTTCTATAGAAGAGAATAAGAATGGAAAAAAAGAAAAAGAAAAAAGAACAGTAAGATTGCTTCAAGAATAAAATTATAAAATTACTTAAATATTACATGTTTATGTAGAATTTTAAAAATGTGTGTAAAAAAGAGAAAAAGAAAACACAAACTACCCATAATCCTGCCACCCAGGGCCAGTTGCTGTTATAATTTTGTTGAATATGTTTTCAGGCATTTTTTTAAATCCATATCTAGATATTTAAGTATAAGAAATAAAAAATGTAATAGTGCCTTTTGTCATATTTTCTAACATCCTTTTCACTGAATAACATATGATAAACATTTTTAAATAATAAATTTTATACTAAAATTTGGCTAGCTGCATAGCATTTCATTTTGTGCAAGGGATTTATTTAATCATTCCCAGATTGCCTGTTTTTTCACTTTTTCTTTTGCTATAATATTTAGCACTGTGAAGATCAATCTGGTAAGCACATCCTTAAGAAGTTACTTTAGGGATATTTTTAAGTCAGAAAAAATTATTAATGTTATAGTTTGTAATCAATATAACATTATAAACATGAATAGAAAATGGCCTCCAAGATGGTAGAAAATGTAATAAGAAGGTTACTTTAGTTTTTAATTTCCAAGTGTATAAAAACAACTTAAAATTTTAAAGAAATAAATGTGTGTAGTTAAGACGTCAAATTTCCCTGGAGGGTTTTTAGGAAAAGCAGCTCTATGAAGAAGGATGAAGCTTGTATTGTCTAATAAAAGAGTGGTGATCCGTCTTTATGTTTTGGAAACCCTAATATGAGAATGTGAAGATCATTTTTAGGGGATACGACCTCCTACAATCAGGCCTTAATTCTTTTGAATGTTTCTTTCAGTTTTTAAGAAAACAACTCTCCTTGTTGGAAGAGCAAAAACCTGTCTGTTGGGCATCTGCTTCCGGGTGAAGTTTAGCTTGGTCTGTTAGTCTATGGACTTCAATTATGCCCTTGTTCCATATTTAGTCCCATGACTCACCCTGACCCTCTGTTGTACCTAGAATCCTCAAATTCAAGCTTCATGTAGTTCTTTAGGGCAGATCATTTCCTTTCACAGATGCTCACTGTCTTAGTTCAACGTTGCTATCACAGAGTACCTGAGACTGAGTAATTTATAAAGAAAAGAGGTTTATTTGGCTAGTGAACCTGGTGGCTTCAAAGTCCAAGGTTGGGCAGCCCTTCTGATGAGGCTCTTGTTATGCTTCAACTCACAGCAGAAACATGGAAGGAAGAGGACATGTGTAGAGAGAACAAACACAAGAAGGGACTATCTGCTTTCTAGGTAACTAATCCAGTCCCATCATAGTAAGAACTTAATCCCGCAAGATGGCATTAACCTATTCATGGCAGATCCTGTCCCATAACCCAAACATCTCCCACTAGGCCCCACCTCCCAACACTGCCACCTTGGGAGTCAAATTTCAACATGAGTTTTCTTGTGGCAGATCACAACCAAACCATATCACTCACCTATCTCTACCTATTCTTGACTATTGTTTTTTCCACTTGGATCATTCACAACTCCTGCATATGATTTCCATTTTTCTAAAAATCTATTGAAATCTTGAATGAAATATTGAGTGTTTATGGTCTCCCCTTTCTCTTCTTTGTTGTGAGTTTATACATTGGTCAAGCAAATTTGTTCAAAATAAGGTTACTTTTTGAATCATTTTTTTTGTGCTATTTTCTTTTTATTATTTCAAAATGTAACGAGTCTTAATAAAACATTATAATAGGTAAGACCATGACAGAATTGTTTTCCCAATAAGAAAACCTATTAGCTGATAAAAGGAGAATAAATGTACTTATGAAACCTCTAATCAATGTGCTAATTGAAAAAGTAGTTCTTTTTCATTGTTGCCAGAACATAAGGATCATTACTGTAACTCATTCATTAGTCTCCAAAGAAGGAGATTGCTCAAACAACTTGACTTCTGGTATTCTTTTAGACATACTGTTCCTATAACACTTTCCCTTATGCATTCTAGCTGACCTAGGGGCAAATTAAAAATTATCAATATAACTAAGATTTCCTCTCTAATTTGCTGCTGTGACTCAGTGCAGTTCACTTTTTGGTGATTAATAAATAGCTAAGGCAACTTGCCCTGTGGACTGGCACAGGATTTCCTGTCTAGTCATCAATCCATTAATCTGGAAACATCAACTAAAATACAGTGTTATTATTGGGCAAAGGACTAGAAGGAGTATAAAATGTGCCCATAGGTAGAAAATGAAGAATTCAGCATCTATTTCCAGACTCCTCAAATTATGCTACTTGAAAATCATTACTGTACCATCACCTGTTAGTCTAGGAAAAACAAAATTAAGAACCATTGTTTGCTTCATATATTAATTGAATTTGTGAGGAGAAACCTAAACAGAGTATTTTAGAGAGTTCATGGCAATCATAGGCCACACTCCCAAGGGCTTTGGTTATTTTCATAACCTAACCCTGTGCCTCCCTAGAAGATCATAGTTCTTGGTGATTTTTGGATGGCTTTTGGTGGATTTTTTAAGCTGTTAAAATTTAGTTACGATTTTCTTAATTTTATTTTTACTTGTCTTCATTAATGAGGCAGAATAGCTAAATACTGGGGATTTATAGAGCTTGGCATTCAAATGTATCTCTTTATTCCAAGAAAGCTGCAGATATCATCTATGCTAATGCTTCCTAAGGTTGCCTGATTGTAGAAATCATTTAATGTGTGCATTGGTTAGCCTCAAAACTCAGTTGCTCAACGTGACCATCTGTTATTGCCTACAAATCTGTAGGCTGACTGCACTTCTGCCAACTGAGTAGTTGCCAGTCAGCTTGGCCTGGCTGATCTTGGTTGGGCTTGCTGTGTCTGCAGTCATTTCTCAGGCACAGTTGGATGGTCTCACTCATATGTCTGATAGCTAACTGGCTATTGACTGGGGTGACAAGGGCCACATGTCTTGAATAATTCAGCAGACTAGATTGGGCCTGCTCACACAGTGGCAGCAAACAAGAGCATAAGTAGAGGCAAGCAAGACCTCCTGAGGTCTAGCACAGCACCAGCC
Organism: Homo sapiens; assembly: GCF_000001405.40. Taxonomy (NCBI): domain Eukaryota; kingdom Metazoa; phylum Chordata; class Mammalia; order Primates; family Hominidae; genus Homo; species Homo sapiens. Next base: position 224,123,695 of record NC_000002.12, read on the forward strand.
CAGTGTTACTTCTGCCACACTCTTTTGGTCAGAGCAAGTCGCAAGACCAGCCCAAATTCAAGGGTGGGGAAACAGACTTCACAACTTTGGGAGAGGAGCAGGGATGATACATTGAAAGTGGCATGGATTCAGGAAAGGTGGAGAATTCTGACCATATTTACAAAACATCTATCTCAGGATACATGTTTAAAAATGCAGATTCCTAGGTTCTGCCACTGATATCAATGTCCCTTTTCAGATCAAACAAGCTTGTCAACTCTATTCAATACCAACCCCAATTGGTGCTCTCAGGAAACCTAGGGAACTGTCTAGTCTATTCCATCTTGCCCACAATCTCCCCTCTCTCTCTCAGATCGAAGACCTCTCACAACCCCATTTTCTGCAAAACAAGGTCAACTAGGCTGAACTTTTTAGCTCTCCTTTGGAAACATGGGGCAATAACATGTTCCGGGGATAGACTGTAGCTCATGGCATTTGTATGCCAATGTTACTAGCCATTGGTCAAATTTGGTTCTCAAAATATGATGCTATTAGCCCTATAACAAAGTAACTAAATTCATTCCTTCAACAAACATTTATTGAATATCTATCATCTACCAGACACTGTCAACATAAAGATATTAAACATAGCCTTTTGCTTAAACCTTGGTTTTACTAGAGGAAAGAAAAGGACTTTATTACCAGAAAACTTTCAGGAATGATTTGGAATTAGTGATATTAAGCAAAAAATATATTTTATTATGTAATTTGCCCTAAGCATTGACAAAAGGTTTTTTATCTTGAAAATTCATGTAACTTTTGTTATATAGAAATATTTTTTTTTAAAAAAAGAATTTAATGTTCAGGATCAAAATGAGCACTCTTAATTTTTGTATTCCTGTATTTTTCTTTCTTTGTTGGAGGTATCTTTGTTACTTGAAATTTAGTAAAATAAGGAGTAGAATAGATCTTAAAAATAATTTAAATTCACAATGTGACTCAGGTTGAAGAGAAAATTTTATTTCTTGCCAAGGAAATTGTTATAGATAAGATCATTTAAATGTTTATAGTGATTGAGCTATACCAGTGAGTTCTCATGTATTTACTAGTCTATAATAATCGTTCTTACCAGGCATGGTGGTGTGCACCTGTAGTTCCAGCTATTTGGGAGGCTGAGGTAATAACTTGAGCCCAGGAGTTTGAGGCTGCAGTGAGCTATGATTGTGCCTGTGAACAGACACTGCACTCCAGCTTAGACAACACAGACAGACCCCCATCTCTAAATATATATATGTGTGTTCTTAAATAATGAGATCTTTCTTCTTTTCAGAAAATTGTTATTGAGTGCCTATGAAATGCTAAAAGTTTGAGATATATCAGTGAACAAAACAAAGATCCTTGCTTTTGTGGAGCTTAATTCTAGCATATTGAAATTCAAAGGATTTCCTAACCTCTAAGGGTTTTGGCGGTTGGTAACTTAGTCAGCTTAGGCTGCTATAACAAAATACCATAGACCAGGCAGCTTAAACCATAGCTTAAACTCACAGTTTACAGGCTGGTAGGTCTAAGATCAAGGGTCTGTCAGATTTAGTTCCTTGTGAGGGCTCTCTCTTTGGGTGGCAGATAGCTGCCTTCTTGCTCTTGCTGTACCCTCACATGGCTGAGAGGAAACTCTGGTGTCTCTTTTTCTTCTTATAGGGGCACTAATACCATCATGGGGGCTCTACCCTAAAGACTTAACTACCTCCCAAAGGCCTCACCTGCTGTGTATTAGTCTGTTTTCATACAGCTGATAAAGACATACCCAAGACAGGGTAATTTATAAAGAAAAAGAGGTTTAATGGACTCACAGTTCCACATGGCTGGGGAGGCTTCATGATCATGGTGGAAGGCAAGAGGCACGTCTTACATGGCAGCAGACAAGACAGAATGAGAGCTAAGCGAAAGGGGAATCCCCTTATAAAATCATCAGATCTCGGGGGACTTATTCACTACCATGAGATTAGTATGGGGGGAACCACCTCCGTGATTCAGTTATCTCCAACTATGTCCCTCCCACAACATATGGGAATTATGGGAGCTACAATTCAAGGTGAGATTTGGGCGGGAACACAGCCAAACCATATCATCATATTGAAGTAAGACTTCAATACATGAGTTTTGGAGGAGACACAGACATTCAGTCCATAACAGTGACAGTACCTTGTACTCAAAGTAAAAAATAAAAATCAAGGGAAAGGTGAGACAAATATGGTGTTATAGGAGTCCTCATTTTGTAAATTTTCCCCCAGAAGGTTTTGATTTCTGAAGATATCAATTGCACCTCCCCTGAAACATAATCCATTTAAATTATGAAGTCCTGGAAAATAAGGATAGGAAATACTTTCCAAGGAGACCGGGGTTCTGAGAGTGTCTGGGGAGGAGCATGGGAATTTGGGTATTTATGGTTCCCAGAAAGGCCCAGCCTGGAGCCTCAGCAAGGAGGTGGTTATGTGAGGCGAGCAGCCCTCCAGATGCAGGGGCTCTCAGGCCAGGGCCCACAGGAAGCCGAGGGCGTGGCTGGCTGAGGCTGAAGGAAAATTCCAGGGCTGAGAGGCAGTGCCTTGGGGACGCCACAGTGTCTTCAGCCTGGGCTTCATTATACAAACAATAACAAAAAGCCTCAGACAACAACAACAAAATACTCTCAAAGTGGGAATATTCTGAAATGGAATAAAACAAATAATATCTAAGTAGTTTATTTTGTTAGAAAGAAAAAGGATGATTTCAGCCTTCAGGTCTTATTAATAAAAGAGCCTTCAGAGAAGAGAAAAGATATCTCAGAGGAAGCAAGAAAGATGCGATGAACCCCAGGGAAGGCTGTTTGGGGGAAATCCAAGTTTGGATGAAGCTGTGGCTGTGGAGGATGGTCTGGGAGTTACTGGCCTGAAATAGTCACGAGGAACCTGAGCAGAGAAAGAAGACTCTGAGATCAATCAGGAAAGCTTGAGCCCAGTGTGTGGTTTGGATCAGAGCACAGCTCAAGTCCAAAAAGCCAGTGAGGTTCAGGAGCTCGCGGTCTTCCTGACAGCCACATCATCCATCTCCTCTCCACACCCTTCACAGCCACCTCCTCACAGAACAGGCTACGGCTCATTTCTACCCAACGGCTGCCAATGTCTGTAGCTAATTTTCTTGTTTCTTTAGGCCCCTCAGATGTTGAGCGGATGAATAAATATTTAATCTGATCATCAGGATATATACATACATATCATGGCTTGTATCATGTATCTACCTGTATGTGCAAGGTACATATGATGAGAAATACTTGCGAGGCTAGAACTGACCAGGTAATCAACCCTGAGAGGAATCACAAAGTCAAGCTAATCTTAAAGGCAGGGTAAATTAGAAATTAGGCATCGGGATCTGGAGTCAAGCCTCTTTGGCTCTCCTCGTATCTCTAGCACTTCCTACTTGCGTGACCCCCGGTAAATCACTGAATTTCTCTTGATTCAGTTTCCCTTTTGTAGTTTGTGGAGTTTATGGAGTTGTCGGAGGGATAAATGAGTTTGTACACGGAGAGAGCTTAGAATGCTGTCTGCCCATATTATGGCACTCAATAAATGATGGCTGTAATTCCCTGCTTTGAACCAGTTGTCAAAATGGTCAGAGCAGTTTGTCAACAATTTAAATGCTTTCACATATGAAGCAGGTAACACCTATGCATAAAACCAGGCAGAGGTTTGTGTGAGTTGATGCATCCTTGTCTAGCTGAAATGAACAACGGCTGCCCAAATCTAACCCTTCTTGTCAGTATTGCCACATCTTGTGATTTGTCAAGACAAGTTGGGTATCAGGATTTTTGCATGAAACCTCTCAGTTTTTAAATACTGGAAACTATCTTAAATGTTTTTTAAAAACTCAGTGCAGCCCTGGCAAAATGTCCCTGCATCCTGTGTCCTACCCATGAACCAGAAGTTTGCCACCACTGATGAACGCGGTCTGACACAGTCCCAGATGTTTGAGCAGAAAGCATGACTGAAAAGATCTCTGGAGAAGCATTGAGAAAGACTTGCCATTAGAGAAGGGTTTTGATGTCTGTTTGTTGTTCAATGTCAAAGGCAAGCCTAACGCAAATAATGTGTTTTTCTTGTTCTTCTCAGTGAAGCAGCTGGGTTGATCCCTTCATCTGGTCATCAGACACATAGCCCTTCAGTGCTACACCACCTTAAAAATGAAACCTGAACGACTGTCCTTGGTGTTTATCTTGATCTGGGTTGATTTTCACCAGGCCACCCTGCTAACTGTTCCTCTTTGTCAGCTTAAGCACAGCTCAGCACATTTCCATCAAATCCTGCCCTGTCCAGTGCCTTGCTTGGAACACTGAGTTAAGTATTAAGAGGAAACAGATAAATGTGTTTGACCCAAAAGAACCTCCACGCAAAAGAATTAAACAGTAGACATAATTCAGATATTTGAGAACTGATTCAGGTCCAGCCTCATGAGACAGTGAACACTTTTGTAAAACTCACTTACCGGAGTTTTGGTTTTTGGTTTGGACATGTCTTCTTAAGTATGGCCTTTGTTCCATACTTATGATACTGACTCTTAACTTTTGAGATTTTGCAGATGTGTGGAATGGCGTAGGAAAGTGAAAAGTCTAATATAAGAGAAGCACTGTTGTAAGTTAAATGGATGTAATAAAAAGCATTCTGCATTTGAGAATCTAGTAACTTGGTTGTTGCCTGGCTAGGGGCCAGGTTCGCATATCTTGTTAGATATGTGAGCCTATTCAAGTTATTACTTCAGCTTGCAGTGAAATGAATCAATATTAAAACCACAGAGATTCCCACAGCAACTCAGCAGCTTATCTAATAACTTAACCTCACTCTCCTCATTTTCTTCTTGAAACTAATATCTGCTGGTTCATAAAACCGTTATATGCCTGCCTATCTTGCAGCCTCCTTCTGAGGAACGTGTCTTGGGAGTTTGAACTGTGGTGCCTTCCCACCTACTGCCAGGGACCCTGTCATCCTGACCATAACAGTCTGGCCTGGACCTCTGGTCTTTGTTGGAACGAAAAGGAACTATAAGGAAACTCAACAATGAGGCAGCTTGGTGTGAGGCTGCCTAAGAGTAGAGTTCTATAGTGAAAGGTGTCATACTGGCCCAAACATATCATCTCTCTTGGAAGCAGTGAATGAGAAATTCACCAGGGAGAGAAACAGGGAGTAAAAGATGTGCTTGTTCTGAGGGAAGCAGAACACCACTTGGGAGATGGGTTCTCAATTATTAGAGTGAATTGAGCCATTATTTCTCTGAGGAGACTGTTTTATAGTCATCATTCATTCATTCATCCATCAAAAGCTTGACAAAGCGAATGTTTGTTGACATCCTAGGCACTGTGGGGGACACATCTGGGCTCATTCTCAAAAGAATTTAAGTGGACCTGGGCAATGAGATATAAAGTTGAATTTCAATTTAGAAATTAAGTGACAGAAAATGAGTTGTGATTTTTAGCTTTCCCAGGACCATCCTCCTTTTGGGTTTTTCTTTTGAGTGTCAAACTTTTTTGATACTTCCCAAACTAGTTTACTTAAAACCACAAACTGCTCCTCTCCCCTCCCACTTCCCCTGCCCTCCCTTCCCCTGCCCCCCATCTTTCATTACACTTAGCACCTTCTAACATCGTGTAATGCTTATTTCTTTGCTGTATTCACTGATTGTCTATCTCTACAAAAACTTCAGCTCCACAAGGACAGAGACTCTTGTCTGCTAACTGACGTATTTCAAGTACCTAAAAGAGTGTCTAGAATATGACAGGTAAGTAAAGATTTCATGGATATTGAATAAATAAATCCTTTAAAATCATGGATGAAAATATTTCCAGAAGTTTTCTAACCTTCTGCCTTCTTAACTACAACATTCTGGGTAGATGGAAAACTTTTGGTGGGTTGTTATATTGAGCCACTCTTATTTTGCCTAATTTTTCTATTCCCTTCAGGACCTAATGAAGAAGGTAGGACTATTTTTCTCCTCTTTTTGGCTAATGGACTCCAGGAAGATGTACTATTTCAGTGTCAGTGTCGGTGTCAGCTTTTTCTTTAACATCAGCTGATCAGAGGTCCTTTCTCACCACCACCTGGAAGAACTTTTTTCTTCTACTTGGGAAATTCAGAGAAGGAAATCTGCAGGATTTGTGTTAGAAATAAGACTAAATAAGAACTAGAAATACCATTTGGCGCAGCAATCCCATTACTGGGTATATACCCAAAGGATTATAAATCATCCTACTATAAAGACACATGCACACGTATGTTTATTGTGGCACTATTCACAATAGCAAAGACTTGGAACCAACCCAAATGTCCATCAATGATAGACTGGATTAAGAAAATGTTGCACATATACACCAAGGAATGCCATACAGCCATAAAAAAGGATGAGTTCATGTCCTTTGCAGGGACATGGATGAAGCTGGAAACCACCATTCTCAGCAAACTATCACAAGGACAGAAAACCAAACACCCGCATGTTCTCACTCATAGGTGGGAACTGAACAATGAGATCACTTGGACACAGGGCGGGGAACATCACACACCGGGGCCTGTCAGGGGGTGGGAGACTGGGGGAGGGATAGCATTAGGAGTAATACCTAATGTTTAAATGATGAGTTGATGGGTGCAGCAAACCCACATGGCACATGTATACCTATGTGTCAAACCTGCACGCTGTGCACATGTACCCTAGAACTTAAAGTATAATAATAATAATAATAAAAAGACTAACTAAGTCAGACTTAACTTTGAGAGCCTATTTTCTAATTTCTAATTATCTTGACAATCTTTTAAGTTATGATTCATATAAAATGAGGACTAAGGAGCAGCCTCTTACCAAAATTTGCTCAAGTTCACATGGTTGATTTGTGGAAGGGATGGGACTTGACCAAGGTCTGCCTAGCTTTAAAATTCATACTTTTTTTTAAATCAAATAGCTTCTGTCATATTCTGGAAATGTGTTCCTTCAAGTTTTGTGTATAAAATTCCATTCATGAAACTTATACTGTGGCTCCCAGCCACTCATCAGACTTTTACTTTCTGGTTCTCAGTTTTGTTTTGTTTTCTTTTGTTTATTCCTACCGTTTTCAGAGAGGGGATCCCTTTTTTTTTAAGTCTCCTTATAAAGTTGGGGGTTTTGGCCAGGTGTGGTGGCTCACGCCTGTAATCCCAGCCCTTTGGGATGCCGAGGGGGGTGGATCACTTGAGGTCAGGAGTTCAAGACCAGCCTGGACAACATGGCAAAACCCCGTCTCTACTAAAAATACAAACATTAGCCAGGCATAGTGGCGCATGCCTGTAATCCCAGCTACTGGGGAGGGTGAACCCAAGGGACAAAGGTTGCAGTGAGTTGAGATGGCTCCATTGCACTCCAACCTGGGCAATGGAGCAAGACTCCATCACACACACAAAAATGTTGAGGTTTTGGGTGGCTGGGTTCTAGTCAGAGAGCATAAGTCAATGAGGGGTACATACTCCTGTTTCAGGGAGGCATTGAGGATCCTTTTAGAAATTCAAATATGGAGGTTTCAGATTTGTCATCAAGTCCAGAACAGCATGAAAGAGCAATCTGAAAGATTTTTGGGTGAACAGCTCCCCTCAGTAATACAGGGCAGCAGCCTACGATTACACTAATGACATTGGCTTTGAGTAGAACTCGACAGCAACCAGCTCCTTCATACTTTTCCATATTGGAAGGCAACCCTCTCTCCTAAGAGGAATGGTTATGTATCTGTTCCTGGCATTGCTTTAGAGGTTTAAGAGAAAAAGAAAACTAATTACAAAGCTTCCTGCACAGTAAGTAAGAAAAATGAAAGAGAAATGACTTGATGAGATCAGGATAACAATAATACCATTTTTTATTATCAATAAAATAAACAAACATTTCTGAAGTTTCCCTTGGAGGAGGCTCTTCTCATAAAACTGGTCCCAGCTTGACTCCAGGACTGAGACCCATTCTCCGTGGAAACTCCTCCCTCTGCCCCCAGGGATCTCACTGCGACAAATCGCCCTAAGGCTTCGGAACAAACACATTTTGGGTTGAGAAAACAAACAAACTTTTACTTATGCAGAGCCCAGGGGTTCAGGTTTCCTTCCACTATTTCTAAAATAGGATTTGCCTTTAATAATTATGCCTGGCTTCTGACCAAGAAGAGTTCAAGTGCGGCTTTTCCATGGCCAGAACTATCTTCTTATGATTCCTACTCTCCCCTTTCATCTTCGCTTCCTCTCCTCTTTCCCGACCTTGCCATTATTTTTCAGATAATTTGGCCTCAGACTTTTGGTCTCTACTTCTAAGAGACTGTTTTCTTACCAGCTTCCTATTGGCCATCCTTTGGGGTAGCAGATGGTCATCTGTTATTGACCTACATAGCTTTCCTTCTCCTAGAGTAGTGGGAAGAGAAGGTGCAACATCAGAATCACCAGGTAGATTCAATGACTTTCAGAGTTTGTTTGGCTGGTCACATAGAGGTATGAAGCAATTCTCAGAACACCAGTACCTTGGTGTCATTTATTTATTAAATCCCTCATTCAGTCATGCCTTCAACGTCCCAATCAGCACATCTCATGCCTGTATTTCTCAGGGCTTAGAGATAAATAAAGACAGGACTTCTCATCCTATTTGGGATATTTCCCACCCCCCTCTTCACTTAACTTCTATTTACACTTTACATTTCAGTCCAGTTACCACCTCCTCAAAGAATCCTTCCCCAGCCTACAAGTTTATACACTCATGGAATCCTTTTGTTTTCCCTAACAGTAATGAACATAGCCAATGCTTTTCTTATATGTAATAATTTGTTGAGTTTCTCCATTAGACTATAAGCTGGATGTTCATTTTGCTCACCCTTGAAGATTCAATGTCTAGCAGGCACTCTGTAAATGACTGGGTAACATGTGTTGAGTAGGGGCACAGGTCAGAAGAAGCTTTTAAGAGTTGATGTGATGGCAGCATGAACTCTGGCATTCATCTGATGCAAATTGGGTTGTGGGATGCATAAGATAAAGGAAAAACTTCCAGAAATGACTCTTACATGAATGACACGGCTGAATCTTAAAGTCTGAGGAGGTGGCCCAATAACAAACACAGGGATGGGAACACATGGTGACAGCATTCCAGGTTGGGGCAAACCTTGGAAGGGGGACAGAATGAGGCTGACTTGTTTGGTTAAGGCAAAGAGCTCAGTGAGTTCAAGGTATAGGGTGTGAGTTGGGGAGTGGAGGTTTGATAGTTGAGACTAGCCATGAGGGTCCCTCATGAAGGCCTGGCATGTAGTGCTAAAAATGCTGATCTTATCCTGTAGGTGATAGGGAAACGCCGAAAGTATTTTAGGTAAGGTGGAGGTGTGAATAGTAAGGTGAGGTGCTCCATGCTCAGGTGGGTGAGAGTGTAACTTGCATCACAGGCCAGTAGAGGAAGGTCAGGAAATTCTCTGTATTTGCTGGTCTTGGAAGCAAGTTGCCAGAAGATGGTGGAAGTCCCAGAAGAGACCAGGGAGCAGTTGCCTCCATGCTCTGCAGAGTTGAAGGCAGAAACCTGGATATGACTGATAAAGGCAAAATTTCTCTCTACTTCAAAAGCCAGGATTTTAGAAACTCAACCCTCGTTTTCTAGGGAAAAAAAATGTATTCTGGTGTTTGGATGGCATGTAGGAGACAGGAGCCTAGAAAGTGAAATCAGTGAATGTGCTCCATTTCACGAAACTGTCAATGGGACCAGCCACTCTTTCATCTTTACTACAAGGCTTAGTGTTTTAGGAAACGGCACACACAATTCTAAGACAATAATATATGAGAGAAAGGAAATGCATTGTATTTTACCATAGAATGAAGTTATGACTCAATCACCATGATTTAATTAGGACCTAATTGACGTTTCCTTTTCTGGGATGCTGAGCACTGTCTTCTCATGCTTTTGAAGCAGTTCTGCTCCTTCTACTTACCAGCTTTTAATGTTACAACTTGCCAAGCTGCCTTCTTCCTCTTAGCTTAGCAACCTCTCTGGTTTCTCTTCAGCTTCAGTGCCAGCTCCATGGGAAGAGATCCCGACCCATGAAAATCCTTGCTCCAAACTCATTTAATTCTTTTTATTTACTTACTTATTTATTTTTTTGAGAAGAAGTCTCACTCTGTCGCCCAGGCTGGAGTGCAGTGGCACGATCTCAGCTCACTGCAACCTCTCTCTCCCAGGTTCAAGCGATTCTCCTGCTTCAGCCTCCTGACTAGCTGGGATTACAGACGCACGCCACCACGCCTGGCTAATTTTTGTATTTTTAGTAGAGACAGGGTTTCCCCATGTTGGCCAGGCTGGTCTCAAACTCCTGACCTCAAGCGATCCACCCACCTCAGCCTCCCGAAGTGCTGGGATTACAGGCATGAGCCACCACACTCGGTCCAAACTCATTTAATTCTTAACATTCCCAAATGCCTCACCAGCCTTACCTCAACCCCTCTCAAGAGAAAAGCTCAAGTGCTTTGGGCATCTGAATGGAATGCTAGCTCTTTGCCTAGGACTCCCTAAATGGGCTTGCAATGTGTGTCCAGTTTAAGGTGAAATTGTGAAATAAATGAGCTTTAGCTTTTTCTCACATCTTAGTTTGTCCCCAGATGTTCTTCCTTGCCCATTTTTAGCTTCATCCTTCATCAGTCATAACAACCTTGCCCTGGAAAAAAACCTGGACTTAAAATAACCAGACCAGGGTTTAACTCCCAATTATAATACAAGCTATAAGGGCATTGGGCAAGTTCTTTCCTGGACTTTGCGCTCATTCATATGAACTTGCCAGCCATGTTGGCTATGAGAATCAAATTTTATGGTACACTGACAGGTGCTTTGCAAACTATATATAGAGTGTCCTGTCAATGTGATGGGTATGATTAATGGTGACACCTAAATCCTGGAACCTGGGCTGCTTCCTCAACATGCCACTATTTATTTTAAGTCACTACTGATGTGCTTAGCTTGGACATAATCCCTCTAGGTTGTGTGTCTGTCTCTATTCTCCCAAAATGGTCCTGTGTAATTTCCTCTTAGGGTCCTATTTTCTCCCTTCAGTATTCCATCTATATAATCAGATAAACTTAATGTACATTATTGAACTAGTAAAAAAAAAAATAGAAGGTAGCTGTTGTATACTGTGTGGCAAACATGTATAATGTGATAAACTTGTGTATATTATAATAAACTTATAAATATAAATGATCTCATAGAAGAAAGTCTACTGCGGTAGACTGTGAAAGTCAAAAAGGCTGTGGGTTCACATCACTCCCCTCTCTCTTGGTTGTTCTGTGATCTAGACCAGCATTTCCAAGTTATGTAGAAACAGAGAGATCAAAGTATGGGAAAACAAAGTTAAATAAGTTCCTTTTCCATGGTATTAATGTGCACTGGGAATATCCAACATGGAGATTTGTGCATCTTTTTTCAAACTTGTTAGACGGTGGAAGATTTTTTTCAAAGGAAATATCTGGGTAACTGTTTTAAGGGGTGCATTAGGGAAAGTCTGCATTTAGCAAATTCTAAAAAATGGGATAATGATAGTTGGCCTCAGAGTGTTTGCAGGATTAAATGAAGTATGTGAATGCGGAGGCAGGGGCTACTGGGCATAGAAGGCTTCAATAGCAATGCCTCAGGGGCTGTCATCTGAGAGATGTTTAAATGGTGATGCCTAGGAAATGTCACGGCGTCAACAAATGGGGAATGCGTGCTCAGGTGAACTCTAAGCAGGCAGTGATTCCCCTCTACCTCTCTATAAGGGGGCTTACAAACCCTTCTCATCATCCAGCACCCCAGTAAGGTATCCCCCTGACATTCTGTGAGTGTGCTAAGGACTCTAGACCAAGAAGAAGGGCTTGAAAGACAAAAGCAATGTGGACTTCAAGAAAGACTACAGATGGAAGCCATGCAGAGGCCTTCACCACAAAAAAAAAAAAAAAACTGGTTAAATTGAATACCAGCTTTTTAGGTTAAAAAAAGCAGGGGAACTGAAAACCAGTACAAGATCCATTGTCTACCCTTCGTAGTTTCTCAGATATGACTATGTTTAAGACACTGAACTTTATTCACATTAGGGGCATGGGCTCAGTAATTCTCAATCTTCATCATAGTTTTCCATCTTTGTCATCAATCCCAACTTAAAAGAACCCCTTGGGTGTGCTTGCACACAAGTGGGTATCTGATGTGCATGGACCAAACTTGCTCGATTAGAGTCAGATTCTGGCATCCACAGCGGGCAAAAATAGGTTAGCAGTGCCCTTCACATCAGTCACAAGAGGTAAGTGCTAGATGGCATACACTAGATGCTCAATGCATTCTCATTCCTTTGTTTCACATTCACTGATTTCACAATATTCCTTGAGGATCTGCAGCTGACAGTCCTGTGATAAGTGCTGGGAACTACAGATGAACAGGACAGACAAGGTCCTGATTCTCATCGGCCTCTGCTCCAATGATAGAAAGTATTCATGTATTTAATGTGGAATGAAGAATGGAAGGAGAACCCTCGTCCCCTCCGGAGGCTTATATAAGTTAGTATTGTAAACTCTTAAAGGCACAGCACTCATCCTCTGGTCCGAAAGAGTGATCAATGTAGGATTTACGGGTAGCCCCCTGTCAGCAGATAATGGTCCTGTATCAGGCTTCTGAGCAGGTGTCTGGAAAGGCAGGTTCTTCTGGGGCCCTCTGCTCTCTTGCAGGTAAGGACAATTTCTAGTAAATGGCCTGGGTGCTACAAACGATCACATTTATTTTGTATTCTCTGGATCACGGTCTTTTCTCTAGATGACAAGGCCCCTCTGCCATGACTCAAGGTGGAAGCTTGATGCAGATCTAGCCAAGATGATTGGCCAACCCCACGCAAGCGGGCAAGTCAGGCTGCAAGTCACATTCCCATCAAGGAATGCTCCTGGAATATGACCTTCTCTCTTGGTTTACTTCCCATCCCCTGGTGTTAAACACAAGAGGATATTAAACAGAGATGGCTCTAAGGAATCTAAAGAATTCTCTAAAGAACTGTGTGAACAAGAAGCCTAATTTCCCATTCTGTGCCATGATCTCTCTTTTGTTGCCAAGTTATCATGACTGCACTAAAAATGGATTCAAACTTTTCATCAACTATAAATTTGACTTGGAAGAGGGCTGATATAAATGAAGGAAGGGGGATGCTGCCAATAGCCATCTACAGGTTCAAATAGCACAGAAGAAAAATTGATTGAACTTTCCCTGATGGGAGGGCAAAGCAGATGTAAAAGACAAAAAGGGAAAGAAAAAGAATGGTTGCAATAAGAGGTACCTTGACAAATGGTGGGTGTTTTCCATATACTTGATCTTCAAAGGATTCAATGACAAGCACAGAGAGATTTCATTTAATTGTGAAAAGTTAAAGTGCCTGGGAAAATAATAAGAGATGGCTCATAGTCCACAGAAGTCCTCTTGGTTTGAATGGCTTTTTTCCTTACACGATTTTAATATTATTTGCACCTTATTGTTAGTTTTCTTTTTATGAATCAGTGAAATATTTTCTCTGTACAAATGGCATCAAAATCTTTCTGTCTAGTCCTGATGACTCTTTCTAGTTATTTATGCCTGCCTGCCTGCCTGCCTTCCTTCCTTCCTTCCTTCCTTCCTTCCTTCCTTCCTTCCTTCCTTCCTTCCTTCCTTCTTTCCCTAGATAGGAGATTGCCTCCTGAGTCCAGGGCACTGAGAACTCAAGGGTTTCAAAGTCTGCCTTTAGAGAGTTTATAATCTGGAAGAGGAAATAACACATTACCCTAATGCAAGGTGGAATCCAAACATACAGGTTGTGATATAGAGGAGAGAGAAACCAGTTTTGGCTCCATACTTATTTCCGCTTTATCACCCACCTGTGGTCAGCATAGTGCTTAAGAACATGACTTTGACTACTATGCAAGATATCCATGTAACCAAACTGCACTTGTACCCCTTATACAAAAAATAAAAGAACATGACTTTGATTCGGATTGGTGGGTTCAGACCCAAATGGCTGGGTCACCTTGGGCAGAATATTTACCCTCTTTAAGTTTTATTTTTCCCATATGTAAAATGGGGAGGTAATAATAATAATAATAATAAATAGTGCTCACTTCTAGTGTTGAGGACTGAATAAGGCAGTGGCTATAAAGCATCTAGCAGAGAGTGAATAGTAAATAGCACATAGTAAATGCTACATAGAATGAATTGTGTCTTCTATCATAACTTATCCTTCCTTCTAACATCCTTGCCTGAATCGATGGCCCCCTTCTCCCTGGTCATGAGGCTTTCACCCCAGGAGTTTCCCCTCTTCCTTCTCTTTGCCCTCTACCTCCAGCCACCAAGCTGTGTATGGGTTGTCCCTGCACAAGGTCTTTTCCTCCTGCTGTTCATGTCCACACTGACATCTGAATTGTGGCCCTCTTTAATATTAACTAGCAATCACTATTTTGATCTTTGTTTATTTGTTATATAAATAAATCTTATTGTGTATATTTGAGGTTTACAACATGATGCAATAGGATACATATAGACAGTCGAATAGTTACTGTGGTGAAGCAAGTTAACCTATTGTACTAGTCAGTTCTTGCATTGCTATAAAGAAATACCTGAGACTGGGTAATTTATAAAGAAAAGAGGTTTAATTGGCTTGTAGTTCTGCAGGTTGTACAGGAAGCCTAATGCTGGCATCTGCTAGGCTTCTGAGGAGGCCTCAGGAAACTTACAGTCACGGCAGAAGAGGGAGCGGGCACGTCTTACATAGCAGGAGCAGGAACAAGAGTGAGGAGGGAGGCACCACACACTTTTAAACAACCAGATCTATATCACGATCACTATCACAAGAACAGAACCAAGGGGATGGCGTTGAACCATTTGTGAGATACCATCCCCATGATCCAATCACTTCCCACCAGGCCCCACTTCACATTGGGAATTACAATTAGACATGAAATCTGGGTGAGGACATGATCCAAATCATATCACCCACCTTCTCTCATAGTTACTTTTTTGGGGTGACGAGAGCAACTAAACCCTACTTATTTAACAAAAAATCCCTAATACAATAAAATGTGATTAACTCTAGTCCTTAGGTTGTACGTTAGAGCCCCAGACTGTTTCATCCTACATGTCTGCTACGTTGTATCCTTTTTTCACCAACATCTTCCCACTTCCTTCTCCCCCTCTCCTATCCTTGCTAACCACTGTTTTATTCTTTGTCAGTTAATGCTTTAGAGGGTTTGTTCTGTAGATGTGTTCTTTCATTTACCTATAGTAACACCTATATGTGATTGGTACTATTGTTTTCATGTCCTTTTGCAGGAGGGAAACTATCTTGGTTTGTTTGGACTGCTGTAACAAAGTACCATAGATTAGGTACTTTATAAACAACAGAAATTTATTTCTCACAGCTCTGGAGGCTGAAGTTCCAGATCAGTCTAACAGCACGGGTGGATTCTGGTGAGGACTCTCTTCCAGGCTGCCTACTGCAGACTTCTAGAATCCTCCATGGGAGAGAGCAGAGACAGGAGCTAGTTGCCTGGCCTCTTCTAAAGGCATTAGCCCTAGGCCAGTCGCAGTGGCTCATGCCTGTAATCTCAGCACTTTGGGACGTGGAGGTGGGTGGATCGCCTGAGGTCAGGAGTTCGAGACCAGCCTGGCCAACATGGTGAAACCCCATCTCTACTAAAAATACAAAAAATTAGCCAGGCGTGGTGGCCACGCCTGAAGTCCCAGCTACTCGGGAGGCTGAGGCAGGAGAATAGCTTGAACCAGGAAGGCAGAGGTTTCAGTGAGCCGAGATTGAGCCACTGCACTCCAGTCTGGGCAACAAGAGTGCAACATCATCTCAAAAAAAAAAAAAAAACAATAAATAAATAAAATAAAGACAGCACCATTCTTTTTTGTTATTGGTTGGTTGCTTGTGTGTGTGTGTGTGTGGGTTTTGTCTTGTTTTGTTTTTTGAGATGGAATCTCTCTCTGTCACCCAAGCTGGAGTACAGTGGCGTGATCTCGGCTCAATGCAGCCTCCACCTCTCAGGTTCAAGCAATTCCTCTGCCTCAGCCTCCTGAGTAGCTGGGATTACAGGCGTGCACCACCATGCCTGGCTAATTTTTGTATTTTTAGTAGAGATGGAGGTTTCTTTATACTGGTCAGGCTGGTCTCTAACTCCTGACCTCATGTGATCCGCCTGCCTCAGCCTCCCGAACTGTTGGTATTACAGGCATGAGCCACTGCGCCTGGCTGTTTTTTGTTTGTTTGTTTTACCTTTTATTTTAGGTTCAGGGGTACATGTGAAGGTTTGTTACATAGGTAAACTCGTGTCATGGGGGTTTGTTGTATAGATTATTTCATTACCCAGGCACAAAGCCCAGAACCCTATAGTTATTTTTTCTGCTTCTCTCCCTCCTCTCACCCTCCAGCCTCAAGTTGGTCACAGTGTCTGTTGTTCCCTTCTTTGTGTCCATGAGTTTTCACCATTTAGCTCCCACATAGAAGTGAGAACATGAAGTATTTGGTTCACCCTCATAACCTACTTACCTCTCAAAGGCTCCACCTCCAAATTCCATCATATTGGAATTAGGGTTTCAACTCACACATTTTGGGGAGAACACAAATATTCCATCCATAGCAGAAACTAAGTCTTAAGGAGATGAAAGAGCCAGCCCAAGGTAACACAGCTTGGAAGCACAGACACCTGGGCTTGGACCAGACCTGGTTGCCCAGTAAGCCCCACATCCTCCTTTCTGCCCTAGAGGGGAAAGGGCAATATCTTTGTTTACAGGGAAAGCAGTTCTCTAGCCCTCAGCTCCACTCATCAAAATTCTTTGCAAGAATTAGGTAGATTTACATTTGTGCTCATGAGATATATACACAGTAGACTATACTGTTTGAAAATCCATGCACCCAAGCTTGACTGTCTTTTTTTTTGAGACAGAGTCTTACCTTGTCACCTAGGCTGGAGTGCGGTGGCATGATATTGACTCACTACAACCTCCACCTCCCAGGTTCAAGCAATTCTCGTGCCTCAGACTCCTTAGCTGGGACTGCAGGTGTGCACCACCACACCTGGCTAATTTTTTTTTTTCTGGTATTTTTTTTTTGTAAAGATGGGGTTTCACCATGTTGGCCAGTCTGGTCTTGAACTCCTGACCTCAAGTGATCCACCCACCTTGGCCTCCTAAAGTGTTGGGATTACAGGCGTGAGCCACTGTGCCCTGCCCTAAGCTTGACTTTCTGAGTTAAAGTTCTGATCCACCATTTGCTAGTTGTGTGAGCTTGAACAAGCAACTTGTCCCCAGTTCCTATAACGTTAAAATAATAATAATAACTACTTCGGAGGCTTTGTAAAAATTCAAAGAGGCAAATTACAAAAAGAGCCAAGAAAAATCTTTGGTACATTGTAAGCATTCAATATGAACCTGTGTCCAAGGAAAAGAACAGTATTGTCTGCTTTTTGTTGCATCATTTACCTCTCCCAGTGACTTCAGCATAATGAGCACTCAAAACACAGGTGGATTGATGGGATAGCACTGGCGTTCTTCTGAATAAATTAAGGAGATTATACAATTAACAGTGAAGAAACTTTAGAATATCCATAGGAACGTTATAAGAGACATGTAAAATAATCGTGTTGCCTTTGTCCAGGCTCGTTTAGGGTATGATCTTTCAGATAATGATTTTTTTTTTAAAGTAGTAAATAAGTTTAGTGTTAACTCGTTAGGGGTCATGAGATTTCTTCTACTCCAGGAGTAGTTTAAGGAAATTGAGATCAGCCCTTGGGCCGTGTGTTGGAACTGCTGAGCAAGCAATTTCACTTGGAATGGGGGATAAAATAAGAGCAAGATTTTTGTGAATACTCCTAAATGATTTGACTGTATTTCTTGCCTTACTAGAACAACTGAGTACCTTATCTATCCCTGAACAGGTGAGGAATGCCCAATGCATGCTATTGGTTAGTCTGCTATTCTGAGAGTGGTCACAGACCACCAACAGCAAGCAGCTCCTAGAACGTTGTTACAAATACAGAATCTGGGCCCTACCCCAGACTAAACAAGTATCTGCATTTTAACAAGATCTCCAGATAATTAGTGTGCACATCAAAGTAGGAAAGCAATGATATGAAAGTTAAAAGACAGTAGAATTAGAAGTAGTATTTGTCATATTATATGTTGGCTTTTCTATTGTACAAGGGAAATGGGGCTCTGATTCGTAAGATGAGATGAATGAGGTTTTATACGCAGAGCTCTTTTGAAGAGAAACCAACCTCTGGCGGCAAAGAGGCATCTCATTATTCAAAACGTGTACTTTTTACTACAAACTGTAATCATTGGCCAGATTGGAAAGAACTTCTGTTAACTTCTAGGAGAAGGCTCCCTGTTAACTTCCAGGGGAAGCACAATGACTAGGGACCAAAAGCAGGCTGCCATACCCGCCTGGCCAAGTTATCCAGAGAGCACAGAATTATAATATGCCCAGCCCTGGTGACTGCAGAGTGAGCGAGGTTGCTGTGTGGGGATTGCTCAGAGAAAACTCTTGTATAAAAATATTGCCCATTTAAGGACTCTGAATTTCTACAGGAAATATTGGAAGTTACAGGGCTTTAGGTAACAGTAACTAGCCTATTGTGGAATATAGTACATATATGTTTGGCTAATGGAGAAAGGAAAAATAAAAATTTCTTCTGATGCAATGGTGCTAGCCTGCCTGCAGGCTGAAAAATGGATTCTGGTTAGGGTTCCGGTGATGTAGCAAGCTTTTGAACCAACCTTAGAGATCTTCAATCTGTTTTTCTGGGTTTCACAAAAATTAAATGACTTGCCCAGGGCAAAAGGGTTGCTTATGTCTGGATCTACTTTTCCTCATATGAGTCATCTTGAATAATGTAACCTCGAACTTCAGTGTACTAAATTTGACGTAGAAACTGCTCTTATAAATGATCCAAAAGTAATAGAAGGGGAAAAAAGAGTGACAAGAAAAACAAAATAAGGGAAGTAATAAAGTAGGCATTGACTATGGAGATAAATGTTCTAAAATACTTCAGATATGACTTAAGGTTGTCATAACAGTTGAAGCATGTAAACTTTTTCCTGTTGAAGTGAAGCTATGAAATATGGGGTTTTGTTGACTATTTAAAAAGTAGTGTATTAATCAAATTACTCCAAATGTGTCATTGACTCACTGCATAAAAGACAGGAGATTTGTCATTAGAACAAATGTTGCTGAACCATGAAATCTGAGCTGCATAAAAGTAAATACTGCTATCCTGTGAAGTGTATAAAAAAGGAAAAAAAAAATGACAGCTAAAAGTGACACCCAAGATCCCACGAAGCAATTTACAAAAACAATTGTTAATATATACAAATCAGTTCAAGGGAAAGAAAACAACAGGAGTTGTCTAGAATTTCCAACACTTTTGAGCCCTCTTCTGGCCAGTAAATGGTGACAGAAAATCAAAGACTAAATAACATCTGGAAAATAACAAAAATACAAAACCCATAATAAATATATATTGGCTTTAAAAGAAAAATCAAAACAAAATTGTTTTACTGGGTCAGATAAAACATTTCTGGGATGTAAGGACTCCACTTTGCCTTACCTCTTGTCTGCTACATGTGTAAATGAAAGAAAAAAATGTAATGATCTTGATAGACATTTGAAAGCAACAAGTAAACCTTTTTTTCTTCTGTGGCAGGAGGAGGATAAGGAATATATTTCTTTCTAAATATCAAGAAAATTGGATTATATGAATATCAGAAGCAAAATTTTCGCAAATTTGTGTACTTTACTGAGTGTCATCTTGGTGCTCCTCAACAAGGTCTTCTTCTGCACTCTTTCTACAACTAATTTTGGGGATTATGGATGGCAATGAGCTTAATCAATCAAGCCAAAATCAAAGCCAAAGGCTCATTAATAAATAGAGCCTAGTAACATAGGCTTATGCTTTTACTGTTTAAGCAATTCTAGGAATCAGCAACCATTAAGAAAACCACTCCACAAATCATCTTCAACTCCTGGATACAGCCTCCCATGCATGGGTGCTTCTGGAACTGCCCAGCACATAAGAAGTCCTCCAAACAGGCAGTGGTGTCTTAGCACCACCTCTTCTGACTCGACCAGAATGATAGCACTTGTGTTATGAAGTGGGGTCAATAAAGATGATGTATGTTTCAGTTAAGAAATGTATCAGAATATTCTACTGAGTAAGGTATTATAATTTTTTTTTTTTTTTTTGAGACAAAGTCTGTCTCTGTCACTCAGGCTGTCAGGCTGGAGTGCAGTGGCACAATCTTGGCTCATTGTAGTCTCCACCTCCCTGGCTCAAGCGATCCTCCTACTTCAGCCTCCTGAGTAGCTGGGACTATAGACACAGGCCACCATGCCCAGCTAATTTTGTATTATTATTATTATTATTTTAATAGACACCGGGTTTTGCCCTTTTGCCTGGGCTGGTCTCGAACTCCTGGGCTCAAGCAATCCACTCACCTCGGGCTCCCAAAATGCTGGGATTGCAGGCGTGAGCCACTGCACCCAGCGCCACATATTGTTCATACTGGAACATATTGCCAAGATTGTTTTGAGATTTTATGCCTCTAAATTTGGAAATATTGAAATCCTAATAAAATATTCTAAAGGTAGTGGGATTCTGACAAAGAAACTTCATTGTAAGAACCCAGCTATGAATATGTTAGGGGTTAAATTCAAAGAATTACTGAATAGCTTCCTAATTGTCTTAAAAGAGGGCCACTTCATAGAAGTAAATTTAAATGGAGCATGTGAGATAGACTCAGGGTCAAGGCTTTTAATAATTGCTTTGTTAGGAAACATTAAAAAAAAACCTGTGAAAAATCAGAAATCACCAAAACCTGTGCAATTTCACAGAGTTTAAAAAAAGAGAAAATAAGTCCAGTTCCTGAGTCTATTGATATTAAACAATGCTTAAAATCCACACACTTTACTGAAAAAACAAGTTTGAGGCATTACATCAAGGCTCTCACAACCAGAATAAGTTGAAATAGAACAAGTCTCTTTTTGGAGGACCACTTGCCAACAAGTCACTTGAAGTAAGAGGTTAAAGCATGTGAGACACTGTCTATATGGGACGCTGTCTGTGTAGATGCTTCCCTGGGGGATCATCAATTTATAAAAATAAAAAGGAAACTTGCAAAATATAGCTATACATTCAATGAGAAATGTAGTGATTCACTTGAAAATGTTTTGGTTTTCCCTCTATTTATTTACTCTGTCAGGGATACCAATTTTCACTCAGGATTACAATAGGGACAACAACCCATTATCTAATAAATAATGTAATAGGGTATAAATGAAAATAAGACTGGATTTGAGCTTGTCTGTACCTAGACTCTCAAACTGAGTTGTAAAATGAAGGAGATCCAGTTGAATCCAATCAAATATTTTGATGAAAATGTCCTTGGTATGTTAGGTGTGTGTGTCTGAGTGTGCACATGTTTTCATGGTAGAGGAATGCTGAGGGAAAATGGGGTTCAGGGGAAAGAGCCTCATTCAATCAATGTGTATTATCTAAAATAATTTCAAATCAAGCATAAAGAAACAGACTTGCACAAAGGCACAGAGCCTAGAAGGTCTTGCAAGATACGACATGGTTTTTGAAAAGTAATTATATAAATCAAAATTTTCATAAACCTCCAGGTTTCTTTCTTTATCTAATTTCTAAAATGTAGCACAAAGCCAAGGAAAGCCCCTAAGATTTCAAGTGAGGTTCATTAACATTTTTTAAAGAAATTTTAATTTGAATTTCTTTTCAAAAAGTATTAGGCTTGAAATGTTGGGTCTTTAACCATTAACTTTATACAACCTATATGATTTCCTTTGCATTTATGAAACATATTCTCTCTTCATATTAAAGGAACATTTAATGACAGCCTATTGTGTTCCAGGCACTATGGTAAATGCCGTGGGGGTGTCTGTTGGTTGGTTTGTTTTTGGAAGAATTGACAGTCCCAGGGAAGTCTTCCCCTAAATTCTGGCAATTGTGTCTTCTGGCAATTTTCTTCTTAATCATCAACCTGTGGGGTGACTAAACCTGTTGTCAAATATTTTAAATCTCAGACCAGCATCACCATCACTACTCAGCCCAGTCCAAGCACCCACAGCATTGCAACCTGCTGTGAATTCAAGAGATAGAAGCTAACTTTACTGTAGGCTTAAGCAATATGGAAATAGAAGGCTACATTGCTGCATAATATCATAGGGCACATTCCATGGGAAAACATACCCTTTGTGCAGTTGTTTGTGATTTTGTTGTATCTGGCCCAAGCTCTCCTTTATTGGTGTGTGTGACTGGGAGGACGCCGCCTTGGGAATGAATCACATCCTGTTCTGGAAACATGAAAGGATGTTCTAAAGAGCACGTGACCCATTGCTGGGCTTGGTAGCTTGGTCAGAACTTCATTTGCTATTTATTGGAATTTGCTCTCTTCTTTTGGCCTTCAGGAAGTTAGTAGAGACTGTACAACAGCTCTGTGGGTGAATGGTCAGGGACTTGATGGGGAATGGGTGAGTCAAAGTCTCAATATTTGGGGCCAAGAGAACTTCTCCTTCACCCTCAGAGGTATCCCTGGAAAATTAACTCTAAATAAGGCAGATTAATAATAGAAAGAGCTTTAAAATTTATGACCACCATGCACGCAGGGAGAATCACAGGGCGATTGCCTCATATTCCATGGAGGTACATAGGCTCATATACCCTGTTTCTTTGCAGAAAGGGAGATGGGGAAGTATGGCTGATTTTTAGGGGGATGGTAAATGATTTTTAGAAGAATTCAATGGGCTGATGAACACACAATGGCCTCGGGCAAAGTCTGTTGGGCCTGCAGAGTGTACAATGGTATGTGATAAAAGTCTGTCTGGGTTTGTTGACAGATTTAGCCTTCCTTCCTGTGATACGGTTTCAGTTAATGAAAACTCAGAGAAGGGACCAGAGGTCATTGTTTTCTTCTCTGGTAGGTCCAGACTATAGGCAGATAAAAGAGCTTCAGCTTGTCATTTAGAAGAAGTAGAGGATTAAGAGACAGGAGCAGAAGGACTAAAAAAACAATTGTTCTCCTTGGTGGGTCTGTCCAGCCTTTATGTGATATGGTAAAGGTCTCTTCTAGCACCTGATAATCTCTAAGGGCCTTTAATTCAAAGTACGCGTTGTGCCTGGGAGCCATAGAGTTTGGGGTGAAGTTCCCCAATCCCCTTTGTGACATAGGGAGGGATGTGATCCTGGAAGGCCAATGGGAACAAGTGGGAGAGGAAAGGAGTATTGGCCATAGCCCAGATGAACTGAGAGAAGAGCACCAAGAGTTAGTGGAGGTGAAGTTGAAAGGGACTGCCCTTAAAAGAGGCAGCATTGAAATATACATTTAGACTTTAAAAATTATAATGGGGTTCCAGCTGAAGACTGTTATGAGCCAATGCCTTTACTTCCAAATGACCATGGAAATGACTGGATCAGAGCAGGGACTTGACGGAGCCAGCATCGACAACCTGAATTTCAAAGCTCTTCTGGGAAGTACATGGAAGTGCTAACAGAATACCCTAATATTTCCAACTTCAAGTGTCTAAAGTAGCCCCAGAGAAGGGACTTCTAGTTCTAGCATCCAGAGCTGTGTCCAGCCTGCTTCTGGTGATGACATCCTGGTGTGCGGAGCAAGCTAAGGAACCCAAGGCATAGGCTCTGAGTCATAGGGGACTCGCCCAACCAGATAGTAAAATAGATTATACAGTTGTAAAGGTAATGATACTATAATTAAAGAAAAAATAAATAAACAGAGTATAAAGTCCAGAATAAGCTGAAGAATATATCAAAACTTATGAAGGTAGTATAGTATAGTATTGAAAGAATTTAGGCTCTGAAGATAGCCTGATTGGGTTTGATTCCTGGCTTTCTACTTCCTATGTGATCTTGCCTAAGGCACTGAATCCTTCTGTGCTCATCTCCTCCTCAGTAAAGTGAAGATAATATTAGAAACTCATGGGGTAGGGATGAAGGGGACTAATGCATGAAAAGCACCTAGCATGGTTCCTGGGACATAGTTACTATTCAATAAGGATTAGCTAATATCATTGCATGGAAAGAGTAGCTTTCAAACAAGGGAACTTGATGATTTATTTAATAGAGAGTGTTGTGACATTTGGCCAGATATTTGGGAATAAACATTTGATCTTTTCCTTATATTCTACACCCAAAAGAAGTTCAACCGATTGAGAACCAAAATAATTCTAGAATAATACATAGGCCAATATTTAAATAATTTTGTAGTAGAGAGGGCTTTTTAAAATATAATAGCAAAAGGAGAAGGCTAGAAGGGAAACAAAAATGGATATTTTTGTTTGTTATATTTATATTGGTTATATTTAAAAAATTGAAAGCTAGGCCAGGTATGGTGGCTCACGCCTGTAATCCCAGGTGGGCAGATCACGAGGGCAGGAGTTCAAGACCACCCTGGCCAACATGGTGAAACCCTGTCACTACTAATGATACAAAAAATTAGCCAGGCGCGGTGGCATGGGCCTGTAATCCCAGCTACATGGGAGGCTGAGGCAGGAGAATCACTTGAACCTGGGAGGGGGAGGTTGCAGTGAGCTAGGATTGCGCCATTGCACTCCAGCCTGGGCAACAGGGTGAGACTCCATCTCAAAAAAAAAAAAAAAAGAAAGCTACTAGGCTTCAAAACAAAATAAACAAAGCAAACCAAACCCAACTCACCCTAAGCAGAATTAGAAAGTAAATGACAAACTAGGAAAAATATTCACAACATCTAAGACAGACCAGGGTTAATATACTTAATATATAGAGTATATTATACTTTTTAGAAATCGATAGATCTTATAAATCAACAAATATCAACAAATATCAACCCATCAATAAATGTTTAACACCTTTGCCAGGAAAAATAAGCATAGGACATTATGAACAGGTAATTCATAAAGAAAAATATATAAATAGACAAAAACATAAGATTAATCTAATGAGTAATCAAAAGGCCGTGACTGAAAATGAGATAGCATTTTTCACTTTTTAAATGGCAATAATTTTTAAATGACCATAGCCAATATTGGTGAGGGTAGAGAAAAACAGGCTCTCTCCCATACTGTTGGCAGGAGTATAAATTGGCTCACTCTCTCGGTAGGGCACATTTTCAATACATTCTTAATGCGTATAACTTCTGACCTAACTTTTATACTTCCAGGAATTTAATTTTTAAAAATGTTCTGAGATATGAAAAGAAATAAATTTGACCACAAATGTATCTACAACAACATTTTAATAATATCAAACAATTAGACTACCTTAATATCAGATAACAGGTTACTGGTTAAATAAATGTTAATACACTTATTATTTAGCCTTGAGAATGAACTTTTCAGTTCTTAATAAATGACTGAAGACCCAGCTGCTAAACTCTGAAATGCATACCTGCTTATGGAGAACCTTGAGAAACAGCACATCCATACAATATCTTACTAAATAAGCATTATTATTGGTGTGGCAGGAGAATAACATATAATGACATAAAAAGATGATCCAATTATATAAAGTGGTGTGTGTGCACAAAATAAGTTGTATGTACAGTATGATATTAGGAAATACAAGTGTAAATACATGTATAAACAGAAAATGTTGTTTCTCAGGGGTGAAATTAAGAGTTATTTTTCTTTTTTTTCACTTATCCAAGTGTAATTGTGGCTTTTATTTTGCATTATTTGACTTGACTTTTATTTCACATCTTTCTCCATGCAACTAGATGTGGAAAGCAAGATGTTTTAAGGGAATAATTATTTTCTGAATCAGAATAGGAGTTTGATGCCTATATGTGTGAATGTCAATCCTCAAAATAGTTGTTCTCGAAGATTTCATTCTGCTGTTAGATTAGGTAGTTGGTGTTACAAATGCATATTTTCTTTAAACATTCTGTTAATGTTGTTAAAAGTTGCTTTGATACCAAACAACATGGCATTCACCATGTAAACAATGAGAAGACATTCATCAGACCCTTAGATTTTCCTCCCTGCCTGGGGGATTTGAGCAGAAGCACAGACAGTCCTGACCCAGGCCAGAGCTCCGGCCCTTGACTTCCTCTTGGTGCCTGGAGTCCAGTCTCTTGCTATTCGTGGCCTTGAGATGGTTTTGCATTTGCCCAGGGCCTCTGAGCCCGGGCTGCCTCCCTCTCACAGTGAGTGTCCTTCCAACTTAGCTTTTATAAACAGTCCTGCCTTCCCTCTGCCGCTTTGACTTGTGCCCTAAAGTGCTTCTCAGAGGCCATTTTCTCTTCTCTTCTACTTTTTTTTTTTTTTTTGGATGGAGTCTCGCTCTGTCGCCAGGCTGGAGTGCAGTGGCGCAATCTCGGCTCACTGCAAGCTCCGCCTCCCGGGTTCACGCCATTCTCCTGCCTCAGTGTCCCAAGTAACTGGGACTACAGGCACCCGCAACCACGCCCGGCTAACTTTTTGTATTTTTAGTAGAGATGGGGTTTCACCGTGTTAGCCAGGATGGTCTCGATCTCCTGACCTCGTGAACCGCCCACCTCGGCCTCCCAAATGCTCTTCTGCTCTTAATGGTGATGAATACACTTTCCATTTTCCTATTTTGTTTTTTGTTAAAATCGTTTTCTAAAAATCTTCCCTGTGCTCTTTACAGCCTCGACAAGTATAAACAGCCCTTCTGAATTATCCCCTCAACATGTCTCTCTTCAACCTTCTGAAAACAGATTCTATCTGGCCTTCAGATACCTCACTTTTGGTCCCTTCAACTATTAAGAATACTAAGGATCCCATGTGCAACAATGGAGACAGATGCCCCAACATCTAGCCTTTCTCAGGTTGCCCCTGTCACCACCACTGCCTAGTGGAGAAGAGGATTTTACTTTATGGGTTTTCTCCCTATATTACTCCTTCCTGTTCCCTGATCTTGGAGGATATGTCCTTCCCTCGGGCTTCCCAGGGACACTTGCTTACCTTACTCTTTCCTTCCTCCAGTTCCATCAAACATAATTTCCATATCTCATGCCCTCTAGGCACCAACTGATAGACCATCGTGTCTCAAGCAGACAAACCCAAGGCTTTGTGTCCATCATAATTACATAAGGGAGATTTTCAAAAGACAGTTGTCTCTACCCCACTGCCATGGTCTGAATGTTTATGTCCCTTACAAAATTCTTATGTTGAAATCTTAACCACCAAGGTGATGGTATGAGGAGCTGATGAAGACTTTTGGGAGGTAATTAGGCCAGGAAGGTAGAGCTCTCGTCAATGCGATTGGTGCTCTTATAAAAGCTATCCCAGGGAGCTGCCTTGCCCCTTCCAACATGAAAGGACACCAGAAAGTGGGTCTCAGCAGACACTGCATCTGCCAGCACCTTGATCTCCAACTTCCCAGCCTTCAGAACTATGAGAAAAAGAATTATGTTGTTTATAAACCACTCAGTTTGTGGTATTTTATTAGAGCAGCCCAAACGGACTATGACACCCCCACCCCCGCCATGAAGATTCTGCTTCAGGAGGTCTAGGTAGTGTCAGGCCTGAGGGCTTCAGTGGTCCTCATGTTTCAGTGCAAATCAGAATAACCTAGGGAGTTTTAGAAAATTCACATGCCCAGACACCACCCTAGCCTCCTGCAGTCGTTCAATAAATAAAGGCAGGGATTTGTCATTTTGTTTACACTACATCTCTTTCTCAATGTCTAACAAGCATGAGTAGAGTCATCTGGTATGTTTGTGTAGACTGAACAACTTCAGAAGGGATGCCATTTATATAAATTATTGATTTATACAACAGGATGGTCTTGTGAAATAGGCATCTAATAAATACTGAGTAAGTGAATGGGTAAGATTGGAAAAGAAACTCTTTCTAAAAAGTATTACTCACTTTCAAGTAGCAAAAAATGAAAGATTAAAAGCAGACCAAAGTTAGGGAAGCCTGTTACAAGAGGCTGAATAATGGCCCCCAAAGAGGTCAATTTTCCAATCCCTGGAACCTGTGACTGTGTTGTTACTTTCCACGGCAAAAGAACTTTGCAGACGTAATTAAGGATCTCACTATGAGAAGATTATCCTGCATCATTGGAGGGGGCCCAGTGTAATCACACAAGTCCTTATAAGTAAGAGAGGGAGGGAGGAGAGTCAGAGTCAGAGGAGGACATGTGACGGCAGATGCAGAGGTCATCGCGATGTGATTGGTGGAAGGGGCTATGAGCCACGGAAGGCAGCAGCCTCTAGAGGCTGGAAAAAGCAGGAAGCAAAGTCTGACTTAGAGCCTACAGAAGGAATTCAGCCCCACTGACGCTTTGATTTTAGTGCAGTGTGACCTGGTATGGATTCCTGGCCTCCAGAACTGTAAGATAGCAAGTTTGTGTTGTGTGAGGCATGCAGTTGTGGTAATGTGTTACAGCAGCAATAAGAAACTAATACATCCTTCAAGAAATGATACATGGGAGGGAATTTCAGGCAACGGGGTAGACGCATTTGCTATTGCTGCATAACAAATAACCACATACTTAGCAACTTAAAACAATATCATCTCTCTTTTCTTTCTTTAATATTTTATTTTAGGTTCCAGGGTACATGTTCAGGTTTGTTGCATAGGTAAATTGCATGTCATGGTGTACAGATTATTTCATCACCTAGGAAATAAGCATAGTACCTAACAGATAGCTTTTCAGCCCTCATCCTCCTCCCACCTTCCACTCTCAAGTAGGCCCTAGTGTCTATTGTTCCCTTCTTTGTGTCCACATGTACTCATTGCTTAGCTCCCACTGATAAGTGAGAACATGCAGTATTTGGTTTTCTGATGCTATGTTAGTTCACTTAGCATAATTACTTCATCCATGTTGCTGCAAAAGAAATGAGCTCTGAGTAACAATTCATGGTGTATATATGTACCACATTTTCTTTATCTAGTCTACCGTCGATGAGCATTTAGGTTGATTCCATGTCTTTGCTATTGTGAACAGTGCTGTGACAAACATACATGTCTTTATGATAGAACAATTTATATTCCTTTGGGTATATAAATGGGATTGCTGGGTCAAATGGTAATTCTGTTTAAGTTATTTGTGAAATTGCCAAACTGCTTTCCACGATGGCTGGACTAATTTACATTCCCACCAACAGCGTATAAGTGTTCCCTTTTCTCTGCAACCCCACCAGCATCTGTTATTTTTTGTGTTTTTAATAATAGTCATTCTGACTGGTGTGAGATAGTATCTCACTGTGGTTTGGATTTGCATTTCTCTAATGATTACTGATGTTGAGTATTTTTTCATATGCTTGTTGGCTGCATGGATTTAAAAAGTGTCTGTTCATGTTTTTGCCCACTTTTTTGGGGGGGTTGTTTGTTTTTTGTTTGTTAATGTCTTTAAGTTTCTTATAGATTCTAGATATTAGACCTTTGTTGGATACATAGTTTGCAAATATTTTCTCCCGTTCTATAGGTTGTCTGTTTACTCTTAGTCTCTTTTGCTGTGCAGAAGCTCTTTAGTTTAATTAGATCCCATTTGTCAATTTTTGTTTTTGTTGCGATTACTTTTGGCAACTTTGTCATGAAATCTTCGCCAGGTCCTAAGTCTAGAATGGTATTTCAGAGATTATCTTCCAGGGTTTTTATAGTTTTAGGTTTTACATTTAAGTTTTTGATCTATCTCGAGTTGACTTTTGTATATACTGTAAGGATGGGGTCCAGTTTCAATCTTCTGCATATGGCTAGCCAGTTATCTCAGCACCATTTATTGAATAGGGAGTCTCTTCCCCATTGCTTGTTTTTGTCAACTTTGTTGAAGATCAAATGGTTGTAGGTGTGCAGAATTACTTCTGGGCTCTCTATTCTATTCCACTGGTCTATGTGTCTGTTTTTGTACCAATATCATGCTGTTTTAGTTACTGTAACATTGTAGTACAGTTTGAAACTGGATAATGTGATGTCTCCAACTTTGTTCTTTTTGCTTACAATTGCCTTGGCTTTTCAGACTCCTTTTTGGTTCCATAAGAATTTTAGAATGCTCTGTGAATAATGGCATTAGTAGTTTGATATGGATAGCATTGAATCTGTAAAGTTCATTGGGCAGTATGGCCATTTTAACAGTATTGATTCTTTCCATTCAAGAGCATGGAATGTTTTCCATTTGTTTGTGTCATCTCTGGTATCTTTGAGCAGTGTTTTGTAATTCTCAATGTAGAGATCTTTCACCTCCATGGCTAGCTGTATTCCTAGATATTTTATTCTTACTGTGGCTATTGTTAATGGGATTGCATTCTTGATTTGGCTCTGAGCTTGCACGTTATTGGTATAGAGAAATGCTACTGAATTTTGTACATTTATTTTGTATCTTGAAAGTTTGCTGAAGTTCTTTATCAGATCAAGGGGATTTTGGGCAAAGACTGTATGGAGTTTTCTAGATATAGAATTATATTCTCTGCAAACAGGGATAGTTTGACTTCCTCTTTTCCTGTTTGGATATCCTTTATTTTTTTCTCTTGCCTGATTCCTCTTGCTATGACTTCCAATACTATGTCAAATAGGCATGGTGAAAGAGGGCATCCTTGTCTTGTTCCAGTTTTTAGGAGGAATGCTTTTGCCCACTCCATATGATGTCGGCTGTGGGTTTGTCATAGGTGGCTTTTATTATTTTGAAGTATGTTCCTTCAATGCTTCATTTGTTGAGGGTTTTTTTAACATAAAGTTATGTTGGATTTTATTGAAAGTATTTTCTGCATTTATTGAGATAATCATATGGCTTTTGTTTTTAGTTTTGTTTATGCGATGAATCACATTTATTGATTTGTGTATGTTGAATCAACCTTGCATCCTAGGAATAAAGCCTACTTGATCATGGTGGATTAGTTTTTTGATGTGCTGCTGGATTCAGTTTGCTAACATTTTGTTGAGGATTTTTTTTTTTTTGGTAGTGCCATCTCTTATCTCACAATCCAAGATGTCAGAAGTCAGGGCAGGCTTGACTAGATTCTCTGCTCAGGATTTTGCCAAGTTGCAATCAAAGTACTGGCCAGGCACGGCTTTTATTGGGAGGATCTGAAAAAGAATTGCTTCAAAGTTCACTCAAGTTGTTGGCCAGATTCAGTTCCTTGGGGTTGTAGAACCAAGGTCACCATTTCCTTGCTGGCTGTGAGGTAGGGGCTGCTCTCAGCTTCTAGAAGCTGCTCCCATTACTTGCCATGGGGCCTTCATCTTCAAGCCAGCAATTGTTCATCAAATCCTATTTGTGCTTCCAATCGCTGACATCCTCTTCTGTGACTAGCTGAAGACAGCTCTGCTTTTAGAGGGCTTATGTGATCCATCAGGCCTGCTAGACAATCTTTCTTCACCTTATAATGAAACAGTTATGGAGTGGGATCTCATCATTACTCCCAGGATCCACCCACACTCATAGGGAAGGGGGCAATACAAAGAAGGGTCTTTGGGGGTGATTCTTAGAATTCTGCCTGCCACAGGGAGCTTCAAGTATAGCGCTGGTCAGCAGTAAAAGCACCATCTTCCCTGCCCAGACAAAGGCCAGCCTTGGGTGCCTGTGCAGGGCCTTGGGGGCTTCTTGTCCAGAATGAGGTTCATCCTTCATGAGCTGTGGGCGGACAGATAAAAGGACTGTGGGTTACCATTGGGGGTTGAGAGCTTGAAATAAAAACAAAAAATAAAATTATGTACTGATTTTAATTATTAGGACTTTCTCTTTTGTGTATTCTTGATATTTAGATGACAAACTGTTACTATGCACTCCGTCTTACAGAAATGTCTGCAATGTGCAGTAGGGGCTTGAATCAAACTCTGTTCCTTAACTTTCCTTCCTCCTTGCTTTTTGGCCCTCACCCAGGCCCAACAACTCCCTTATCAGCAGACAAAAGGGATACACCTTTTGGCCGGCACCAAATAGAATCAAAGTCCCATTATCAGGTCAGATGTCTATGCAAATCAAAGTATTATTTAAAAAAAACAAACCAGAAGGACACCGCAGAGTGTATGAGCTCTTTCTTAGGTGAGTCCCTTATTTTCTTTAAGCTATGGATTCCTACTCATTTGACTAGGTTGATTCATTTTCAGGTTTGTTTTTGTTTTTGATTGTTGAACTTCAGAAATTCCATTTATTTTCATTTGTCTTAGAAGTCTTCTGAGAACCAGCTATTTCTTCCATAACTCTCCCTAAGTAATTCTTACTCTATTTCTAATCTATAAGGTTTTCTGACTTTTTGCCCTTCAAAGCAATTTGGTAGGCAGACATCACAGAAGTCTCTTCACATCTCATTTTATCCTATAGTTCTGCCACCCACCCCGAGCTTTTGCAGGAATTTAGTGCTATTTTTGTCATATCTGGTTAATGCCAAAAAACAATTCTCTGGTTTCACCACTAACGCTCTTAGAAGGATCTGCTACATGGTTAACAGAGCTCAGCAGTTAGTCCTACATTCTTTACTTCATTTCCTGTCATGCTTGTATCTTGCAAACTTCATGATGTCATCCAGTTTGGAATACCTTGCTTCTGATATTTGCCCATTCACTGAACCGGAGGATTTGGGCCCCTCCCTCCTAAAAACAAATTGATGGATGACTGGATCTTTAATACCCCACCCCCAGCTTTTACCTTCTGCATGAAAATCTGAAGACTTATGAATGAGAATGGCTATATCCTGTTTCATCAATAGTTTTTCACTGTACATTTTTAAAAGGAGCGATCTGGAAACTTTTATATTCGTAAACATGTAAAGGTGTTAGGAATTTAATTCCCACATATAAGCATGTAATGCAAGCCCAGGAATGTTCTCGTGGAAAGTTTCTTCATGACATATTTGAGGTAGGAATCAGGTCATACTCTTCGTCTGTTACTCCTTCATGCGCTTTGTTCTAGACTCATGATGTTAATTTTGACACACACACTTTCTCCATCATGTGCCCACTCCACAGTCACGCCTATGAACAGAGGTGGTGAGTGTTGATAGTATTTGAAGAATCCAGGAATAGCTGAGTTCTCTCTGCTCCTCAAGCCTGCCTCCCTCTTTGGGGTTGTCAAGGGAACAGAAAAAATGAAAATCCACTTACTGTTTTATGACAAATTGTCCTAAGGCCTAATTTCCCCACAGTGAAACACTTTGGAAAAGCTTGGAAGCCCACCCCTTTCCACCCTAGACCTGAGGGCGCCTGTGTGGAGAGGAGGAAAGAGTGGGAGGATGAGATAGCAAGGTTTTGTTCAAGGACACAAGCTCTGCCTCCACTGACCCAGCCAGCTGCAAGAAGAAAGAAAGTGCGGGTACATGGCTTTGAGATACACCTCCCTCCACTCTCCTGCGTTTCCGCTATTAGCCTTCTTTTCATCCTTAAAACATGCCAACTTCTTTTCTCTCTCTGGCCTTTGCATTCGTTAGTAATGGCCTTCCGCAAGATAGTCATTTCCTCCTCAACTTTCAAGTCAGAATTCAGATGCCACCATCTCTGAGGGCTCTTTCTTGCCCATCATAGCTAAAGCATTCCGCCTGACTCTTTGCACAGGTGAGCCTACTTCATATTTTTTTTTTTTTTTTTTTTTTGACATGGTCTTGCTGTATCACCCAGGCTGGTCTCAAACTCCTGAGCTCAAGTAATCTCCTGTAGCTGGGACTATAGGCATGCCACTGCACCCAACTAATTAAAAAAAATTTTTTTAAAGAAACAGGGTCCTAATTTCATATTTTTGATAGCATGTATTGATAAAGTGTGTGATTCCATTGCCTTCCTCCTCCCGTTAGAATGTCAGGGGCACTGGTTTATACGTTGCTGTATCTCCAGCACCTGAAACAGCACTCAGCTCATGGTAGGCATTCAGTAAGTCCTTGACTGGTTGCCAGCGACCCATTCACCAATGAGCATAATCCAATCCATGTCTTGAAATCCAGCCAATCAGGTCTCATTACCTCTTCTAGCAGGGGAGTGAGGAAGAAGGTGGGAAGTCTGTTATATTAGTTATCAGTTGCTGCACAGCAAATTACCCTAAAACACAATGGCTTAAAACAACAGGCATTTATGATCTCAGTTTCTGTGCTCATGAATTCAGAACAGCCTTAGCTGGACCATTCTGCTCTGGGTCTCCCCTAAGGTTGCAGTCAAGATGTGGGCTACAGCTGCAGCTGTTTAAAGCTTGATGGAGCTGGAGGGTCTGCTTCCAAGATGGATCATTCCCATGGCTATTGGCAGGAGGCCTGAATTCTGATGGCAGAAGGCCACTGGTAGGAGGCCTTAGTCCTTCCCCACATAGACCTTTCAATAAGGCGATGTAAATGTCCTGACTGTATGGCAGCTGGCTTCCCTCAGAGCCTGTGATAAGGAAAGAGTGGCAGAAGCCACAAAGTCTTCTATGATCCAGCCTTGAAAGTACGTATCATCACATCTGCCATATTCTCTAATCACACAGACCAACTTGGGTATGATATGGGAGGCAACTACACAAGGGTGTGAAGATTAGAAGCAAGGCTCACTGGGGGTCTTCTTAGAGACTACCTACCACACCTTTCCTCACCCGTAATCTACACTGCTTAGATTTCCTTTCTATCTGCAGCACTGACTTGCTGTGACAGATTAGGTAGGAGCAGGCCAGGGGAAGTGAATGGGACCTCAACCATTGACTGCTGGGTTGAGAGGTGGGATAAGCCTCCATACAGGATGCAGAGAAATTACAGTTTGATAAACCAAACAAAGCATTTGGAGAAAGTGACAGTCGATGACAGAGATAGTTGTAGAAAATAGTCGACAAGACATGGAGGAGGCCACACAACACACAGAAGGGTGCTGACAAGTAGGTGGAGACCAGTGACCAGGATCCACAAGCAAACCATATTTGAAGATTAAGGTTGCAATAAGCTGAAATCCTGTTAAGTCCATAATGGAGTATCCAGTCCCATACTTTAGATCCCCGAACAGGACTCTGATCCCAGAGAGAATTTGGTCAAACCCATTACTTGTCTTGGTCATCGCATACAAGACTGTGAGTTGGTATGTGCCTTCCTTCCTGATACTCTAATTTCATCCTCTTGCATTTCCAGTCATGCTCAATAGCATATACTTGCAAGAACACTGCACACTCTTTTCTTTCTCCTTGCTTCCGGCAATGGTAAACCTTCTTCATTGAATGCACATTTCTGTTTTGCCTGACCAACTCCTGCTTTTCCTCTAAAGTTAATCTCAGCCTAACCCCTTTCAAGGTGACTTACCTGACCACTTCCATCTGCCTTGACCATCCAGGTACTCTCCTTCAGAACCCCCTTATAACCTTCCACAGATTTCTGACACTGCACTCACCCCTGTCTCCCCAGGGGTCTCTGAGCTCCTTGAGGGCAGAGACAGAGCCTTTTGTTTGCTGTATTCTCAACACCTTGTCCAGGACTTGCCATATCAGAAACCTCATTAACACCTTAATAGATTAGTGAAAGGAACTGCCTGGGAGGCTTTTTCCCACTTTCCTACTGCAGTGCCAGAATGGAGGATGTCCTCCACCATGCCTTAGGAAAATTAATAAAAAGTGAATATTCTCAGGGACTCAGTCCCAGATCACCACCTAGGATTGCATAGGGTGTGACCTCACAGGTGCTGTAACTGCTGAAGCAAGAAATTATGCACCATATATAAGTATTATGCCCCATGTATAAGTCTGTTCTCACACTGCCTTAAAGAACTACCTGATGCTGGGTAATTTATAAAGAAAAGAGATTTCATTGACAGACAGTTCCACAGGCTGTACAGGAGACATAGCTGGGGAGGCCTCAGGAAATTTACAATCATGGCAGAAGGGCAAAGGGAAACAAGCACATCTTCAACATGGTGGCAGGATAGAGAGAGAGAAAAAGGGGAAGTGCTACACACCTTTAAAGAACCAGATCTTTTGAGAACTCTATCACAAAACAGCACTAGGGCAATGGCACTGAGACATTAGAAACCACCCCCGTGATTCAATCACCTCCCACTGGACCCCACCTCCAACACTTGAGATCACAGTTCAACATGAAATTAGAGTTGGGACACAGCCAAACCATATCACCCCAGGAGGCAGTGTCTTCGGGCAGTGGCAGGCACAGGGATGCCATAGTACATGGAAGTCAGGAGGGGTGAGGAAAGTCCACAATAACCTGGACGTGGAGATGCACTCAGGCAAAGGCTCCATTTCACACAGCCTTCCTTGCAGGAAAGTGTGGTCCTGTGACTAAATTCTGTTCAGCAGAACCTCAGTGGAAATTGTGTTAAATTTTTGTAAACTGTCCTTAAGTGGAGTGTGTGCTCATCCTTTCTCCTCTCTGCTTCTGGCTGGAATGTGGACGTGTTGGCAGGAACTGGAGCAGCCATTTGGACCATGAGCTAACCATGAATGCAGGCCTCTTGGGGAACAGCAATGAGACAGAATCATGGGAATGATACCATGGCACCCCTACTGGCCTTGGGCCACCTATTTCAGACTTTTATACGAGAGGGAAATATAGTTATATATTTAAGCTATTTGGTAGGGGGGACGGTCATGTGTAGACAAACCTAATCCTAGAGAAATATGGGCAGTTTGTATGACATTCCCAGGAATTTTGAGCTTCTTAATATCTTATAACCCAACCATATTCTTGGACTTGAAGGTGTAACATTTGTATCCATTCAAGATTTTACTCATTCAAGACTTGTGGTAGAAGGGATTCCATACAGGCAGACTGAGCTTGGGAATAGATAGCAGTTGCAGATGGATACCCCTGGGAAACTCTGGCATTCTGAAGCAAGATAATGCTGGTGACTGTGCTTGTGGCTTCTGATGGAGCCACATAGTCTTAATGCTAGCCAACACCCTCCTTCAGGAGTGCCCATGTACCTGACTTCATCTGGTGTGGTGTAGAACTACAGGCAAAACTGACCCAGGAAAAAAATAGGGTGGTGATGATGGGGTTGACAGAACAGTTTCAGGGCGAAGACTTTCTTTGAATCTCCAAGGAGCCCAGAAGGCTTTTTAGACTATAAAGATCCATCTCCTGAATCTATTTTACCACTCCGAGGGGATGTTTTTGAATTAACATAGACTCCCTGTAAAGTTGCAAATGCAACAGTCATCTGTACCTTACTGAAAGTTGCTTTAATTAGACCAAGTATTTGCAGTGGTCAGCTTCAAAAGAATAGAGTTTACAAGAAAGCAAAGGTAGGGAGAAAAATATGGTGGTTCATTTGGAAGAAGACAGGCTTGCCTTGGGCTTAGCGATTCAGAGCCCAGCAAGGCTAAGGGTCTGCAGGGTGAGGAGGAGAGGACTGTGGGATGGGCTGTGGAAAGACTTGGTCACTTTTCAGTTGGCTCCTGCTCCATTGGGGTTGCTGTGCCCTGAAAATCACCTCAGTGCTGTCCTTGGCACATCTTTGGTATCTGGAATTGTCAGAGCTGTGATGTCAGCACTTGCCTGGAAGCTATGGACTACAGCCAACCATGGCTTGGCCTGGGCCCATGAACTGATGGTGGCAGCCATTTAGTGAGTGCTACTGATGAGGAAACTGAAGCTTAGTGAAGTTAGGTAATTCACGCAGGCCACAGATGGCCAAGCAGTCTGACCCCACTTAGTCTGACCCCAAAATGCAAGCATCCTTAGTGTAGGGCATCCAAGGGTCTTTCTACCTGGTTTCTGCTCACTCTTTTCAAGAGCCAGAGAAAAGACAGGGAGGAGCAGAGGACGAGAAGTGCAGCCTCTTGCTGCAGAAGGACACAGAGGGACAGCTCGGCCCCTCCTCTACTGACTTCTGTCCCTAGTCCCTCACTTCTCTCTCCACTCTCTATCATTCTTGGGAATTTTCAGTAGTTTCCAAAT
Source organism: Homo sapiens (assembly GCF_000001405.40). Lineage (NCBI taxonomy): Eukaryota > Metazoa > Chordata > Mammalia > Primates > Hominidae > Homo > Homo sapiens. Next base: position 224,161,513 of record NC_000002.12, read on the forward strand.
CTGGCTGCTTAGGGAAATTTTAAAAATATAGATTCCAGGCCCCAAGTCAAGGAGCCTTCTAATTTTGTTGGCTTTGGTGACAGTGATTTGCAGCCCAGGCTGAGGATAGGAGGGGAATGGGGTTGGAAGAGCCTCAGAAATCTCCTTCTTAGATGCTTAGGCCTCTAGTGCATGAAGTTCTTTGTGATAAGAAAACAAAAACAAACAAAAAACACCACCCCTGTGTAAAGCCAGTGAAGTGGGTTGAGAGAAACACCATCTCCTGTTTAGTGACTGACTATGATATTTTAATCACTTCGACATACTCACAAGTCACATGGAAACCAAGCATTCCTTAAAATGCTTCCTGGGTTTCCTTAAACATTTTATTCCCTTGGATAATAGGGAAGCAATTTTGCTGACTTAGGAAAACATAGAAAAATAGGTGAACTTTGCCTTGGTCTTCCTTCATCCCTGCCTCCTCTGAGAGGTTTCCAGGGCTCTCATTCAGTCCCACAGATGCTCCAGACATGCCTCCTGCACCCCTTCCCAGCCTTGGACCCTACAGGTTATGCATCGTCTTCCTCTTTCTACCTTCTTTGCCCCCAGCCTCACCTCAAATCCTCTTGTTCCCTTAGGCCAAGACAGCAGCTGCTTGCAAAGCAAGCTAATAAGTGGATGCCCTTTGTGATACCGGTGACTCCGTGCATCCCTGGAGAGCCCTACACATCCTGAGCTTTCACCCTTCTCTGTTTGCTTATAGGATTGGTTGCTGATCTTAGTAAGAGGCCATTGCTAAGGAACTCAATACTTCCCTGGAAAGGAATCAAGAATTGATGACATGACTGAAACACAGGATGCTTGGTATTTTTGAAGTCTGGCTACTAGTGACTAAGGATGAAAGTGTAGACTAAAACAACAAGCCAGCTTTTCAGTGTTACTCTTCATCTATTACATTGAAGTATTTTTGAGTAAAGTAATAGCAAATTATGCTCTGTTCAAGAAAAGTGACAGTTGTCTGCTTTTGCATGAGCATTCAAGGACAGCAGAAAGATTCATGGAGTGCCCTTCTGACTGTTCCCACCAGGAGAGGCAGCTATGAGATGGGCCCTTCAATGTCAAACTCTATTAGCCTTAAGGATACACACTATGATTTATGGGGATGAGGAGGTTTGCTTTAAGATCACAGAATGTTAGAGTCAGAAGGGACTTTCCAAAGTGAATTTTCTTTTTTTTTTTTTTTGCTGATAGGAAAATTGTTTTGCCATCTCTGAGCACCCCTGCCAGCTCACAGGAGTTAGAGGTAGCTCTAATGATTGCCATGTCTTGAGGGATGGAAAGAAAGATTAAACACCTTCAAAAAACGGGGAAGAGCAGATACTGGGTGCCCTCCAGAATCTTCTTTGTATGCCCTTCAGTAATCAGCAAAATTGAATTAATTACTGATGGCCAAGGACCCTACTGGTATTCTCAAGTGGAGATGATAGTGATCCATTTATGGAAAAAATGTCCTCAGATCCCAAGGCACCTGTTGTTTTCCACAACTATACTTTGTTCAGGATACAGCACCATAGATGAACACCATACTTGCAGGATAGTGTATTATACCCTTGACATGGTGAGCAAGCCCAACTTAAAACCCCCAGAATACCCACTGATATGGTTTGGCTGTGTCCCCACCCAAATCTCATCTTGAATTGTAGTTCCCATAATTCCCTTGTGTGGGATGGACCCAGTGGGAAATAATTGAATCATGGGGGTGGTTCCCCCATACTGTTCTCATGGTAGTAATAAGTCTCATGAGATCTGATGATTTTATAAGGGGAAACCCCTTTGGCTTGGCTTTCATTCTCTCTTTGCTGCTGCCATGTAAGATGTGCCTTTTGCCTTCCACCATGATTGTGAGGCCTCCCCAGCCACGTGGAACTATGAGTCCATTAAATCTCTTTTCCTTTATAAATTACTCAGTCTTAGATATGTCTTTATCAGCAGTACGAAAACAGACTAATACACTCACCCTGATATCAGAAAGACAATGGCCAGAATCCTATGTTCACATATATTGCTGGGTAAGACCTCTTTCTAAACAGTAGACAACTGTAAGATGCCCTTTCAATTCTTGCCCCACTGGGCTCTCCATTCCCTGTATATCCAGCCTTTTGTCTACTTGGCCACTGAGATCTGGACATCATATAATAAATAGCTCAAAGTCCCTGTGGCAACTCCCTTTCCCAATGACTCAACTCTGACAGCTAACATGCACTTGCTGTGAAGCTTACTCTTTGCAAGGTTGGTCCTGCCACACAGGTTTTTATTTTTAATCTAAACACTTCCAGAAATCACAAGGTTTAGAATTATTTTCCCCTGACTCACACTCAGATTAGGATTCTGTGTTTATTATAAAACTGTTGTTTTAGGAGCATTTTGGGCGCAAAACGCCAAACCTAAGAAGTTGAAGTTTAACCTCCTGGTCATAAGAAAGGAGCTCAGTCTATTCTTGGACCTTCTTGGTGTTGAACAGACAGAGACATGGGTTTTGAAAGACGGTGTTCTAATTTCTCATTAGGTCAGGCTCCAACCTACAATGGGAGTTGTTGGAAGCCTGACAGCCATTGTAGAGTCCCAGGGTGGATGCTTGAGACTGCTATTGTGAAAACAAGGCAGGAAAAGGATTTTTTCCCCCTCATACATCACTTTTTATCACATGACCTTGTAATCACACACTTTTCCCTTTATAGCATGGCCTATCCTTCTCAAAGCACGTTCACAAACAGCACCCCTTCCCTACTCCTGCCATAAACAGGCATGAAGAGGGACCCAGAGAGCCTTCTTGCGTGTCCATAACACGACCCCACCCACCTCCCAATGCACACGACCTTTTCACCACCATCTGCCAGGATGCTATTGGGACAAATCTCAGTCACCATTAGGAAGCTAGGATTCCCCCATCTCCACCAGGTCCTCCCTCATCTCTAGTCTCTCACCTACATACAGCACCTGTATATCATCCATCTAGCCCCATCTCCCACTCCTGCACAGAGCAAAACCTTGCCATGGGACCCACTGGAACTCAAGATTTGTTGTCAGCAAAATCGCCCATATCCCTCCCCCGACCCATCAAACTTTCCTACCTTCTTACGCTGTCTGAATGCTTTCTCTGCAGCTGTCTTCTATCTCCCACAGCCCTCATGGCATAAGCCCGAGGGCTTAAAGGTGGGGTAGGTGTTGTCCTTGGTCCTTATTGTCCTTCTCCCAAACCATGCTCATACTCTCTTTCCTCCCCTTTTCCCCTCAATTTTGAACCCCATGCTATCAGACTAAACCACTTGCTACCCTCCTTACTCCAGCCATCTATAGACCTGCAGGTCACTCACCTCTGTTTCTAGAAGAGTTTAGTTCCTGGCTCAGGGTCACTCTCCCCAGTGCCACATTCATCATGACCCTGGAGGATTTCACCCACTTAGGTGATCCTTCTCACCCCTGGTCTCTGAGGTCCTTTCCAATGATTGTGTCCTTATCCTTCTCATCCACGCATCTCATGGTCTCAGCCTCTCCATAGCCACAGATTTCACTCTCCCATATGCTCAACTTCAAACACCTCCTTTTCTGACCCCATTCTCCCAGCTATTGATGTTACTCCCTCTAGTATCTCGGCTTCAACAGTTCTTCAGTTCTATTGAGACTGCATTGGTTTGCTATCACTGCTGTAACAAATAACACATATTTAGTGGCTTAAAAAAACACAAATGTGTTGTTTTACAGTTCTGGAGGACAGAAGTCTGAAATCAGTTTCACCTGGCTAAAGTCAAAATGTTGGTAGAACTGGTTCCTTCCAGAGGCGCTCAGGGGAGAATCTACTTCCCTGCCTTTCCCAGCAGCTGGTGGCCACCTGTATTTCTTAGCTAGTGGTCCCTTCTCCATCATCAAAGAGCATCACTCTCTCACTTCAGGTCTTTGGTTGAAAGTTATCCTCACTGTTACATTCTGTCCCTTATTTTGCTTTTTCTTTGTTTTAGCATTTTTTTGTTTTGGTCTCATTAGTATCCTCCACCCATCCCTGATACCTGGTCTAGATATTAACCTCCATGAGGATAGGGAGTTGTTTTGTTCATTGATGTGTCTAATAATTTAAGACAGTAGGTGCTCAATACATATTTATTACCAGAATAAATAAATTTTAATCTCACTACTTTTATAAATCAATGCAGGGAATTAAATTAATAATTACTAAGAGGACAGGCATTGTACTAGACATTGATATAGGGTTGTCAGTTTTAACAAAATTACTAGCTGGAATCAATTTATCGAGTAAAGATTGTTTATCTTATGGAACATTTAATGATGGAAATCTGCATTTACATTCCTTTTATTACCAAATAAGTGTAATTTTTTAAAAAACCTCCAACAAACCACAGAGTTTGGTTTTTACTGATTCAGGACTGGTTCTGTTATAGCCATTAAACCAAGATTACTCATAGCACAAAAAATTTTTTTCAGTCTGGTATTCAATACAGAAGTTAGAGCAATTATAAAACTAGTTCTTACATAGAGCAGCAGATTCCCTGTGGAAAACACATTTCCACTTATCAAAAAATGACATTCTGTTGAGAGATATGAACATCATGTCCAAAATACCAACTCTCCTCCCAGAGAAAATTTGGAGGGAGCCCCTTTCTTTTCACATTGACAACCTCCAGATTTGAATTACTCATCAAAGGATTTATCACGATCAGACAAGTGCAAAAGATTCAGAGCATGATATGGTGAATTCTAGCCGTTCCTTCTACAGTTTGAGACCTCTTAGATTCACATTTGTGCTGTGGCAGTAAATTTATGATCTACATAAACAAGAAGCTCATTTTTCTGCAATTTGTATATGGCTTTCATGCCAGAGATTATAGCATCTTTTTTTTATTGTACTTTGAAACCAAATTAAATCTTTACAATTCTTGATTCAAGGTTGATGAAGTTACCGAAAGTGTCTTGTTTTTTTAAAGTTCTGCAACAAATAATTTAAAATTTTGCATGTTCTTTGATTTATAACTCCTTAACTAGAACTTTACCCTAAGTAAATGGAACTTAATGGAACGTATTCAGGCATTGGAAACAGATAGGCCTGGGTTCTGATCCAGACTCAAGCATTAATATCACATCCACATGTGTCTTTTTTGTTTCAGTTTTCTCACCTGTAAGATCAGAATAACACTGTATATCTTTTAAGATTGTTGTGAGATTTAGATATATTAGAAACACAGTCCCCTAGGCAGGTCTGGTCCATAGAAAGTGCTGAAAAATGATAACAATCAAGAGTCCCACAGAGCTAAAACATGACTTACAATGTTGAAAATTTTGGAGCAAATGAAATATCCAGCAATAGGGGATTGTGAAATAAATTTTGGTAAAGCCATGCAATGAAACTTTCTGCAGCTATGTGGAAAGACATTGCAGAAGAATTTTTAATGACCTAGAAAAATGTTCATGATAAAATGTTACGTGAAATTCCACTCGTAGGTATAGGAGTAAAACAGGTAGTCAAACAAAAACTTGTAGGTAAATGTTCATAAAAGCATTATTTGCAAAAGCCAAAAGGTTGAAAGAACCCAAATGCCCATCAGCTAATGAATGGATAAACAATATATTATATGTCCATACAATGGAATATTATTCATCCATGAATGAATTAAAGTATTGATACATGCTACAGTATGGATGTACCTTGAAAACACCATGCTAAGTGAAGTGAAAGAAGCCAGATGCAAAATCACACATTTTTTATTCCATTTGTATGAAACACCTAGAATAGATAAATCCATAAAAACAGAAGGCAGATTAATGATTGCTATGGGCTAGGGGTGTGAGAAATGGGGAGGGGGGGTGACTGCTAATTGTGTATGGCGTTTCTTTTTAGGGTGATGAAAAAGTTCTAGAACTAGAATAGTGATAATGGTTGCACAACATTATGAATGTACTTGATGCCACTGAATTGCACACTTTTAAATAGTTAAAATGGTAAATTTTATGTGTATTGTATCAAAATAAAAAATGTTACCTGAAAAAATATAGCTTGAAAACTTGTGTTTACAGTGAAATATTATTTATATCCACTTATACGTGCACACACACACACAGGAATTTATACACCAAAATGTTAGTAGTGGTTATTTCTCACCATGATATCACAGGTGATTTTTAAAATCATTTGCACTATCTTAATTTTTTCAGTAAGTATGTATTACTTTTATAATAAGGGATGAAGTTTAAGGATAATAAAAGATGAAGTTTAAGGATAAAGAATCACAAAAACAAAATTGCTGAATAAATGTAAAAGATGAAAGTAGACCTGATATAGTTTGGCTCTGTGTCCCCACTCAAATCTCATCTTGAATTGTAATTCCCAGGTGTCCAGGGAAGTACCTGGTGGGAGGTGACTGGATCATGGGGGTGGTTTCCCCCATGCTGTTCTCATGATAGTGAGGGAGTTTTCATGAGATCTGATGGTTTTAAGTGGCAGTTTTGCCCTGTGCACACTCTCTCCTGCTGCCATGTAAGATGTGCCTTGCTTCCCCTTTGCCTTCCACCATGATTGTAAGTTTCCTAAGGCCTCCCCAGCCATGCAGAACTGTGAGTCAGTTAAACCTCTTCTCTTCATAAATTACCCAGTCTCAGGTAGTATCTTTATAGTAGTGTGAAAACAAACTAATACAAAACCCAATACTGACCTGCCCCTATGTTTATACAATAAAAGTATTGAGCATTATTTCATAATTACATCCTGTGTGCTGACAGTTCTGAAGGGTGCTTTGCTGCACAGAGCCAGCCACGTCTGCCTTTCACACCCGAATTTGTGTGGAATCAAGTCCCATACTTTACATCTAATTTGCAAATCACTGTAGTAACGCATAAACTTAGAGAGTAAGTAGACATAATTGCACCTAAGTCATGGCATCACAAGATAACTATAACACTTAACATACATACATATATATATATGCCCTACTTTAAAAAATCTCATTTGTTTTTCATAAAGGGAGCACTCAAATCCTAGTCAGTGGGGTTCAAAACAAGACAATTAGCAGTTCTATTTATAATTGCGTTCATTTATCTTATTAACCCCATGAGGAAAACCTCATTATTCTTATTTTATACAAGGTGAAATTTGGACTCAGGTGAATCACTTCCTTGGGTTCAGGGTGTTAGTAAATGGTAGGCCCAGAATTCATACACAGGTTTGTGGGAAACTCAAGCTCATACTCTACCTGCAGTCACTGTTGCCTTGTCATTTCATGGATGGAGGAGCAGATGTTCAGAGAGGTAACCTAACTGGGCCAAAGTCACAGCTAATGTATGATAGACTTGGGATTTGATCTTCGTCTAGTGAATTTCACCAATCTCAGCTGCCTCTTGAGCATTTCTTGATGATACTGACTACATTGATATCATTCTCTTTCAGGACACCAAAAAGACCATGATACAATACAACCTCAAAGAACTAGTAAAAAGATAACGGGGACTTCAGAATAAATAGAACTTATACGTGGAGAGAATAATGGTTCAACTAAGAATAAAGGTCTGACATGAAGTTCTAAAATGTTCCAAGTTCAAACAGATGCAAATACTTTATTTTAAATGGTATGATCACATAGAGATAACACTGAAATATGATCTACATTAAAATTTGAGTGGCAATGCAAAATGAATGAACTCTCTTAAAGACAGAATGAGACAAAACTTGGTATGAGTCTTGCAGGCAGAGCCACCTGCCAGTCTGGTGTGCCATCCGGAGCCATTGTTCAGCAGACATAATCTGTGTGACAGCAGATTTTTATATTCGAGCCACATCCCTCTTGCTCCATGGATAATCTAAAGGTGAACCCTATCAGACCATGTTCTCTAGCCTCATTTGAAGGAGACAGTTTAGTGTAGAACTTTTCAGCCTAAAGAGAAAACATGTACTGTTTTCCTTCACTTGCAACCTTTCTAACATAATGGATGATTCCCTTAGATGAATCTACCTCAGGTCTCCGTCATGCTTCTGAATTCTTCTCAAACCCTGCTGAAAGCCCATCTGGGAGCTCTCCAAGCTACGTATTAACCAAGTGACCTTGGTATCCTTGTTGCTTCATTGCAAACATTTGTGCTAAAATGACATTTCTTTCCCAAGACACTGACCACATCATCCAACCTACTCTTTTTCTTCAAGAAATCTCAATGACATTCAAACTCAATGACTTGACCTTCTGGTTCTTCCGTGTCTCACTTCACGCCTCTGCCAGGCTTTGCCTCCTGTTCTTGTCTCCTCTCACACCTCCCTGCCCTTTTGTTCAGCCTCTCCCTCTGCCCCTCTCAGCTGCCTTTGTGTTTTTGTTCTCAGGTTTTCTCGTGTGTTCCCAGTCACCTGTCTTGGATGCAAGCTTCTCCCTCAGCCTTAAGCCTTCAATCTCTGTCATGCTCACTTGATTTCCTGTGTGCCCAGAGCGGTACCCCAGTGATCCAGGACCTCACCTAGCTTCCATTTTCTTGTCCCCAGCCTGTGCAATGGAAGGCTGGAAGGGAGTTATTCACTAAGAGAGCTGCACGCTGAGATGGCCAATTTGAACACATAACCAGGCATGAGAAGATAAGCCAGAGGAGCCCTGCTTCCTCATTCATCCACTGATTCCTCAGTACGTTTGTTAAGAAGTCATTTCATAGCTGGGCGTGGTGGCTCACGCCTTTAATCCCAGCACTTTGGGAGGCCGAGGTGGGCAGATCACGAGTTCAGGAGATCGAGACCATCCTGGCAAACACGGTGAAACCCCATCTCTACTAAAAATACAAAAAATTAGCCGGGTGTGGTGGTGGGTGCCTGTAGTCCCAGCTACTCGGGAGGCGGAGCTTGCAGTGAGCCGAGATGGCACCACTGCACTCCAGCCTGGGCGACAGAGCGAGACTCCATCTCAAAAAGAAAAAAAAAAAAAAAAAGTCATTTCATATCAGACCCTGCGCTGGGTGACTAGCACGTGTATGACTGTGTTTGTGTTTACGTGTTATTTACAATGAGTCATGGCAGGGTTCTTGAACTTTCTTGGTCACAGCACCCCTAGTCTGTTAGTACTATTTTTATGGCTCCACCAGTCTGAGAGTAATAACTAACAGTTCTTTTTTTTTTTTTTTTTAACAATTAGGCTTAAACAACTTAAGAAGTACATATGGATTAACAATTTGGTAGACATTTGAAAAACATTCTTCTCTGGATACAGCCAGCAGGATACCCAAGAGTTCCTGACATTCCTTATGGGAGCGGCTACACCTTGAAATCAACCACGGAGGCCGCGGGGCTCCACCAGTCCCTGCCCATGGTCCAGCTCCCTCTCCACCCCACCAAGGGGAGTGCTCTGCTAAAAGAGTCTGAGTTAAATGATGCTGACTGGGCCAACCTAATGTGGAAGCGTTATCTGGAAGAACAAGAGGACAGCAAGATGGTGGATCTGTTTGTGGGCCAGATGAAAAGTTATCTCAAGTGCCAGGCCTGTGGGTACCACTCTATGACCTTCAAGGTTTTTTTTTTTTGTGACCTCTCCCTGACCATCCCCAAGAAAGGATTTGCTGGGGGCAAGGTGTCTCTGCGGGATTGTTTAAGCCTTTTCACCAAGGAAGAAGAGCTAGAGTTAGAGAATGCCTCAGTGTGTGACCCACATTGGCAGAAAACACATGGTGCCAAAAGTTGACAGTACAAAGATTCCCTTGAATCTTCATGCTCCATCTGAATCAATTTTCTGCCTCCTGAGGCTCCATCAAGAAAAGTTCTGTAGGTGTAGACTTCCCACTGCAGTGACTGAGCCTAGGGGACTTTGCCAGTGACAAAGTCGGAAGTCCTGTCTACCAGCTGTGTGCCCTTTGGAACCACTCAGGCAGCATCCACTGTGGCCACTACACAACCCTGTGCCAGTGCCAGACTGGTTGGCACGTTTACAATGACTCTTGTGTCTCCCCTGTAAGTGAAAACCAGGTGGCATCCAGTGAAGCCTACTGTTCTACCAACTGACGCAGGAGCCACCCCAGTGCCTGTGACACCCCCTCTAAGCCCTGGCCCCTGTGAAGCCCTTTAAACACCCTTAAGCCCCAGGCTCCCCATATATCTCAGAGACATCTATTTTTGTGTCTTTTAAGTCAGAGAGTGGGGAGAGGGTGGTTGTAGCTCCCATTATATATTTTTTCAAATTAAAAAGTACCTTTCCAAGTGGAGGATCCCTGGTCTCCCAGTCCCATGTACAGAGCTCACCAGGCCCCTGCACATGTACAGCCCCCAGACCCTCTGTAATCTCATTTTTTGTGAAAAAAAAGTACTTAAAATTTGAAATGTATTTAAAATTGAAAAACATACTTTGAAAAAAGTATTTTTATTTTATTTGTAAATAACCACCGTTACTTACAAATGGGATTTATGTGCATGTTGGTCACTGCACAAATTCTCAAACCTTAGAATCAGATTGGATACCACCACCCTCATTTTCCATTCCATACTGCATGCTTACTTGCATTTTAAGATAGTGACCACTAAATTCAACTTTGCCAAAAATATGACATTATGAAAAAGAATGTAGCATAATATAAATTTGAACCTCAACACCTTTGAGCCAGGAGTTCATGTGGTATCTGACCAGATGCTGTGTTTCTCTAGAAAATTTAAAATATCCCATAGCAACCCTATGAATTTGCTGTGGCACCCTGGGGTGCCTCAGTGTACAGTTTGGGATCTGTGGGACATGGATTCTGTTCTCCTGTTTTTTTATAGTCTGATAGAGAAGAGATGTCATATAAATAAGGAAGGATAGATTAGGTGCTATAAAAAATTCAACAGGTTAGAGCAGGGGTTCATTTGTGATATCATGAGCCAACAGAATAACAAAATAAAATGGTAGTGACTATGGAGGGTGCCTTTTTTTTTGAGTCAGGGTCTCACTCTGTTGTCCAGGCTGCGGTGCAGTGGTGCAATCATGGCTCACTGCATCCTCAACTTCCTAGGCTCAAATGATCCTCCTACCTCAGCCTCCCAGGTAGCTGGGACTATAACCATGTGCCACCACAGCTGGAAAATTTTTAAAATTTTTTCTAGAGAAAAAGTCTCACTTCATTACCCAGACTGGTGTCAAACTCCTGGGCTCAAGCAATCCTCCCACCTGAGTGTCCAAAAGTGCTGGGATAACAGTCATAAGCCACCGTGCCCCACCTGGTTGTTTATTTTCATGTTAGCAAAAGGACATCAAATTTTCAAAAATCATGCACTACTATCATCATTTTAATTACTTTTAAAATTTAGGAATAACTTAGGGTAATTTTTACATATGTAAATATTCATGTAACCATAACCTAGATCAGGAAATAGAATCATCTCAGAGGTACTCTCAGGTCGTTTCCAGTGAATACCTCACCTCTACCCCTCGCCCCATCCCAGGGAGAAAACTATTATATTGATCTCTAACCCTATAGAGTAGATCTACTAGTTATTGAACTTTATATAAATGGAATTATACAGTGTGGACTCTTATGTCTCACTTCTGTCTCAGCACAATGTCTGTGACATTCATTCACATTTTTGCATGCATGGGTAATTTGTTCTTTTTTCTTTGTATGAATATATCACACTATCTTAAAAAATTCTTTTTTTAAAAAAGGAATTTCTCAAATTGGAAAAAGTTATCTTTTTACTTTCTTCATAGATGTACTGCATAAGCACGCTTCCTGAAGTAATATATTATTTAATCAGTTTTGTTTGCTTGGAAACTTTAGAAAATTGTATGCCATTTTTTAAAGAATTGATTTCTTTTGCAACTTCCTTTTTCACTCAGTATTATGCTTGTGAGTCATCCATATTCAAAATAACCTATTGTTCATTTATTTTTAGTGCTGTATATAATTGTTTTTTGAAAAGGCACAATTTATCCATTTCCCTGATGATGGACATAAAAGAGTCATTTGTATCCTAAATATGAAGAGAATTTTCTTTCATCAGACATTCAATACTAAGCATTTGCCATAATTGTAACCTATCTTTTTTTTTTTTTGCATATTTTTCTAAGACCACTGTCTCATTGGAGGCTATTTTTAACATAAGTCTGCAAACCTAAGGCAGTCCTGGAATAGTTGTCATGCAGTGTGTTCAACGTGGCTCTTCTCAATTCACAGAGGGACTCTATATAGCCCATGGTCACACATCCCCAGATAGGCTCTGACCTCCTTATTAACAACACCCAAACCTCAGGAAATCTCTCAATAGAGCTTTCGACAAAAAGAGAACTGCACGGTGCCAAGTAAGGAACCTGACATCTCAGTCAATGTCAACCAGGGACCCCATTGAAAGAGTGATCCTGGAGCACATTGTAACAGCAAGAAACGCAGAAATATTTTCCAGCTACAAGAGAAAGGCATTAAATTGAATGCCTCTGAAATTAAGAAGTCCATATGCCTTTAAAACCTTCCAGTTCCTTTATCTAATAGGACCGTTTTGCCTTTATCATTGAATTCCCAAAGGCTTACTGACAGAAGACAATCATAAGAGCTAAGCAAAGCCCACTGCTATTAAATGTTTCCTAAGTAACAGGCACTCACTGAGCTAAGTGCTTTTATATGGTTGATCTCACTCATTCCTCATAACGAGAATGTTGACAAAGCTACTGTCATTATTAGTCCCATTTGATGGATGAAGCGGAAGTAATTTGCCCCAAGTCCTACAGCTAGTGTTAGCAGCATGGATTTGAAAACAGGTGGTTGTGACTTCAGAGCTTGTGTTCTTAGCCAGACACTTGTGCCCCTTGGCCCCTGTCTGTCCAGCTGCCAGTCTATGGGGACTGATGATATCTTGAATATAAGGATTGGAGACAGAGTAAGGCCATGTACAAGGGGCATTTGGCATCTTTGGAGTAACAGGTCTATGTTTTAGTGTTACTACAAAGTCTTCACTTGTGTTCATTCTTTTTTGTTCAGAAACACGCTGCGGGACACAGAAGGAATAGAACTCACAGTTATGAAGGCTCTAGTTCTAGACATTCTGTTCAAAGCTTCCACAGATATTATTTTATTTAATCATGACTCCAGCTCTGTGAGGTTGAGCATAAAATCCACAATGGCTGAGAAAACTGATGCTTAGAGAGATTGCTTGAGGCATGTGTTTTGTAGATAGGATTTAAACCTATGGCTTTAGCCTCTCAATCCAGATCCCTTTCTATAAGCCCCAAGGCCAGGGGAAGCTTTTGAGGACTATAATCTTACATCACTTATCTAACCATTTTAAAAACTCAGTATTTGGGACTCATAAGCCCATTAGAAATCATATTTTGTTTAGTCCTCTTTAAAATCTGCATTTAAATTAGCCTTAAGATCTGTTTAAATATAGGCTCAGAAAACGAATATGAGGGCTCCAAGGCAAATCTCATATGTCATATTTCTCAGGCTATCTATGAGTTTGCATCCTCTTTTCTAAAAGATACCACCTCCCAACTTTCTGTTAAGACGAAATAGGAAAATGCAAAAAGGCCATTATTTAATGATAACTTACTGAGAGCCATTTCGAGGGTACCTCTTTGATAACACAACTACAACTAACAATAAATATTTTAAGTGGACAAACTCAGGAGTTTCAAAAAGCTGGAAATTAATTGCCTACTAAACCCTTGACCTGAACTGAGAAGAAGCGGCTGCCGTTTTGTACAACATGGCCTCCCCCTCTGCCAGAGCTGATTGGACAAGGGTGGACACATGACTCAAGCTGGGCCAATTAGATTTACTTTCTCAGTTATTTGTAATGGGACTGAGAGAGATTCGCTCTCTTCAAGTGGCTAAACCTGCACTATCTAAACTCTGGAACCACGGGACAGGGAGCTGAGCAGTGAAACCACTCTGTGAAAAAGAAGAATGAAGTAGATGTGCTGTATATATCGGTCAGGTTCAGTCAGGAAAACAGAAACTACACCAGCTATTTTAACAGAAGAGTTAATAATGCCACTTGGTTAAAAGGCTTTGGGGGCTGTAGTGGCAAACAGGGAACATGGAAGTTTTACAGAGATAGTAACTTCAGGAAGCAGCTCACATTCTTAGGGCTAGGGGAACAAATGGAGGAAGTTACCAGAACCTGGAGGTTTGGAAAAGAAACATGAAGAGCTGAGACTCAGACCTCTGAAGGAGGAGTACCATTGGCTGGTGTTGGTGCCTCTGAAACTGACAGGAAGTCCCCACAGATGGAGGCCCAGGAAGAGGGCGCTGGCCAGCTGCAGCTGGTGTCTCCAAAGGGTCACCATGAGGCGGGTTATGGGTGTGCAGGACAAAGCTGGAAACAGGAACCAGATGCTGCTGCTGGGGCAAAGACCTGTGATAGGTGATACAGTCAGCAACAGCCAGACAACTAGGGACAAGGTAGCAAGTAGTCCCTTCTCCCTCCTTCAGCCTGGCAGATTCTCTCTAGCATCCCTTCCCCTCCATAAAGCCTGGCATGGAACCAGTTAGCGAGGGGAAAAAAAAGTGATTTGTAGAGACCTAGCTGAAGCATCACAAAGAAGAGTTAAGAAGGGTGTGTTTGGAGCCAAGAGATAAAAGTTCAATGGCCAGGACACACGGACAGATGTGGCCTTGAGGGTCCATGTGACTCTGCAGTCTCTAGCCTGGAGGGTTCTCACAAGCAGCACTCTTGACATTTGGGGCCAGATAATTCTTTGACGTGGGGGCTGTCCTGGGCATTGTAAGATATTGAACACCATCCCTGGCCTCTTCCCACTAGATGCCAATAGCACCTCCCCAGCTGTGACAACTAAAAATGTTTCCAGACATTGCCAGTGTCCCCTGGAGGGCAGAATTACCCCCAGTTGAGATCCACTGAGCTAAGTTCTTGCTTTGTGTTCTGTAAGACATCCCTGCTCTTTTAATTCTCCTTTTTCCATTAAATTCCATTAAATTCTTTCAATTTAGGTCTTATAACCTGCAACCCAGGGAGTCTTAAAAGCTATCCTAACATTTGCTGAGATCTTAAATATGTCCCAGGCCCTGTGCTAAGCATTTACAGGCATCATCTACTTTAATGTTCTCCACAATCCTATGAATCAGGTACAGGTATTTTGCCCTCACTTCACAGAAGAGGAAACTGAGGATCTAAGAGGATACTGACCCCCAGCCACTGAATGGAATGGGTACTTTACAACCATGAGGCTTTACTGTAATATGTCACCACTCACCAGCGTGACAGGCAGCCACCTTCTTATCCTAGATCCTTTACTTATATTCAGTTGAACCATATGAAATTGCTGTTTTTTACATCAAAGAGGTGAGATATCAGCAATTTACTTTGGTTCCAATGGGTGCCTTCTGCCCTTTGCCAGGAATGCCTGCCTCCATCCACTGATCTTACCCGTCTTTCAGGCTGGTTTTTACTCCTCCATCCACCACGAGTTCTTCCTGGACCACTTATGGAGCTAATGGAGATATATGGGGTTGCTAGGACTCCCATAACAAAGTATCACTGACTGAATCCAGCAACAAAATTTATTTTCTCACAGTTCTGGAGGCTGGAAGTCTGAGTTCAGGATGTCACAGGGTTGATTTATTCTGAGGCCTCTCTCCTAGGCTTGCAGACGGCCACCTTCTCACTCTGTCTTCACACAGTCCTCCTTCTGGGCATGTCTGGATCCTGATCTCTTCTTCTATGGACACCAGTCATATTGGATGAAGGCCCACCTTAATGACCTCATTTTAAGGTAATCACCTTTTTAAAGACCTACCTTCAAATATAGTCACATTCTACGGTACTGGGTTTAGGACTTCATCATATGGACTTGGGGAAGGGAGCATAATTCAGCACACAGCAGGAGCCCCCATCCTCCTAGAAGCACACAGTGCCTGCTATTTATGAGATTCATTCATCACTCAATTATATCTCTCTTATTTGGCTCTTTTTTTTGAGATGGAGTCTCACTCTGTCAGGCTGGAGTGCAGTGCCATGATCTCGACTCACTGCAACCTCCAACTCCCTAGTTCAAGCAATTCTCCTGCCTCAGCCTCCTGAGTAGCTGGGATTACAGGCATGTACCACTATGCCCAGCTAATTTTTGTATTTTTAGTAGAGACGGGGTTTCACCACGTTGGCCAGGATAGTCGCGATCTCCTGACCTTGTGATCTGCCCGCCTCAGCCTCCCAAAGTGCTGGGATTACAGACGTGAGCCACCATGCCCGGCCTTATTTGGCTCTTTATACATATGTGTATATATATATATATCTTGTTCCTTCAAGAAGTCCATAAGCTTATTAAAAACACTGCCTCCCCAAAACCTAGCACAGTGGTAGGCACTGATCAATAGGATATTGTACAGTTATCATCGAATATCATAGCCATGTTAAAGCAGGAACATTGACTTAAAAATATCCCATGATTCCATCCAGCTTTTAGTTTCCAGGGCTTACTGCTCTTTAAAACCAATTTTTATGCAGTTAAAACACACTTTGAGGTCTCTTGAAAACCTTTATTATTACTTTAATTTTCCTCATGATGAGACAGCATGAATGCTATCAAGAACTGAGCTTTAACAACACGCAAAACTGATTTGCCCTGCTGGAGGCCCTCAAGGTTTTCAGTTCTAACTACTGATGAAGTAAGCACAGACTCTAAGATAAAGGGGAGAGAAAGAAAAATATCAAGACCAAAACAGAATATATAAATCCGGGAGCCCCAACCCACAGGCCAGCTAAAAATAGAACTCTTTCTTAGCTCAGTGAGTGCCTGTAACATGGCTGATGGATGTTATTGGTTGGCAAGGAAACACAGGTTTACGGAATAAATGTAAATATATTCGTTCTAAGGAGTCTTCTCAGACCCACGTTGGCTTTTTGCCCAGGTCCACAGCATGTCTGGACATAGGGGGATTCAGATCTCTGTGTGCAGAACAGTCATTGTTTCTGCCAGAACATGCAAAAATCTCTCACTTATGACATTTTTATTTGACTGGAGAATATGGTGAACAGCCTCCAAATCATGTTCCTGATGGACTGCCTCTGTGTGTGCTTTCATTAACCACATTTTTGCATTTGTTCATTTGTCTTCTTTCAGCAAATATTTATTGGGTGCCTACTTTGCCCTGGTTTGTGATATGAATTTACCATGCTGCACTGTAGTCAGCTACTTTGAGTCTAGGTCAAGCCACACGATGTAGGGAGGCAGTAGGGATGGTGGTTAAAAATGGATTCTGGGGCCAGACGGCTTGGAGTCCCACCAGGCTCTCACACCTGCTGGCTCTCTGGTCTTCAGCGACCTTGCCTGTGCCTCGTTTGTCACACAGGGATAATAATTTACTTACCTTGTGGGTTGTAGTGATAACTAATTTATACATGACGTGTGAATTACTTATTGTAGCTCCTGGCACATTATAAGAGCTAAGAAGTAATTAGCTGCAATCACTATTACTGTTTTTCAAACAATACTGTTTGAAATTAAAATTATTTTTGAAATTTATTTCTTTGGTATTTTCTATTACTCCTGCTCTTTTCCTATTTGGGACATCACCATTACAAACCACTGCTTTGGGGGAAAGTCATTGTAACAGAAAAAAGTTAAAGTCTTTTGACATCAAACTCAAAAGCTGACTTGAAGCTACCTTCCATCTTCTGAGACTAGACACTTTTCTCTTAGTGTGGGGGAGTGATGGAAAGGCATTGTCAGAGCCTGATAAAGGGGTACCCATGTGCTTTCTGGTGGAGGGAGGGAAAATCCAGAGGGTACATATGGTGCATGACACGAACCTGACATACATATAAAGAGACTTAAGAGCAGATATCATTTGTCTTAGTTAGTTTGGGCTGCCAGAACAAAATATCACAGAGTGGATGGCTGAGCAACGAACACTTATTTCTCATAGTTCTGGAGGCTGGGAAGTCCAAGATCAAGGTGCCACCAGATTTGGTATCTGCTGAGGGCCCTCTTCCTGGTTCACAGATGACTGTCTTCTCACTGTGTGCTCACATAGCAGAAAGCAGAGAGCATGCTCTCTGGCTTCTCTTATATAAAGATATTAATCCCATTCAAGAGGGCTTCACCGTCATGACCTAATCACTTCTCAAAGGCCCTACCTCCAAATGCTGTCACACTGGGGATTAGGCTTCAATATATGAATTTGGAGGGAGAAGGTAAAAATGTTGTCTACAGCACCATGTGCCTCAAGAGGATAGAAGCAGAAAGCTCTTGGTCGGTTCTCAGAGCTTCCTGTGGCCCAGTGAAGGGGGAAGGGGACTGAGGGTGGGGAGAGAAGAATGTGTCTTCTTGCCAAGGATTAGCGTTAAAGGCACAGAGGATCTGACTCCAAGGGGCTGTTTGGACAAGACTCCAAGGAGCAATGGACTAGAGTCCTGCATGAACAATAACTGAAGATAAGACACCCACTCTCTCACCCACTAACCCAATGCCTCAGCATAACACAGGACTCCAAGAACTTAGATGCAATCCCAGTAGGGGCAGGCATAATGGGTTGGGGACATTTGCAACAATTACTATCATTACTGAAAGCTTCAAGAACAGGAACTGTTACTTTATATCCGTAGTGTGTAGAGTAGGCCTGGTATGTAGTTGGTGCTCCGTAAAATTTATAACATATTAATGACAGGCATTGTATTAGTTGGTTCTCACACTGCTATAAAGAACTACCTGAGACTGGGTAATTTATAAACAAAAGAGGTTTAACTGACTCACAGTTCTGCATGGCTGGGGAGGCCTCTGGAGACTTATAATCATGGTAGAAGGTGAAGGAGAAGCAAGGCACATTGTATATGGTGGCAGGAGACAGAGGGATGGTGGATGTGCCACACTTTTAAACCATCAGATCTCTTGAGAACTCCCTCACTATCATGAAAATAGCATGGGGGAAAATGTCTCCAAGATCAAATCACCTCCCACCAGCTCCCTCCCTCAACATGTGGGGATTACAATTCAAGATGAGATTTGGGTGGGGACACAGAGCCAAACATATTAGGCACTGAAGTAGATGTTAGTGCCATACAGATAAGAAGGCATGATCCTTGCTCCTCGGGAGCTGAGTCTTATGGAGACGTCTACACACACACACACACACGTGTGCGCGCACACACACACACACACACACACCAAACTGATCCCAATGAGGTAAAGGTATAACCAAGGCACAACAAAAGCACAGTGGGAAGAGTCCCCAAGCCTGATTGCAGACATCAGAGAAGAGATGTTGGCACTCACTGATGCCAGGGCACGGCCAGCAGAAGGAACAATGTGTACACAGATCAAAGGCTGAGAACAGCAGGGTACGAGAAGTGAGGGTGAGTACCGAACCCAGCTGCCATTTTACTCACTGCGGGTGTGGAGTCTGACAAAGGACACAGATGCCCCACAGGGCTCTCTCAAGCCAGTTCTTGACTAGAGTTTAAAGCTTTCTCTGAATGCACTGGTGCCTCAGGCACGTTCCCTCCTAAGACATGGGATTTTTCTCAACAAATGTCTTTGGAAGCGGGAAGGAGAATGGGGCTGCAGCCAGAACAGCTGCATGCATGTTCCAACTCCATCACTCCCTTAGCTCTGTGGTTTGGACCAAGTGATGTAACCCCCTCGTGTCTCTGAAATACAGACAATTCATCTATTACCTGAGAATGAACAGAAAACTGCAAGACTTGCCTGAGATTTCTTCTTCTTTGTGGTTCAGAATGACTTTGAGCAGTGGGTTTGAAGAGGCAATAGAGGGATAGAGTAGGCTTGATTTTGGCAGAAAGCGCCCCACAGAGTCCAGCATGTTCACTCAAACATTTAGAATAAGCCCATAGACCTAAGGCAGGAATATGCAGAATGTACTAGAAGAGCTGAAGGGAGATCAATGGGGATGGTGAATTAATATTTCTTGAACTTGTACTTTGTACCAGTTATTATTAGGGAGGATAGAAACATATAGATCCATGAACAGTTACTGTTCTTCAGAAAATCATAATTGTTCACATAAGGAAAGCAAATGGGAACAAGTAATGATGGAACAGGGGGTTGTATGTGTACAGGGTATGTAGGTACAAAGGGCTTTAAGGACACAGAGAAGGGAAAACTCCAATAGTGAGGGGGTCACATAGAAGGATGGCACTTGGGATGGGTTGTAAAGCCCCTAACAGATGTGAAATCAAGAAACAGAAGACAGTTTATAATCAAGCACTAAGTCGTATTTTAGTGGGTATTTAGCTCTAAGGTGGGATAGTAATCTGATAAAACAGGAGTGACTCATCATTTTAATAGCTCTCTGTATAGTATTTTTCCTTGTTTATTTTCCCCCTACATGGTTTTATGTAAAATTGTTGGTTTTTTTTTCTTTTCTTTTCTTTTTGAGTCTCACTGTGTCACTCAGGCTGGAGTGCAGTGGCATGATCACGGCTCACTACAGCCTCAACCTCCCAGGCTCAAGCAATACTCCCTCCTCCAGCCTCCCTTGTAGCTGGGACTACAGGCATGTACCATCATGCTCGGAAATATTTTTGTATGTTTTGTAGAGACAGGGTTTCGCCATGTAGCCCAGGCTTGTCTCTAACTCCTGGGCTCAAGGGATCACCTGCCTCAGCCTCCCGATGTGTAAAATTGTTTTCCGATGTTCATTGGGCATTTTGCCTACAAGAAGTGGTGCTGTCTTCCCTATTGAAGAATATTAGCCACTGCTTTCTATCTAAAAATCAGGAATCTGAATCTAGTTCTTGGTTCTAGTTGGGAGATAATAATTGAACACAATAAAAATAGCAACAGAAACTGCTAAAAAGAGACTGAGAAGGACCAGAGGAAGCTCTGTGGGCCCTTCTTGTCCTGTGTAGCCAGGACAAAAAGCATTCCATAGAATTCCTTGCACTGTAGTTCTTAACCCTGACCAAGCCCTCCCATCTGTCAGTCATCCTACAGAGGAGAAGGGAAGAGTACAGAGAGAAAAGGGGGAAAGAGAATTTGATGGGTTTGGTAGGTGGGCCATGGGGTGCCTAGATCTGGGGTCAGCCAGTCTGGGTTCAACTCCTGCTTTTGATATTCACCAAGATTGTGATCTCGGACAAATCATCTAACTGTTCTCATTTCCTCCTGTTCTGTATAATGTGACAATAATCAGACCTGCATCTTGACCTTGCAAGATTAAAGAGATAATATACCCAAAACAAATATAACAGTACCTGGAACACGCTAAGGACAAAGTAAATATTAGCCATTATAATGTGTCCATTCAGCACACATGGCCCCTTTCCTGGCAACAGACTCTGCCTTCCTGAACAGAGATGAGGGTTGGGGGATGAGACCACAGGATACCTTGGTGTCCCCTCCATCCCGCTCAGGGAGGGGCCTGTGACACAAATGGCCCAGAGTTTTTACTGGGGTTTTCCTGCTGGAGGTGAGCTCTTCTCTCAAACCTGGAATCAATGTCAGCCTGGGGTGGATAGCTGCTACGTCCCTGCCACATGGAGAAGGCCTATCTGTGTTGCCAAGGATGAAGCCTTGAAGAACACATAGAATAAAAGCAGTGCATGCTGGATGCAAACCGTGAGGTCCCCTAGTATTTCGTAGGTCCTCAGCTCTTCATTGCATTTGAGCTTCTATACCCTTCTTTCTTGTAATAAGCCCCATTTTTGCTTAAGCTAGTGTTGAACTGGGTTGTGGTCAGACCTAAAGAGTCCTAACTGGTGTGAAGGGGCAAAGGAAGGGCCCAAGAGAGATAGGAGATGCCCCCAAACAGCTCGGCTGTTAGAAGAGGGTCAGGAAGGTGAAGCCCATGTAAACGAGGAGTGAAGCAACGTGAAGCAACATTCCCCAACCTCCTGGGCTGATGACCAAGGAAAACAGGAGATTTAGGTTGATGGTTAGTATTTCATAAAGTGTTCACAATGCTGTTCTACTTAAGGTTTTTACAGTCACAGAGACCATTTTAAATCCTGGATTTGGAATTTCTATCTTAGCAAGTCTTCCCTTTTGGCATGTGGTCTGTGGACCACTTGTTCTGAGAATTTAGGTTGGTTATGCTTATGATGAAGTTTTCCCAATGTATCAGATATAGAATGATTATTTCATAAGCCCTATATTTTGGTTCCAGTTCAGTCAACACTTAACAGTCTATCTAGTTCATACTGTATATTAAACACATTATGCAAAAGTATAGCAAAGTATTAACAGAATAATTATTAGGCAACCTAATACCTTTATTATATTTTCTTTAAAAAATTATTAAAGATGTGATTCCATTGATGTTCATTGTTGATTTAGCTTCGTTTGCCTTTTGTCTTTTGAAACTAATAAATGCATTTGTAATAACAACAAGATTTGCTTTTGTAAGACTTTAGCTTCTCCTCTTTGCACAGTCTCGCTTAAGCCGAGAACCTTCTGACCACTATAAGGATAAATGACCTAAGCCCACTGGAGGCCTAATTAACTCTACCAAGTTACCAATGAGTGAAATGCCCTAAGGACATGCACTCAGGGGTGAGCAATGAGGCCTCAAAATGAAGACAATTCCAATCAATCCATGGGGTTAGTGAGTGGGTATACAGGAGCTGAGCCTCAGCACATCTGCCCACAAAGCTAGGCAAAATGAAATAGAAATTATTCTGACCATTCATAAATGCTATCAGTTTGATTTTTTTTGTTTGTTTGTTTGTTTTGAGACAGGGTCTCACTCTGTTGCCTAGGCTGGAGTACAGTGGTGCAATCACAGCTCACTGCAGGCTCAACCTCCTGAGCTGAAGTGATCCAACCACCTGAGCTGAAGTGAGCCTCCCCAGTAGCTGGGATTATAGGTGCATGCCACCACATCGGGGTAATTTTTGTATTTTTTGTAGACATAGGATTTTGCCATGTTGTCCAGGCTGGTCTTGAACTCCTGTGTCCAAATGATCTTCCCGCATTGGTCTCCCAAGTGCTGGGATTATAGGCGTGAGCTACCATGCCTGGCCTTCAGTTTGAATTTTTGAAAAGGCACGGCATGTGTGACCTTTTCCAAAATGTAATTTTTAAGATTTAAAACAGCTATCATTATAATGTCATTAGAACTACACACAAAAAAAAATAACAATATCTACTCATGTGTTGGCATCTTCTCATAAAAATGGGGACAATTAAATTGCTTCAGGACTAAAATTAATTACTTCAAGGCTAAAATTATTCATTTCATCCATGCAGAGAAGTCACCATGTAGAGATGGTTTTAATCTGATTAATGACTAATTTTCTAGTTCTAAAGATTAAAATAAAGCTAAGTTGTTGGAAAATATAAGACTTGAAAGGTCTGAGTAAAGCAAGAACAAGGTTTTTTCTTCTTTTTTTTTTTTTTTTTGAGACAGGGTCTTGCTTTGTTGCCCAGGCTGGAGTGCAGTAGCACAATCATAGCTGACTGCAACCCTGCCTCCCAGGCTCAATCAATCCTCCACCTCAGCCTCCCAAGTAACTGGGACTACAGGCATACACCACCACACCCAGCTAATTTTTGTATTTTTTGTAGAGATAGGAATTAGTCATGTTGCCCAGGCTGGGCTTGAACTCCTGGGCTCAAGCCATCCACCCTCCTCTGCCTCACAAAGTGTTGGATTAAAGTGTGAGCCACCAAGCCCAGCCAAGAACAAGTTTTCTTACTGCTTCTGTTGCCCTGGGTACTGTCTAGGAGGAAGGCTCTGCCACTATCACAAGCAGGCTGCACTGAATGCTGAAACCAAGGGAGGGATTTAGAGTGGCGAATATCTTAGTCCATTTAGTGCTGATATAACAAAATACCTAAAGCTAGGTAGTTTATAAAGAAAAGAGGTTTACTTGGCTCATGATATATGGTGGCTGGAAAATTCACAATTGGGCTTCTGCATCTGGTGAGGGCCTCAGGCTGCTTCAACTCACAGTGGAAAATGAAAGGGGAGCCGACATGCACAGAGATCACATGGCCAGAAAGGAAGCAAGAGAGAGAGAAGGGGGAGGTGCCAGGCTCTTTATAACAACCAGCTCTCAGGAGAACTGATGGAGTGGTGACTCCCCTCACCCCCAAAGGAGGGCATTAATTCATTCATGAGGGAGCCACTTCCATGGCCCAAACACCTCGTGGTGGGCCTCTCCTTCAACATTGCGGATCAAATTTCAACATGAGATTTGGAGAGGACAAACATCCAAACCATAGCAGGGGAGAAGGAGTTATCTGGGCAACTCATGGGTCCCTTAAGAATAATGATTTTGCCTTGTCCAATTAAAGGAGAGGCACCAATTTCATTATTGTACAGATAGGATTTTGCCATGTTGGTTAGGTATTTTATTACAGCAACCTGAACAGCCTAACAAAGCATGCTTGGGGTTACTTGCTCTAGGTTACTCTTTGGGGTTTCATTTCATCAGGCTGTCCAGAGAAATAACTAAGGGCCTCCTCCTTGGTGACTGACTCTCTCCATCTGCTGAGATTTGAAGGGTTCCTAGGATGTGAAACTTTTGGTGATAAAACCAGGACAGTATCTGTGACAGTTGTCCATGCTAGTTCCTCTTTTGACCTTTGCCAGGGATAACCAGATATTCTCTTATTTCTGAATCCAAAAGGTCAGACTTTCATAAGTGAGGACTTACTTCACAATAACCCATACATTGGCTTACACTGCATTTAAGAAAATTCTAACCACATTCTTAAAACTCAACATGGTGTTTGAATCCACATACAAATTACTGATTGTCCCAAAGTCACACCAGCATGTTCATGCCTGGGGTTCTATCCGAAAGGGCAGAGGGTTATATTAGAGAGGAAAGAAATTATGCAGGATGGTGAGAGGAAGGGGCAAGAGAGAAAAGGCAACATGGCTTGGGATTTGGGAGATGGGGATGGTAGGAGTTTTGAGAGAGGAAAGAGGACATTAGGGGCTGCTGTTCTGATGTGAGAGAAAAATTGGAGATGATGTTAAGTCGTTTTTCCATGTGTACTGAGTGGAATTTTTCCTGGTGTCTCTTTGAGAGACTTCTTTAAAGATATTGTCTGCTTGTCAGTATTCTGTTGGGTACCAACATGGGCCTTGAAGGGTTGGTGACACTTTCATTTCCTCATATCATGATCCACTGCAGTAGGTATTTGAATTTCCTATTCTTCAATTGTCATTATTAGTTGTTTCCCAGAGTACATCTGCATAATGTTGTAATGAACATGGTGCATCAGATACATTTAAAAAATGTATGACAACCTCATTTCAAATATTGCCTGCCCTGACCAAGAAAACCAGACTGAAAACTCAAACCTGCTTTGTTCTACTCTATGTAATCTCTGTGAGCTAATTAACAGTGCCTTGCTGAAACACCAAGTGGAATTTCCAGCTGAGAGTTTGCTTTAAAGTGATAGAGACTGCTTCGATTGTTCAAAGAAAGGAAACACTCTCATACAAAAATGTGAGAAAGGAAAGAAAATTTCCCCAGCAAAGGAAGAAGGCCAGAGGGGGCTAGAAATGAAAGAAAATAACATTTTTTAAAAGACCAAATCTATATCCAAAATAACTTATAAATGCCCAGGCTGCTGCTTTTTTATTAAATTTATTTCCTTGAAACTCATGACCATCTATGTTGAGGTTTAGAATTTACTCTGACCTTATCTTTTATGCAAGTCATATATTTTTAATCCCTAAGCATATCAAACACACTGAGGAAAGCCAAGAAAGAATTTTTAAACTTTATGATTTTTAAAGTTAACAGAATTATCCTATTATATTGAAAGTACCACAGAGTTATAATGAGAGTTAGTGTGAGGAGATTTTAACAATTTCAAACTCACAGTTGATGAGATTCAAACAACATTAATAATGTAAAATGCACTGTGTAAACTGCATTTCAGTCTATGGCGCATATGAACAAGCATGCTTTGTTAGACTGTTCAGGCTGCTATAATACAATACCATAAACTGGGTAGCTTATAAACAACAGAAATGTATTTCTCATGGTTCTGGAGGCTGGGAAGTCCAAGGTCAAGGCACCTGCAGATTTGGTGTCTGCTTCCTGGTTCATAGACTGATATGGTTTGATCTGTGTCCCTACCCAAATCTCATGTCTACCTGTAATACCCAATGTTGGAGGTGGGGCCTGGTGGGAGGTTATTTGATCATAGGAGTGGTTTCTTATGATTTAACACCATCCCCCTTGGTGTTGTCATGGCAATAGTGAGTGAGTTATTGCAAGATCTGGTTGTTTAAAAGTGTATAGCATCTCCTGCTCTCTTTCTTCCTCCTGCTCCAGCCATGTAAGACATTCCTGCTTCCCCTTTGCCATCCACCATGACTGTGAGTTCCTGAGGCCTCCCCAATCATGGTTCCTGTACAGCCTATGGAATCATGAGACAATTAAACCTCTTTTCTTTACAAATTACCCAGTGTCAGCTAGTTCTTTATAGCAGTGCGAGAACAGACTAATACACAGAACTCACCTCCTCACTGTATCCTCATGTGATATAGGGATGAGGCAGCTCTCTAGCGCCTCTTTCATACAGGCTCTTCTTCATGATCTAATCACCTCCCCAAAGGCCTCACCTCACCTTGTGATTAGGTTTCCATTTGTGAATTTGGAGGCGGGGACATAAACATTCAGACCATAGCCCACGCCTTGGACTGAGAACCTCAGATGTTTAGGAGAAAGGGGTGAAGAGGCCAAAGAGTACTTGAGTGTGAGCTGTATTCCATTTTCAACAAATGTAAACCTTTGGAGACAATGCATGTTTATAATAAAAAAACAAGGGGTAACCCATGGCTTGATGAGTCTGAGCCAAACTGCTAATTTTATCAACTAAGGATAGTACCTGTCACACTTTGAGATATCAAAACTAGGTGTGCATAAGCATAACCTGAGCAATGTAAACTGTGAAAATGTGGATTCCCAGGCAGCATGCACAGGGATTCTAATCCAGTACATCATAGGTGGCTCCAGGCAAGCTGCATTCAAAACAAGTGCCAACTCCCTCCAGTTAAATGAGGTAAGGCAGGGGATCTGAGGCTGAACTTTGGGAGACATTTAATTCTTTCATAAAGGCCACACAATGGGACCAACATTCAGAATATTAATATAAAATGGATTACTTTATGATTACATTTATTTGCCATTCTAAAATAATGAGTTAGATCCTACACACTTGATCAGAGGATGCTAGTGTGGGAAGAAGAGGGAATATGAGGGGGGAGCCATGACACAGGCCTCCCAAGTATTTGTATCATTGGCCCTGAAATATCTTTAGGGGCTCTTGAGTGCAGCTCATGGCTTGATTTTCCACAACAGATTTATTTTTTCATTTCTCTTTCTAATGCTGAAAGAGGTTCATGGAGCCCTCTTTCTACAAGTCCTGATCTCCCCTCAGTCTGCCGATCATCTTCCTCATTCATTTTCCTAGTCTGCTCTGAGAACATGTGTGACCTTGCTTCAAACACCAACTTTCCTGACTCTTATATGTGTTCTTTACCTCAAATAAAAACTGGTTTCCATGGCTCACTAACCTCTTCCCCCGAATTGTCATTTCCACAAGACACACCAGCACTGCCCTCTTACCTAATTATTCTGAACAACATTCTCTTGACATCAAAGGGATTCTCTGAACGTCCCTGTGAGACTTAAAACTCACTAACCATGAATTTAAGACTCACTTTTGGCTTATTGCACTCAATGAAGGAAATAAAGACAGTGGTGAGGTAGCATTGAGCTACTATGATCAATTCTTTTGTTTGTTACTTAAAAGCAGTTCTTAGTGTAAAAGGGCTGTGGGGACTTATAAGATGGAAGACGTTGAATCCTCTTGGCATTCTGGCCCAGCACCACTATTCTTATCATCTATTTCTATCAAAGTGAGTTAAAGAATCTCTTCTTTAATGTGTAAATAACTGGCTAAGGCTTCTGAGCTCCCACTGCTCACTCTGGAGCTAGCAGAAGCTAGATGACGTAACTCAGGGTGTCCTGAATCTCTAACTTCCTGATAGCTGGGACATGAATTCATATCATCTTCTCATCCTAGAGAATCATACAGAGATGTTTCCTGGAGGATCTCTGAAGTATAATAAAAATTGATTACGATTAAGAGTTTAAAACATTGCCCATATAATCACTGAGAAAACCCCTCTCTGTCCCATATGGAAATAAGTTTCTGTGTTGGCAGATTATTAAGTTAGCTTCTTTCCACAGTAATAGAACATAACAGAAAATTAAAACCAAACCTTAAATCTGATGAGTGAGCGGTCAGGTAGGGGGATGGCCATACTTTAAGAGAAAGCTTGTTTCAAAATTTTACAATTTATCTAGAAATCAGACAGAAATGGGAAAATACCCAATTTCAGCAACCCATTTAAGAACTTTATAACTGGACTTCCTCTCCGGTCTTCCTAATATCGATTTTACTGTGACATTAAGAAACTGAGTCATTTAAGATGATGGATATGCTAATCACCCTGATATGATCACTACACATTACATGTATTGCAACATCACTATGTGCCCCATAAATATTTATAATTATTTTGTATCAATTAAAAATTTTTTTAAAGAAACTGAAGTTTTTAAACTGATCTATAGGTATATTTCATATATAGTCTATAGCCTTTTGTTCAGACTTCCTGGATTGAGATCCTGTATCCACCCTAATGGCTGTACATTACTAGGGCAAATTACTTGGCTGTGCATATGGACAAATTACTTTTCTCTTTCCCTCACTTTTCTTCCTAACTCTGTAAGGTACTCATCTTACAGAAACGTTGTGAGGAATGAATGAATAACTGTAGTTTATTTAAAATGCCTGGTTATCTAGTAGGCTTTCAATAGTTAACCGAGATTATTGTGTGCAAATGTGGATATACAATGCAGAGGGAGACAGAGGCTCTGCCCTTGGAGATTACAATCCAAATGAGGAGATGTGTGTTAAACAGTCACTCAGTGATAATTTCCTTACAATGTTCATTTGTGCTGTGAAAGAGGACTGCAGAGAGAGTGCTGTGAATCTGGTCAACAAGGGGGCCCTTAGGAGACAGGAAGGATTTTCCCCAATGAAGAGATTTTAGACTGAGGCTTGAAGAAAGGGGAGAAGATTCACCCAAGGAGAAGGCAGACCCTGAGTGGAAGGGTTTGGGGAATATAAGAAAAACTTATACTCACAGGAGAAATATAAATAGATAAATCAATAAGGTTTTAAGGAATGACATTAATCTTCATTGGGCAAAATGCTTTCTGGTTTTTTTTTTTTTTTTTTTGGCTTATTTTTGGGTTTCTGTTTGTTTTATAGATTTATGGAGAAAGCTACAAAATGTAATCCAGATGTTTTTCCTCTCCAACTCTGAGGACCTGAACCTGACCTTTCCCCACCCCCAGGAACAGAAAAGACAATGGTCTTGACTTTCTGCAGACCTTGGAAGTTTCAAAAACAGAATCACACAGAGACCTAAGACTCACTGACTTCTGAAGGAAGACAGTGTACCGAGGAAAGTGGGGAAGCAGAGATTTCCAGAAAAAGGAGAAAGGTGAAACCAGAAAGGCAGAAAGACAGATGGAAAAGGAGGAACAATGTTAGAGGGTGTATTCGGGACTACACTCTGAAGTCTGGGTGGGGAGTGCCCTGGCTCTTTGATTGGGCTAAGGGGGTGAGGTGCCTGGGATAGGAGAATAACTCAGCACTCAAAATTCCAGTCTTCCCCACTGTCAGCTATCTTTGGAGTTATTACTGAAGTCCTTGAGTGAAGAATGACTCAGACTTACCCTGGGTTCCTCTGTGCGTTTGCCTCTAAAATAAAGGCCAAGGTGATGTCCAGAATAGAGAAAGAAATAGTCACTGCAAGTACAAGACACACCTCTGTTAGGAGCTATATTATGGGCAAAGTGTCCCCCTGTGGACATATCTGGCTGGAGGAACCATAAGTTAATGCCCCAAATGTCCCCTTTCCTAAAAGTTTAGCTAGAGACATTGTTTTGCCTTCCACCCTCACCCTACTGTGAGACAAAGGAAGAGAGCTCTGACTGCTGTGCAATGGGTTGGCTGAAAAATGATGGTGGTTTGGACCAGGCTGATGGCAGCGGAAATGTGGAGATATAGATGGACTTGTGTATGTTTAGGAATCAAATAAACAGCTTGGTAACTGCATGTGGAGGAAGCTGTGGTGTGCACATCATGACAGCATCCACTTGGTGATACAGGTTGTCATGGAGCAACCACAAGAATTGATTGGGGATGTCGTTTACTGAAACAAGAACCACTGTAGGAGGAGCAGAGTTCTGGGAAGATGACAGGAGCAGTTTAGAAGGTGTGGAACAGATGTGCTGATGGGCCAGCCCACAGCATGTAGAGTAGGCAGTTAAATACAAGCATCTAGAACTTGCTAGAGAGGTCTGATCTGGGCATATAAATGAGGCTTGCCGGCATATAAGTTGATGCCCAAGAACAATGTAAAGGTGAAAAGAAGATGGCCCAGCAGTGATCCTCTGCAGGCAACACAACATTTGAAGGTTGAATGGAGTAAAATGAATCAGCAAGGGATTGGAGGAATGGCCAGAGAAATAGTATAAAGACCAGGAGATTGGGATGACACTTTTATCAAGGGAAGAGAAGGTTTCAAGAATTTCCAGCATACTGCCATACACGTAGCAGATCTTCCATAAATCTTTGTTGAATGAAAGAAGAAAGGAAGGAGGGTCGATATATCAAAAGTCAATGAGAGGCCAATGTTTATAGCGTTCATTCACCTTAAACTCATTAGAGAGCAGTTGGGTGGCTTGGTGGCTCTGAAAACCAGGCTGTAAGTAGGTGTGGAGAGAACAGGAAGTAAGCCTGTGAAGACAAGAGTGTATAGACATCACCATGGCAAAGTTTGGGTGTGACTTGGAAGAACGAGGGAAACATCTCCATGGGGTCTATTTTTCTCTTAGTTTGCTTGTGTAGGTTGGGAGACTTTTGCACCTATGTGAACAGGATCAGTAGAGAGGTAGAGGTCAAAAGAGAATTGAAAGCAAAGATGGTGGTCCTAAGAAGAGAGGGGCTAGTGTTCAGAAGTGTGGGGTTTGGCCTCTGATTGAAAGGTTAGCAGGCCCCCATTGACATGGGAGGAGATGGAGATGGGAGCAGATGCTGATGCTTTGAGGTTCTTTATGCTGGTATCTCAGGGTTTCTTGTTTCTCTGTGGAGTTTGAGGCAAGCCCATCCACTAAGAATGAAAGTCATAGAGAGAAGTTCACAAGCTAAGGAAAGATGTTTTGAAAATGGTATGAAATGATGTTTTTGGAGAGTGGGAGATGATGATAAACAGAAAATCATAATGAGATTATCTATGCTATTGGATGTCCATTGATCATCTATTCAGAAGGATGTGGATCTGTTCAGGTAATTTTCTCCAGTGGTTCTCTCTCTCTCTCTCTTTTTTTTCTGGGACTAATACAAAGAAAAGGGACAATTGGCTTCATTAAGAGTGAAGGTTTCATCAGATGACTAGAACAAAGTGTGCCTCTGAATAGCAGAGACTTAACACCAACTCTTCCTCCCATGGATATTTTTGTGGTATCTTCGGGGACTTTGTCACTAAGTCCCTCCAACTGTAATCCCTTCCAGCTTAGGCTCAGATTTCTGGGGGGGATCCATTCCATACAGAATCCTTCCCAGGTGGTTTACTCAGGCAGGTGACATGGTTTGGCTGTATCCCCACCCAAATCTCATCTTGAATTGTAATGTCCACAATTCTCATGTGTCATGGGAGGAACCTGGTGAGAGGTGATTGAATTACGGGGGCGAGTCTTTTCTGCACTCTTCTCATGATAGTGAATGAGTCTTGTGATATCTGATGGTTTTAAAAAGCGGAGTTTCCCTGCACAAGCTCTTTTTTTGTTTGCTGCCATCCTTGTAAGATGTGACTTGCTCCTCCTTGCCTTCCACCATGATTGTGAGGTCTCCCCAGCCAGGTGGAACTGTAAGTCCATTCAACCTCTTTTTTTGTAAATTGCCCAGTCTTGGGTATTGTATTGGTTCATTTTCATGCTGCTGTTAAAGACATACCCACGACTGGGCAATTTACAAAAGAAAGAAGTTTAATTGGGCTCACAGTTCCATATGGCTGGGGAAGCCTCACAATCATGGCAGAAGGGGAGGGGAAGCAAGTCATGTCTTACATGGATGACAGCAGGCAAAGAGAGAGCTTGTGCAGGGAAACTCTCATTTTTAAAATCATCAGATCTCATGAGACCCATTCACCATCATGAGAACAGCATGGGAAAGGCCTGCTCCCATGATCCAATCATCTCCCACTGGGTACCTTCCATAACACATGGAAATTATGGGAGTACAAGATGAGATTTGGGTGGGCACACAGAACTAAACCATATCAGGTATGTCTTTATCAACAGTGTGAAAATGGACTAATACAGCAGGTGGTAAATGGCTCTTGCACTCCTTTTTCACTTTCATGGCTCATATTCAACCCACAGAAAACTCACCAGGTGATTGCTTTTGTGCTAAAATGTTCCAGAAGTGTAGGCTGATCCTAGCATGGTGCCATTGAAGGGGAGTGCTATTCTTTTCTAAAGGCAGCCCTCTTCCTTGCTTCCTTTAGTTTTCCTGTAAGTAATACAGTTACTATCTTCTATATTTTCCAATGGCAAGAAATACACTTCAAGTTCTCTTCATGGCATTCTAGAAGCACCCCTCACTAGGCTTAAGGTGATGAAGGTAACATTCCTGTACCCTGTCTAGATTGGGGGTACTCAGCATAGCAACTACTCCTTCCAAAAAGCCACCCCACACAATATTCTCTTCTCATTTTCAGTTCTTCCTTGGAGGGTATATGGGACTTTAAAAGTCATGCAATCAGTTCTTGAAGAGTCCTACAATGTTGTCTGTCTTACTCTTTTTGCCTCATACTATGACTGGATGCCTCCCTGGGAGCATCTGATTCAATGTCCTGCCCACAGGGATGGATTGTGAAATCCAGTCCTGATAAAGAGCATAGTGAAGACTGGCAGAGACCTAGGGAGAAAGAAAGAAGTCACGCCAATGGCTCAGCAGTCACAATGTGGTCAAAGAATGGCCCCAGTGGGGCTATTTGAACAAGCACTAAGAAATGATACAGGGTGGGATTGAAAAGGTGTCTGCTGCTGACACAATCTGGTTTTGACTTTAAGAGCAGGTGGCTGAGGTAGAGTAGTGAAAAAAAGATCACTGATGTAGATGAAGATGAGTGTCTTGGCTGGATCTTCCAAGAGGATGTTGGAGATAAGAAGGAGTGACCTGGAGCTTGGTAGTTGACTCCCTGGTGAAGGGAAAAAGTGCTTAAGCAAGATTATTTGCATTTCAAAGGAAGAGGGGATTGAACAAGAAGGGACTGGGAACAAGCAGCTGGAAGTAGTAGCATTTGCAGGTAAGGAAGAGTTCCATCCTGCCTTCCTGCACTTGTGATATGTGGGGCTGGAAGAGATAAAAGGACATCAGCCTGAGGCAGCCACATTGGAAGCTGTGTCCTCAAAGGATACCCAGGCTTCATTTACAGGCAAGAAGCCAGAGGGAATCTTTGGGGAAGAGATTAGGATTAGAAGGAGCTGGCTGATCAGCATATTGGTTTAGACAAAAGGGTTTGGGAGCGGAGAAGAAAGAGAAGGGTCAGGAAGTAATGGAAGACAAGGGAGACACAGTAGGTACTTGAGTCCTACAAGGTTCTTTGTGGCTGGAAATTGATGCCTATGGTCAAAGCATGGGGCTCAACTTCCTCACGGTCAACTGATACCAGCTGCTCCACTGGGTCTAGCAAGCAAGTCACCTGGTTTTTCAAACCCTAATCTGACTATGTCATATATGCTACTTCCCCTAGCTTGAAGTCATAAAGACAGGACTGGTTAGTGTGATTTAGAGGGTTCTACACAGTCATCTCCATGCCTGCTATTCCACACCACCCTTTCTGGCCATCTTCTATCCCTTAAACTTTCATCCCTCTCATGTTCTGTCTGTTGCTGCAGGGCCTTTGCATATGCTGTTTGTCTGGCTGGAATACTACCCCCTCCACTTATCATTTAGTTAAACACTATTCAGCTTATCTGAAAGCTCAGCTCAAATTTCTCTTACTCCAAGCTGACTCACCTGCCCTCACTGACTGGTCAAATCCCCTTTATACAGTTGGTCATTTAGTGTCTTTTTAACACTTATCACAGTTACAACTATATGTTGTTTAAGGGATTGTTTGATTAATATTTCTCTCTTCCAAAAGACTGTAAGTACCATGAGGGCAGGAACCATGTGTCTTCTTTATACTAACTCTATTCCCCAGAGCATAGCACAATGTCTGGCATCTAGTCCTGCTTTTGGTGAATATTTACTTGCCGAAAGGATGAAGAATGGTTTTCACTGGCTGGCATTGGGGGGCTGGTGTGCAACTGGCCCCTGAAAGACCCAGCTGGTGAGCTCAGAATCACAGCACTGGTGCCTCCCAGGTCCTCTATTGGCAATGGATGTCCCGGCAGAAATGGGAGCTGAGCTCTAAAAACTCCAATGTCTCTTGAATTGCATTTACTTATTTTTTTAAAAAAAGATTTTTCTGAGGCTATTTTAGCAGTTGATTTTTGTAGTTTGGCTATGATTCAGTAATTTCCCTGAAAGACAGGGGCCCTGGACTGTTTCCCTGAAAAGAGGCAATCTCATCCCTCTTGGATAAGAGCACATTGTCTGTTCACAAGGGACCTTCAGAGCTCTGCTTCTTGGGGGAGAGCCCAGGAGATGCAGCAGCTGCAGACTCAGTATTCCCAGGGGGTCAAAGGTCAAAAGGTCAAGGGTGTCTTTCTGCAGGATACCCCAATCAACGAAGTCTAGCCAAAGAACTGTTTGCCTCCCAGTTCCTAAATTCAACTTCCTGCCCTAGGCTATGGGCACTGCCATTCTGAAGTTTCACTGTATTATGATTTGTAATATGAATAAACATGAGTTTTGATGTTGACTTGGGAGAAGGGCTCTCCTAGCTTAATGACCAGTGAGTGGTTTTGTGTTTGTTTTTTTTTTTTTTTTAATGTGCTGTTCAATCTCCAAAGGACCAATTGACTTGGAGAAACAGAATCCAAAAGTAGTTTGTTCTTTTACTGGGAACGTAAGTTCCCCATAAGCAGGACTCTTGTCATTTCCAGCCCTCTGTGTTGAATACACATAAATATGACACGAACAAATACCATATACTTCCCTCGTTGGGTCACTTTCAGCTCTTCCATCCAAATAACTGGACTCCAAAGTGGTACAAAACAATCATGAAAAGTGAATTTACTCACAGGAAAAAAAGTGAGCCATTTCTTGTCTGAATTATCATGTGGCCAGCAGGACCTCCAGAGAAGAGGCAGCACCGAAAAGGAAATATGGTACATGATATGGAGAAGGGCGGCTTCCAGGAAGAGCCATTTTCTTTGTAAGAGATGGAGTTCTGGCAGAGACAGGCATTCTGATCTTCATAAAGCCATGCCACAGAGTCATGGATTCTGAGACAAATACATGTTTACTAGTTGCCACCCCAGGGGTCATCTGTCAAAAGGCCAGATGAATCATCAAAAGCGTCAGATGAATTAATTGTGAAAAATAGAGTAGATAAAGTGAATCACACACAGAACTACTGAGTTGCAAAACTCTCAGTTTACTTAGAGAAGACCTTTCACTTATTCATTCACTGTTTTGTTTGTTTATTCAATGATAATTCATTGAGTACCTAAAATTGTGTTGAACCCTATGCTGGGGCTACAAGACAAATTAGGTAGACCGTTTCCATTTCTTCATATTTGCTCTTCCCAGCCATTTCAGATTTGTTTACATTATTGATGGATTCAAGGATAACATTAATAAATTTTCTAATTTATTCTAAGAGCAGCCAAGGTTAATTAAAGAAAAAAGTCATGAAAGAGAAAGAGGGAATCCTGGATGGCTGCTTGGCTCTTTAAACCTCAGTTTTCTTATCTGTGAAATATGGGGATCCATTACATGACATTACATAAAGTCTGTTCTGTTTTATAAACATACAGTGAAACCAACATTTTCTTAGAGATCTGATTGGACACTGATCCAGTCTTTACTGTTTTGTAATAAATTACCTTAAAACGTAGTGAGTTAAAACAACCTCCATTTTATTATATCTCATACCTTTTATCAA
The DNA here is from genome assembly GCF_000001405.40 of Homo sapiens. Taxonomy (NCBI): domain Eukaryota; kingdom Metazoa; phylum Chordata; class Mammalia; order Primates; family Hominidae; genus Homo; species Homo sapiens. The sequence goes on from NC_000002.12 coordinate 224,197,567, forward strand.
TGGAGAATTCAGCCGAGACTTACAGGGGTGTATGGCCTATTCCACGTGGTGTCTAAGTTCACTGTGACATATTCAACTGACAGATGGGCTGGTCTGGAAGTACCGAGATAAAATCCCATGTTCAGAGGCTTGTTTGGGACGCCTGGGACACTGGGCTCAGCTGAACGGTCATTGTGGTATCTAGAGGTGGCTTTTCCAGCATGACAATCTCAGGGTAGCTGGAGTTCTTACACAGTAGGTAGCTCAGAGCTCCCAGAGTGTTCCAGGAGAATTAGGCAAGAGATGCAAGATTTCTTTTGAACTAGCCTTCAAATTCCCAGAACACCACTTCTGCCACATTCCATTGGTCAAACCAGCCCAGATTCAAGGGAAGGGGAGAAATAGACTCAACCTCACAATGGAAGAATTGCATGGGCCACAAGGAAGAAAGTCATTGATGGCAGCCAGCTTGGAGGTAAGCTACCATAGTCACCAGGAGCGTTTAAATGCTACAGTGCCTGAGCCCTGGCAATTAAAAATATAAGTCTCTCTGTGATCTTTGATTTCTCCTTCTCTTCCTATAAGCTAAATCATGGAAAGTTCGGTAAAATACCTCGTGATTACAAGTGATTCCTGAGCATGGATGGAATCTGATATGAAAATACTTAGATGCGCTTTACATTGATGAGAAAGATCTGGGAAAATTTTAAAAAGTGCAGAAGGCACGTAAGACATTAGGTCTCTTAGCGGTTGCATGGATCAGCTCACAGCCCCTTCTCTCCATTTTGAAACCTCTAGTGAAAGGGATTTCTCTCCTAGACCCTGTCCTTGTACTTCCCATGGTGTTTATCAGGTGTCTGAGGATACATGTCGCTTTTCAATCACAGATTTCCAAAAACCTGAAGCTTTGATTCCTCTGCTTCTCCCACAAGGCATTAACAGGTTCTCAATCACTCTCTGCTTAATACACACAATCACTGTGATGGGGTTCACAGGAGGCTGGGAATAACATAAAGAGTAGTTTGAGATCAACCCCTGCTTTCAGAAAAAGGTGATTTCATTATCTGTGTTGGCTAATGTTCAACAGCTCACCGATGCTCACTAATAGGCAATAAAAGTGAAAACATCCACTGGGGGTTTGATGTCTGGTCTATGTCTTGGTAAATTAAATAGTGCACACTTTGTGGCAAGAGGCAGAAAAGATTTGTACGCTAAGTTTTCACGAGGAGACAATCTTTTTACCCATGAACTCGCTGTCTCTGTACACGCACACTTTTGGTCCAGGCTTTTCCTTTGAAAGATAATCTTTGCACAGTGTTGTAAAATGTAAAATAGAGGTTCCTCTTCAAAGACTTTCCTCCCCCATCTAATTAGGAATAAATAATAACTTCTCTTAAAAGCAAAATTTATTCAAAGACCTGTGCTAACATTCTTAAATCTCTGCTAGCCATAATAAAGAAATCAATGTACTTTATGTCCTTAGCTCCCACAATTTAGCCTAAATATTTGCCCTGGCGTGCTTATACTGGTCCAAGCAAGCATTCGGTTATAGCCTGTTTCTCTTCCTTATTGAAAAGCGTTTTTATCTTTCTCAGCATTCCACAAGTTACTTCCTCCTTCCTTTGTTCTCCTCTACCTTTGCCTCTTTTAAAAAGTTCTAAGTTGCTAGCCAATCAGGATGAATACAGAATGTGAGGTCCCGTTCCAGCCAATGGAAACCGGACACAGCAGTAAGGTAGACCCGTCAGGTTATAAATGACCCTATCTCCTTTGCTCGCTGTACTCTCGTGGCAAAACTGCTGGTGAGTGTACACTTTCTGCAGGAAGTAAAAATGGCTTACTAAATAAATTAAGTTTATGTTCAAGTGCTATTTCTTTACAGCACCAGAGAATGAGCATTTCAAACAGTGTGGAAATTCTGCTCAACACAGATGGGGGCAGGGTAGTTGGTGGTTGAGAAAGATTAATCATTACCCTTATGGCAAGTTTAATTAGTAAGAAAATGGAGGAAAACTGAGAAAAAGGAAAGCCTCCTTATTTACATTGTACTAGAGAATCAATTTCAACGTCATAAAAAAAAGTAAGACATGAGTTACAGACCCAGAAAATGTAAGGGCTCCTTGTTTTTCCATAAAATGTGAATACCACATAAGCAAGAGCCTACTTTTATTGTGTCTTCTGATTCTAACTATACTCTTTCATTCTCTTTCCATCCTAAAAGAAATTTTTTAAAGATAATGCTTTCAGAACCCTCCTACAAGAAAGCACAACATTTCTTATGATTATATAATAACTGTATAATACATATAACTGAATAACAATGAATGTTCTCATTTTTTATTACTTATTTTCTACTTACTTTCATATTTCAAACCCTGGCTCAATATCTCACTTGCTGTGTGTCTTTGGGCAATTTACTTAGTGTCTCTCTACTCTGTGGTTCCCTCAACATTAATAATTATACATATCCATATGACAGTTTTGAAAATTAAATGAGCTAAAATAGGTTCAGAACAATGCCTGATACACAGTAGATGCTCAATATGTATAACATGAAATTAACAAACACCTTCGCAATATTTTCTCATTTAATCCTCAAAACAAGCCAAGCAACATTAGGGAAACAGGATCACATTAGGAGTTACAGGTCTATATTCTGCAGCCAGACTCTGCGTGTTCGAATCCTGGATCTTTGTCTCACTAGCTATATAATCTTGGCAAGTTACTAAATCTATCTGTGCCTTAGTTTCCTTATTTGCAAAATGAGAATAAGAAGAGTACTTATTTCACAAGTTAAATGTGATATTATACACAAAGCACTTAGAGAAATGCCTGGCACGTGGTAGGTGCCGCCATTTTATTTGCTGCTGTTGAATGGTAATGTCTTGTGTTGGCTTAGTGTGCGCAGATGTGTTACTGTATAGTAGGCCCCCATGCAGGGCTGGTTTCACCGGTCACCCCGGGACCCATGCTTAGACTCTTTTAACTTGTTTTCGTGTTCAATTGTCACTGTCTTGAAATCCTTAATAAGTATTTGAAGAAACAGGACAGCATTTTCATTTTGCACTGGGGGCCTGAAAATTATGTAGCCAGGCCTGCCCCTGGTTTTTGGAATTGATTCAAGAGCACAGTTGCTTATAGGCCACTCATGCTGACTCATGTGAGGTATGTGCATTTATTTTGGGGCATCCCCAAAGCTCAACATTTCTGCACATTGAGCTTTGCCCCTATTTGTCAGAGTAAAGGGGCTGGGGGCCAGCTGGGTTCTGTTCCGGGTTTGGTACTTTTCAGTTCCACGGGTGTAATGTGAGATGAAATTATCACAAAGTATGGAAAATCCACACTCACAGCTCACATTGTACTGAATTGGTAACGTATCAGAAACGTGTTTACTATTATGTGAGAGCCATTGTGTTAATACAAAAGAAATGCATAAAGAGTGTTATAAAATGTATCAGAACTTGGCCAGGCATGGTGGCTCACGCCTGTAATCCCAGCACTTTGGGAGGCCGAGGCAGGTGGATCACCTGAAGTCAGGAGTTCGAGACCAGCCTGGCCAACATGGTGAAACCCCATCTCTACTAACAATACAAAAATTAGCCGAGTGTGGTGGCGGGCACCTGTAATCCCAGCTACTTGGGAGACTGAGGAAGGAGAATCGCTTGAACCCGGGAGGCGGAGGTTGTGGTGAGCCAAGATTATACAATTGCACTCCAGCCTTGGCGACAAGAGCAAAACTCCATTTCATTGAAAAAAAAATGCATAAGAATTTCTTGTCATTATGTAGTTCTTCAATGAATGAATATTAAAGATCATATAATATTATTAGGCAGCAGATAGAGAATTTTTATGGTAATGGAGGTCATTATACTTAAAACAATTGGGAAACCCCATATTACACTGTAAGTTCCTGAACTGCCAGATCCATTTCAATTCACATTTGAGCCCTCTTATTTCCTTGTTCAAAACCTCGCACACAGCAAGCGTACAATTAGCATGTTTGCAGTGAGTGATATAAGCCTAATGGATTGATCAGATTTCCATCTTAATAGGTCAGATGTGGGAAATATATTAGGTTGAGCTAACAGAAATAACAAGGGACAGTGAATACAAAGGGGATCCTGGAAGACATGTGAGATGGAGAAGGGGAGAGCACAGACTGCTTAAGTTCTTGGAATCATAAGAACTGATGAGTCAAGATGAAGCAAGTACACAGTTGGAGGACAGCTTGACAGAACAGAAGTGGGTTTTCCATGGAAGTAGGCAGACACCACGCCAGTGTGTTCCAGAACGGCATGCCTTCTCACTCGAGTTACATTCATGTCACTCCCCTGTTCAGAATATTCCAGTGACTTCCCAGCCTGCAAAGCCCCCAATCCCTATCTGGTCTAATTACTTCCTACTCTCTCTCTCCCCACCTCCTTCTGTTCCAGCCACATTGTTCTTCAAGCTCCTCCTTAAACATGCCTTGTATATCCCTGGGTCATCAATGTTCCCTTTGCCGGGAACACTTTGCTATCATTTTCTTCATTCCTCACTTATTCAGGTCTTTTCTCCAAGGTCGTATCCTCAGAGTGAACTTCTCCAACCACCATGTGTAAGATAGACAGCACCCCAGTCATTCTCAAGCACTTTATCTTTTTAAAACATTGTATTATGTATTTATTTTTTCCATTGCCTATCAGTTTCATTTCTCATCAGAAAAACACATCTTTCTCTTTTGTTCACAGCAGTATCCATAGAGCTTAAAACATTTCCCAGCAGAGTCAATACTCAAATCAATATTTGTTGAATGGATAAGTGAATGAATGGGTAAATGATTTAAAAACCCATGTGCAAATGAAGAAAGCAGTCCATTAGAAGAAGAGCAATGTATCGTCTACTAGTTCTGCCTTGGGAGATGGTCTGCGGAAGTGTTGGGGATCTGACAGAGAATGAGATCACAAGGGGCTGGACTTGGATTTGGAATTTAAAGATTACATTGAGCCTGCAAACTTACAAACATCCTGTATACTACAAACTTGTTATGTCTTCTTCTTATACAGTTATAGTCAGTGCCAGTAGACTGAGAGTTTTGGCAAATCCACAGTGACTCGCCTATTCTCTGTGGTGGACACTGTTGCATGGAAGGAGCTCCCAGGATTCCCCAGGCGTGTTCTTCTGGTATGGTGGCTTCTGACTTGGCTTGGGTTACTGAGCCAACTTGATACCTTCGGTGCTCTGTCTGCTTTTTGCTGTTACCAAGGATAGTGGACTCCACCCGAGGAAGTTACAACAGGTAGGAGGAGGAGGGAGAATCATCCTGAAGAAAAGGATGAATTCGCTGTCTGAGAAAATATTACCCTAACCAAGCCCATGGAGTTCTAAGTATTTGTGTAGACTGTATGACTGTTCCAAACACTTCACTCTCTCCCAGGAACACATGATACATCTGTACTCTTTGCCATGTGACTGTATGACGCCTCCTAGTAAGGTAGGTGGGGAAAACCTTCCCGCCTCACTGACTTTCAGGTTGGCCATGTTACTTGCTTTGGCCAATGAAATGTTAGTGCAAATACCATGAACAGAACTTTCAGTGTGCTTGTTTTGTTTGGCTTGCCCTCTTGTACCATCTTCCAGGAGAGCTTCCTAGGGTGGCAGATACATGCAGCCAATTTAAGCCCAACCTGTAGGCAGAAGCAGAGCTACCCAGCTAATCTGCAGACATGCGGGTAAGAATCATAAATGTATGCTATTGTAAACCGCAGATATTGGAGTTGTGTTTTTATGCCATAAAAACTTGATTAAGACAGTTGTTGGAACATTTTCAGTGATATTTCTGATAATCGTGCCCTATATATCAAGCAAAGTTGCTATAGCTTAGTTATGTTGTGTTACACACCCATTTTGCCTAAATTCTACGTCAAACTATGAGAGTCAGATTTTTCACCTCTAGGATGGCTAGGGGGTAAGCTATCCTTCTTGTTCTGTTCCAGGGAACTTGTCTGCTTTAGAAATGCTGCCTGATGGACCAGCACCAAGGACGTTTCTTCAGAAGAAAAGCTGTCTCTTTCCCCTGTTCTCTTACATTCTTTTGCATAAGGCAGGTACTCGATAAATTGAACTGATTAGTTGCACTGCCCAATAAGGTAGTCATTATCACCTCTGGCTATTTAAATTTAAATTATTCACAATTAAACAAAATAAAAATTCAAGTTCTCAATAGCCACATGTGGCTAGAGGCCACCATATTAGACAGCACAGATGTGGACCATTTCCATCATCACAAAGTTCTGTTGGACAGTGGCTACGTCTAGATTCCAGAGGTTGGGTAATTTATTAATTCTGAAGGCTGGGAGAAGTAAATTCTTTGTGGTTTGATGATATGAGTGCTGCGACGATAGGATGGAGAGAGGAGAAAGGGAATAAAAGAAAAAAATGAGCTCTATAATCTCCTTTTACCTTTGGTTTAGACATAAATAATCTTTATGAAATACCACCTGGTGTGTTGGTTATACTCATTTTGCTGATTTTTCTAGAAACATTCTAGGGCATACAGTTCACCAGTCACATTTACTGATAAATGGGTATGTGTGTATGGTTCTTCCAGAGGGTATCTCAACAGAACAACCATATTTCAATTCATCTCCCAATGCAGGGAATGTGTCAAGGTTTGTAATCATAACCTCCAACACCTCCAAAACTAGAGACAAAAAGAACACAGAAAAAATGAGAAAATGTGTTCAGTGCTGAAACTAGCACTCCCAGCCCCAGGTCAGTTACAGCAGTGGCAGGCATTATGTTTGTCTCCACAAGATTCATCAAGCTATATGGGCAAAGACTCAGCAAGTAGAAGGCAACGGAGCATGGGCTAAGATCAGCAATTTATCTGAGGCCAAATACCACAAAACAAAGGGAGACTCATTATGTAAGCTAGCTACAGGTGTATTAGTTCCGTTTCAGAGACTTCCAACAGGTTTTCATATATTTCACATTTAACATCAGTATCAACCTTAATGTAAGAGACACTGCAATCATTTTTTATAGTACTTGGAAATGAAAATTCTCAGGAGGAACTTTTCAAAGGATTTTTCAGTTCCATTTTTCTTATAGGAAAAGTTTTATATCTAAGGTAATACAATCTGCTCTTAAAATAGACTGAAGTGTCTCTATTCCTTTCTGAACTTTTGGGTCATCTTTGGTCATTGATCCCAAAGAGTGGATTTCTAAGTACTTAGGTTTTCTTCACTAGCAACAGTCCCTGGACTCTGTCATCCCTAGTAGCTGTCTTACACAGTATCCAGCACTCTTCAGCTAACACTTTCCACCCTTCCAACCCATTTTGCCTAAATCTTATCAAACTGTGAAGGCCAGATTTTTCTAGACCTTCTAGAACTTCCACTGCAATGTATTTTGAGACTCATCAAGACCACCAATCCAAGGACCCCATAACTTTCTTATTATTTTGTCTTATTTTCTTAGTGTCTATTACACAGTCCATTATCACAACTACTATCTTATAAACACCCTTAGATTCCATGCCACTGTCTCTGATGTACCTTCCAGGGAAGACTCTGAACCTGATTTTGCCCAATTTTTGCTTCTTTTTACACTGCCAACTGAATGGCTGAGCTGGCCAACCTCTACTGTGCACTCAACATAGTCCAGAATTTATGCCACATTTCTACATTTTAAGATAATAATTTCAACCACCCCCATCTCTCCTCACATCAACCCTCCAGCCCCCTTAAATACCAGCAACAATGTTGCCCTATTCTTCATTAAGAAGGTAGAAACTGTTGAATGCTGCTGGACTGAACTATGTTCCTCCAAAATTGATATGTTGAATACCCTCACCCCCACCCCCAGGGTGACTATAGCTGGAGATGGGGCCCTTAGAAAGAAGTTAAGGTTACACGGGGTCATTAGGGTGGGGCCCTAAGTCAATGGGGCTGGTAGTCTTATAAGAAGAGGAAGAGACCCCAGAGTGTTCACTCTATCATGTGAGGACAAAGCAAGAAGGCAGCCATCTGCAACCCAAGGAGATAGCCCTCGCCAGATATCAATGCCACTGGCACCTTGGTTTGGACTTCCTGTCTCCACAACTGGGAGAAAATTAATTTCTCTTATTTAAGCTACCAAGTCTATAGTATTTTGTTACGGCAGCCCAAGCAGACTAGTACAGATGGAAACCATCACCTTCTCACCAACAAATCTACAAACCTCCACACACACCCATCTTCCTTTCCTTCTCACCTAGTGTAAGGGGAAGTCAATTTCATGACTGCTTCTCAAGAAGTCTTAAAGCTTCTCGAAGACTTTGTTCATTTGATCTATTCTTTTTGCTCTTATAAATTAATATCTACTTCTCTGCAGAATTATTTGCAATATCCTGCAAACATGCTTCAATATCTCCCATGTTAGAAAAAAAATTATGTCCTCATCTTTCTCATATTGCCACCACAGTTATTGATTTCCATTCCCAACTCAATCTCTTGAAAGAGATGACCACACATTGTTTTCATCTGCCCACCTCTCACTCACTTTTCCCCTACTGCAACTCATACTAATTGCTACATTTCCTTGATAAGTTCACTGTTGCAATTATCTAATGTTGCATATCAAAGCACGCTAACTTTGTGGCTTAAAACAATAACAGCTCACAAACCACTCATGGGACAGGGTTCAGTAGAACCATCTGGGTGGCTTAAGGCTGTAGACAAGAATCATCTAAAGGCTCTGCCATTTCCATGTCTGGCAGTAGAGGCTGAGGAGCTCAAAACACATCAGACTCCAACAGCGGAGGCTCTTCCAGCATCTTTCTATGGCTCTATGTGGTCTCCATGTGAAATCTCCAGTATGGCAGCTTCACTGTAGTCAGACTTTTTCCAAGTTATCTCTAGAATATGAAGGAGCATGCCCCAAAAGAGAAGTGCCAGTAACTATGTGTGTAAAAAATTAAACTAAAATTCAGCGGTGTAAAACTACCATTTCTTATGCTAACTAATTCTGTGGGTCAGGAATTCAAACAGGACAGAAGAGGGATGCCCCATCTCCTTGCCATGTCTGGGGCCTCCTCTGGAAGATTCAAAGACTGGGAACTGGAGTAGTTGAAGCTCACTGTAAGCCAAAACCTCAGTCGGAATATCCACACAAAGCCTCTCCATATGTCCCCACCCAAAAGTCATCTTGAATTGTAGTTTCCATAATCCCCACTTGTGTGAGGGAACTGATGGGAGGTAATTGAATCATGGGGATGGTTACCCTCATGCTGCTGTTCTCCTGATAGTGAGTGAGTTCTCATGAGATCTGATGGTTTTATAGGGGCTTTCTCCCTTTGTTTGGCACTTCTCTCTCCTGCTGCCATGTGAAGATTACCATGATGGTAAGTTTCATGAGGCCTCCCCAGCCATGTGGAACTGTGAGTCAACTAAACCTCTTTCCTTTATAAATCACCCAGCCTCGGGCAGTTCTTTGCAGCAGCATGAGAACGGACTAATACACCTGAGCTTCCTCAAGATGTGATGACCGGGTTTCAAGCATGAGCCCTGAGAAAGAAAGAAAGAGAGAGAGAGAGAGAGAGAGAGAGAGAGGATTGAGACCAACTCAGGCTAAGTCATTTTATAACCTAGCTTTGGAAGGCTGTACATCAAGGTTTTATCTTGGGGCTGCAGCCTTTATAGGGCTTAAATATTATATTTATCCTAATGAGTCCAAAATTTATTCCAGTTTCAGAGATTTACCCTAAGCTTTGATGTCTCCACTTACAACTGATAGGTTTTTCAAACTTATCAAACCTAAAAAAGGTAACTAGATTTCCCCTATCATCCTCTAGTCTTATATATTTCAGTAACTATCATGATCAAGCCAAAATCCTGAGAATTGTCTTTGTATTTTCCATTTCCCTCTGTTCCTTCCCTCCAATTCATCAGTAAACCTGGATTCTATCTACAAAATACACTTCAAATACATTCTCTTTATTTTTTTCATCATCACCTTATTCTGAGACACCAATATCTTTTTCCTGGATGACTAAGTTAGCCTCCTAACTTGTAGAAAGCATCAGGAACATGTTTGTGAACATCTAAGCTTTTAATACCCTTTGATCAGCCTTCCCTCAATATTATCTAAATAAAACACCCAGGACTGTGTTGGAGTGAAAGCTCCTTGTCTCTGAACACCACTGGCTTCCACCTTGCAATGCCTCTCTGTTGATAGGAGCCCAGAGAAATGGCTCCCTATTATGTTTGTCTCGATGGAATTATGTTGTACTATTAGTGAAAAAATATTCACCTTGCCTAGAAAAGCATGGTGAATGTAAAAAAGTATTACATCTTTTTCTCTGTTCACCTGACAACATTCTTCAAGATACACAGATCTTGTTAATTAGGTACATTTCTCTTGATTTAATAATTTATCAAAAATTGCTTACTGAATGCCTTTTGTATGCCAGGCCTTGTTCTCTAGTTGCTGGGGAAATGGGAAAACAAAACAGAGCTTCAAATAAGGAAAGGGCAGACAACAAAAATCAAATGTGAAACGTGTCAAGAGGCAATAAGAGCTGTGCAGAAAAATAAAGCAGAGAAAGGGAGGTGGAAAGTGACAGGACAGGCACAGGGTATGCACTGGTTTCCATCTGTTGGTGAGGAAATGCATCCTTTCAAGACGACGTTTGAGCAGAGAACTGGATGATGTAAAGGAGCAGCTATGTGGGTATCTCAGGACAAGTGTTCCAGGCAGAGGGAATAACAAGTCCAAGGGCCCTGAAGCTGATGTGTGCTTGGCATATTCAAGGAACCACAAGGAGGCCAATGCTGCTGGAGCAGTGTGAGCAAGGAGAGGTTGGTGAAGGATGAGGCTGGAGAGGTAGAGCAGGAGTACACTGAAGGTTCATTGAGCAGACTGTGTAATAAGGCTGAGAGTGTTTTAGTGGAAGTGGTGCTCTTGTTTTCTAACCTTTGGTGCATGCCAGAGGTAGAGAGGGTGTGTTATCAGCCACAAACAAACCTCCAGGGTAGTAGACATATGTGTGACATTGGTTTCCCTTATGAACCCCAACATCTATTCAATATATGCAAAGCACCAGATACAATACCTGGACATAGCAGTTTCGCAATAAATGACAACTGCTATTGTTTCTTATCAAGTTTGGGGTTGATTGGGAAGCCTAGGTTCAAGTCCCAAATCCAGCACTTACATCTTATCTGTGTGACCTCCAGCAAATCACCTAACTTCTCTGGTCCTCTCTGACTATGGTGTCAATAAATGGATTGATTGACAAAATACATGGCATAGCACAGTGCTTGGTACATATTCAGGGCTCAATAACTTTCTTATTGTTATCATCAGGGAGCTTCTAATCTCCTCCCTTTGTTGCAACAGCATGGAGATGAGAGATATCCTATAGACATAGTGGATATTTTTATGGGCATTTCTAGACCCTCTTCCCCACAGCTGTTTTCCTTGTTTTATTCATGTCTCTGTTCACTGGGCCACCGTCACTCTGTATTCCTTGTCCTGCTTTATTTGTCCTCCATCACAGTGATTGACGTAAAATCTGCTAGACATCTACTTTAGTACTGTCTGTCTCTTTCAACTAAAATATAAACTCCATGAGGGCAAAAGGAGCCTTTTCTTCTTTAGTTCATTGATGTAGCTCCAATGCATAGAATAGTGCCTGGAGGATAGTAAGCTCACGAGTAACATTTGTTCATTTGTTGAATAAATAAACAACAACAAAAAACAAATTTCAGGGGGGCTCTTCCATCAGCAAGAATGGGTAACACCCTAAGTCACATACCTTGGCCTAGGCATTTAGCACTCTGATTTTCCTAATACAGAGCAATGTTCCTTTACATCACTATCATGAACATTAGGGCACTGAACACGTTGGATTTCAAGCCTGACAATTTGGAGAGCTCTAGAGTTAGACCAATTTACTTACCAGAACAAGCAGCCAGCCCTATCTCTACACCAGCCTCATGTGGGCCATTGGGGCCTCACTCTGCCAACCACCCTGTGAGCTGAGAGCAGGTAGTGAGTGCTGTAAATTTCTTCCATTAGTGACTGCCAAACAGTCCTTTCCCCCACAGCATTGGCTTCTCACTTAAGTCACATATTTCTATTTGTAATTTCTCCAAAGGGTCATTTCAGATATTTCACTTCCTGAAATTATAGTGATTGTATATTTTAGGCTATTTGCAGCCCTGCCTTATCCACCAGAGACTGGGCGTAGAAAGATGGAAGAGACATAAGATTTCCTTTGGCTACATTTGGTCTAATCAGTATGAACTTCACAAAGAACCATCTCGCTCATTTCCCCAGAGCCAAGAGAGACTTATGGAAGCTGTTCTACAAAATAGCAATTGTATTTTATTTTTCATCACTGTATTTTCTTGGGGAAGTGTGGCCTGGGGTTATTTTTGCACTGGGTGGCAGGTTTGACTTCAATCTTCACACATGCTGCCTGGGGGTAGGGATTTATTCCGGCAAATAGCAAAGAGCAGGTCTCTAACAATTCTTGTAACAAAAACTTTCACATTGGAGCTGTAACGTTTTGGGTTCTTCTGGTTAACTTGAATACGTCTGTGTGACCCAGCTGGTCACCTTGTTTTTCCTCTAAGGTCCGTAAGTCAACCACTGAAACCACTGAGAGTCATCGATGGAAATTGCCAGTGTTTGCAAAATGTCTCTGAGAAAGAAATCTTACCTTTTAACTCTTCCTAAAGTAAAACGAATGAGCTTCATTCCGTTCCCACCTTGTCTGAGTATGAAAATTCAGCTTAGCAAAATGCTAACCCTCACCTTGGTGGGATCAGACACTTTGTGCCCCAGGAGGTATCACAGGAAAGCTGCTTTTGGGGGAGCTCTGGCTGGCAAAGCATGGAAGAGCATGCAGGACACTGCTCCCTTCTTCCAGGCAGGCAGGGTGTGAGGGATGAGATCAGCTTTCCTGACTAGAGATCTAATTTAAATAATGGCGGATTTATATAATAGCAGATTCATTTGCTGTCTCTAGATCAAGATTGCCAGAAACTGTAAGGGTAAGGTTTGCATTCATAATAAAGCTGGGGGCGGGGGTGGGGGTGGTGGTGGTTGTTTCCACTAAAAGAACTGTCACTCATCCTGGGACAGGAAACGTGGGCATCCCTTCGGAACTGAAATGGAGAGGGACTTCCTACACTCTTTATCCCAGGGCAAGAGGTCATGGGCGGGGTAGGAACAGTCCTGACTGGTAAGTGTGATCAGAGAAACCTCTGAGTGCACTGGGGATGTGCCCTGGGGACAATGGGGGTGTGTTGATTTCAAAAAGTTATGTAAGTAAAACACTACAATGCAGGCCCAGGCCCAAGGTGGTGGAAAGCAAGCCCAGGTGAGTGCAGCAATGAGGTGGTCTTCCTCCACCACCCTACCGCTACATGATCCAGGGAAGTCAGGAAGGGGTGGAGAGATGGGAGCCATCAATGAGTCCCTCCCATCTCTACTGGAAGTAAATCTTTCCCTTTCTTGATCCTCATAGTGGATGGTGGCCCAAGGGTAACAAATGTCCAGGATAATTCACTCAGATTAAGTTGACAGACAGGAAATGATAAAAAGAGATTAAATTAGCTGTAAAGTTGTGAGTGTGTGTATCTGTGTGACAGATAAGGTGGTCAAGACAGTGCTATGGGGTAGCTGAGAAGGTTGACTGTGCTGACACTCTGGAAAGATGAGTTCACCTTCAGAGAATCCCAGATATTCATGAGGTTCTTCCTAAATGGAAAGCATGCAGGACAAAATGCAGAAATGGCCTTAGTTCTCATAACAGATGCCTCCCCTAGGCTGAAACCCAGCCTGGTGCCCTGCAGCTGATACTGGATCTTTTATGTTGTTCTAAATTAAATTCAGAGCAATTCAGCCTCTGCCACAAGTACTATTATGTGGGCTTACTTTCACTAAATCTATGTTTATGGGAACATAAAATACATGTTGTTCCTATCATCAGATTTTATTATTGATGATGATCTCTGATTCGTGCCCATCAACTGCCCTTTTAATCACTGTCAGTCATTTAAAATAAGGTCCTTCCTCCACTCAACTGTATTTAGGGCTAATTAAGAGTAAATAACTATTCCCAGCAAGGAAGGCAGAATCCAAGCAAATCTTTGACAAATGCAGCCTTCCCTTTGGAGAAACATATTCTTGTCTGCTGCCAGTAAATATTTCCATACAACCAAAAGAAACTCTGTATTTTCCCCCTATAGAGAATGTCACGCTGCTTTAATACAAGTAGGGAAAAATAAGTACCATTGAAGGCCAGGAAGGAAAACACAAGAAGCATTTAATTAAGAAAAAATATGTAATTCTCCATCTCTTTCAGTGTATCCCAGCTCCATTTGCTTGCCGTCCTCAGCTGTATGAAGCAAATGAATGCAATCACAGGCTTTTAGCTCCCACTCAAGTCTGACATTTCCCCTAAATCTTCCCTCCTCCCTCCACTCCCACCCTCTCTGTGATGCAACACAATTCATTCATTATACTTTGAAGGTTACAGTCGATTGCTCCAAGACAAGAATGCAAAATGGATAGGACCAGACTTCCTGCATTTCAAAGGTTCATCTTGATTTCGGTTCCGCAGGCTCTCTGCAATGTATTACCCAAAAGACTGCTAAATTTTGCTTTGACTGGGCCTTTGAATTTCCTCCTTTCATTTAAAGATGAGAGTTGTGGTTACTTTGCGAATTATAGATTTTAATATTTCTTATATTTCCATTTTCCACTGGACTCTTACAGCTATTTTTGTGTATTTCTTCTAACTTTTAAAAGTTAAAATGTAATGTCTTCCCACCCAGGAGACGAAGAAGAAAGGAGTGCATTAAAAGACACATAAGCTCAGAAAAATTGGGCTGACTGAAGAAAAAAAAAGTACACTTTGAGCTATCCATATGGAAATATAAGAAATATTTCTTATATTTATCCCTATTTATGGAAATGTAAGAAAGCTCTATTATAAAATGTGGAGTTGGAACAAATTAACATAATGAAGAAACAAGCAAGGGTTTTTTTAAATGCAAACACGTTTAAATAAGAAATTTTATATGCATTCAACAGAGTGATTGGACATCAACAATGTAATGCTCTGTTCAGTCCTTCTTACTCATTTCTCCAACTAGTTTCTTTTTTTATTAAACTTTTAAGTTCACGAGTACATGTGCAGGTTTGTTATACAGGTAAACTGCATGTCAAGGGGGTTCGTTGTACAGATTATTTCATCACCCAGGTACTAAGCATAGTACCCATTATTTTCCCTGATCCTGTCCCTCCTCCCACCCTCTACCCTCAGGGAGGCCCCAGTGTCTATTGTTCCCCCCTTAGTGTCCATGTGTTCTCATAATTTAGTTCCCACTTGTGAGTGAGAACATGTAGTATTTCGTTTTCCATCCATGTGCTAGTTTGCTAAGGATAATGTCCTCCAGCTCCATCCATGTTTCTGCAAAGGACATGATCTCATTCTTTTTTTTATGGCTTCATAGTATTCCATGGTGTGTATACATCACATTTTCTTTATTCAATCTGTCATTGATGGGCATTTAGGTTGATTCCACGTCTTTACTATTGTGAATAATGCTGCAATGAACATACATATGCATGTGTGTTTATGATAGAACAATTTATATTTCTTTGGGTATATCCCCAGTAATGGGATCGCTGGGTTGAATAGTAGTTCTGTTTTTCCAGCTAAAGTTTCTTAACTCTTGTTTTTGTTGATTCTCCAAGGAGGCTAGAAACATTAATAATCTTTAGAATTATTTTTACTTGATTCACTTAAAAATCATAGGCAGATTCCAGCTTACTAAGTGCTAGTTGGCACCAATGTGCTAAGTTTTGCTGCATATTGATTATGGAATCCTGGTTCAATTATTCTTTCCACAACTCTTTGTTAAGAATGTATCATCTGTCAGGTAGAGCTCCAAATGCTGAGAATACGGAAGCAAAAGAAATGCGAAATGCAGACTTAGCCTGCAGAGCTTACATTCTGATAAGGAAGATATCCAATAACAAATGGGCACATCACATTTCACGAGTCATTTGTGCTATGAATAAAGGCATAGATCTTATCAGGTGAGGCCGGCTATTTTAGAGAAGGTCACTAGGAAAGGCCTTATCCAGTAGGTGACTTTTGAGCAAAGACTGTAATAGGCAAGGCAGAGAGTGGTAAGAGATAGGTTGGGGGGATGAGCATGACCAGCCTTGCAGACCATGGCAAAGATTTGGACCTTGAATTTGAGGGAGAATGAAAGGCTTGGCTCTTCGAAGTTGCATGATTTCATGAAGATTTCTCTGGCTATGTGGAGAATCAGCTCTTGGGTAAGATTGCCATGTAAAACTTAGGATGCTCAGTTAAATTTGAATTTCAGATGAACAACAAATAATTTTAGTATAAGCATGTCCCAAATATATCATGGGGCATACTTATACTAAAAACAATTTATTGTGAGGCCAGGACGCCTAAAATAAAATGCTGCAGTCACTAACCAACCTGAGAATAATCCTTGCATGGTTCGCTATTCTCTTGTTTTTCCAATCCGTTTTCTTCCCACTCTCCAGGTAAACTCTTCCAGCCTGATGCTCATGGATTTCTAGTGAAGGTAAGGCTGTGACTTTGGCCAATGACTTTTTCCCCATCTATCTCTCTCTCTTTTTTCTTTTTTTTTAGATGGAGTCTCCCTCTGTTGCCCAGGCTGGAGTGCAGTGGTGCGATCTCAGCTCACTGCAACCTCCACATCCCAGGTTCACGCAATTCTCCAGCCTCAGCCTCCTGAGTAGCTGGGACTACAGGTGTGTGCCACCATACCTGGCTAATTTTTGTATTTTTGGTAAAGACAGGGTTTCACCATGTTGGCCAGACTGGTCTCGAACTCCTGACCTTGAGTGGTCCGCCTGCTTCCCCAAAGTGCTGGAATTACAGGCGTGAGACACCACGCCCAGCCCCATCTATCTCTTTAACAAGCCCCTGTTTACTTCCTCTTTGCACAGTCTCTATCTAGGCTTCTGACTAGTGGCTCTGTCCTTCCTTCATGACATGCTAGCATCTCAGAGTATTGCGATTGTACTCCTATCCCCAAGGCAATGCTGCTGGAACTTTGTGAGGACACACACACACGCACAGACACACACAGAGAGAGAGAGAGGGAGACTGAAAGAGAAATTGGGCTGCTAGTCATTGTTTCCTAAGCACCCAGGACTAAGGACTAACCTGCTAAGTGTACTTGGGTACACTTAGTCAGACCATGACTCTCTCCCTGATCAGTATTAGCTATGAGAGCAAGATGATCCTCTACCCAATAGCAACATGCATTGATAAATCAGGTATCACAAACACTTGCAGACAATGAAGGCTCATTCTTGACACTACACGTCAAAGATGGAGAGCCAAGCAGTAGTTTTTAATGAGAAATGTGAGAGGCAATTTTCTGTTTCTTAGCATTTAAGAAAACCAGAAATTACAGACAGTTGAAGAACTAAAGCTGGTTTCCTAGTATAATGTATTAGTAGGCTCAGGCCACCGTAATGAATTCTCACAGATGGAGTGATTTAAACACCAAAAATTTGTTTTCTCAGTTCTGGAGGCTGAAGCCCAAGATCAAGGTGTGGGAAGGACTGGTTTCTTCTAAGGCCTGTCTCCCTGACTTGCAGATGTTTCTCTCTTTCCTCATGTGGTCTTTCCTCTTTGTGCACGCATCCCTGTTGGTCCCTGGTGTCCAAATTGCCTTTTCTTATAGGGACACCAGCCATATCAGATTAGGGCCTACCCTAATGGGATCATCTTAATAATCTCTTTAAAGACCCATTTCTAATACACAGGAGTCACACTCGGAGGCACTGGAGGCTAGGGCTTCAATACATGTATCTTGAAGGGACACAATTCAACTCATAACAAGTGAGGATACACTTATAATGACAGTTGGAGTCCCCAGCAGCTGAGGGACTGAAAAACCAAATTGGATTCCCGGAACAGCAGAATAACAGGGCTCTCTACTAGTGGTCAGGATGAGAAACAAATGAATGGAACACAGGGTCAGATACTCACCTGGGCCTAGCAGCCCTCCGGTCTCAAATGTGAAATATCTGTTTTCTCAGTGGATGAGCAGTCACCTGCTCTTTTCTCATGGGGAGTCAACTAGTCCATTTCCGTGTGATGAGACCACCAGACAGGCTTTGTGTGAGCAATAAAGCTTTTGAATCACCTGGGTGCAGGCAGGCTGAGTCTGAAAAGAGAGTCAGCGAAGGGAGATAGGGGCAGGGCTGTTTTATAAGATTTGGGTGGGTAGTGGAAGATTACAGTCAAAGGGGGTTGTTCTCTGGCTAGCAGGGGTGGGGGGTCACAAGGTGCTCAGTGGGGGAGCTTTTGAGCCAGGATGAGCCAGGAGAAGGAATTTCACAAGGTAATGTCATCAGTTAAGGCAGGGACTGGCCATTTTCACTTCTTTTGTGGTGGAATGTCATCAGTTAAGGCAGGAACAGACTATTTTCACTTCTTTTGTGATTCTTCAGTTACTTCAGGCCATCTGGATGTATACGTGCAGGTCACAGGGGATATGATGGCTTAGATTGGGCTCAGAGGCCTGACAGTCCATAAGGAATATAGAAAGATTAGGAAAGCGTGTATAACACATAATTCAAAATTTAATTCTAAAAACCCCCCGATCTGTAAAGTTTGACAATCATCAACCATAGACTATGTTAAAAGGGTTTGAAGTGGTTTTATGACATGGCAAGGGGCATAATAAGCCTTTTGATAATGGGAGAGTAGTAAGCACAGAAGAAAAATTTGGAAACCACTATCCAGACTAGTGATTTTAAAACTGTTCAAATGATATTAATCTGATGGCAGAGGAGAGCAAACCCTGGCTGAGATAAGAATGCCTCAGTCAGCTTGGGCTGCCACAGCAAAATACCATCAACTGGGTTGGTGCAGACATTTATTTCTCACTGTTATGGAGCTGGAAGTCCAAGATCAAGGTGCCTGGTCAGGTCCTGGTGATGGACCTCTTCCAGGTAGCAGTCAGCTGACTTCTTGCTGGTTCCTCCCATGCTGGAGAGATAGAAAGCTCCAGACTCTTCCTCTTCTTTATTTTATTTTATTTATTTATTATTATTATTTTTTATTTTAGACAGAGTCTTGTTCTATTGCCCAGGCTGAAGTGCAGTGGCATGATCTCAGCTCATTGCAACCTCTGTCTCCCAAGTTCAAGTGATTCTCCTGCCTCAGCCTCCCGAGTAGCTGGGATTACAGGCACACACCATCACGCCCAGCTAATTTTTGTATTTTTAGTAGAGACGGGGTTTCACCATCTTGGCCAGGCTAGTCTTGAACTCCTGACTTCAGGTGATCCACCCACCTCGGCCTCCCAAAGTGCTGGGATTACAGGTGTGAGCCACGGCACCCAGCCTCTTCCTCTTCTTACAAGGACACTAATCCCATTAAGGGGGCTTCCCCCTCATGACTTCATCTAAACCTAGGCACCTCCCCAAAGCCCCACCTCCAAATACCATCATATTGGCCGTTTGGGCTTCTATATGTGAATGTGAGGAAGGGAACACAAAATTTAGTTCATAATAAGAAGAGAGAATGGGTGATTGCGCCTTACCATAAAAATATTTTTAAGCTCTACATTTGGTTCTATAACAGTTTTTCTTTTTTAATTTTGATAAAAAACCTGTGTTACTTTTGTCCCTCAAATCCCTCAAGAAAGTTCATGCTCCAACAAGGGGCATCGTGTTTATCATGGAACCAAGACAGCTGGGTGGGAAGGGCTCCCTGTCAAAACTCCAACCAGCCTGTGCACTGGGAGGAATGAACAGTGGGATGGAGCCACAGAAGTCTGCACCATTTGCAGCAGGGAAGGGTCTGGCCCCTCCTCTTCCTGTGTGCAACCTGAGATTCAAACTACGAGGTGAGAATTGCACCAGCAGGGACTCCGGCTTTATGGAGGGTCCCTGTTTCCCTTTTTACCCAATAACACACTGCCTTACTCACCCTTCAAATTGTCTGCAAGCCTAAATTTTCGTAGCCCTGTGACAAGGACCCTGTATTTAGCTGAACTAAGGAAAAGTCCCACAACAGAACTTTGCCTGACCTCTGGCATCATCTTCTCAGCTCCCTGCTTATCTGTGCCTCAGCTGGAGAATCGACCTCAGAGGCTTATGTGTCCTCAAATAGCAAGGAGTAAGACCCTTCAGACAAAAAGTCTTACTCATAACCTCATTAAGCCTTGGCCATAGGACTTGCTCCAGGCATTCTATGAGTACATGAAGGTCTAGATTCTAGTGCAGACAAAGACTGAATTCCTCCTTTCTCATCCCAAGGCAGCTGCTCTACAAATCTCCCTGACTACCCCAGGAGCTCCCACCATTTCTTTGTTAGTTAACGTTATCAGTTGTCTGTGTACAATTAGGATGCATAACAAGCAACCACAAAACCTCTGTGGTATAAAACAATATACTTTTTAAAAAATTTTTTTTGCTTATGACTCTATGACTTGGCTGGACAGTTCTGCCGATCTTGGCTGGGCTTAGATAAGCAGTTCTTCTTCTCTTGGCTGGGAGTGACTCATAAGTCTGACCGTGCACTGGCTTTTACTTCACGTGGAAGGGTCTTGGCTGAGATAACTGGCTTTGCTCCACATGGTCTCTCATCCTCCAGCCAGCTAGGCCAGGCTTGTTCTCATGATGGAGAGAATAGAGAGCAGAGGTGTTACAAGCCCTCAGAAGGCCTGGTTCAGAGGCAAGGCCACCTTCTATTGACCAAAGTAAATCAAAAGTCCAACCCAGATTGAAGGAACAGGAAAACAGACTATACTCTTGATGGAAGAAGCAGCAAAATCACACTGCAAAGGGCACAGATTCAGGGATGGGTAGAGAACTGAGGTTGTTTTCTCAGTCAAAAGTAGGCACTCTGAGCTGCCTATTTTAGGAGCAAAATTCTATGCTCATTTTATCTTTTTCCATATTGGTTACTTATGAAGGCCAAGGAATCTCATTGGAACTCAGGATAGAGTATTGCTGTGGGAAGATTTTAAGCCCTCTTTGGACATGCACTTTAGCAACTTATACACAGTGGTTGGGAGGAGGAGGGGAAGTACAGATCTTCTCTAATAATGACTGCCTTGAAGTCTGGTGGTTGACTGCTGACGAATTTGCTCTGTTAGACTGAGCCGAATCCTGGATAGAAGTGAGATAGATTTGTGAGAAATTTATTAGAGTTGTGACAATTTGGCATCTGCTAGGGCAAAGATTTCAATCATGTGGAGAAAGAAAAGATTGTCAAAAATGTGGAGGAAAAAGATTATGTAAGTCAGTGATGCTTAGATATATAGTAGGAAAATACATCATATTTTGGAAGCTAGTTTAAGAAACTTCAGTAATTATGAGTCAGATTTATAGCTCATAAAATGTAGTTTTTTTCTGGAGATCACATCTCACAGTTAAAAGAGAATATACTAAAGAAGCTTATCCCTTCATTTTAAACTAGATGTCATTACCCTAGTCAGATGTTTACTTCTCTTTATCTGCAACTCAAGATTAACACTGGGGAAAGGAGAAGAAGGACTTCCACCGTTTTAGGAATAGGCATGCAAAGTAAATTTCAGAATCTAAAAGGAAGGGACACAGAGAACTATGTTGATTGGACGTAACATTTCATATGTGAGGCACTGTGACGGGCACATTATGTCATTTAATCTCCACCATAATATTGTGGGATAGGCACTACTAGTCCCTGATTTTACAGGTGAGGAAGCAGAGACTCAGAGAGGACAACTGGCTTGCCTCAATTCCTACCACAAGTGAGATCCGAAGACACGAATTCAGCTCTAATCTCCTGTTGTCCTTTTTTTTTTTTTCTGGCTGCAATTATTCCACTGTAACAGACCACTCCTGAGACAGCCAGGTGGGAAGGTGGTCCCTGGAAAAACTCCAACCAGCATGCGCACTGAGAAGGCGCACTGAGGTGGAGTCACAGAAGTTCCCGCCATTTGCAATGGGGAGGAGCCTGACTCCTCCTCTTCCTGTGTGGAACCTGGGATTCAAACTGCGAGACAGTCCTGCAATACTACCATCTTGGATAACCTCTTTCAAATCTTTGTAATTTGAAAATTTTAAAAGTTATTGAATTCATTTTGTTCTTTGTTTGTGTGTTTGTTTCCTCAGAGAAAGGAAGCCTATTTAATGCCATGTGAAGGCCTCACTCTTTCTTCCTAGTCTTGCTCTGGAATGATCTTTGTTAAACTAAAGACAGAGACCTTCCCTCATGGGCAAAAGCCAGCAGGAATGATGAATACCAATGATGCTGTGACTCCATAGTTTACAAATTTGAGGAAGAGCTTTGGTCCAGGGCAGGCTTGGGGAAGAAAAGTGACAACCACTCATCTAGGCAGATGCCCTGGGGTGCCGCTGGGGTGGCATGCCAGCATCCATGGTAAGGTAATTCCGAAGAACAGCAGGACTCATTCATTCATCCCACAGGCCTTCCCAGTCAGGGGAAACGACTTTCAGATGCATTTCCTGTTAGCCAAAAAAAAATCCCGTAGGGGCATTACCCAAATAGTATTTTTAAAATTCCTTTTTGTGTTTCCTCTAAAAGTACTTTCTTTTGCAAGAGATTTTCCGGATATGATATCATCCTAAATATTGTTTGACCAATTTCATCACCAATTACTTCAAATCTAGACAGTTTGTCCAGCTTTTACAAGGTAGTTAAGGTCACCCCAGGAACCAAAATAGTGATGACAGGAACACTTCGATTCCATGGCCAGTGGGAGTCATGTGCAACCTGTCTGCTGGATGAACATTTACTACATAACTCAGAGATAGAATTAACTGGCTCCGGAGTCATGAGGAACATGTATAAATAAAGCAGTTAAGAAAATTACAACTGGAAACTTGAAATAATGACTTGACTCACTAGTTCTTCCTGAGTTCTTAACAGTAAACTGCCCAGAATTGTTGCAGAGTTGACACCTCCAAAATTGTCATTTGGTTTCCTGAACACAGTTCAGAGTTCAGTACTTCCTACTTCCCTGTCTCAGTTTTTCCTCAATGATTCTCAACCAGAGGAAGCAATACCTCCTCAATCCCTGCTCCCGGGTTCCCCAAGGCGGGGTGTAGGTGCAGAAAAAAGTTAAATCCAGCTTTACACAGATTTGCTCTTCTATGAGATTCTTGCCTCAAAGATGAGAGAAAATGAGAGAGAATGTTGGCATCTTGTTGATGAGTCATTTGAGACAATGCTAAGTCATTCTTAGAAAAGCATAAGGAAATAGACATTCAATATTGAAGTTTGGAGTTGGAGACAGTTCCAGAACTTATTATGGAAATGGCATTTGCCGTAGATAAAATCTAATTGAGAAAGACAAGTCTCTAGAGAATCTTTTTGGTCCTGAGAAATTTGGGAGCTTCTATCAAAAGAGCAGGAGGTAGAGACTAGCACCTTTGGCCAGAGTGGCTGGTAATTGATGTCTGTGTCCCTGGTTTGAGAATCCCAGCTTTGTTCAAAGGAAACCCTGGCTGGCTCTGCCCACTCACTGGACTCAAGAGCCCTCAGCAGTCCATGGAGATGCCAGTTACAACCTTAACAGCATGAGGAGGAAGAGAAAAACCCCACTATCCACGGATAGTGAGGGAGTGGCTGCTGGAGACTTTGGGACCACCCAGCCTGGGAAACCTGGGAATCTGCCCTCTCCTGACCAGACCTAGACAACGTGGGCAAGATTATAAATGGCATAAGCATTTCACAGACCCAAGAAAAGCTGGGGAGGGGAACAATGAGTGAGATCTTGGCAATATTTTGGGTAAAACTGGGGCTAGCTCTACAGCTGCCAAGTGACCGTGATTGTGTGCATCAGAAGAATCCCACCCCACTGTGGATGAGAAGTTGATCTGGCTTTGGCAGCAGTCTCTTCATTGATCATCAGGACTGACCTGACCCACATGGCTGGCTCAGAGGAGGCCCTTTCCCTCCTAGACCAGCAGCCTCTCTTCTTTGACACTTTGTTCCCAACAGATACAACTTCTGTTACTAAACCTCCTGGGATATGAGGCCGTTCCTCCCACCTCCCCGCACCCACTTCCTACAGAAAACGGATCAGGATCAACCAGGCCTTTGAGCCACATTTCAACTCTAAACAGTGATTTGTTTTTACAATAAGGAGTGAGCCAGCACACGCTCCTTTGGAATTTGAAAGGAATTCCTTTGCCCAGAGGGGTGATGACTTGGGCATCAATTCGCACTTTCCTGGTAAATGCTCTCCTTAGGAAGTAACCCAGAAAAACCATGCTTAGTCATCAGCAATCACATGTATAAAAATCATGAACTTGTCTGAATCACCTTTCTGGTAAGGAAATAATCAACTAGAAGTCAGTTTGAGACAGTTGTTGAAGAATAGTAAGCAACCCTCACCTTCAAGTCAGCTGCTTCTTTTAATTAGTGACAGTAGAAAAGCATTAACAATTAAGGCTTAACTAAGAAAAACAAAAGAAAAAATAATAATGCAGTATCAGGGGGAGATGCAGAAAAAAAGGAAAAATGAACAAGATTATGAAAGCCTGCTGTTATTCATATATTTAAAAAATTCCACATTTTTATAAAGTTCAGTTTAGTAGTTTTTTTTTTTTTTTTTTTTGGAGTGTTTACTGTGTGCTAGACAATCTGCTAAGTTCAGGAGGTAGAAAGATGAATAAGACCAAGTATTTCTCCTAGAAAAACTGTGCTAAGCACATGGTAGACATTCAATAAATGTCAATTCTCTTTTTTCTGCTAGTGAGAAAAATTCCGTATTCATGAATATTTATTGTGATTGCTTAGCGATTTTTTAAAACAATCTGCTGTGGCAGAGAAGGCTAACTATCCTCCTAAATACATTCTCATCTTATTTGGGCACAGTAATAGACTACATTTCCCAGCCTCCTTTGCAAATAAATGTGACCGTGTGATTAAATTCTAGCCACTGCCGTGTGATCAGAAGTAATGAGTTGCTTCTGTGCTTAGGATTTGTAATATATGGTCATAGCTTCACCATGTTCACACTTTGGGCTACCATGGCATAAAAATAGATTGTTCTTTATCCTGAGGCCCTTCTCTGAAGAATTCTTAAACAGGGAGATAGGCATGATCAAATTCACTATGAGTAAAATCCTTCTGGTAGCTGGTAGGAGATGAGTTGCAGGACTGGCAAAGCCACAGGGCAAGCAGAGCAGTTTGCTGGCTATTGCAGGAATTCAGGGGGAAAATAACGGGGGCCTGAAGTAAACTGCCTCTGGGTATGAAGAAGAGAAAGCTAATTAAATATATTATTGTCAGTCCTCAGTTGCTAAAAGTTATTTGAAGGCAGATGGGGATGGGAAATGTAGTAGCTTTGTCTCGATCCCATAACTCACTGGACACAGCCAGGGAGAAAGACTCCCACCACTTTTTCCACTTCCTCCTCTTTCTCCAGCTTCTTCCTCCTCCCCAGCTCTGTTAATTTTCTATTTTTCAAACATCAGGATACACCCTTGAGTGCACATACAAGGAAGACAATGTTAGTGGAAACTCCAAATTATATGATCGCCCTCCACAGCTAAACCATAGTCCAATACCACTGCAAATTATTTATAAAAATGCCTTTAGTCAGCAATTCTATGATTAGCCTTTGGAAGGAATCTTGCTGGAGAAAAATACTTATCAACAGAAAGCTTGCAAAAGGAATACTTAGCAGAATGCTTTACACTAGATTGGTTAGACTAGAAGGCAGGAAAAAAGATGAGAAAAGTATTTTAACATAGAATTTATAACAATTTTTGTAATAAGAGGAAGATGTGCAATTTTCAATAAAGAACAAATTGCAAAAAGCTTACGCATCAGATTAATCAGGCACCAGAAAACTGCAAAAGTCTTGATGGTCTAAACCATTGCCAGGATACCGTAGAGATGCATTTACATACTTGATCTTAATTAGGTAACTTATATCTTCTCAATAGTCCACCATAGCAAAGCATGCTAACATTGTCAGTCTGAACCTCAGAATTTGAAATATCTTTTGACTTTGATTTTATAGATATATTTTTCCTTAATGAAACTGGGGAGGGAGAAGCTTTGCAAAAGTTCAGAAATATCTTGTTTCCCATTATTTAGCTTCAATGTCTTTCCTTTGACCTCACTTTCAGCTGTAAGATTACGGTACACCTTTAGCTACATATGAATATTCCTGGCACTTAATATTTGATTGATTTGTAAATCCTAAATTAACTATCTAAACTTTTAGGAAAAACTACAAGTCTTACTTTTTGACAAATTTGACTTGGGAAAGAGGAAACCATTTTGGCAGTCTGAGAGGTTCTAGCTTTGACTATAAGGAAAGGAAATTTTTTAAAAAATGCTTTTCTGTCTCTTGATGTTCTTAGTAGAGAGAAGAATGTTTATTCTTTGAAGATAAAATGTAGAGTCAGATTAAGAAGGGAAACATCTGCCAATAGAAACAGCAATGAGAATTAGTTATGTGTCGTGGAAAAAAATAAGATTTAGCCCAACTATGTTGATATTACTTAGTAAGATTGGACAACAGAATTGGCAACAATATTTCTTATTGAACTATTTTAAGGAAATCCTATGAAAGTAATTAAAAATAAAAACATTGAATTGCTTCAGCAGAGAGAGTGTGTATTTCTTTTCTTCTACCCTCAACATTTTGCAAATCTATAGTAAGAGCTTGGAAGAAGAATACAAAAAAAAAAAAAGCACCTCAATATGTGGAACAGATATGGAAGTTAACTGTGAAGCAAGGTTTTATATAGCAAACTTTTTCCCACTGACTTTCTTCTTAAAATGGAATATATTCTACTGCTTCAAAACAAAAATGACTTCCAGATGGAAATAAAAATTGAACCCAAGAATGCAACATCTTTTCTATAGCGTACATTTAAAGTAAATTAAATTGGCTATGTTACTCATATTAACACAAAAAATACACATGCCAAAAGTGAAAATTATAGAAATGTCAAGCCATTGTGAAAGGGAATAATGCCTTAATATGTGGCATTTCCAAGTATCTAAGTCTTCACAATATGCTCATAATTCCTACAGATTCAAGTCTATTCCACTTCAAGTTTCTTCTTTATGGTTTGTTTTTAAGCTTAGTGTCACTTACTAATCTCTATCAATTCAGTTTACACTGAATTTAGGAGTCATTGATCAGTAAATTACTTGAGATCAGTTATAACCACTAGGGGAACAATCCACTGTGCCATGATGGTTGTTCATACTTAAGTTGTGGTCGGCAAACCGTTTATTACCAGTCTTAGTAAAGAAACTAAGACTAGGCATCAAGAAACTTTTATCGCAATTTAATATTGCTATGATATCTAAGCATCCACTCTAAATAGGAATGTTTCATTCAGTTACAAATAGACCAAAATAATAAGCTGAAGATAGACGGGACTTCTTTTAAGTCTTTTACCACAAATAGATTGAGAAGTATTGGTCTACATTGATTTAGGAGATATAATCATCATCCAAGTGTGGGGACAGGAAGATGCCAGATGGGTAAAAGAGAAATATTTTGATCATCCCAAAGTTTATTTTTTAAAAAACTAAAAGTTTTCCAAAGAGCAAAGGGCACCACTAAAAGCATAATCCACCTTCTAAATATATAACTTGGGGTATAGTCAGGGGAAAGCCAGAGCCAAATTGTCAGTCTGGCAGATAATTTTCAAAATTTATTATTAATAATGAATAACACAATACATAGTCAATAAAATCACTCAAAATTATATTATCCAGAGATAATCCCTGTCAGGCCTCTGAGCCCAAGCTAAGCCATCATATCCCCTATGACCTGCACGTACACATCCAGGTCGCTGGTTCCTGCCTTAACTGATGACATTCCACCACAAAAGAAGTGAAAATGGCCTGTTCCTGCCTTAACTGATGACATTGTCTTGTGAAATTCCTTTTCCTGGCTCATCCTGGCTCAAAAGCTCCCCCACTGAGTACCTTGTGACCCCCACTCCTGCCCGCCAGAGAACAACCCCTTTTCCTTTACCTACCCAAATCCTATAAAATGGCTCCACCCCATCTCCCTTCGCTGACTCTCTTTTCAGACTCAGCCCACCTGCACCCAGGTGAAATAAACAGCTTTATTGCTCACACAAAGCCTGTTTGGTGGTCTCTTCACACGGACGCTCATGAAATTTGGTGCCGTGACTCAGATCGGGGGACCTCCCTTGGGAGATCAATCCCCTGTCCTCCTGTTCTTTGCTCCGTGAGAAAGATCCACCTACGACCTCAGGTCCTCAGACCAACCAGCCCAAGAAACATCTCACCAATTTCAAATCCAGTAAGCGGCCTCTTTTTACTCTCTTCTCCAACCTCCCTCACTATCCCTCAACCTCTTTCTCCTTTCAATCTTGGCACCACACTTCAACCTCTCCTTTCTCTTAATTTCAATTCCTTTCATTTTCTGGTAGAGACAAAGGAGACACGTTTTATCCCTGGACCCAAAACTCCAGCGCCGGTCACGGACTGGGGAAGGCAGCCTTCCCTTGGTGTTTAATCATTACAGGGACACCTCTCTGATTATTCACCCAGGTTTCAGTGGTGTCAGACCACGCAGGGACGCCTGCCTTGGTTCTTCACCATTAGCATCAAGTCCTGCTTTTCTGGGGAAGAGGCAAGTACCCCAACCCCTTCTCTCCGTGTCTCTACCCCTTCTCCACCTTTCTGGGGGGCAAGAAACCCCCATCCCCTTCTCCTTCACCCTTAGGGGCAAGTCCCACTTTTCTGGTGGAGGGACAAGTACCCCAACCCCTTATATCTCTGTGCCCCATCCCTTATTTCCATGCCCCAACCTCTTATATTTCTGTGCCCCGATCCCTCATTTCCATGCCCCGAACTTGTATCTCTGTGTCTCAACCCCTTTCGTGCTTTTCTGGAGGGTAAGAACCCCCAAACGCCTTCCCTCCGTGTCTCTACTCTCTTTTCTCTGGGCTTGCCTCCTTCACTACTGGCAACCTTCCACCCTCCATTCCTCCTTCTTCTCCCTTAGCCTGTGTTCTTAAGAACTTAAAACCTCTTCAACTCTCACCTGACCTAAAATCTAAGCATCTTATTTTCTTCTGCAATGCCGCTTGACCCCAGTACAAATGCGACAGTAGTTCCAAATAGCCAGAAAACAGCACTTTCAATTTTTCCATCCTGCAAGATCTAAATAATTCTTGTCGTAAAATAGGCAAACAGTCTGAGGTGCCTGATGTCCAGGCATTCTTTTACACATCGGTCCCTCCCTAGTCTCTGTGCCCAGTGCAACTCGTCCCAAATCTTCCTTCTTTCCCTCCCGCCTGTCCCCTCAGTCCCAATCCCAAGAGTCGCTGAGTCTTTCTAATCTTCCTTTTCTACAGACCCATCTGACCTCTCCCCTCCTCCCCAGGCTGCTCCTCGCCAGGCTGAGCTAGGTCCCAATTCTTCCTCAGCCTCCGCTCCTCCACCCTATAATCCTTTTATCACCTCCCCTCCTCACACCGGGTCCCACTTACAGTTTCATTCCATGACTAGCCCTCCCCCACCTGCCCAGCAATTTACTCTTAAAAGGGTGGCTGAAGCTAAAGGCATAGTCAAGGTTAATGCTCCTTTTTCTTTATCCCAAGTCAGATAGCATTTAGGCTCTTTTTCATCAAATATAAAAATCCAGCCCAATTCATGATTCCTTTGGCAGCAACCCTGAGACAATGCTTTACAGCCCTAGACCCTAAAAGGTCAAAAGGGTGTCTTATTCTCAAAATACATTTTATTACCCAATCTGCTCCCGACATTAAATAAAACTCCAAAAATTAAATTCCGGCCCTCAAACCCCACAACAGGATTTAATTAACCTCGCCTTCAAGATGTACAATAATAGAAAAAAGTTGCAATTCCTTGCCTCCACTGTGAGACAAACCCCAGCCACATCTCCAGCACACAAGAACTTCCAAACGCCTGAACCGCAGTGGCCAGGTATTCCTCCAGAGCCTCCTCTCCCAGGAGCTTGCTACAAGTGCCAGAAATCTGGCCACCAGGCCAAGGAATGCCTGCAGCCCAGGATTCCTCCTAAGCCATGTCCCATCTGTGCAGGACCCCATTGGAAATCGGACTGTCCAACTCACCTGGCAGCCACTCCCAGAGCCCCTGGAACTCTGGCCCAAGGCTCTCTGACTCCTTCCCAGATCTTCTTGGCTTAGCGGCTGAAGACTGACGCTGCCCGATCACCTCGGAAGCCCCCTAGACCATCACGGACGCTGAGCTTTGGGTAACTCTCACAGTGGAAGGTAAGTCCGTCCCCTTCTTAGTCAATACGGAGGCTACTCACTCCACATTACCTTCTTTTCAAGGGCCTGTTTCCCTTGCCTCCATAACTGTTGTGGGTATTGACAGCCAGGCTTCTAAACCTCTTAAAACTCCCCAACTCTGGTGCCAACTTAGACAATACTCTTTTAAGCACTCCTTTCAGTTATTCCCACCTGCCCAGTTCCCTTATTAGGCTGAGACACTTTAACTAAATTATCTGCTTCCCTGACTATTCCTGGATTACAGCTACATCTCATTGCTGCCCTTCTTCCCAATCCAAAGCCTCCTTTGTGTCTTCCTCTTCTATCCCCCCACCTTAACCCACAAGTATAAGATATCTCTACTCCCTCCTTGGCGACCGATAATGCACCCCTTACCATCTCATTAAAATCTAATCACCCTTACTCCGCCCAATGCCAAGATCCCATTCCACAGCATGCTTTAAAAGGATTAAAACCTGCTATCACTTGCCTGCTACAGCATGGCCTTTTAAAGCCTATAAACTCTCCTTACAATTCCCCCATTTTACCTTTCCTAGAACCAGAGAAGATTTACAGGTTAGTTCAGGATCTGCGCCTTATCAACCAAATTGTTTTGCCTATCCACCCCGTGGTGCCAAACCCATATACTCTCCTATCCTCAATACCTCCCTCTACAACCCATTATTCTGTTCTGGATCTCAAACATGCTTTCTTTACTATTCCTTTGCACCCTTCATCCCAGCCTCTCTTCGCTTTCACTTAGACTGACCCTGACACCCATTAGGCTCAGCAAATTACCTGGGCTGTACTGTTGCAAGGCTTCACAGACAGCCCCCATTACTTCAGTCAAGCCCAAATTTCATCCTCATCTGTTACCTATCTTGGCATAATTCTCATAAAAACACACCTGCTTTCCCTGCTGATCATGTCCGATTACTCTCCCAAACCTCAATCCCTTACAAAACAACAACTCCTTTCCTTCCTAGGCATGGTTAGTGCGGTCAGAATTTTTACACAAGAGCCAGGACCGCACCCTGTAGCCTTTCTGTCCAAACAACTTGACCTTACTGTTTTAGCCTAGCCCTCATGTCTCCGTGCAGCAGCTGCTGCCGCCCTAATACTTTTAGAGGCCCTCAAACTCACAAACTATGCTCAACTTACTCTCTACATTTCTCATAACTTCCAAAATCTATTTTCTTCCTCATACCTGATGCATATACATTCTGAGCCCCGGCTCCTTCAGCTGTACTCACTCTTTGTTAAGTCCCACAATTACCATTGTTCCTGGCCCGGACTTCAATCCGGCCTCCCACATTATTCCTGATACCACACCTGACCCCCATGACTGTATCTCTCTGATCCACCTGACGTTCACCCCATTTCCCCATATTTCCTTCTTTCCTGTTCCTCACCCTGATCACGCTTGATTTATTGATGGCGGTTCCACCAGGCCTAATCACCACACACCAGCAAAGGCAGGCTATGCTATAGTACAAGCCACTAGCCCGCCTCTTAGAACCTCTCATTTCCTTTCCATCGTGGAAATCTATCCTCAAGGAAATAACTTCTCAGTGTTCCATCTGCTATTCTACTACTCCTCAGGGATTATTCAGCCCCTTCCCTTCTCTACGCATCAAACTCGAGGATTTGCCCCCACCCAGGACTGGCAAATGAGCTTTACTCAACATGCCCCGAGTCAGATAACTAAAATACCTCTTAATCTAGGTAGACACTTTCACTGGATAGGTACAGGCCTTTCCTACAGGGTCTGAGAAGGCCACCACAGTCATTTCTTCCCTCCTGTCAGACATAATTCCTCAGTTTGGCCTTCCCACCTCTATACAGTCTGATAACAGACCAGCCTTTATTAGTCAAATCAGCCAGCAGTTTTTCAGGCTCTTAGTATTCAGTGAAACCTTTATATCCCTTATGGTCCTCCATCTTCAGGAAAAATAGAACAGACTAAAGGTCTTTTAAAAACGCACCTCACCAAGCTCAGCCACCAATGTAAAAAGGACTGGGCAATACTTTTACCACTTTCCCTTCTCAGAGTTCAGGCCTGTCCTCAGAATGCTACAAGGTACAGCCCATTTGAGCTCCTGTATAGACGCTCCTTTTTATTAGGCCCCAGTCTCATTCCAGACACCAGACCAACTTAGGCTGTGCCCCAGAAAAACTTGTCATCCCTACTATCTTCTATCTAGTCATACTCCTATTCACCGTTCTCAACTACTCATACAAGCCCTGCTCTTGTTTACACTGCCAGTTTACACTGTTTCTCCAAGCCATCACAGCTGATATCTCCAGGTGCTATCCCCAAACTGCCACTCTTAACTCTTGAAGTAAATAAATAATCTTTGCTGGCAGGACTATGCTGAATCTCCTTAGGCACTCTCTAATCAGATATCCTGAGTCGTCCCAATTCTTAGACCTTTTATACCTGTTTTTCTCCTTCTCTTATTCCATTTAGTTTTTCAATTCATACAAAACTGCATCCAGGCCATCACCAATAATTCTAAATGACAAATGTTCCATCTAACAACACCACAATATCACCCCTTACCACAAAATCTTCCTTCAGCTTAATCTCTCCCACTCTAGGTTGCCATGCCACCCCTAATCCCGCTCAAAGCAGCCCTGAGAAACAGCGCCCATTATCTCTCCATCCCATCCCCCAAAATTTTCACTGTCCCAACACTTTACCACTATTTCATTTTATTTTTGTTGTTAATATAAGAAGACAGGAATGTCAGGCCTCTGAGCCCAAGCTAAGCCATCATATCCCCTGTGACCTGCACGTACACATCCAGATCGCTGGTTCCTGCCTTAACTGATGACATTCCACCACAAAAGAAGTGAAAATGGCCTGTTCCTGCCTTAACTGATGATGTTGTCTTGTGAAATTCCTTCTCCTGGCTCATCCTGGCTCAAAAGCTCCCCCACTGAGTACCTTGTGACCCCCCACTCCTGCCCGCCAGAGAACAACCCCCCTTATTCCTTTACCTACCCAAATCCTATAAAACGGCCCTACCCCATCTCCCTTCGCTGACTTTCTTTTCGGACTCAGCCCGCCTGCACCCAGGTGATTAAAAGCTTTATTGCTCACACAAAGCCTGTTTGGTGGTCTCTTCACACAGATGTGCATGAAAATCCCACAATATTTTGGGAATACTTTCCTCAATTATTTCTCATATCACACAGTTCACTTAATTGATCATAATTATTCTCAAATTCAATAAATATACTTCTCCATCAACATTGTTAATAACTGCAGAATATTCCATTTTATTAATATTCTATAATTATTTAAACAATCTGCTATTTTTAAGTATTTAGATTATTTAGGTTAATTATATATAACACCATATATCTTTTTCCATTCTTTACTTTTAACCTATTTGTGTCCTTATATTTAAAGTATGTTTCACATATGCAGCACATAGTTGGGTCTTACTTTTTTTTTCTACTTTTATTTTAGGTTTGGGGGTACATCTGCAGATTTGCTATATAGGTAAATTGCATATCGCTAAGGCTTGATGTACAAATGATCCCATCACTAATGTAGTAAGCATAGTACCTGGTAGGTAGTTTTCAAATTCATGTCTTCTTCCCACCCTCCACCCACAAGCAGTCCTCAATGCCTATTGTTCCCATCTTTGTGCCCGTGTGTATTCAATATTTACCTCTCACTTGTAAGTGAGAACATTGCAGTATTTGGCTTTCTGTTCCTGCATTTGTTTGCTTAGGATAATGGCCTCCAGCTGCATCCAAGTTGCTGCAAAGGGCATGATTTTATTCTTTTTTATGGCTGCATAGTATTCCATGGTGTTTATGTACCAAATTATCTTTATTCTGTCCACCATTGATGGGCATCTTGCTTGATTTCATGTTCAATGAACATGCAAGTGCATGTGTCTTTCTGGTATTAATTTTCCTTTGGGTATGTACCAATAGTGAGATTGCTAGGTCAAGTGGTAGTTCTAAGTTCTTTGAGAAATCTCCATTCTGCTTTCCACAGTGGCTAAACTCATTTACATTCCCAACAGTAGCGTATACGTGTTCCCTTTTCTTTGCAGCTTCACCAGCATTTGTTGTTTTTTGAATTTTTAATAATAGCCTTTCAATTGATGTGAGATGGCATCCCATTGTGGTTTTTATCTGCATTTCTCTAATAAGTAGGGATGATGAGCATTTTTCATATATTTTTTGGCAGCATGTATCTCTTCTTTGAGAAATGTCTGTTTATGCTCTTTGCCCATTTTTTAAATGGAGTTATTTGGTTTTTGCTTGCTGATTTAAGGTTCTTTTAGATTGTGGATATTACATCTTTGATGAATGTATAGTTTGCAAATATTTACTCCCATTCTGTAGGTTGTCTGTCTGCTCTCTTGATAGTTTATTTTTCTATGCAGAAGTTCTCTAGTTTAATTATGTCCCACTTGTCAATTTTTGTTTTTGTTGCAGTTGCTTTTGGGGACTTAGTCATAAATTATTTACCAAGGCCAATGTCCAGAATGGTATTTCCTAGGTTTTCTTCTAGGGTTTTTATTGTTTTACATCTTACATTTAAGTCTTTAATCCATCTTGAGTTAATTTTTTTATACGGTGTAGGGAAGGGGTCCAGTTTCAATCTTCTGTATACGACTAGCCAGTTATCCTAGCACCATTTATTGAATCCTTTCCCCAATGCTTGTTATTGTTGACTTTGTCAAAGATCAGCCAGTTAGAGGTGTGTGACTTTCTGTTTTCTCTGTCTTGTTCTATTGGTCTGTTTTTGTACTAGTACCATGATGTTTTGGTTATTGTAGCCTTGTAGTATAGTTTGAAATCAGGTAGTGTGGTGGCTCCAAATTTTTTATTTTTGCTTAGGATTGCCTTGGATATTTGGGCTTTTTTGGTTCCATTAAAATTTTAGAATAGTTTTATCTAATTCTATGAATATGTCATTGGTAGTTTGATGGGAATAGCATTGAATCTTTAAATTGCTTTGAGTAGTATGGCCATTTTAACAACATTGATTTTTTCGATGAATGAACATGGAATATTTTTCCATTTATTCATGTCATCCCAGATTTCTTTCAGTATGTTTTATAATTCTCATTGTAGAGATCTTTCACCTCCTTGGTAAGCTGTATTCCTAGGTATTTTATATTTTTGTGGCTACTGTGAATGGGTTAGCATTCTTGATTTGGCTCTGAGCTTGAATGTCATTGGTGTATAGAAATCCTACTGATTGGGCCGGGCACAGTGGCTCATACCTATAATCCCAGCACTTTGGGAGGCCAAAGGGGGCAGATCACCTGAGGTCAGAAGTTCGAGACCAGCCTGACCAACATGGAGAAACCCCGTCTCTACTAAAAAGACAGAAAAAAAATAGCCAGGCATGGTGGCACATGCCTGTAATCCCACCTACTTGGGAGGATGAAGCAGAAGAATCCCTTGAACCCAGGAGGCGGAGGTTGCAGTGAGCCGAGATCTCGCCATTGCACTCCAGCCTGGGCAACAGAGTGAAACTCCATCTCAAAAAAGAAAGAAAAGAAAAGAAAAAAAAGAAATCCTACTGATTTTTACATATTGATTGTGTATCCAGAAATTTTACTGAAGTTGTTTATCAGTTTTATAAGCTTTCTGGTGGAGTCTGCAGGGTTTTCTAGGTATAGAATCATATCATCTGCAAAGATAGTTTGACTTCCTCTCTTCCTACTTGGATGCCTTTCATTTCTTTCTTTTGTCTGTTCTGGCTAGGACTTTCAAGTACTATGTTGAATAGGAGTGGTGAGAAAGGGCATCCTTGTCTTGTTCCAGTTCTCAAAGGGAATGCTTCCAGCTTTTGCCATTCCCCCAGTATTATTTTACATCTCATAATAGTCTCTGAGTATGATGTTAGCTGTGGGTTTGTCATAGATGGCTCTTACTATTTTGAGGTATGTTCCTTTGATGCCTAATTTGTTGAGGGTTTTTAACATAAATGGATGTTGAATTTTATTGAAAGCCTTTTTGCATCTTTTGAGATGATCATGTGATCTTTGTTTTTAATTCTCTTTATATGGTGAATCACACTGGTTTGTGTGTGTCGAACCAACCTTGCATCCCAGGGATAAAGCCTACTTGATTGTGGTGAATTAACTATTTGATATGCTGCTGGATTTGGTTTGCTAGTATTTTGTTAAAGATTTTTGCATCTATGTTCATCAGAGATATTGGCCTGAAGGTTTCTTTTTTCGTTATGTCTCTACCAAGCTTTGGTATTAGAATGATGCTGGCTTCATAGAATAAGTTAGGGAAGAGTTCTTCCCCCTCAATTTTTTTGAATAGTTTTAGTAGGATTGGTACTAGCTCCTTGTATGTCTGGCAGAATTCAGTTGTGAATCCGTCTGGCTCAGGGCTTTTTTGTTTGGTAGGCCTTTTATTACAGATTCAGTTTCAAAATTTACTATTGATCTGTTCAGGATTTTAATTTCTTCCTGGTTCGATCTTGGGAGACTGTGTGTTTACAGAAATTTGTCCATTTCTTTTAGGTGTTCTAGTTTGTGTGCATAGGGGTGTTTATAATAATCTCTGAGGATCTTTTGTATTTTTGGGGGGTCAGTTGTAAAGTTGTCTTTGCCATTTCTGATAGTGTTTATGTAGATCTCCTCTGTTTTTTCTTTATTAATATAGCTAGTGGTCTATCAATGTTGTTTACTCTTTTGAATGGCTAACTTTTGGTTTTGTTGAGCTTTTGTATCTATTTTTACATCTCAGTTTCATTCAGTTTAGTTATGATTTTTTTTTTTCTGCTGCTAGTTTTGGGATTGGTTTGCTCTTGGTTTGCTAGTTACTCTAGGTGTGATGTTAGGTTGCTAATTTGAGATCTTTCTAACTTCTTGATGTAAGTGTTTAGCACTATAAACTTTCCTCTTAGCACCATTTTAGTCGTGTCCCAAAGATTCTGGTATGTTGTGTGTCTGTTTTCATTAGATTCAAAGAATTTTTTAAAATTCTGCCTTAATTGTATTCTGAAAAGTCATTCAGGAGCAAGTTGTTTAACTTCCATGTTATTGTATGGTTTTGATGGATCTTCTTGCTATTGATTTCTATTTTTCTTGTGCCATGGTCTGAGAGTGTGTTTGATACGATTTCTGTTTTTTTGAATTTGTTTAGACTTGCTTTGTAAACAAACTTGTGGTCAGTCTTAGAGT
This sequence comes from Homo sapiens, assembly GCF_000001405.40. Taxonomy (NCBI): domain Eukaryota; kingdom Metazoa; phylum Chordata; class Mammalia; order Primates; family Hominidae; genus Homo; species Homo sapiens. The sequence goes on from NC_000002.12 coordinate 224,235,021, forward strand.
ATGTGCTGTGTGCAAATGAGGAGGATGTATATTTTGTTGTGGGGTGGAGTGCTCTGTAGATGTCTATTAGGTTCAATTGGTCATGTCAACTTTAAGCTTAGAATATCTTTGTTAGTTTTCTGCCTCAATGGTCTGTCTAACACTGTCAGTGCAGTGTCAAAGTCCTGCAGTATTATTGTGCGGTTGACTAAATCTCTTCATAAATCTCTAAGAACTTGTTTTATAAATCTGGGTGCTGCAATGTTGGGTACATATATATTTAGAATCATTAAGTGTTCTTGTTGGACTAAGTTGGGCCTTACTTTTTAATCCTATCTGACAATCTCTGCCTCTTCATTCTGGTGCTATACCACCTACATTTAATATTATGATTGATATAGTTGAGGTTTGAATCTACCATCTTGCACTTGTTTTCTATTTTTTCCTTCTGTCATTTTTCCTCTTTTTCCTCTCTTCTATTGCACTCATTATTTCTAACGATTCAATTTAATCCCCTTTGTTGGCTTATTAGCTGTAACTTTCTTGTGTTGTTACAGTAATTGTTTTAAGATTTATAGTATACGTCCTTTACTTCACATATTGTATGAGAAATTTAGAATATTTCTCCCCTCCTGGCCTTTGTGCTATCTTTGTCATACATTTTTCTCCTATGTATATAACATATAACAGCTTCACATATATTGTTATTATTTTATTATTTTTTCTCTAGACAGTTATTTTTATTTATTTTTTATTTTTTGAGATGGAGTCTCGCTCCCTCCCCAGGCTGGAGTGCAGTGGCGCCATCTTGTCTCACTGCAACCTCCGCCTCCCGGGTTCAAGCGATTCTCCTGCCTCAGCCTCTCAAGTAGCTGGAATTATAGGCAGGCGCCACCATGCCTGGCTAATTTTTGTATTTTTAGTAGAGATGGGGTTTCACCATGTTGGCCAGGATGGTCTCAATCTCTTGATCTTGTGATCCATCCGCCTCGGCCTCCCAAAGCTCTGGGATTATAGGCATGAGCCATGCGCCCAGCCAACAATTATCTTTTAAAAAGTCTTCAATAATTTAAAAATGACTTTCATCTTCATTCTCATAAATATTGGATTTAGTGTTCTTTTGTTACCATTTTTAGTGTTCTTTGTTTACATTTTTTTATTCAGATCAGATTTTCATTTGGTATCATTTTTATTCTGCGTGAAGGATTGCTTCAACATTTATTTATTGTTGGTCTGCTGGTGATTACTTCTTTCAGTTTTTGTGTCTTAAGATGTTTTTGTTTTGCCTTGATTTTTGGAAGATAATTTCACTGGGTACAGAATTCTAAGTTGACATACTTTTTTCTTTCAGTACATTAAACAAAGTGCACTGTCTTCTGGTTTGAATTGTTTCTGGTGAGAATTTGCCATCATCCTTAACCTTGTTTCTGTTTCTGTTATGTATCTTTTTTCCTCTGGCTGCTGTTAAGATTTATCTTTCTCACTAGTGTTCAGCAATATGGTTATGATGTACCTTACATTTTTCTTCAAGTTATTTTCCTGGGGTTTGCTGAACTTCTCAAATATACATATTTATGGTTTATAACAAATTTGAAAAGTTTTCAGCCATTACTTTTCAAATATTTTTTCTGTGCTCCTCTGTCTCCCACACGGACTCTAATTGTATGTGTGTGTGTATATATATATGTATACACATATGTATATATACACACATATGTATATATATACACACATGTGTATATATACATATGTGTATATATACACATGTGTGTATATATATACATATGTATATATGTATGTATGTGTATATATATACACACACACTTAAACATGTCCCATAGTTCACTTAGACTCTCTTTCATTACATTTTTTTTTCTTATCTCTGTGTTTCATTTGGATAGTTTCTTTGCTATGTTTTCAAATTTACTAATTATTTTAGTCAGCCCAGGTTACTAGGTGGCTTAAACCACAGACATGTATTTCTCACAGTTTTGGAGGCTGGGAAGCCAACTCAGTTCCTGATGGAGGCCCTCTTCCTGGCTTGCAAACAGCTATCTTCTCACTGTATCCACACATGGCAAAGAGCAAGTAATCGCCCTCTCTTCCTCTTCTCATAAGGGTACTAATCACATCATGAAGCCCCAATCCTCATGACTTTATTTAACTCTAATTATCTTCCAAAGGCCTCTTCTCTAAATACCATTACATTCTGGGTGAGCGTTTTGATATATGAATTGAGGTGGAAGGACACAATTCAGTTTATAGCAGTAATCTTTTCTTGGGCAATATCTAATCTGCTATGAACCCCATCTAGTAGGCTTTTTACCCCAGATATTGTAGTTTCCATTTCTAGAAGTTTGATTTTTATGTTTTTCATATCCATGTCTTTATATCTTTCAGGACCAGCCTTTTTTCTTGCTTCTTGAACATATGAAATACAGTCATAATAACTTTTAATGTCCTTGTCTACTATATTCTATCATGTGTGTCATTTCTAGACTGGTGTCAATTGATTTCTTTTTATCATTACAGGTCATGTTTTCCTGCTTCTTAGCATGCCTTAATTAAACAGCAGTCTTTTTGATTTTTAACTTCTTGGGTGCTGGATATTTTTGTATTCCTATAAATATCCTTGAGCTTTGGTCTGAAGCATAAATTACTTGAAAACAGTTTTTAATCATTTCAGATCTTGCTTTTAAGGTTTGTCAGAAAGTTCCAAGTAGTCTTGGTCTAATTTTTGCCAACTGCTGAGGTCTATTTTTAGTAATTTTAATTTAGTAATTTAGTAATTTTACTGAAGCAAAAGCCTTCTGAGTACTCTATGTAAATCTCCATGAATTCTTAGGATTTCCACTTTGAGTCATTGGAACATGAACTATTCCCAGCTGTATGAAAACAGGCAGTGTTTCCTCTATATCCTGTCAGGTGGCTCTTTTCCTGATTTCAGGTAATTTCCTCACATATAGGCCCTGCTCTGTATTCTGAAGAGAGACCCTCTGGAGATCGTTCAGTTTCTCTCCCTGTGCTGCTCTCTCTTTTCTGGTACTCTGCCCTGGAATTTCAGGCCAAGACCTACCCAGGCTCTTGTCTGTAATTCCTCAACTCAGGTGGACCCAGGTAAGACCTCTGGGCTCTCTTTCAGTTTCCCCTCCCTGTGCTGATTCCTGAAATCTCCATCTAGGCGGTAAGCTGGGGTTATCATGGGTCTCACCTCAATTGTTTCCTGTTTTTCAAGGACCACTGTCCTTTGTTGCTTGATGTCTAAAGTCTTTAAAAGCTTTGTTTCATTTATTTTTTTCCGGCATTTTGGTTATTTCAGGCTGGAAGGTAAATCCAGTCTATGTCACTCCATCTTGACCAGAAGTGCCTTTTTATTGATTTTTAAATTACTTTATATATTAAGAATCTTAAACTTTCATCTCTCTTATATATTGAAAATTGGAAGCTATGTTTAACTCAGTCTCTATGGAGTTAGTGCTGAAGTCCAGGTCAAAAGGAAAAGAATTTAAAAAGTACAAAACTCATAGGGTTACAAACTCTGAGCTAAACACAAGCTAAATTGGTTCTATAATTTGGAAGTTGTATATTGGTGATATGACATGTACTCAATTGGGTTGCCCTTTGTGGGACTTTGATAAATATACAGTGAGGAATAAACTTTCCTGTAAATAAACTAGGTCTATATCCTCAAGTAAATTTTGTTTGAAAGAAGCTAAATATGAAAACATTAAATGTAACTATTTAATTTATTTCTTCATATAATAAATATATATTAGCATTTACTATGTGCCAAGGGCTTTTCTAGACACAATGTCATTTGATATTAAATATGAATTATAAAATAAATCTTAACACATATCCAAAGGAAGAGAAAGCACTGACACTTCCTAGGTTTCTCTACAATATTTGGCAAAGAGGTAGTTAGAACTAGCAGATATTTCAACCCATTAAAGCACATATCTTCTTAACCATTTTTTGCACAGAGAAGTTGAAGAAAAACAAAGCAAAAAATTTTTTAAATGACAACAAATAAGAGTTTATTGCAAACATGTCATTCAAATATCAAATGGGATTGACTTAATAAAAGAATATGAAAATATTTGGCCTCCAGTAAATTATGTACAACATCAGTGTATCAGACATTCAAAGAAATTTAGTGCATCACAGATAGCTAATGCTGTCATTTAAATCTCTACAGTGGTTTGTTCAAAATGAAAGTTATGACATTTCTAGAGTTATAGATGATGCACATAGAGGGTAAAAATGGTTCAAAAACTGTAGGTTTGGATTATTCATTAGAATATGCTTAAAATTCAGCATGAAATCGCAGTCAGATTCCCAAAATTTCACCGTTATTTCCATTGCCAATTTAACATAATCGATATAACAATTATCAGTGTCCACTATAATAAATTCATCTACTACAAGTTAATGACCACACCTTACTCACTAATAGACTCTACTTTGGAATATTAGGTTGGTGCAAAAGTAATTTCGGTTCTTGCCATTACTTTCAATGGCAAAAACCTCAATTACTTTTGCACCAACCTAATAATTTTATGTTTACAGAAAAATTGCAAAGGCAATACAGACATTTCCCATCTACTCCTCACATACTTTCTCCTAATGCTAACATCTTAACACTAATAACTATGGTACATTTGTCAAAACTAAAAAACAGTACCAATGTTGTTTAATTGTATGAAATCACTCAAACGCTATTTGAATAATGAGTTTTAACATGTCTTCTTAAGAAAAAAACACTACCATTTTTAATTAAGTTTTAAAGATGCAGCCCTACCTTGGGTCTCTTCAGGAGAACTGGAAATAAGTTTAGTTGAACGGAATTTATAATGAAATCTTCTTGGATGAGAACTGATGCATCTCACATGTTGGGCTTAACTTTAACTCATATCAGGCACAGCAGCCCTGTGCTTTAAGTGCCAGAAGACTCCAGAAAAGTTTATTTTTCTAGTTTCTCCGACAGAATTTCAAAATGTCTTAGATCTTTGAAAAACTAATTCACTTGGGCCGGGTGCGGTGGCTCACGCCTGTAATCCCAGCACTTTGGGAGATGGGTGGATCACAAGGTCAGGAGATCGAGACCATCCTGGCTAACCCGGTGAAACCCCATCTCTACTAAAAATACAAAATTAGCTGGGCATGGTGGCGGGCACCTGTAATCCCAGCTACTCAGGAGGCTGAGGCAGGAGCATGGTGTGAAGCTGGGAGGCAGAGCTTGCAGTGAGCCAAGATTGCATCATTGCACTCCAGCCTGGGTGACAGAGCAAGACTCCGTCTCAAAAAAAAAAAAAAACCACTAATTCACTCAAGTTGTATCTAGTCTTAAGTTTTCTTTACAAATATGAGGGCTTATTATTTGGCAATGTATTTTTTCCTGTTTATGTACTAATGCATATGTAAGAGTAATCAAATCACACTTACATTTATATTTTTATGAATGGCCCTTATGAAAAGAATAAGATTTCATGAAATAAGAAACTATCCTGAAAAGTCCAAGATGTATAGCTTCTGTCCCCATAGCAACCAACTAACTGGTTGCACCTGGCCCTCCAGGGTAATTAATTTCTTGTGTGCTGGGATGGTCGGCTGCTTCCCAAGGCCAGCAAAAAAAAAAAAAAAAAAAAAAAAAAAAAAGAGGAGGAACAAAATGACCTTTCTTTAAAACAAAACAAACTTAAATCTCACAGAGAGGAGTTAGACATTTGGATTTCCTCTCATTTTACTCTTGCAGTAGATTTTACATTTGAGGAATAAAATGCGAGGTCAGATTTTGAGTTCCGTTGAATTTATTTTTCAGAGAGATCAATCATATTAGCTATGTTTTTATAATCTTGAAGATTTTTTGTTGCACTTGAGTTAGTTTAGCTGAATCGTATCTGTATGGGAACACGTATCTGCACAGTGTCCTTCACTTAAAAAGAGAAAGAAAGGCAAGTATCAGAAGACCTATATACCAAGTATCCAAAGGCCAGTTGTCCTTAACGCTGGGGGCACATTAGAATCACCTGGAACACTTTTAAAACAAACCAGTGTCTGAGCCCCACTCTTCTGAAATTCTGCTTTATTAGTCTGGGGTGGGGCCTGGCTGGCAGTAAGTGTCAAAAGCTGATTAAAATGTACAGCAATAGTTAAGACTCAGGATTAAATAGTATACTAATACAACAAACTTTGACCCAATGAAGTAAATTTCTTTGTAGATAAAGATTGGGTAATATATTATAGTTATTAAAGTGAATTACTGTTTGTTCCTAAGGACTCCTATGCTACAAATTAATGAAAACTTCAGGAAATGTTTAAGATAGTAGACTTAGAGGATAATGTTCTTTAGTTTTCTTTTATTTTTTCTAAGTGTGATAAGTGTGTAGGATATACCTTTTATCTGAGGAGGTTACAATGTCTGAATGTCAGTGAGCCTCATTTTAGGACATTTTTTCCAATTGTTAAATTTTTGGAAATTTTGAAAACTATTAAATTGTTAGTGGCTTGAGATTTTGGTCATGCTGACAGTATTCACACCATGAAAGTCAGCAAACATTACAGATCAGGTCTTTGTTTCTTCTGGAAAGTGGGTTGTTAAACATCTACCTGCTATGAGAGTAAGATCAAAAGGATGAAATTTGACTAGGCTTCCAATATTTGTCAACCCTGTATTTTTACAGATGTAAAACTGAGGCTCAGAAACTTTAAGCAACTTGTCAAGGAAATTGCTGGTGGAACCAAGAATACAAGCCAGCTTGCTAGAGTGTCACATCTGTCCTGACTCCGGTCTACATTGCAAATGCTTGTCAAATGTAAGCTCAGCATTTTACACATAAGAATCTATCCATGCTGTTATTTTAGAGGTACAAGTGAGGTAGGAGGCAGGACTCAACTCCAGAGGCAGGCTTCAGACACCACACCAGACTGAGGACTAACTAAAACAGGGAAGAGGCAAAAGCACCTCTTCCTAAGACATGTGCGCCAAGTGTGCCCTGTCAGTTTACCATTGTCATGGCAACACCTGGAAGTTACCACCCCTTACCATGGCAACGACCTGATAACCCAGAAGTTACGACAATGTACCTTTTTCTAGAAATTTCTTAATAATTTATCCTTTAATTTGCATATAATTAAAAATGGGTATAAATATGACTGCAGAACTGCCTCTGAGCTGTTCCTCTGGGCACACTGCCTATGGGGTAGCCCTGCACTGCAGGAAATAATACCTCTGCTCCTGCTATACACTGCTACTTCAATAAAAGTTGCAAACACCGCCAGTTTTCTCTTGAATTCTTTCCTGGGCAAAGCCAAGAACTCTCTCCAGCTAAGCATCAACTCTGGGGCTTGCCTGTCCTGAATCAGAAGGTATTTGCTGTTAAGGTGCCAAAATTCTGTAATAACTATGATGCACCCAGACAATGGAGTACTATGCACCCATAAAAAAAGTAGGGTGAGAATTTTGTGTACGGATACAGAAAGATCTCTAGCTTATATTCTAAAGAAAAACAAGCAAGTTGTAGAACACTGTATGTAGTATGCTACCTTTTGTTTATAATGGGAGAAATAAGAACATACATGACTGTATTTGAAAAAAAAAAAAAAAGAAATACTGGAAGGATAAACAAGAACCTAATGAAAATGACTCCCTGACAGGGTGGAGGCGTCTACTGAAGATAAACAAAGGCTCTGAAAACTGACAGCTGGTAATGACCCACAGTGTTCCCTATAAACATAAACAATTTCACAGAATTTCAACATCACATGAGGTCATACCATGACTGTGATAAAACCAAGCCCAAATAAGACCACTCTCTAATCATATCTGAACATGGACAGAATCAAGGAAGCCATGCAATCACAAAAGTAACAAAATATTTTTCTCTCCCTGATGAGTAACTACTGCTTCTTTACCATTGCAACTCCAGCTTCACTTTGTTCCTCTTGGCCCCTAGACAAAAATTAAGATCCTCAATCACTGAATTGCCCTTACCACCTAATAGCACCTAATTGGTCCAATGGGTGAGTTTAAACATCCAAAATAAAATACTGAAATATACTGCAATTATGAATATCCAAGAATATACAATAAACTCATAAGAGAGGAAGAAGTTTATTATTCTAATTTTATTATTGTTTAATATAATGAGCCAGATAACTGTATTCTCAATGAGCATCAAAAAACTAATTGAATGCAAGACCAATCGCAAATGGAACAAGAAAGATGGACTGAAATGGAAGCGATGTAAATAAGACTTATTTATCCACAAAAGTTGGCTGAGGGCTTGACATTTTCTCTAGTTAGAAATAAGTCGTCTTTGTCTTCAGCCAACATGAATAATCTCAAATAAGTCTTTGACCTTCTTGCCAAGTTCTTTTAACTTTGTTTCTATAATGAGTTGATTAGCATTTTTCCTTCGTACTCAGTCTCTGAACATCAACAATGTACCAGGCACCAGGGAGTCAACAATGAGTAAGATTTGGTCCCAGTGATGAAGGAGTTTGCTTCCTAAAGGACGAGGCTAACCTGCTCCCCTCCTTCTCAATTCTGTTTAGACATATGTTACCCAGGAAAGTGTCTGTGTGGTTATTTGATCAATGTCTGTCTCCTGTCTCCACACATGACTGCTCCTGGAGGGCAGGGACTGTGCACATCTCCATTACCTGTACACTCCTAGTGCCCAGGAGAGCATCTGATAAAAGTAGACACTTGTACTGGGTTGAATAGCATCCCCCCAAACTTCACATCTACCTGAAACCTCAGAATGTGAATTTATTTGGCAACGAGGTCTTTGCAGACATAATTATTTAAGATGAGGTCACGCTGGAGTAGAGTGAGCCTTAAATCCAGTATGGCTGATGTCTTTATAAGTAGACACACAGAGGCTCACACAGAGGGAAGGGGGACCAGTGAGGACAGAGGCCGAGCATCGAGTGTTGCAGCTGCCAGCCAAGGAAGGCTGAGAATTCCAGCAACCAGAGGCTAGGAAGAGGAAAAGAAAGAAAGAAAAGGAATGCCTTCTCATATTTTCAAGATCTTTTTGAAAGTATAAGAATCCATGTCTCTAAACAACTTGAAGGCATATGGCATGGTGTTTAAAGAACAGGACTTCCAGTGAGACTATCTGGGTTTGGGTTTTAATCCTACCGCTTACTATATGGTGATTCTTAGATCAGTAGAATTAACTTTATGATCACTTTCTGCATCTGTAAAATGGGAAAAGTATAACTACCCTTGACTGAGCAGAGGATTAAATGAGATTATACACATGAAGTTGTAAGCCAGCATATTGGATAAGGTAACCACGTGCCCCAAGTGGCAATGAAGCACTTGGAATATGGCTCTTACAAATTGAGATGTGCTGTAAGTAAAAATGCACCAGATTTTGGATACTTAGCATGAAAAAAGATATAAATATCTTGTTAATAAGCCTTTTATATTAATTACATGTTAAAATGAGGACAATTTTAATATATTGGGTCCAATGAAAATATATTATTAAAGTTAACTTCACCTGTTTTGTGTGTGTCACCTGTTTTGTGTGACTACCAGAAAAATTTAAATTATATATGTCATTCAAATATATAGCACCCACATTATACTTTTATTGGCAGTGCAGGAATAAATGATGCCTGGATACAAAATTACCTCCATCTAAAAATATGTGCAGTCATTAAAACTGAGTGTTAGACACTGATTCTGAAGCAGGATATTAAAAGTTCCATAGTGTTGTTGGTTCACCTTGATGGCTCTTCAAGCCATTTGACTTTCCTTCTTCAGGATCACCATTTAGTGAGCACTTACTATGAGCCAGGCTTCATACTAAGTATTGTGCACTCACCATTTTAACATAATCCTATAGTTTGTGAATAACATATACAATTTATAATACATAATGTGCGCTATTTTGAGCTGACATCAAGACTTCTATTATGTTAATATGCATCACTTGCTCTTGAACTATGATAATCTTTCTGGAGTGAGACAGAAATGGTAGTCACAGCAAAGGTGCAGGACTTACATGAGTCCACGTCACAGCCATAGTGAATACACCTGACCAGGGTATGTCCCTAAGAGTGTGACGCACATCTGAACATTATATAACGCATCTTGGTGGGAAAAGTGCAAGAAGAAGAGAGAGCAGACAACTGGAAAATCTATTCAAGCCTGGAATTTCCAGGAAGCCCCAGTAACCCCTTTAAACCTTAAAGCTTCCTGCCCTCCAGACATGAAATATGAACCTATTTAAATAACATTTCTTCTCTTTTGAGTTGAGGTGCTGAAAAAACCCTCCCCACCCAGCTCTTTGACATTTCAATTGAATTAATCCCTAAAGGAATTGTAATTTTCCATTATGAAGTGATCTAATCCTTGGCATCTATGAAGAGGAAAGAAAAAGGGAGAACAAAGTGTCAGTCTTGTTACTGTTGGGTTTACATTTATGTTGTGTGCTCTGCAAAAACAAGAAGGGGCATGAGATTTTTCTTGGCACTGACTTGTAGTCCCTGAGCCAAAAGGAGGAAAACCATTATGAGCTTTGGATAAGGCCTTAACCTTCCCCACCAAGAATTTATGTTAGGACCTCGTCTGTGGAAGATACAAGCATGATACTGCCTCTTTTTCTTTTCATTAGGCAACCAAATGACTTCTTCCTTTTTATAAAAGTGAGAGGGAGAGAACTTGTTGAGTCAGGTGCAGTAAGAGGTAAGAGTGGGTGAGGGATACTGGTTAGCTGTCTGTGCATTGTCCAAAGATAAGATATAGGCAAGTTTAAGGACTATGTAACAGGAATTTGAGAGAGTTTTGCATTTTGGCTGCATATTTGTAAGAATGATATTTCCAACCTAGAAACTTTCTCAAATTTCTGTGGCCAAGTCTATACACCTGCTTCATTTTCCCTCATCCTCATCCTCATTCTCCCCTTCTGTATAATAGGAATGTGTCTCTCCAACCACGAAGACTCTGGTGTCCCATGTGCAGGCACATCCTCTACAGCGGGGTCTTCCTCCTTAACTCAACTTCCTTCTCCAATAGTTGTTCTTCCCCTCTCTACCCCTCATGGTTGAGGTGTCTATGAAAGCTGTTTCTGTTTCCTCAACTTCTACATCTCAGTGTACTTAACCACATTTCCACTGACTCCACCTGAATCATTCTCACTGAGAAGGACCGGGTCAGCAAATCCAACGGCTGTTTTGCCATTCTCATGTCATTTGGAATCCCAGTAACCTTCCACTCAATCCATTCCCACCGTCCTGTAATATTCTCTTTCCTGGTGACACAGCACTGTCTTGGCTCTCCAGCAAACTCCCCGCCCACCCTCAGTCTGTTATGCTGGACTTTTAATGTTGGAGTAATACAAGGCTCACTGCTAGGCCCAATTGTCTTCTTCTTTGATAACCATTTCCAAGACTATCTCATCCATGCCTGGGCATCCAATTGTCCAATTAGACACCTCAAATTTTATCCCCATCTTAGGTCTTGTCTCTCTTCTAAATCTAGGCAAATGATCTACCCGATTGCCAACCCAGCTCTTCCACCGGAATATCTCACAGGCACCTCAGGCTCAATGTATTCAGAACTGGGTTCCTAAGCTCTCTCCCCTGCCCTGCTCCCCATCACAGCCCTGATCTTGGCCTTCCTAAATCTGGTTTTCTTCCAGTGTACGCCATCCCAGGACAATGGCGGCACTATCCACCCAGCTGGCTGCGCAAGTAGGAACCCAAGCCTCTTATTTTGTACTTCTTTCTTCCTCGCTCCTCTATCTAGTCAATCACCAGTTTCTAATTATTATTTCATCTCTACTGCAGCCACCCTACTGGGTTCCTGCAAAAGCCTTACTGCTTCCCACACCCATACTCACTTTCCTCCAAATGAAATTCCACGATGCAGTCAGAAGGCATATCAACATGCTCGTCACATTAATTCACTGTTACTTCAAGCTCTAAAATCACCTTCTATTTCTGTCTGAATATTTCCCCAAATCCTTAGGACAGCCCACAAAAATCCTATGTTATCTGGCCTGCCGTCATCCAGCCTCATTCCCACCCAGATCACCCCCAGTTCCTCTCTCTCCAACCACACCAGTCCTGTTAGATCCTCCACAGACACAAGGTCATTCCTGCTCAGAATCCCCACTCATGTTTCCTCCTCTGTCCTCCCATCTTCCTCCCCATGCCTTTGCACCCTTTAGATCTCAGCAGGATTTTTTCTCCATAAAGTAGGTTCTCCTTGTCCTCCAGCAATGCTGGTTCCGAATGATACATGCTGATAAAAGAAAAACTTCAGCCGAATTAAATTTAAAGGAGTTTAATTGAGCAATGAATGATTCGCCAATCAGGCAGCCCCCAGAATCACAGCAGATTCAAAGAGACTCCAACGCAGCGATGTGGTGGAAGAAGATTTATAGACTAAAAAAAAAAAGAAAGAAAAGAAAATGACACACAGAAATCGGAAGTGAGGTACAGAACAGCTGGATTGATTACAGCTTGGCATATGCCTTATTTGAACACAGTTTGAACACTCAGCACTGTATGAATGGTTGAAGTACGGCCGCTAGGACTGGCCAAGACTCAGCTATTGTTACAGGTGCATACTCCTAAATTAGATTTTCAGTTTTGTCTGCCTATTAAGTTAGGTGGCAGTTTGTCCACAAGGACTCAGATATAGAAGTACGGAGTCCTTCTCAGGCCATATTTAGTTTGCTTTAACAATGCTCTTCCATATAACGTATTTGAGTTTTCACTCTTGCATCGTTATAAGCATTATAAGAATTGTAATTAAATTACTAATTTTAGTAATTAGCACTTTAAAGCTCATTTCACCTCTTCATGAGGGCAGGGGGGAAACTGCTGAACCTCTGTACATTGCATGTAATCATTGCCTAAGAAATACCTGTTAAATAACTAACATCCAGATGGCATAGGGAGAATATGAGAATTTTATTAAATATATTTCTATAATACTACATGTTTTATTATCTGTTAAAATGAGTTTAAATAAAGTTACAAATATTTGACTTTAAAAGTTGAGTGATTAAAGTATCTCTGAAGTCAATTCATGATTATGTAAGTTTACAGCAAGCTAATTTGACCTATTGCTATCTATCACATGACGCTAAGCAGTGGAAGCCAACCTAGCAGAATAGGGACCAAAGAAAGAATTAAAGAAACCCAATAATAGAAGCAGTTGCCACACTGAAACACTATTGACAACTTTGCAATTATGGTTATCTTCCTGAGGGGTACAAATATAGATATTGTCAATCAATCCCTTTGAATGAAACTGGAGCTGTGTTTTTTTTCATTATTGCCCACTTAAAGAGACATTTTTAGACATTTTCCTACCCACTGCCCCTCCCATGAAATTCTTATACCACAGATATATTGTATATCTGTGCTTTACACATTTAAAAATTGAAAATTTTTCATTCCCCAAGGACAAATTCATTCCCCAAGGACAAATTTGTCCCCAAGGACAAATTGAAGGTGATATTGTCCCTGCTGACAATGTATGAACTAGACCGATTATTTTAAGATAACAATGCATAATCAACAAATTAATAGGCACCTTTAAAATGACTGTCAGATGACTGAAATGAAGACCCTGTGTTTGCTACCCTCTCACTGCTGGATATTGGGCTCTGGTTAACTGGCCTGTGCTATGGAGTAAATTACCTCTCGTTACAGTTCTACTCTGCTCCATTTGGGCACTGTGGCTCAACCCTTTTGCTTTCAGGGACAGCATTTTGTCCAGAACCAATTGTTCTATATAGGATCCCCAAATGACTGCAAACTTTAGACAGCCTAGACTGTTATTGAACAAAAGCAATCTTGAGAATACAATAATAATATCACAAAGAAAAGAATTTCTGGGTAGAAAGTAGTGGAAAGTTTTTGCTTAGCTTGGTGTTAGTTATAAAATAAACTATGGAGGACATATCAAACATTTTAAGTAAATATACTTTTCCATGTAAAACACTCTATTACTCACCAATGATCAAATTACTAAATATATAGAAATCAAACATAGTTATCATTTGAGTCTCTCTCTGCAAGTGATACATTTGCTACATTTCCACTGCCAAAAATATTTCTCCTTGGGGTTTTCTTTTATTTTTTAAGGAAGTCTTTTCAAAAATTAAGAGTTGCATGCTTATGAGTCTCACTTTTCATTGACCAAGTCTTAAGGCTTTGAGGGACTTTGAACTGGAAACCATGGTGATGACTCATAAATGTCACATTAGCATGATAAGCAGCAGATTTTGATTTTGTGGTGAGATTATACATTTTATCCATTACTAAAATAGATTATTGAGATTATATGGAAACTAACTTCAGTAATCGCAATCTATAAAATGGATCTTTTGGAAAGATCTTGTGTTCCAAAGTTGTTTACTGTTCTAAGAACCAAGCCAGTGTACTGTTGGACACCTCATTTGACTAGTATTCAGATCCCCTACATAAAAGAGCTTTTTTTAATGAATAAAAAAATCCACAAAAGAAAATAATGTCATCTCACTTGATTAGCTGAAACAACATAAACTTCTTGGAAAAAAACCAATAATGACAACAGTAAACAAATGGTACATTTTATATGCATCATTTATTTTTTCTGTGCTGACAAGTACCTTTTTAAGGTGTTCTGTTTTAGGGGAAAGCACCAATGATTGAATACTAGTGAAGATTAAGTTGCTTACCTATCACCTGCTTAGTGGTATTTTGTGTTTCTTGTCAGTAACAATATCAAAAGCAGTTTATTAGTTTGTTTTTCTCTTTTTTTTTGTAGGTCTTGGGTCTTGGACAAGTCACAACTGTGTTACCTTCAATGAAAACAGCAGACAAATCTTATTTGTAATATTTTTTGTGATTCTCAGAATTTGCCAAGGATCAATGGAAGCATTTGCCTCTTGTCACATTCAGGCCACTGAACAGGTGGCCTGAACAGCTTGGGCTACTGAAGTGGCATTGAACTCAGAGCCAAGATATCTGAACATTGCCGAAGAAAAATACTGCAAAGAAAATGAGATAAAAGTGTAGGTGATCGAGAGCAGGACTGAGAAGTGTAGGAAAGATATTAAAAGAAAGATTGTGGGCAGGGCACAGTGGCTCATGCCTGTAATCTCAGCACCTGGGGAGGCCGAAGCAGGCAGATCACTTGAGGTCAGGAGTTCAAGACCACCCCGGCCAACATGGTGAAACCCCATCACTACTAAAAATACAAAAATTAGCTGGGCGTCGTGGTGGACACCTGTAATCCCAGCTACTCAGGAGGCTGAGGCAGGAGAATCACTTGAACCTGGGAGGTGGAGGCTGCAGTGAGCCGAGATCATGCCACTGCACTCCAGCCTGGGTGACAAAGCAAGACTCTGCCTCAAAAAAAAAAAAAAAGAAATATAGTGGTTGTTGGTGGTGTCTTTAAACTTGCTTTGTTTTCCCCTGAGAATCTGAATTCCTTAAAATAGCTAAAAGAATGTCTCCAGTCTAACAAGGGAATTATTGAAAACATTATTCACATACCATATTTCTAAGAAATTAATTTTCATGCAAATCTATTTGATCTGCTGAAGTTTTCAGTTCCTTGACATAGACCTAATTTTTTTCTGACACAGCAAAATAGCATCTTCATTTGGTCTCTGTACATGATAGACTTCCTAACTTAGCTAAACAAATGCGTGTTCTCTAGAACTAGCCTCCAATGAACATAATCAAAATTGCATAAAGAATAGATTTTCAATGTTTTCACCACAAAAAAGATAAGTTGCTGAGGTGATGGATATAAATTACTTAGTTTGACTAAATCTCTCTACAATACATAAATAGATCAAAACATCACATTGTATTCTATAAATATATGCAATTATTATTGGTCAATTAAAAATAAATTTGTAAAAAATCTTGAATAGAATGTAAGCAGAGAAAAGAAAGAAATCCTTTCCTGAATCAAAAATGTCAGTTTCCAAATGTGTGAATCATTAATACTGAATAAGAAGCACAGTACTATCTCATTTCAGCCATTTCTTCTTTCTCTATCTCACTTCTTTACTTAAAAAATTAAAATGGGCTTCCTAACCTTTCCCATTATACCCCTCAATATTAACAGTAATTTTAGCTTATTTGATATTTTTCTTAAAAATACAACTATTTGAACAGTATTGCGTTATTTAAGACAAGTAAAATTCCAAATATTTTCAAGACAAAATAACAAGCTGTATTGCAGCAGGTTTTCAAGTAGAATAATAAAGTTTACGTGCAAGAAAAATAAAACTTTTGGCTTGGTTTGTAAATATGTGTCAAACTAATGTATTCTTGCCCACAATATTTCCTATAATATCCCATTCTGTTGGGCTTAACTCAAAGTTATTCATCTGTTTTTAAAACTTAGATTCTCCCACGCATTGGAAATTGTTAGAGATGTATTATGGGGAGCTTTGGGCAGAGGTCCCAGGAATACCCACACTCATCCTAGCCCAGCTACTCTTCCGATGAGATCCTATGGTAAGTAGGTAAGCAGGGAGGAATGGAGCCAGCAAAATATCTTTCCTAGTGGACCCTGGGGCGTAAACCTCAAAGAAGAGTATTAATGAGAGAGGCAATAGACAATCATCAGTTGCCTTTGTCTGACAGCTACCTATGGCCTCAAAATAAGGAAATTGGAGAGGCCTATTCTTGCCTTCCTACCAAGCCCACACTTGCAACTTGCCTGTAGACACAGTGGGAGGACGAAACCTCAGTGCAGAGCATGCCAGCCTCCGCAAGGAGGAAGAGAGTAGTGGGAGCAATGAGAGAGGCTGCCTCCAGTGTCCGGAGATGCCCACCCAGAGCTATTCAAATCTACCCAGTCCAGGTTGGTCTAACCCAGAAGATCTGAAAGCCCCATAAAACACTGAAGAAGGGAGCTGAGGAAGAAGCAAGATTTCTCCTTCCTCTATCCTAGGAGCAAAAATATAGCCACAGGAAACGAAGAGTGGAAGAAACAGATTGGCCTTCTCCCAACTCTGGTGGAAGAGACACAGAAAGAAGTGTGACTACAGTGGGCGTTAGTCCCAATACTGTGTCTTCACCATAGACACCACCTTAAAAAAATGTGGCCCAATTAATATCCTAGACTTTTGGCCTGGTGTGGTGGCTCATGACTGTAATCTCAACACTTTGGGAGGCTGAGACAGGAGGATCACTTGAGGCCAGGAGTTTGAGACCAGCCTGGGCAACATAGTGAGACCCTGACTCTACAGAAAATTTAAAAATAAGCCAGGTGTGGTGGCATGCACCTGTAGTCCCAGCTACTTGGGAGGCTAAGGCAGGAGGATCACTTGAGCCTACTAGGAGTTCAAGGTTGCACTGAGCTATGACCTCACCACTACACTCCAGCCTGGGTGACAGCAAGATTCTGTCTCTAAAAAAACTAAAAATAAAAAATAAATCCTAGACTTTGACTAAGTCATAGCCACATTTCTCATTAGGATATTTGAGGGTTTAAGGACTTTGATAGGAAAAACTATGGACTTCAAATCTAAATTTTTGTCACAATTTTACTCTAAAAGGTATTTTTACATACTACATGTAATAACTTTGCATCTTCATGTACGATATACCTGTGTACACACACACACACACACACACACAGATGAATAATCCTCCTCCCCCAGTTTTGGGTAGGAAACTACCTTTAAAGTTATTCAAATTTATTAGCTTCTGCTTACAGTGAACATTGAGGTTAGAAACCATATCTTGCACTACCAACCCAGTAAATATGCACAAAGGATTATGAACCAATAAGAATGAAGTTGACTCAGGGTGATCTGTCCTGCTTCATATATCCAGCAAATCTTGGCTAATCTAAAATTCAAAACAGATGGACAACTGAAATTCTTTCTTTTTTCTATCTTTGCTACATTCCTTGTTTCCATGTTTCCAACTATGTCCATTTTTCCAACTATATTCCTTAATTAAATTTTTCAAAAAACATATCAAGTACCTTCTTTGGAAAAAAGTATTAAATAAAGTAACCTAGTAATGCCAAAATGTAAGAAGGAGGCTACTAGTGTATTTATTTTTATATATTCTCTAGAACAATAAGTATTTCCTGGCAGATGCTAAATGAGGTAGTCCCAGCAATCTAAGGTTTTTATCCTACATATATTATTGGAATATTTTGAATTCTCAAACTTCCATCCAGAAGATTTCTCCCTTAATTTTTCACCAGTTTAGGGGTGGCCAATCTGGTGACTATAATCCCCCCTTAAAAACAGAAACAACTTACAATCACGAATTCTAGCCACAAACAGAACCCAAGGCAGATCCTTTACCTCACAGGGAATCCAGAGAAGGGCTGTTTTTTGGAATTTGTGTTTGGAAAAAAGCCAAATTCTATGCAAGTCTGATAAATCCATTTTCTGGCTATAAAGCAAAACATCAATCAATGTGGCCAGTATGATAGTTACTACTGTGTGTTAACTTGACAGGGCACAGGGTGCCCAGGTATTTGCTTAAACATTATTCTGGGTGTGTCTGTGAGGGTGTTTCTGGATGAGATTCACATTTGAATAGATGGACAGAGAAAGGAAGATTGCCTTCCCATTGTGGGTGGGCCTGATCCAATCTGTTGAAGGCCTGAATAGAACCAAAGACTGCGTAAGGGAGAATTCCCTCACTTTCTCTCTCTCTCTTTATCTCTCTCTCTCTTTCTCTCTCTCTCTTTATCTCTCTCTCTCTTTCTCTCTCTCTCTCTTTATCTCTCTCTCTCTTTCTCTCTCTCTCTCTCTGCCTGTATTTGAGCTGGAATATCTGTCTTCTTCTGTCTTCAGACTTGAATTCAGATGGGAACTTATGCCATCAGCTCTCCTGGTCTCAGGTCCTCAGACTTGGATTGGAAATATACTAGCAGCTCTGGTGGGTCTCCAGCTTGCCAACTGCAATCTTGAAATTTCTCAGCCTCCATAATCACATGAGTTAGTTCCTTATAATAAATCTCTTTATATATATATATATATATATATATATATATATATATATATATATATAGAGAGAGAGAGAGAGAGAGAGAGAGAGAGAGAGAGACAGAGAGAGAGAGAGACAGAGAGACAGAGAGACAGAGTTCTTTGTATCTTTACGTACAATATACCTTCGTGCGTGCACAGGCACACACACACACTCTCTCTTTCTCTTTCCCTTTGTCTCTCATGAGTAATCCTCTTTTCCCAATTGTGAGTAGGAGACTACCTTTAAAGTTCTTCATATTTATTAGATTCTGCTTACAGTGAACAATTCTCTCTCTCTCTCCCCAGATACAGTTTTTCTAATTCATGTTTGGAAAGAAGCCAAATAGGGAGAGAGACAGAGAGACAGAAAGAGACAGAGAGAGATTGAGAGAATGAGAGATTGAGAGAGAGAGAGAGAGAGAGAGAGAGAGAGAGAGAGAGAGAGAGATGTTCTGTTTCTCTGGAGACTCCAGACTAACACAGCCAGAAATGAAATTTTTGTTGGTGATCAAATAAGATGCTTTAAAAAATTTTAAGTACTCTAATTTACATGTTACCCATACCCTTCTAGAACAAATTTGATCTCTGTGTTATCTTAGTGTTATTTTTAGTCATGTCCAAGCTATTGCTACACAAAAGTACTGAAACTATGTCCTATGATCAGGCACTGTCAAGGCCACCACGTGCTCTTGAAGGAACCCCCACTCCTTCCTCTCAGCACTTGGATCCATCCAATTCTTCCCCCTCTATTCACAGTCTGCTGGAATATGTTCATTCTCTCTGCACCCTTCTTTATTTAGTTAACTTCTCAGGATCTCCAAGGTCTTTCACAGCAAAGCTTCCTGTAGGAAGGACACAAACTCAGTGTCTCTGCTCTTCACCATTGCTAAACCCTCAGCTACTTTGTAACAGAACCTCTCTTCTAGAGGTCACCAATATTGGTTGGATGACTAAATCAATTAATCAAATTATGAATAATAATTTAGAAGTTTGGTTCATTGAAAGTCTATCAGCTATATCAAAAAATTTACACATTATCATGCAATTTAGTTAAAAATTTTAAGAACCATTCATTTCATAACAGCGCCGATCATAATCCCAAAAGACACAGCCTCAAACACCATAATCCTGAATGTTGAGATTCCTAAAATCTAAATCCCTAAAGTCCAAAATCCATAACATCTAGTCGAATTTCCCAACCACGATGATAGATTTAAAATTAGGTGCGATCAAGGCTTCTAAAAGTGAATCTCAAGGTGTTACCAATAAAGTTGGGTTTTTCCATTCAGCCCAATGCATTCAGTGGAAAAATCCAGATGAGTGGATTGGCCACGTAATATGGCAATGACGAAAACTTCAGTTTAAAAATGTGTCATTTGTCTGCATTGGCATTCCTTCCAGCTGACATAAATCCAGGAGCTTTTTTTTTTTAACTTTTATTTTAGGTTCAGGGGTACACGTAGAGGCTTATTACGTAGCTAAACTCTTGTCACAGGTGTTTGGTGTATAGATTATTTCATCAGCTTCAGGAGCTTTTAATGAATTAAAGCCAGATTTTCTTGAAGAAGCCAGCAAAGATACTGTCTGGTTCCAAAATAATCATGAGCATGGTAGGATAAGAAGACACTGACACAACGGTGTTGGGTTCCATTACCAGGATTGTTCCTGCCAAATTTGTGGTCTGTGTATGACTGCATGCAGAATGGAGTCCTGTGTACCCAAAACAACATAGAAATATGGCACAGAAGATGGAAAAATTTAACAGGAAATGTTCATGTCAAGGTATACTGAATCATAGAATAACTTCAAAAAGAGCAGTGCTACCTAGAAAATGAATGTGAATATATTTTGAGAAAAGCCATGTCCTAAAAAACAAAAAGCAGCTATTCATTGTGATGCAAGACTTCAAAATGTGGTTAATGATGGTGAAAGTTGACCAGCTCTTCTGTGCTATCTCCATGCAATTACCCACAATCTATCCCTGTAATATACTTTTTCACATGTCAACTTTTCTTTTTAGTTTTTCTGTTTGTCTATTTTGGGGTTTGTTTGTTTTTAGCTCTTTTCCCCACTGTTTTAAATTATCAGCATTACTTTTTACAATTTGCTGTGCTAGGTGTTTCATCTTCACATCATTTCCAAATAAATTGTGTAAAAATTTTTAGAGAGATCTAATTCTTTTTATGCATTTTTATTTTGCAGATTTGACTCCATGAATGTGCATTATCCAACTTTGACTTGGTATGTAAGCCTTGTGCATGTATTTAAAAATATCGAAACTTCCTCAATACATGAAGAGGTTTCTTTTTTGTACATCTGCATTTGTGAAAGGTAAAACTTCTCCAAAATCTCAGTTCTTTGAGCAACTGCATATGCGGTGGTAACCCATCAAGGTTTTCAATCAATCTCATCAAAAGACTTGGGTTGTACATCATGATATTTCAGAAGACCACAATTATATAAGCTATTTCACTATTAATAGAGTTCATCTGCCCATAACTGTGACTGTCATTAGTATGCCTGAGTTATCTACTTATAAAACTATGTGTTATTATTGCCTATTTTATTGTGGAAAGTGGCCTTTGAAGTGTCCTGTCATGCTTTTCTACGTTTTTCAATAAATCCTCTTTTAAAAATGTAAACAAGATCTTTAAAAATTTTTTTTAATTTTTTTTAGAATTATGTTTTCAGGATTTTGATCTTTTGGGATTGTGATTTTCAGGGTTTTAGGCTTTAGGGATTTTGATCTTTGGGGATTTCAACATTCAGGATTATAGAGTTTAGGATTTTTGTTTTTTAGGATTATTGCCCAAACCCATATCATAAATAGCTTGAAGTTGCTAGTTATATTGAATTTCAAGCAGGCTAGTGGAAGATAACAAGGACATTTAGGATAGGAATGTTAGGGGCCTTCCTTTGGTCAAAACTACTCCTAAATAGTAAAATTACTTCTCTAGTAGAGAAGTCACAAGTCAGATTACAGAGCCATAGGTAAGCTGTAGAGCTAAGAGAAGCAATAGTGATCACCTTAACCCTCTGACATTGTATAGGTGTGAAGGTAATGGCCCCAAAAGTTAAAAACATACTTGGGAATAGAATTATGGTGTTAAGAGCACACAGAATTGAGAAATGATCTAAAAAAAAAATTCTACATTTTGCCTAGGCTGGACAATTTGGAAGATTTCATATGATCCAAATAAATTAAGGAAGCTAAAATTTTGTTTCTCTAGCATAATTTTTTTCTCTCTATTCATCTTTTTAATACATAATAGGAATGTACAATCAAAACATTTAGTCACTGAGCTAGTGAACAAGAACTTTTCTACAGTCTGACGATAGGGACATCTTGCATTTACTACACATAAACTCATAACCACAATAGCTCCTAGTCTATGAAAGCATACATTGCATTATAACAGGTGTCTGTTGTCTTGGGAATTGTCAAATTCCCCTTGACCATGGTAAAAACATGTGCTCTATCTGACTGGTCTAATCAAAGAGGTCTGAAATCCAGGATTTAGCCTCCAACTTTTCTCAGGGCCTGAATCACTTCGCCAAACATTTATCTACTGCCTGTTCTGTGTTGGTCATTGTCGAGATTTTAAGACAAACTACACATTATCTCTGCTCTCAATAAGCTTACAGAATACAGAAAGACAAACAGAAATGCAGGGCCTGAACCTGACCTCTTCCAATAAGCCTTTTTTAACTTAAATCATATATTAACATTAACGCCGGTCCCTTATTCCACTGGCACTGGTTGTCAACTCCAATCTCCCTAACTAGATCTCTTTTGAGGTATACTACACTCTCACTGCCTTCAAAAATTACTTTGAATTGAATATTCCAAGAACCAACTAACATGAAACCCCTTTTGAGATTTTGGCTATAGAGGGCTCCTTCACACCCAAAAGCTAAGTGAGCTTTTCCAGTAGAGTTGGGCTTAATCCTAAATCCTCAAAGCTATATTGTGATACCACATGTCAGAAGTTAGCAGGAAAGAAGCCTTAAGCATCAACCTCCTAAGGCATCTGAATTCTGATAATTATACAAAAGAGGCTTTCAACACTTACCATGTAGCAGAATCTCAAGAAAAAGTTTTAAAACTCCAGATCTCCAAGTTCCACTCTCAGACATTCCAGTTCAGCCTACCTGAAAATGACTTCAGTGGTGGTGGTGGTGTGGTTTTACAACTTTTTAAATCTCTCTAGGCCATTCTAGGGTACAGCCAGGTTTGAGAACTGCTCTATACAGAATTTGAGTAGGGTGAGATGTTTTCTTAGCCTCAATAATGCTTGATTGATGTCGAAGTGTACTGAAGGCTCATCTTTCTTTACTCTGCTTCTTGAAACCCTGAGAACTCGATACTTCTGTCCCTTTTATCAAAGTGATTTAATTTGTACATGGTAAGCTCCTTGACTCATTCACTCTCTCTTCCCATTCTTGTGTAAAACCCTTACCTAGTGATCCTCTTATAATGCTTTATCATGCTTAATGCAGCCACACAGTTTGCAGTGTTTAATGCATATCGCTGATTTCCTATATTCACATTTCACAAAAGGAAAATTCAGTTTTGCCAAGTGACATTTTTCCTGCTCCCAATTTTTGCTGGTCCCAGAAGTATCAAATGAGGATTCCATGAATTGATGGTAATTTACAGAAAGGCAAGATACATTATCCATTGGAGTATTTTATTTATAACCGTTACATATCTTTCATGCGGCAAACCTAGTGAGGTGTTAGTTACTACTGCGCAAAAATCAATGTTGACCAGAGACCTCAGTATTCTCTATAAGAAACAAGACTCCAATTATCCTTAAAATAATATACATAGGATGACTTTTGATTTCTAATGAAATTCATCTCAAAAAATTATTTTAAATGCCTAAACTGATTGCTGTTATAAAGTGCAGTGCAAATCCTTTGGTGACTTCCCTGGAGATCAATGCATAAAAACTGTCAGCTCATCCAAGTGGGTCGCAAGGTCTATTCGGAGTGAGTTGATATCCCTTGTACATGGCACAGAGTTCATGAAAGCATCTGTTTTCTCAAGAGATTTCTGGCATTCAGTTAGATGTTTGATTTGGAAGGGTTTACAAGTAAGAAAGCCTTAACTGAACATCTACTATGCTGTCAGGACAGTGCTAGAACCTTTGGGAGGTGCAAAAGATCAACCCTTTGGGAAGCACCGGTCGAAGAAGACAAAACACATATGGTATGAAAACAGTTATAAGTTTCTGGGGGAATTCTGAAGAGAGGGAGGAGGTTAATGAGAACAGGAATTATGAGGAAAGCCTTCTTGAAGGAGGTAGGAATTGAGGTAGGTCTAGAAGGTTGTATAAGATTTAGGGAAATAAAGATTAAAAACAGTGCATCTTAGGCAAGAGGAATCCTGTGTCTGCAGAAGTAGTGGCAAGGATGTGTGGGGCCCACAAGAATGATGAAGCAGGCCTCTGTGTGACCCTGAGCTCATTACATAACCACTCTGATCCTGTCTGATCATGTGTTTGATGGAGACAATAAGAATAAGCCGGCTGGGCGCAGTGGCTCACGCCTGTAATCCCAGCACTTTGGGAGGCCCAAGCAGGCGGATCACGAGGTCAGGAGTTCCAGACCAGCCTGACCAACGTGGTGAAACCCCGTCTCTACTAAAAATATAAAAATTAGCTGGGCGTGGTGGCACATACCTGTAATCCCAGCTACTCAAGAGGCTGAGGCAGGAGAATCGCTTGAACTGGGGAGGCTGAGGTTGCAGTGAGCCAAGATTGTGCCACTACATTCCAGCCTGGGTGACAGAGCAAGACTCTCAGAATAGTGTGTAAAACAGGGGCCAGGCACGTTGGCTTATGCCTGTAATTCCAGCACTTTGGGAGGCCAAGGCAGGCAGATCATCTGAGGTCAGGAATCCAAGACCAACCTGGCCAACAGGGTGAAACCCCATCTCTACTAAAAATACAAAAAAATTAGCTGGGCATTGTGGTGCGTGCCTTTAGTCCCAGCTTCTCGGGAGGCTGAGGCAGGATAATCGCTTGTGCCTGGAAGTGGAGATTTCAGTGAGCTGAGATTGCGCCACTGTACTCCAGCCTACGTGACAGAGGAAGACTGTCTCAAAAAAAAAAAAAAAAGAACAGTGTGTATCCAAGATAAGTATCCAAGAAAAAAGTGGAAATAACCATTGACTGTAGAATGTGGCTAGATTATAGAATGTTATAAATTTGAGAAGATGAAATCGTAAGGAATAGTAATGATAAGTTTTTGAACAGAGGGGCAGGTTAATGAAATGGAATAGTCAAGGAGGATCAGCCCTGGCAGTATGTTTGGGCTGTATTATGGGACAGGAAGGGATATTCTGACATTCTGTTACTGACCAAGTCATTCACGTAAATTCACCCTTTCATGAAGGCATCACCAACTGCAATGCCATCATGCACCCAGAAAGGGATTTGGGCAGAAATCCATGACTTTTCTCACCTCACGTGTTAAAAGTCATAAAAGTCCCTTCTGAGTTATTCTTAGAAAGAAAAATACATTTGCTAACAACATACTCATTAGGAACTGACAGTGCCTTCCCTGAACACCCGTTTTAGCAAGGAAGTTACAGTATTATGACATGCTGATATATCTATTTCTAGAGTTTTTGAGGGGTTTTTGTTTTGGATTTGGTTTGGTTTTGGTTTTTGAGGAGGGAAACAGGGAGTGACTTGACGGTAAAATACACTTTCATGACAGAAATAGACCACGTGGTTTTAATTAGGGAGGAGCATAGTGTCTCTTCAGCTTAGCAGTAAATCAGGGCTTTGTGGGGCCCAGTCGGCTCTGACAACTGAAGCTTAGCCTCCCCACGTTGCAGAGAAGTCAGCTGCTAGTCTTCACATTAACTGCAGACTAAACTGCAGAGTACAGCTTGGCTTTCCAATCACACTCCACCCTACTTCCACCAGCAAATGCAGAAAAATAGAACTGACCCCCAGGGAGACTGGGAAAGGCTCTGTATTACTTTCCGGCTTAATAATTCTCTCTACCCCCATCATTTCAATTCATCCAGCAGAAAGGCACTCAGATCAACATCTCTCATCTCCAGGGGAAAGAGTCTCAGAAATTACAAAGTACCCTAAACCAATTTCCTATACTACTTTTGTATAGAAAAAAAAAAAATTATCCTGGACAGAGGAGTGCAGACTGGGTTCCTGCCCAGTTATAGGTAATGCAATATTCCTAACGGAAGCCACGGAGGCAGAACACACACACATACACCAAGAATCCTCACATTTTTCCTGTCTCATCTGAATGCCTAAAGTGTACACTTTTGTTGATAGTCAGCATAAGAGGAATAAATGGCCTTTGTAGAAATGTTTTTAAAGGAGTAAAAAACCCAATATTTCAAATTTCCTGCTTTATTAAAATCTTTGAAAGTTTTAGTGTGGATGGAGGTCAAATGCATTTGCTAAATTATGTTTTTTGAATTCTACTGGTTGAATCATCTGTGAACTTGGGCATCCCTAATGCTAACTTTGCAGAGAGAAACTGCAGCTGACTCCTAATACGTTAAGGGTTACTAGAGAAACATAACATTATGAAAGGAAATGTATTCATCCTTTATGAGTCTGTGTTCTTACATCCAGTAAGACTTTCTTATTGTGGGATTAAAGACAAGATAAGGATAGACAGGAGTAGTTAATACAGAAGATAAGGTCTTAAACTCCACTCTGCAAAAGTATTGGCTGGGGAACCCAATTTCTGGATCCCAATCAGAGATTCTGAGGTGAAAAGGAATCTGCATTTTCAACATAAGTCCCAAGTAATTTTGTTTTTTGGTTTTTGGGGTTTTTTTTGAGACTGAGTCTCTCTCTGTCACCCAGGCTGGAGTACAGTGGCACAATCTCGGCTCACTGCAACCTCCGCCTCCTTGGTTCAAATGATTCTCCTGCCTCAGCCTCCTGAGTAGCTGGGATTACAGGCATGCACCACCATGCCCAGGTAAATTTTTTTGTATTTTTAGTAGAGACAGGGTTTTGTCATGTTGGCCAGGCTGGTCTCGAACTCTTGACCTTAAGTGATCCACCCGCCTCTGCCTCCCAAAGTGCCGGGATCACAGGCGTGAGCCACTGTGCCAGGCCCATCCCACATATTGCTGATGCAAATTGTCCTTGATCCACACTTTGAGAAATTCTGGTGGAGTTAAATCACTTTAGATGCTGGTTTTGAAAGACAAGACCACCTCCCAGCACATGGCCTATATTGCGGCATTTCAGGGGATTCAGCGTAGCTGAGGCCTCATTATGACAAGGCATGGATTAGCAGTATTTGCTTGAGTGAGGGAAAAAGCCTCAAAAAAATCCATAATTTGTCAAGTGCTGGGTGTTACATGACATCATATTAGGTATCAGGGAATTAATACACATTCTTCACACCTACCTGGCTCTTCAAAGGACAAACATTAATTTTCAACTAGAGCTACATAACCACTTGCCTTCCCGTAGGGCACATCAAAATCCCGCAAATCTATTTTTGATCGCTTCTCAGAATAAAAGATTTTTTACCTAAGAAAATTCCATGCTGTAAAGATTTTAAATTTGTAGTTACCAACCCACATATTTCTAAGAATGTTACGAGATTTCAGTCATGAAGCAAAAGGTATAATAAGATCTCTTATAAATAACAACAACCTTGGAAACTTAAAAAAAATAGGCATCAATGAGAAAAATCTATCCTTGACCATGCCTCTTGTTACTGCTCCCTAACTCCAAAGCACACCCCAAGAAATTATTGGGGATGATACACTAAAATCAACAAGCCAACAGGTGCTAAGGGAAAGAATCTGGAGTGTGAAGAGTAAGGTTTGAATTTTAATGAGCTTCATCATAAGCTTCCTTTAAACGTTCCTCCAGGAAGACACTTTTGTGCCGTCATGTTCAGAACAGGCTCACATCTGCGCTCTGCCTCATATGAGCTGTGTGACTTAGGGCAGGTGAGATGGCCTCTCTGAACATCAGTTTCCAGATCTTTAAATGTGAAGCTGATAATGTCCTACAAGTGTGGTTATTAAGAATAAATAAGATGGCTGGGTGTGGTGGCTCACACCTGTAATCCCAGCACTTTGGGAGGCCGAGGCGGGTTGATCACGAGGTCAGGCGATCAAGACCATCCTGGCTAACACAGTGAAACCCCGTCTCTACTAAAAATACAAAAAATTAGCTGGACATGGTGGCGGGTGCCTATAGTCCCAGCTACTCGGGAGGCTGAGACAGGAGAATGGCCTGAACCCGGGAGGCGGAGCTTGCAGTGAGCTAAGATCACACCACTGCACTCCAGCCTGGGCAACAGAGCGAGACTCTGTCTCAAAAACAACAACAAAAAAAGTAAATAAGAGAGAGAGTGGATGGTTACTAAATCCAATATTTTCCCCATGATAGTGTGAACATTTAATTCAGAAAGAAAGAAAAGAAAAGAAAGCAAGGGGGATGAAGTAATTTAATAAATTTAAAGTCTTTTTTTAAAAGTAGTTCAGAAAATGCAATATATGAGATCACAGTGGTTAAGACACAGCTTTTAGTCAAAGAAACTCAGTTTTAAATCCTGATCCAGTCCCTTAGTAACCCTGTGGCTTTGGGCAAGTGATTTAAAATCTTTAAGCCTGGGCTTCTCATCTTAAAAATGTGACTAAGATAGAAATACTGTTGAGAATTTCTAGGAGAAAGAGTATAAACTGCTTAGTCTAAGGTCTGGGAGAAGATAAGCCCTTGCTCTGTGATAGTCCTTATTCATATCATTGTTTCATTATTACTCATTAACAATAAAGGATAGATGGAGATCCTTGAATGTTCCTTTCCTTGCAAACTTATTTTGGTGCACGTCCCATAAGTTTGCAAAAGATCAAATTACATGATCTTGGCCTTCTGGCAGAACAACTTTATCAGTCTCAAAAGTAACCTCTAAACTCTTTTTTCCAGATAACTGGAGGCTGCCCACATAATATTTGGCTTCTAAGTCTTGGAATGATTGTCATTTTGCAGAGAGCTCCTGCCAGCTGAATTGGAGACCAGGCATGCTGGTTACAAAGTCAGTGAATCTTCTAACCCTTTAAATAAGAAAGTGATTTAATCTTTACAGTTTAAATCACAAAAAAATGCCTATATCCCTAAGAATCCATTGAATTCTGATAAAATGTGGGCCTTGCGTACCCTTAGAGGGATAAAAATGTATACAGATTCAATTCAATCATTCAGGCTAATAAAAGAAAGACTTATAAATGATATGCAAATTAGGTAACACATACGCAAATCATAAGCCAAGTCTTTCTGTGAATTAAACAATCAAGAATTGTCTCTACCAAGTATTTCTGAAGAGAATTAGGAGGAAAGTATAACTGTCATCTGGTAACATGCAGGTAAAATATCCAGGCGTATGGAGGAGGGGGAGGGGAGAAAAAGGATGTGGATGATTCTGCCGTTTCAGATCCTTGGAAAGTGTGTTTGGGGAGAGGAGCTGGGAGTTTCTGCTCCCAGCCAGACCGTGTTATTCCAAGCACATGTTGTCAAGAGTTAGTGGCAGCTCGTTTCTCAGAATGACTCTAGCTTTCAGAGGGTTCTGAACTCAACACTTGTTTTAGATATTCTGAGGTGTTCACTAGTCCAAGAACCTCTAATTCCTTGGAAAATAGCCATATTTACAAAACTTGTTTTCTCTTTTTTTGGAAAGACCATTTTCTACCCATGCTTGAAAACTTTATTTCATACATGTTTCCTGTGCCAGGCCCTATGGGAAGCACTCCGCATGCAGTATTTTACTGAATGTCCAAGACTTAGGCACATGAGCCCTAAGAGACCTGCAGGAGTAGGGAGACTATGAATCTCTCTCTTGACTCCAAACCCATGTTCGTTCTCCAAACATTAACGAAAAACTACAAGAGAATGATGCAGAGTTCCGCCCTCTACAGAGGCAGGCATTATCTAGCAGCGGAAATAGACCCGTCTGACGCCAAATGAGATGGAGAAAATAAACACTGCCAATGAAATACTGGGGGTGGGGCAATTAAAGAAAGGAAAATTGCATCTACTTGGAGCCATCAGAAGAGATTTCATGGAGGAGGTGGTACGTGAACTGCGCTTAATGTATCTGTTGCAGGGGGAGATGGGAGACATTCCAGAGAATAGAGCAACAAGAGGTAAAAACATGCAGAGGAGTTCCTGAACCACAAATAGTAGACTTTGGCCAGAACGTGAGTTTTGGACATTGGAAGGATAGGACTTTTTATAGTAGTTACTAAACACATGTTGTGCTAGTTAATTCTGTTGGTAAATAAGAGATTTCTTTTTCTTTCTTTCTTTTTTTTTTTAATTATACTTTAAGTTCTAGGGTACATGTGCACAACGTGCAGGTTTGTTAGGGACATGGATGAAGCTGGAAATCATCATTCTCAGCAAACTATCGCAAGGACAAAAATACCAAACACCGAATGTTCTCACTCATAGGTGGGAATTGAACAATGAGAACACTTGGACACAGGAAGGGGAACATCACACACCGGGGCCTGACGTGGGGTGGGGGGAGGGGGGAGGGATAGCATTAGGAGATATACCTAATGTAAATGATGAGTTAATGGGTGCAGCACACCAACGTGAATAAGAGATTTCTAAAAGCTCTTTATCAAGAGAAACGGTGACCTAAGAACTGTGCCTGAGGAAGATTACCCTAGAGCTGTGTATAGGAAGGAGTGGGTTGGAGGAGATGGTAGGCTGGAAGATTCATCAGATGGCTTGTTTAGGATCTGATGAGGATGGCAGAGAAGGTGGGAGAGATGGCTGGGTGGTGGGTGAGGGCCCCACGACCACTCTCTGTCTTCACTAATATTTCCAGCACATAGCACATCACCCGGTACTAAATGAGTACCAATGTGGAATGGATGGAAACCAGGCAGGAAAAGAGTGAGCAGGTGAGTGAACCAAGGAAGGAGGAGGAATAGAGCGAGGGAAAGTATTAGAGACATTGCTGACTAGGACTTTGGGAACTTGAGTTAAATATTCTCAACTTGTAAATGTCAATCCAAAAAAAAAAAGAGTGCATATAAAAACTGGTAAAATCTGAGTGAGATCTGTTGTCTAGTTCATTGTATTCTGTCAGTGTCAGTTTCCTCGTTCTGATAATGTGCTATGTATGTAAGATGCTAACATTGAGGAAAGTTGGATGCAGGGGACATAAGACTTCTCTGTACACTTTTGGCAGCTTCTTGTGCGTTCATAATTAGTTCCAAACAAAAAGAAATGTTAATTGTAAGTCAACATAAGTTGCAAAACACTTTCATTGCCTTGTTCTATCAGACGGCTGTCCTTGTTCTTGCTTCCTGTCTTTGGCAGCTTCCCAGGCTAAGGCAGGACAGGATAACCGGATGGGTGAGATGGCCTCTGTTAGGCACCTCAGACTCAGTGACATGCCCCTGAATCTCTGATACTCTTCAAAAACATTGCCTTAATCTCCCAAAAGAGTTGCTGTTTTTTCTGGAGGTATCAAAGTTTACAAGTTTTCCACTTCAAAACCTTTCTTATTCCGTGATCCAATACATTAAAAGAGCTTTAAAAATGTTATTGTCTTTCTATTAAAACTTTCTTTTATATTTCCTGCAACTCGGAATTGTTCAAATTATTAAAATTCCCCATGTCTTACTCTTCAGTCTACATAAGACATAATTCAATTTTTTTCTATTTACTTTTAATTGTTACCATGAAATAGGTCGAGCTTGAAGTACTCATACTTAATGAAAAAGCTTTTTAAAATTTTTAAAGTAAATGATTATAATGAAATAGTTAAATTCTGTCCTACAGTGAATCTATTACTCTGAAATAGCTCCAAGTATATTTAGAATAAAAGATGAGAAAGAAGAGGAAATTGTGGGCAACAGACATTTTTCATCACTGAGTTTGGAAGAACTATACACTAAACAAGTGCTACTCAAAGACTGGAAGTTTGAATATTATTTAACTATAAGGAGATGGTACACCATGTGTCTTCCTCTATAATAAATTTACAGCATCTAGACATACAGTAAACACCTAGTAGAGCTTTCCTTTCTCCACCTTTCTCCATCTCTTTTTCCCCCTTCTTCCTTCATTTTCTTATCTTAGAGAATGTGTCATCCATATTATACTGGACAACTTCCAATAAAAAACCTGCCACATTTTCTAGGAAATAGGCTTGTCTGTTTCTTAATTTCAAGAGGCACATATAACCTGTAGGAAAGAAAACACATTGAGCTTTCATGTCACTTGAGCTTCAAAACCTAAATGTAGAAAACATCTCTAAATAAATAGACTCCAGGTTTCTTCAAAAAGTTGTTACTATGGAAGGAGTTATGGTCACTACTCTTAAGTTTTCTAAATATCTTATGAATATAATTCTGTTCAGCATTTGTGTAACGCTACTGTTTTCCAAATGCTTCATTTAAACCAACTCATTTGGTTAAAAATGTCATATGACCATCTTTAAATATTAAAAAGGTATATTAGGATCTAAAACGTTTTTATACATTATCACTCAAACAGTATGAGTTAAAAAGTTTGGAGTGCCATTGATCATTGATCAATATTCATGAATTTTTTCTGAAGTTCATTTTTTTAACTGAATAAGTTATATAAGTTGACGTTTTATGATACTATGGTCTTTTTTTTTCTTTTCTTTTTTTTGAGACTGAGTCTCACCCTGTTGCCCAGGCTGGAGTGCAGTGGCGCAATCTCGGCTCACTGCAAGCTCTGCCTCCCGGGTTCATGCCATTCTCCTGCCTCAGCCTCCCAAGTAGCTGGGACTACAGGTGCCCACCACCACGCTCGGCTAATTTTTTGTATTTTTAGTGGAGATGGGGTTTCACCGTGTTAGCCAGGATGGTCTCGATCTCCTGACCTCATGATCTGCCCATCTCGGCCTCCCAAAGTGCTGGGATTACAGGCGTGAGCCACCGCACCCAGCCGATACTATGGTCTTAAACAGATCATAATACATTACTCTTTTCTGTGTGCCATTATTCCTCCCCGATTTTTTTTTTTACATCTGTGTGATCATTTCAACCATCTACTTTGCCACACAAAATCCATGTTTCTTAAAAACTCAGAATGCTGTTAATTCCTAATTACTACCCGCTTTTAAGTTTCCTTAATTATATGCTAAAATAAATGTATGCATATAAAATGCTTAGAACAGTGCCTGGCTCACAATCAGTATTTAATAAATTATAGATATAATTATTATCAATAAGTTATATTTGCTACCTCTGCTTTATGCCTTTTAGAAGCACGATTTTAAAAATTCTTTAGCTGAGACTTTTAATTTTTATTTTTTGGCATTATTTAATATTTTGCTTTGTTTGTAAATCTACCATAAGGAATATGTGCAAAGACAAAGAACACTAGAAAACAGAGAAAATACTGAGCAATCCCCCATGTTCAAAACTGGTTTTGAGAAAAAAGCATTTTAAAAATTCTCCAACCTTCATTGCCTACTGCCTCTATCTAACTGCCGGAAAGATGTGGTGTACCTCTCATTATTAGTCTGCAATCTATCAGGCTATGTACACTATATAGTTCAGCAGTTCTAGTTCAGAGAAAATTAGCTTACACAAACAAAAAGCTGAGTCACTCTATAAGAAAACCAAGCCTTCCATTTTTATTTTTGGCATTGAAGCCCTGTTGCCTAGAGATTATGTTTACTGTAGAGTTAAAGAACGTTCATTTTCTTGGAACATTTCAGAAGAGGAGGTAACTCTCTGGGATGATGAGGTCATTTCTGAAGTTAACTGGGAGAGAAGTGAGTCTCTTGTAAGGGAAACAAGAACTTAGACGGAGCCCAAGTGAGCCGCAGAAAGGATCTTTCTTGGGTTTTTTGTTGGTTTGCTTTTGTTTTTGTTTGCTTTTGAGATGGAGTTTTGCTCTTGTTGTCCAGGCTGGAGTGCAGTGGTGTGATCTCAGCTCACTTCAACCTCTGCCTCCCTTGTTCAAGCAATTGTCCTGCCTCAGCCTCCCCTGTAGCTGGGATTACAAGCATCCACCACCACATCCAGCTATTTTTTTGTATTTTTAGTAGAGATGGGGTTTCACCATGTTGGCCAGGCTGGTCTCAAACTCCTGACCTCAGGTGATCCACCCACCTCGACCTCCCAAAGTGCTGGGGTTACAGGCCTGAGCCACCGCGCCTGGCCATCTTTCTTGGATTTCACCATGTAGACAGTAGTTTCCAATAGTTCAGTTTAGGCCATTTGTTAACTAAAGGTCACAGATACGCCCTGAGTTTTTGGAAAACCTGCAGGTCAGCTTAACTTTGGGACTTTCACTGTTCCTATTTATGCCACCTAAACCACCTAATAGGCTGTGACCTAAATAACCAATCAGAACTCATCAAAGATCAAGCAATCAAAACTAAGCAAGTTTGAATCCTTCATTCACATAAGAGGACCTGAGAGGGAACCTAGGTGGGCACACTCTCTATAAAAAATAAACCCTTTTCTTATTATCTGGAATGCACTTCCAGTTAATACTGAAGCTACATCTCTGCAGTTTGCAACTTTTCACTGGAATAAAACCTCTTTTTTCTAAATCTCTTTTCAGGGAACTTCTTCACAGGGTTAAATTGTGTCCTCCCAAAAAATATAGTATACTGGAGTTCTAGCCCTTAGTACCTTAAAGTGTGACCTTATTTGGAGATAGGATCTTTACAGAGGTAATCAAGTTAAAATAAGGTTATTAGAGTGGGCCCTAATCCGATATGACTGGTGTCCCTATAAGAGAGAAAATGTGGACACAGAGAGGCAGAGAGAGAGATGTATTGACAGAGCATGATGTAAAGACATGCACACGGCAGAACATCCTATGAAGACAGGTTGTGCTGCCATGAGTCAGGAGACTACCAGAAGGTAAGAGGGACACATAAGACCGATCCTTCCCTGGTACTTTCAGGGAAAGCATGGCCCTGCCAACAGCCTGACCTCAGACTTCCAGCCCCCAAACCATCAGACAATACATTTCTGTTGTTTAAGCCACCCAGCGTGCAGTACTTTGTTACAATAGCCCCAGAAATACATTGGTGAAATTAGGCTGAGTCCAGTTCTCATTGTCACTGGCGTTAGATTCTACGGATCTTGCTTTCTTCACTGCAGTATCAACCACTGATCATCTGTGACCTTTATGGCTGATTGAATCAAGGAACTCCAGGCCTCAAAATATGGAAGACTGAATGGGACCAGATGGACATTTCAGAGAAGATCTGCACCAGAAATATTGATTGTGAGGTAGTAAAGAATGTCATAAAGCCAAAAATACAGAGATGACAAAATTATAGAAATGGAGAATAGATCAGTGGTTGCCAGGACTTAGAGAGGGAGAGAAGGATCTGAGCATAAAAGAGTAGTGCTAAGGAACTCCCTCATGGTAACGGAGCAGTTCCGTGT
Organism: Homo sapiens; assembly: GCF_000001405.40. Lineage (NCBI taxonomy): Eukaryota > Metazoa > Chordata > Mammalia > Primates > Hominidae > Homo > Homo sapiens. The sequence goes on from NC_000002.12 coordinate 224,270,403, forward strand.
CTTGTTAGCTCTGGTGTTACACAAATCTATACGTGGGGTAAAATCATACAACTATGCACAGAGCATGTAAAAAAAAAGAGTGTATTCAAAATCTGGTGACATCCAAGTAATATCTGTAGTCTAGTTAATTGTACTGTTCTAATGTCAATTTCCTAGGCTTAATAACGTACTGTTGTTAAGTAAGATGTTAGTTACAACTGGAGGAAGCTGGGGGATGGGTACGCAGTGTCTCCTGGTAATATTTTTGCAATTTCTTGTGAGTCTGTAATTCTCTCAAAATAGAAAGTGTTTTATCAAAAAGAAAGGTTGGCTGGAACCTAGAAGCTAGAGGTCTTAGTTCATTAATTTCTACTATTTATGTGGTTTCAACCTTTGACCTTGATGGCCCTGGTGTAATCGCTTGTTAACTTAACACTATAGTTCAGAATGTGATACTTTAATAATCACAGCCAGTTTTTAAAAATGGATGTCAAGGGCAAAGAGAGCAAAATGTTAAGCATGCACCGTGGAACATGTTAGAATTTCAGTTATTAATCTGACTCTCATAATTTCTGATCTGATTTGAACCTGTTAAATAGCTAACACACTCCAAAGTTACATCTGTGTTTCATTGGTTGTCAGCTGGTGACTGCTGCAATTTTCACATTGAGATTATCTAATTCTGTACCAGCATGATTTTCACTTAAAAAAAATGAGTTTATGAAATGTAATCATTGATTCTAAGAAGTGTTCCAGACTTAATCATTAGTATCTTTTAAACTTCTCCCTGGTGCTTCTTTAGAGATGTAATCAAATCTGATGCTCTTCAGGAAAATTTTCAGGAAATATTCATATATTTTGTTTCCAAATTCATTTTTTAAATGGTGGTACTTAAAATACATTGGTAGCAGAATAACCAAGCTACAGAACAGGATTATGGATGATCCCATTGGTGTATGAAATATCTATGTGTGGGTACATGTGCATTTATTTTAATATATGAATAGGAAGAATAGACATCACACTGTTAACAATGATTACTACTGGAAGATTGAAATTGCAGGAGACTCATTCTCTAAGGAATACGTATATTTCCAAAATATTTAGTCAATAAAGACCAAAGTGATATTTGATGCCCTTCCCAATCATACTGGTCAACAATCAGCATGTGTCCACCTCATTCTTCTATCACTACACAAACAAGCACATACACAGTGTCTATTAGCAGATCACTAACCCTGCAGTAATGATGCTGAGGAAGTCTTAGATTATAGGGAAGAATCCCAGGTATTATTTTCTTTTGTTTCTTTACCTCTTGCATTTTAATCCAGCCTAACTGTAGCTGTACATCTCAATCCAGCTAAATCACTATATCCTGTTCCAAATTCTTTAACCCCCCCGCTTTTTTTGGCAGCCTCAGAACCCTTGGGTTTACAGCATTGGCCTCCATCTCACCTCTAATGTAGAGAATGTGGTGTTTACAAGTAGTCTGTTGTGTCTGAACCTTAACTTGGTTACTCCTATGGCACAGAGTCTTCTGTGGGAGTCCTTCCTCTCAGCTTCAACCTGATCCCTGTGTTCCTCTGTTCTGCTAGTGATGGCTGGGGCAAAGAATGCCCTGCTTAGCACTGCAGGTGAATTGTGAGGGAGAGAGGAGCCTAGGTGCCAGCAGCCTGGAAAACATGCAGCAGGGACTGAACATGGTTATACTTGGGCAGAGCATAACCAGAGCACAGTAACATCAATAAGGACATAAAGAAGATAGGAGCTTGCTGCCTGATGTGGTTTTTGTACATCCAGCTCCCATACACATGTATTCAAGTCTAAGAAGTAAAGGGAGACCCAGAACTCTCCAGGAATACAGGAAAGAGAAAGACAACATACATGATGAGTCACTAATCTCCTAAATAGGCATGTGTGGAAAAGGAGAGGGTTCTACCTTTGCAGATAAATCACGGCTGGGCAGGGGGTGGGCAGTGCTGCATCTGGAGAGGGTGCCACAAAGTAGCAGGGTCACAGAAGTCTTCAAAGACCGTGTCATACTGAGAAGTTGACCCTCTGAAGTCACTGACCCAGGACAGAAGATAAGTTTGTTGACAGTCTGAGCCCTCTTCTTTTGAAACCCTCCCTATATAGAGAACAGGGCCAAAGTCCAAGACACAATCATGACAAAAACCCTGGCCCTCACCCTTTATGCGAGAAGCTGAAGATCAGTTCATCAATTACCAGCGGGATTGCGGTGAGAGGACCTCAGCTCTGAAAGATTCATGCTTCATAAACTTGAACTCTGATGAGAGATATCATCCTTTCCCCTGGAAATTGTGTCTGGGAATGCTCATGCAGAAGTTTTCGCAGTCTCAGGGATTTCAAGAATGCATTTTAAGAACTTTGCTACATTTCCTCAAAGAAGGTTAAAACTCAGTGGAAAAACAGGAAGGTCTTAGTGTGGAATTTAGAATACTTAAGAAAACTATGGGGGAAATGAAGTTAGAAAAAAATTAATAACAAAGCAAATGCCAAAATTAATAGGCTTAGTAAAATAGCAAAATCTCTTTGGACTAGACTTTTAACAGAAAACTCATCTAGTGAAGCTCAGTGTTTCTCAAAAGAACAATAAAAAGATCCCAAGAGTTAGAGGTGGGAGATGGGAAGCTATCCTATATGAAAAAGTGAAGAAGGAGTGGGAAGAAGCCAAATTAATTATGTAAACATTCTAAATACAAATTAAAATTATAAGAAAAAACTTGGTCAGCTTACCCAAGAGAACACAATGAGATAGCAGGTAATTGTGCTAAAATGAAAAAAATAAACGCCAGAAATTAGATGCAAATTGCAAGCCACAAACAAAGACAAGTACAAAGTTCTTCAAATACATATGGGATGAGAAACAATAGAGAGATGTTGGCCTTTCAGATTGCTTTGTAATAAACGATAGAAAAATCTCTTAACTTATCACTGTACAGGGATCCAGTTGCAAAGTTTCTGGCAGTCAATAAATAGTAATAGTAATAATCATATAATCATAATATTACCAATATACCATAGGTATGAAATATAGGCCAGCCTTAGTCATAAAACTTTGTATTATTCCTTCATTCCCTCAACAACAGTTTTCTGAGCATTTTAGTGCACATCTTAAATGAGTAAAAGCCGGGTGCAGTGGCTCACACCTCTAATCCCAGCACTTTGGAAGGCCAAGGTGGGAGGATTGCTTGACACCAGGAGTATAAGACTAGCCTGAGCAACATAGTGAGACCCCATCTCTACAAAAAATACAAAAATTAGCCAGGCATGGTGGTGCATGCCTGTAGCCTCAGACACTTGGAAGGCTGAGACGGGAGGACTGCTTAAGTCCAGGAACTCAAGGCAGCAATGAGCTATGATTACGCCACTACACTCCAGCGTGGGTGACAAAGCAAGACACTGTCTAAAAACAAATAGTAAATCCACATAGATCACTGCATAAATATAAGTCATCAATATTGTTATTAATGTTTCTGCTTGCCCAGTATTCATTCCCCCTGTTCTGATAAGAGAATTCCTTTTCTCCCTTTAGAAATCATTGTCAATCTGTATGGGTCAGGTGGCATTGACCTCTGCTCCAAGTTTTTGGAATGTCTCCCAATCCTGACTAAGGTAGTCAGAACACCAGGCTCTTCAGCCATGGGGGGCTTATGGATGAGACCACAACCCAAGCAGAACAATGAAAACTCTCGTTGGAATATTTGCTGAATCGATACCCCTGTGAGACATGGGGTACCAAGGATCAGGTAAGCCTGGAACAACCAGAGTCATCTTGGCCACTACAAAGACAGAATATATCTAAGAGTAAGAGCAACAAGAGGAAAAATCATCCTAAGGACAAAACTTAAGTCCAGGAACACAGCTGTGATGAAACAACCCACTTTTATCTCCAGACGTTTTAGCTCCATGAGCCACTGGTTCCTTCTTCCTGCATAAGTTGGTGTGAGTTGTAACCTTGTAACCCAGAGTCCTGACGAGAAGAAATGCTTGCTATGTGCATGCTACATGATGGAGAGATATGGGGGTCCGCAACAGTTGGGGTCCCTGCCTTTATGGAGTCCAGAGTCTACCAAGGAAGACTGCCATGAACAATTAACTACAAATGTGTTGAGAGTTACAAGGAAGGAGTATAGGTTTCCAATGCCAAGGTTTAAGCACAGGTGCATCTCACTAGGTTTGAAAAATGAGGGAAGACTTCTCCAAGAAACTGACACTTATGAGACTTAAAGGATGAAAAGAAGTTCATCTAGTTTAAACAGATGACATTGAAAAAGCAAAATTCTTGCATACATACAAAACCTGTGGACAAAATCCTTACTCCATATTTTTAAAAGGGCAATTTTTAGCTCACTAATAAAACAGGCCATACAAAAAATGCAAAGTCAAATACACACATTACATAGAAATCAATGCACCTATAGATTAATCAAATATGAGATATATTAATTTCTTTATAGAATAAAAAATCATATATTAAAAAATAGCTAAAGAAATGTAGATGTCTTCATGAATGCACAATTTCAAAAAGTATTTCAGCGATGGGTACCATGGGGGAACTAACAGTACGGGGTCAGTTTGGATGGGAGGATGGTATTCTGCTCAAAGGTTGATGCATTAGTTCTGAGGGCTGAAAATTACTTCTCTAGTCTTAGTCATGTAAGCTTGAGCCATCAATATTTTAAATCCAAAAGATGATGGGATTGTAACTAGAGGATCTCTAAAAGCCCTTGCACTAATGAAATTCTATGACATGTCTCCAGTCTGATTTGTCAAAACTTAATTTTGACATATTAAAATATCATTCAGACACTAACAGCTCACTTTCCCAAGTTCATATTTCACTAAGCCCTTTATATTGCTTATTCTCCACTTGTAGCATTGTAACCTATCTACAGAACTTAATTCTTAAAGAAAGATAGAAGCTGAAGTCCATGTTTCGCATTGCGGAATGTAGAACATGGGCACAGTGTGATGCTTTAAAAAATCAAACCACACTCCCAAAGCTCCTAACAGAAGTGTATCTGGATTGATAAATTAAATGAATGAGGTATGATATAACATAATCTGTCTAGTTTCAAAGCACACATAACAAGTGGGTATGGTCTTTTCAAAGAAGCATCCTTGAGAGATGGCTCCCTCATCCCAGAAGTGTGCCTCAGCCATATACAAGTTATTTTTGGAAACTGCTTTTTTGAATTGCCATTAGAGACATTGCTCACTGCCCTTAATAGTGATAAAATTTTTCCTTTGTATGATTTTTTTAAAACAAAGAAAAGTCACTTAGCTCCAAGTCAGATGAGTTAAAGTGGGCAACTGAGCCGTAGAATTCCACTTTGATCCAAAACGTGAAACGGTGAGCTTTGTTCTCCAGTGTGCAAACTGACTCTAGGGCAGTTCCAAATAAGATCTAAGGAAAGTAAATGTTTTGAATAATGACAATATTATAAGAATAAGTATGTCACCTGCTAGGATGATTACTCAAGTACACACTCTAGGCTGACTGACACATAGATAATACTTTTTTCATTTTCTTTTTTCTTCTTCAACTTTTGTTTTAAATTCCAGGGTACATGTGCAGGATCTGCAGGTTTGCTCCACAGGTAAACATGTGCCATGGTGGTTTGCTGCACAGATCAACTCATCACCTAGGTATTAAGCCCAGCATCTATTAGCTATTCTTCCTGATGCTCCCCCTCCCCCCACATCCCCACAACAGGCCCCAGTGTGTGTTGATCCCCCGATGTGTCCACGTGTAGATAATTTTTTAACACCTACAATACCAAATTAAATATATGTGGAATTAAAACTGGGGGCCCCTCTGCTATGGTTTGAATGTATGCATCCTTCCAAAATTCATATGTTGGAAGCTAACCCTCAAGGTGATGGGATTACCTTTGGGAGGTAATTAAGCCATGAGGGTTCACCCTCATGAATGAGATTAATACTCTTACCAAAAGGGCTTGAGGGAGTGAGGTTGTCCCTTCTCCATCCCTTCTGCCATGTGAGGATGCAGCAACAAGGAGCCATTGTGGAAGCAGAGAGGAAGCCCTCACCAGACACCCAAGTCCACTGTCACCTGGATCTTGGACTTCCCAGCCTCCAGAACTGTGAGAAACAAGTTTCTATTGTTTGTAAGCTACCTCAGTTATTTTGTTAAGGCAGCAAAAACAGACTAAGACCTTCTCCATGACTATAATTCTCTGTGAAATTCATCATTTCAAAATGTTTTAAAGCCTCCATCATGAGCCATACCCTGCGTATAACAGGCACACAAAGAATAAAGACAATTACTACTAATAAAGCAAGACAGAAGCAAATAAAAAGTGGAGCCAGTCCTTGAGTTTAAATTGTTATTGTAGGGCCTCAAAAAGAAATGCTTTGGTAATAGACAGTGACAGCAGGCTGAAAATTCCAGAGTATGGTGACAGGGCTTTTAAGAAATAAAACTTAATTTCTGAACAATGTTTTGAAAAATTAATGGAATCTATCTAAATATATTAGTTCCATGATTAAGAGACAAGAAAAGTTTTCTAAATTATATTTGGAGTAACATCTTGAATAATTTGCCACTTATTAATACCTCTAAAGCCAAAATAAAAGCTCTATAGACATTTAAGAAATTTAGATGTTTATCTTTCTACATGTTTACTGCCACTAATTATAACTCTTTACACTTAAATTAATGTTCAAATCTCTCACAATCTATTTTTACCCTTGGGAGAAAAACTACTTTGTTAACCTAAGTTATTATAAACATTCAAAGGAACTGTTAGTTGTCAATTTTTTAAAATACGATAAAAATAATCTATTTTAGTATCCTAGCTTTCCCAACTTGAGAAATACTCAAAAATACACAAGGTGAACAAAAAGCTTCCTGAATGATTTTAGATGCTTAAAAGCTTAGGGAAATAAAACTGCTAATATACATTACAAGTTTTTCTTTTTTGAATCTTTGTGTGTACTGAGGCGAATTAGAGAAAAATATTTTAAAAGCAGGAGAAGACAAAAGAGAACAGTACAGGTGATTACATTTTACCTTTAACAGAAGTCTCTCAGTAACGCATTGCACACATTTACTCCGGCAAATATCTTTAATTTCCACTTAGGAGAATTTAAAGGCCCTCAAATAGAATTCACATTAGGTCAGAAGTTATCTAAAAATGTTTCTCTAAATATAACTTAACTTTAGTTACTAATGTTGAAGCCAACATTAGTCTTAAGTCAAATATGGAAAGTGCCAATCAATATGAAAAATTATTTTCCCTAAGACAAAGGAAAGCACATTTTAATTCATTCATTTCATAAAGTGACCCAACTCAAAATTGTAACTCCATTAACAAATTCTTCTACCCAATTGTCTATTAAGAGATTAGGGGCATGCATTGCAGGGTGTAACATCTACAAGGGAGCTTATATTGCTCTGCTCATATGGAATTGATTTAAGCCAAAAAAGATTTTACAAGACCACAATTCTCATATTTTCTGGGTCAGCACAATCCATACAATAGAGTGGTCCTAGAGGTGCGGGCAAGGTCTCCAAGAGGCTAAATATGGGCATTGGGAAATGGATTTCTTTCCATTGTGATTTTTATCATTCAATCTCCTCTCAACTCCTAAACTTATGTAGAGAAAAAAAATGTATTTCTAAAACAAAGATTGACGCTGCACTTGATATTTTCTCTTGCTACTTGATACTCTTCTGTGGTTAAAACATGATAACAATCTTGCACATTTTCACAGTTCATGTTTAATCAATTGAGAAATATTGGTCAAGCCTACCATGTTGCCCTTGCCTTTGCTGGATTTGTGGTCTAGTTCGGAAGACAGAAGATGCAAGGAAAGAATAGCGAAGCCTGCAAATAGGTGCTCATGTGGGCTCAGACTGCATGTTCTGGGGGAGTTAAGAGACAAGAGAGATGCTTGGGTGCTGTACTGTGCAGTGAGCAAGGAAGGTGGTCTATGCAGAGGGTGACAGAGGTCCTTGGTGAGGCAGAGCATGGTCAGACCCCACAGTCTCTACTCATGGAGAGATGGTTAGGCTAGCAACCTGACCTTGGGTTTCTCTAAGCCTTTGTGCCCTTGGCTGTATAATGGGGATAAGAACAGCACCTCCCTTGTGGGCTATCACGAGGCTTGTCTGAGTGATGCTTAGCACAGTGTCTGGCATGTAGTTACAAGCTATTATTTAGTCAGGAGGTAGGACTTGATCAAAGTTCTGACTGATGGATAGAATTTTGCTAAGACGAAGGGAAAGAACATTCCAGAACAGGGAGCAACATGTGTACAAACCCAGAGGCAGAAATGATGACACAGTGTGGAGACAAACGTTACTGAAATTTTCAAGCTTTATACCAACTTATACTAGGAAGACACATAGTCTCATATAATGAATATTTTGTCTATGTAACCAGAGAAAGAATGCAGTTTCTACTCCTGTTTCCCTGGAGATTCTGAGTCAGTAGGTTTATGGAGACCCAGGAATCTGTATATCAAAACATATCACATGTGAATATATTTATCAATTTTTGGGTACAGTAAGCCAATGAACTTATGTTCATTTTTTTGACAGAGTGTTATTTATGTACTCATAGCACTCTAACACTCTAGCTACTCCATGATTTATGAAAACATATTTTAACATAAATTGTTAGAGGTTGATATAAAAACATTTTTAAAAATAATTCAGGGAGGTACATGCTGGAGACAGAATTTGGAGCAGTAGGTGGAAAGCAGAGAGAATCCCAGAATTTGGAGGTAGTGATATTAGATAATACCCCTTTATTTTACATGTGATAAAATTCAGACCAAAGGAATTAAGTGCCCTGTTATCATTGTCACTATATAGTGCCTATGATATCAAGGCCTTGGGCAAGAAAAAGCTAGTCTTTCATTTTGCATAAGCAATTTAAGGAATTAAATATTGCTCCGTGGTGGTAGGTAGGTAAGCTATTCAATTGGAAAGCCTTGAGCCTGCAGACTTACTAAAAGGTGGGCCTTTTTCATTAGGCAGCATAGGCAGAGTTCAGAAATCTAATAAAGCAGACAGAAATTGATTTCCTTTGGACTCAACCAAAGGTGTATAAAAGGTGCAGAAAAGGAGTTGAGTCTCAGTGGACAAACGGGTGGCTTTGGCATCCACCTGAGATACAGGGACATCTGCAACCTTAGTCCATTGTGAGAACGAATCTGTGATTTCACCAACTCCCCCCGCCAAGTTGAAATTGGGCAAAATTTTATTTACTGGGCATAAAATTTTGCCCTCCCAAAAGTACAAAAAGGGACTTCAGCAATTCTGTACATCTACGTGAACCCAAACTTTCTTAACGCTGAACAGTGCATCCCATAAGGCAAGTTTGCTTTAGGCATTTATATTTAGTCTGATTTTGCTTGGAACATTTGCTCATCCAGTGTAGGAATTTGATTACAAATGCAAGTGTCTTATATATATCCTAAAGCTTAAACAACTCTGTCTCTACCCACTTTTGATTTATAACTCTAAAATAGGAATTTTTCTATTAGCTGCTTCATTTCTAGAATGTGTCCATGTAAAGGGACTACTTACTATGGTGTTCTGAATGTTGCCCTGTTTTTGAGGGTATGGTGACCCTACTAGACTTGGGTCATGTCTCACTCATCTTTGTAACCCCTGTAGTGCTTAGGAAAAGTAAAGATTGATTAAATGTAATTGAATTGTACTTTTTGTCAAAATTTGGACAAATTCATTCTAGTTATATAAGCCAAAATTTCGGGAATTATTCTTGACATCTACTTATTTCTCATACTGTATGTCCAATTCATCACTGATATTTATCCCCTAAATCTTTCTAAAATCTCTTGCCATCTCCAGAGCAGTATCCTAGTCCAAGTCACCATAATTTCTATGAAAGTCTGTCCCTTCATTTGTCTTTCTCCATACCAACTCCTCTCCAGTCCATCTCAGCCCAACAGCCAATCATCTTTTCTTTTCTTTTTCCTTTTTTTTTTTTTTGACAGAGTCTTGCTCTGTCACCCAGGCTGGAGTGCAGTGGCGCAATCTCAGCTCACTGCAACCTACACCTCCTGGGTTCAAGCAATTCTCCTGCCTCAGCCTTTTAAATAGCTGGGATTACAGGAGCCTGCCACCATGCCTGGCTAATTTTTTGTATTTTTAGTAGAGATGGGATTTCACCATGTTGGCTAGGCTGGTCTTGACCTCCTGACCTCAAGTGATCCACCCTCCTTCCTCCTTGGCCTCCCAAAGTGAGCCACTGTGCCCAGACCAATTGTCTTTTTAAAATGAAAATATAATTATGACACCCCTAACCTCCCCGCTTAAAATCAGCCAGCCACTTCCCATCTCATATTCAGCAAGGTTCGGCAGAGTCCTGCCTCCAACGGAAACGCTGCCTCTTGCTCTCTGCTCTCCAGCCACTGGCTTCCATTCAGTTCTTTGAATTACAGGGCTTTTGTCCTCGCTGCTCTCTCTGTAATAATCTCTGCCTACCTCCCTTCACCTTTATATAGATCCCATACATTAGAAGGCGGGTCAAGGGTCACATCCTTGAGGAAGTCTACTATCCTGCCTTCAAGCTAGGATAATTTCTTTCCTTTGTTCAAAATTTATAATATATATATATATTTTTTGAGACACGGTCTCACTCTATCATCCAGGCAGGAGTGCAGTGGCACAATCATGGATCACTGCAGCCTCCACCTCCTGGGCTCAAGTGATCCTCCTGCCTCAGCCTCCTGAGTAGCTGGGACTACAGGCATGCGCCACCACACCTGGCTAATTTTTTTTTTTTTTTGGTAGAGGTGAGGTCTCACTATGTTGCCCAGGCTGGTCTCAAACTCCTGGGCTCAAGCAATCCTCCTGCCTCGCCCTCCCAAAATGCTGGGATTACAGGGGTGAGCCGCCATGCCCTACCTAGATTTTTATAGAATCTTATTCATTCTTTTCTTAGAAGGTTTACCTTAGGTTGTACTTGTAATTTTAATTCTTTTTGTTGATATCTTATTTGTGTCCATTTACATGTCTATCAATTTCATGAAAGCCAGAGACTTTGTTCATTTTTTTCTTCCTGTTGTATCTCCAGTGCCTAGCATGGTGTCTAGGGTGAATGGATGGATAGATGGATAGATAGATGGATAGATAAATAGATAGATAGATAGATAGATAGATAGATAGATAGATAGATAGATAGATAGATAGATGTAGATAGATGGGTTGGGTGGATGGTTGATGGATGGATGGGTAAATGGATGAACAAATGGATCAAAAAGAGAAGGAAGGAAAATGAAACTGGGTATTGGCGAGTTCTGTGTATAAAAAAAAAAAAAAGGCATCTCCAAGTAGCGTGCTTTTCCAACAAGTCATTCTGCTTAATATCGAGAATAATAATGGTTAATCAGTGTCCACTTAAATAGTGAAGTTCCACAAAAAATGCAATTAATTGAGAATTAACTTTGGTATAATTCAATGCCTATGATAAGATGATTTTGATTAAAAATATTATTGAATTGAAAACCAGAGACCACAGTTAGTTCCTGGGTCTGTGATTTTGGGCAAAATCACCCAAACTCTCCGTTTTCTGGCATCATCTATAAAAACAGAGGCATAGCCAGGGGATTCTCTGAGTAGCTTCCAGGATTCTATGAATTTACTGATTATTATGAATTTTCTCTTAAAATATCCAGCTCTATGAAACATTTATTAATAAGCATATATTGTGATTACTTTAACCAATAAAATGTATGTAATCCACCTTTTAAGCTAGTTTAATGTATTCACATCTAGTAAGATAATAAAGTTTGGGAACACCGATGCTGCCAACACCATGGTACATCTTACCTCCTAGACGTCAAAGACAACTAATGACCAACTGTCAGGTCAAGATTCTTATGTCTTGGCAGTAATGAGATCCCAGTGAGTTGTCCTTTGGGAAGTAGAAGAAGGAAGAGGTAGTATTGGAGAGAGGGGACATTGGGCAAAGGTAGAGTTTTAAAAGCTCAGGATTTTGGAATGTCAGAAGAAATGAGAGTTGCTGAGAACTTTTACTTCGCTGTATTGCCCATGCCCTGGGAATAGATGTTGTGCCCCTGAAAATCTCCCCTCTGCTACCAGCCTGGGTTGCCAATGCCCAAGCTGGGATGTCAGAATTTGTCATTATGCCTGCAAACGCTCAGCCTTCCATTTCAACGGAGTTCTCCAGCCCATCTCAACCCAGCCCAGTCTTCTTCAACCTGACATTGATTCCCTTCCTTACTCCATCCAGGAGGAGAATGAAAAGGGGGAAAAGGAAGAAAAACATCAAAGAGTAAGAATATAAAAGAGAAAGATATATCTATGCCAGTTTTTATCGGTGGAGAGGAAAGCTTGAATTCATCCTGTTACCAGCTTTTTTTTTTCCTTGGCGGAATTACTTTTTCCTTTACTATGGTTACTTAATATTTAAGCCTTCCTTTTCCAGGGACTACATTTCTCTTGAATCTATCCCTACCTTTCTGTAATTCTTAACCTCAGCTGTGCCCTCGAATGTCTTGGTGAGCTTTCTGGAATGATGTCTAATCCAGTAGGTCTGTGGTGGGAGGAGTGGTATAGAGCTCTGTATTTTTAAAAAGCATCCCACAGTCCAATCCCTATCTAGGGCTGAGAATTGCTGCCTTAGTACCTCAAGGGTCTCTGGAATATTTTATTCCAGCCAGAACAAAGGAAAAGCTGGCAGAACAGAAAGAAAAAGGAGAGAGCATAAATGGTATTAGAGGAAAATAATAAACGAGGAGAAAAGACAAGACGGTTTCGTTTAGAGTCCTAGTAGAATTTAGAAAAGCAAAGCGCTTTGGCATGAGTGAGGCCTGGGCAGCATCTTGTTTAACTCCTGCAAGCATAGCCTGGCTCTTCTGAACCCTAATCCACTGCTTTTGAACCTTGAGGTCTTTGAAGGGTAAACCAAGCTCAAGTTAGATTCCAGGTCCAGAGCTTAGCAGGGCAAGGACTAGTGGCAAGTGGCTCTAATTTGGGAGCTTGGGTTCAGGAATCCCCAAGAGTTCTGGTCTCTCCTGTTCCACCCCTGCTGCGGGGGTTGAAGCCGACCACCCACAGCTCTTTGGGGAGGAGAATCTGCTCAGCCAGCAGGGTCATGAGCAAATGGGGTCATGGCAGCCATGCCCCTAGTGTGAGCAGTCACATCACGCAAGCCTCAAGACCACAGCAAATGGAATCTTCCCTGCAAGTCTCAGCTCACGCAGGGACTGCTGCCTGGACTAGCCTGGAGCAAACTGGCTTAGTGTCCCAGGAGATCCCTACGGGGGACAGCTGAGATCTTGAAGAACATGAACGGGAACGTGAAGCAAACTGAAAAGCTTGAAAAAATTATCGGAGGAAAAGTTAACTTAATATTAAAATATGTAATAACATGCCTCAACCTAATTCTGCAGTCTAAATGTAAAACGTGATTTGTGAGTGAAAGTTTGCAGACCTTCTTCCCCAATAGCATTTAAAATCTATAAACAAAAATCTAAATGATGTTGACCTGAAGGCAACACATGCCTTGACTTTGCATTGGCAGACAGTGTAGGTTGAGACAGTTTCCCATGAAAAGTGGTTTCATTGTTGTTGTTGTTGTTTTAGACGAAGTCTCACTCTGTTGCCCAGGCTGGAGTGCAGTGGCGCGATCTTGGCTCACTGCAACCTCAACCTCCCTAGTTCAAGCAATTCCCCTGCCTCAGCCTCCCGAGTAGCTGGGATTACAGGCACCTGCCACCATTCCTGGCTAATTTTTTTGTATTTTAGGAGAGATGGGGTTTCACTGTGTTGCCCAGACTGGTCTCGAACTCCTGACCTCAGGTAATGCACCTGCCTCAGCCTCACAAAAGGTGTTTAACCCATTCACACAGTCTCCTCCTGTCACCTTGTGGCCAAAGGTGAATGTTTAGAAGCCAGTTGCCTAATGTAGGTGAAGATGACAGTTATGCTCCCATCTCATCTGGATAATACCCAATCTAGACAATGCCATGACTGAGAGACCTCAATTATTTGATGAACTTACAATTAGCCTTGGCTTGTCTGCAAAGACATTAAAACCTTTAAGAATGACCTTTATTGTCCAAGAAAGGAAATTTGAGGAGATGGCACCCCCTGCTGGTAAATTTTATCATCATCAGAATTTAATTATTATAATATCTGAGAGCTAAGAAAGGTAAGCATGGCTATTATGAGACATTCAGGCAAGATTGTGATTCCTGCCAGCAGGTCTTCTGTCAGTTCCAGAGCTTCACTTCATCCTTCATTGATATTTGGCTTTATATATGGTTAATCCTGAGGCTATTACCACCTCCTTTCTTTGCTCTAACCTGAGCACCACTACAGTAAAACTGTGTAATGCCTTTGGATGCCTGTCTCCCAAAGCATATTTTCTTCCATTCTTCAAGGTAAAGACAAACACCATCATTTCTTATCTGTCATTTTAGGTTATCTTATTTTGCCAAATTCAGTTGCAAGGAACTCTCCTACTTTGGAAAAAAGAGCTTCCACCATTAACATGGAAATTTCTAGTCTAGATATTAGAACAACATAAACTTCCTTATTCAACAGCATGAGGGGGAATCTAAATCTAAATCTACTTTCGTTCAGTGCTTGAAGGGCTCCAGTGTCACATCGTGTCTTAGTAGTCCAAACCCTGTGGACAACATCAACATGATTTGGTTTGTGGAAATGGCACGCTTTCTTTTCAGGGTCCCTTCTCTTTGGTTAACCCTCCTTCTCCAGGAATAAATGCTTTTGTGGTGCCCCTTGGCTGCCTAAAAATCCCAGTGGTGACACTCATCCTTTTTTTTTTCCCTGCGAGCCTCCATCTCACTGTTGTTAAGATGTTGTTCCCACAGTTTTTTCCTTTAATATCCACTCCCATCATATTTTAAAACATCTGCAGTGATATTAGTCCCTTTCCTATATGATATAAAAAATGTAACATACACAATATCCAAAAAGAATCAAACTGTTCAAAATCTTCCTTCCTTCCCAGGTAAGTAGACACAAGACCTACTTAAGGGAAGGATGTTAATGCTGTAAAACTCAAGTAAACCTAGACCATTTTGGCATAGACCCTCTCACACAGAAACCAGTCTACTTACTTGAAATTGACTGTGAGCTTTGCAAAGCCTTCTGGATATTTCAGCCTCTCCACAATGATATCTGAGGTATCTTTCACTACTTTTGGACATTTGTTGGTTATGAGTGGCCAGAGACCTTTGAACTACTTGGAGGTATCCTGAGACTATAAAAAAATAATAATAATAAGCCAGTGCATTTAACATTGTTTAATTGTATTCATTTATACAATGCAACTCTTTTAAGTTTGCAGTTACCTCTCTCTTATAAAATGGCACATCTAAGAAACTGCACAATTAAACAATTTTGCCAGGATGGCAAGAAAAGTCAGTAGCAATCAGAGACTTACATGTTTGGCAAATCCTGATCAATAGATCAACTGGGACATGGCTTCACTCTTTAAAAGTGACAGAGAGAGAAGTTCTTCAATTTTCCAACTTTCAGAGTCAATAGACTAGATAAGGTTATATTAAAGTTATATAAACCTGAACTAGTAGGATAACCAAATACTTGTTCCCCTCTGAAAAGTTGAAATATTAAAACAAATTTTACCCAGAATGTGTCTCTGGATTTTTGTGGTTGTTTTCTCATGTGTGTGGTTTGGTTTGTTTGTTTGTGTTTTTTTAGACAAGGAAAACTTAATTGAGTAGTAGTTTTATCTCTTACTCATTTTAACAGGAGCATGTATGCAGAGGCCCAAATTGCCAATCACCAGTATTTATCCACATGGAAAAATCCTAAGGACATTAATTATAAATGATTTATCATCCACTCAAATAGCAGGAAGGAGAATTGAAAGGCAAATTTGAAACAGGAAATGTTATTCCTTAAAAACAAGGGCTTTTCCTCATTTCTTTGAAAATAGCTAACTCAAGGATTAATTTCACTATCAAATCAACAGCTAAGACTTACCCTACCATTTCTACCCATTAAGGAGCTATTACTAACAAAGTATCTGCAGATATGGATAACAGCTACTAACGGGGGGCATTTTAGGATTCCCTTATGAAATGGTATCATGGTGGTGCGGGCGAGCAGGGATCCATAAACCCAGCTCAAGTAGGGTGAACTGTGTGTTATAGGTCCACTTGTTAAGATAATTTACTCACTTACAGAAACTTTTTTTAGATTACATATACACTCAACATACATGTCAACTTTTGTATGGAGTGATGATTGCTGTCCAAGGCTGCAGGAAATAGGTGGGAATTTTTATCCTCAACCACTCTGCAAGGGATCCTGCATAAGAACCACCAACATGACCCACATATGGTGGTGAGCTCCACATCCTCGCTATTGCCACTTGGAAGGGGACAGCATCTGCCAAGGCTACCTGTGCTGAGGCAGTAAAGGCGGGCATGCTCAGATCGCCCGAAGTAAAGCATAAACAAACTCTGTTTATGAAAACAGTGCAATCAGCTTGACTATCCAATAAAAATGTGTATTTTAAAAGTATGTTTATACCAGGTTCAACTTGAAAATTTCATTAGGATAATCTGGATGACAGGGAAACTGAATGCAGGAGCTAGCAATAATCACTAGCATTTTTGCAGTCTCATTTGGATGATGGCATTTCCTTTTGTCACCACTGGGAAGGCAATTCAAGTGCCTGTCCCTACCCACAGGATGACTTTTCTCATACACTGAACTGAACCACAACCATCAAATGATCAACCCGACTGAGAGAAGAGCCTGTTTTTGAAAGGGCTAAAATGTCAGTGATTTAACTCTTTCCAAAGAATTAAGAAAACTCATAGTTGATTGTACTTGATGTTATTTTCCCGTCTTCCTGGTTTGCCTGTGACATCAGACAAAGCCATATTTGAGTCTGAGTTTTCTCAGTCATAAGAAAACTACATAAAAATTTGCTAGTTACTTTTCAACAGTTGTTTATTCCATAAAAAGGTTTCCTATAAAAGTAGGATTTTATAAAATCCTAATTACTGCAAAGAAAAATTTCCTCCTGACACACTCAAACCATATAATACTATAGCTAGCTAAATATTAATTTAATGGTAGACAAAGGACATAGGATATTCACAAAAAGAAATATGAATGACCAGCAAATACATGGAAAAGTTTAGCTCTTTTTATTGTCAAAGTAATGCAAATATAAACAGGATATTTTTCCCTCCTATCAAACTGGCAGAGACTTATTTTGGATGATAGTATTGGGTGTTGGCAAGGACGTGACAAGTGTGCAGACTCTCTCATGCACAGCTTAAGGAGGATTAAGCAGTAGAGACGTTCTGGCACCAGTGTGTCCTCATATATAACAAGGGCTTCAAACAGCAAAATTATAGCTTGGCTCAGGAATTCCACTGCTGAGAACCCATAGCTGAACTTGCTAATTTTCCCCTAATATCCATTGTCTCTTTAATTTTTAGGTAATTAAATTCTGAATTTTAGCTGGGCATGTGGCTGCCCAGAATAAACATTACATATCCCAGCCATCCTTACAGTTAGACAGAAACTGACTAAATTCTAGCCAATGGGATATAACTGAAAGTATTATGTATAAGCTCCCGAGAAATGTCATTAAAAGGCAGCTGCAGTAAGTCTTTTCTCCTGTTTTGTGCCACTTGGAATGTAAATGGATGGTGAGGCTACATCTTGGATCGCAAAGATGAGATCCTCACTCCATTAGTGTTAGATGAGAAAACTGGAAGTGGCTTGGGTCCCAGATGACCAAGGAGATGCAGTGCCACTCATGGTTCTATGGGATGTTTAAATGTAGAATTTCGTGTTACAAAGAAATAAAAAGCACCTGTCATTATGCCACTGTTGTTATTTTGGTTCTCTGTTGCTCACAACCAACATGAAATATATGCTAAAAATTCACCAAAATTTCATGTTCATGAATGTTTATGTTCACTATTGTGAAGAGCAGATAAATATCTGTATGTTCAATAATAAAAGAACAATTATATAAATTATGTTCATTTGATGCAACATACTTTACAATGCAGTCATGCAGTCATGAGAATCTTAGTTTTGAGGATATTTATTGACAGCTCATGACATATGCTAATTAGGGGAATGGAGAATAATACAGTCTTTCACAAGCACACACATCTTCATTTTAACTAAAACTAATGTATTAGTACTTATTCATGTTCATTCACATATCTATTTTGTAAACAAATTCTAGATATTTCCACTTTCGTATCCAGCCTGTAGTTTTCAGCTGCTAGATTGGGGATAATTCGTTATGTAGCAATATGTAACCAATGCATTTTATCTTACCTATTTTTATCCTTTTCTTTCTTGACTTCTTTTGAATAAATCAATTTTTTAATCATTCTGTTGTTTTTCTCTGGTAATTTAGAAATTATACGTTGTTCTTTTATTCGTTTAATTATTACCCAAAGTTACAACTTGTGTATTAACGTATCAATGTCTACAGTTAGCACCTTTATTTTCTGCAAAATATAAGGACCTTGAAGAAAACTTTTCAATTCAACTTATCCCCTTCCAACTTATATATTATTATGGGGTGTATTATAATTCATTACTATTATTATTATTACATTCCACAATTATTTTAGTTTGCTTTTTAATTCTTTGTTTATTATTACATCTCAACTCTTCCATGTAGAATCAGTTTTATCCTGATTGAAATAAACCATCTGTTACTTTTCTTTTTAATAGAGACGGTTCTCACTATGTTACTCAGGCTGGTCTCTTGAGCTCAAGGGATCCTCCCACCTCAGTCTGCCAAAGTGTTGGAATTACAGGTGTGAGCCACTGTGCCCAGCCTGTAATTTTTTAATGAGGGTCCACTTATAGAAAAACTCTTTCATTTGTTTAAAATGACTTCATTCAAAAATATATACAAGATAACATTTTTTTGATTTTCATTGTTGATGTTGGGAAGTTAGCTATGACTCTCTAAATATTGGCCCTTTGAAGATTATCCTTTTTCTCTTTTTCTTTGATTTTCTGAAGAGACGTTTATGATATGTCTAGGTGTGGAGCTCATTCTCTTATATCTCCTTCTGAAACTCAAGAAAAATATGAAACATATATCTTTAATCTCTCATTAGAATTGATTTTCCTTTTATTTTCCTCCAAGTTGTATTGTGGATTATTTCTACGGGGATTATAATTTTGCTTGTTACATTTATCTTATTTCTAAAATTATGTTTCTCATTCAAATCTGCTGTCACTTTTTATTTTTACTTTTCTATTCTAGTCACAGGTATTTTAGATGTGTTTTTTTTTTCTTTCTTTTTTTTGGGGGTGGGGGACAGAGTCTTGCTCTATCACTAGGCTGGAGTGCAGTGGCGATCTCGGCTCACTGCAACCTTCACCTCCCAGGTTCAAGCAATTCTCCTGCCTCAGCCTCCCGAGTAGCTAGGACTACAGGCACGTGCCACCATGCCCAGCTAAATTTTGTATGTTTAGTACAGATGGGGTTTTACCATGTTGGCCAGGATGGTCTCGATCTCCTGACCTCGTGATCTGCCCACCTCGGCCTCCCAAAGTGTTGGGATTACAAGCGTGAGCCACTGCTCCCAGCCCTAGATGTGTTTTATGTTTTTAAACATGGTAATCATAACTGATACATAATTTGTGTTGATAATTCCAACCTATGAAATCTTTGTGGCTCTGTTTCTCTTTGGTTTTTTGGTGGTTTTCACTCACAAGGTCTTGACTTTGCATGAGTTGCTATTTTTAATTGTGTAGTGGTCATTTACTTTAAAAATAATTTGTAGAAATAATTTAAAGTCAAGGATACAGATACTTTGTTCCAGAGATGAGTGTGTTTGCTTCTTCCAGTTACCTGAGGTACCAGTAATCTAGGATGACCTCAAACAAGTCCATAGCTCCAGATTCCCGTAATCATCGGAAGAAACGGCATACGTGAGAGCTTGTTTGCTTGGGATTCATTCATTCTTCCTCGCTTATAGTGAGGAAGTCTTTCCTTACACATTCCATCTTTATGCAAGCCCTGAGTTTTGAATTGTCTTGCTTGCCCATGAGGCTATCAAAACAGAAGTTCAAATTGCTCAGCACCAAAAGTGCCCTCAAGGAAAAAGCAGTTGCCATCTTTCCTCTCTTCCCCTTTTCCCATTTCCCCTTCAATTTTAGCCTTGCAATTTCTTACTACTTTCTAATCTCTTTGATGTTTTTAAGGAGATGTTTTTAAATCTTTTCTTCTGCATTCAGAGGAAAGATTTATCCAAATAATATAGCCCATTATCCCAGGAAATTATAAGTCACCTAGCCACCTACTTGATATCCATCTGCTAAACGTTAAAAAAGACTTTAAGAAAGTAAACAAATATTTTTAATAACAGCCTAGCCTCTGGTAGGTCAGAATGACTATTGTGTGTTTATGTATGGCTATTGTATGCTTATTCTCAGTATGGGTTTAAGCCTATAAGCCCTTACTGAAGAAATAAAAGATACTTGATTTTGTTTTTCTACCCTAAGGAATTCCCATTTATTTCTTTTGTGACAGAGACACTTGTCTTACTGGTGCTTTTATTAAGAAACTCGATAAAGGTTTGCCTTTTCTTACAGAAACTTTACTCTTCTTATCACTTATACTCTTCAGTGGGGGGGAGGGAAAGCAGAACTAATGGAATTCAAAACCAAAATTAGCAAAATTCTCAGAAATCCTTGAACTCCCATGTCCTAAAGCATTGCCATTAGTTTTAATATTTATAAGGTCAATCCCTTCACAACCCCACAGATTCTACTTCTATTAATTAATAACAGATTACCTCAAGAAATATAGATATTTCACCCCCAAACTTAAATTCTACCAAATTACAATGAAATATGATTAATTACTACAGGGGAGTCATACGATACACTCAGCTCTTTAAGCAACAGGTATGAACTACCTTTTCTAACTACCCACCTAAAGTCTCTGTGTAATCTACATTTTGGAGATTTAGTCTCCAAAAAAAGACACTACTGAAAAACTGCCCTTGGGTCCTGATGAAGATGACCTTATCAGGGACTATTATCAACTGACACAAGAGTAAAACCCCAAAATATTCCTCCTCACTCTCATGTTTCCCAGCTCAAAAAAGACATATACCTTTCCCTTGACTACTTGACATCGATTCCTTCTGGAAATTGTAAACTGAGGATTCTCAGGAATCTTCTAGAAGATGCTGATTTCTGAGGTGGACAGCTTTTGCCCAGGATAACTAGAACGAGTAGCAAACCTCAAAATTGAACACCTTCTGCCCAAGGTGGAACAAGATTAACTTTTGATTCTTCAACACCTTTTCCAGCCTATTGTTCCATGTTGGTGCCCTCTAAAACACTAGTAGGATTTTCCTTATTTTAATCCACTTATTTCTGACCCCTGATGGTCTCCTACCACTTAAGGAAAAATAAAACTCTCTTACACATTTTTCCTCGACTATAGTTAACCACTGAGTCAAACGGGTGCTGGATCGATCACTGTTTACCTGACGTGCCTGACAAAATTTAGTAACTAATCCTTTACATACTTCAGAAGGCAAATTCCCTTTAATAGGGCCTTTCTAGTATATACATTTCCCCAATATCATCAATCCCAATTTTCAGTCTTGCAGATAATAGACCTTGAACTCACATTGACAAATTGCTTCTGCTGACATTGACACAATCCTATCAGCAAGACCCAGTCAATCAAGAATAAGCACGAATATGGGGGCCATTCTGACTGCAATAGTCAGTTTGTTTTCTTCAGAGACACTTCAGCCTGTCTTGCAGGAACTGTTCAACCACACTCTAGGATTTGTCTAACTCAAGGGACACAAAATTGGCGCCCATCTCTTGTAATAAATAATACTTATACTCCCCACACAATCCATGCTCCACTAGGATATTGGTCCGTATACCTGACTACCACATACAATGTACCCTGTCTATTTTGTAGTCATTGTTAGAGATTTTCAGATATTTAAAACTACCATCCCTCCAGGAAATCATATTTCCTTAAAAATAATACCAGAAGCTTCCAAAATACAGCAAGCACAGGTTATTTGAAACAACTTCCAAGAAGGATAACAGATTCACGCTTCATGTGTACTCTATAGCTACAGTTCACACAGTAGGTATAACACAATTATAAAAAGTGACCCAGATCTTGTCTCTAATCTTGTCAGAAGACACGAAATGACACCACTTCTGCTCTGAAAGCCCAACTCTCTGGTCTAAATCAATTAACCACAATTGTCAAAGACCATCATAAAGTCTTTGATTTTCTCTTAGCCGGCCAATGGGGAATTTGTACTAGAGCAAATACTATTATCCCACCTATATAAATACTACAGAGCAAACAGAACAGTCTATCACAGAGCTTTCTTTAAAAAATCACCTGTCTCTCTAAAACAGACCCAGCTAGATTCTGGGATATGTTTTCTTGCCTTGCTATTATAAGGTAGGGCATAGTTTCAAGATCTATTACAAAGACTAATAATATTTTGTTTCTAAAATTGACTATGCTACATTTAACCAATATATCTGCTGCAGAGCTTTAAATGCTACTATACAGCCGTTGTCTCTTCAATATGTCAACAACTCATCCCACAGCACTATGAAAGATTGATCCTGGA
Source organism: Homo sapiens (assembly GCF_000001405.40). Taxonomy (NCBI): domain Eukaryota; kingdom Metazoa; phylum Chordata; class Mammalia; order Primates; family Hominidae; genus Homo; species Homo sapiens. The sequence goes on from NC_000002.12 coordinate 224,293,059, forward strand.
TCACTAGATTATGTTCAGTGAGCACTATTCTAATGCTAATTAACAAAACTTGGCAATGCTGAAAATCTGGATATCATAGGTCAATGTGTTATACTGTGACTTCATCTGTCCTTGGCCAAAAGAGGAATGGAGAAATTAAAAACAAACAAAAACAAAACAAAACAAAACAAAACAAAACAAAAAACTGCCTCTGACATTTAGAAGCTGGCCTGGCACTTACAACTATTCCATGTTTTCTCCTGGGTAAATAATCTCCTAAATAATCTCACAGAAATTCAATCTCAGACAAGGTTACCCTGAAACCATGATAAAAAGGGACCAAGAAAGGCCACTTCATAATTTCTTAATTTTGTCTAACCACAGAGAAAAACAAGGTCATCATGTCACCTACAAAATACCAAGCCTACTCCCTTTGAATCAAAATGAATAACTGCTGTTTCTCCCCACCATGTGGATAAGGTTTACTGAGATACCCAAGTCTCCCCACTTCCTTAGACTCCCCCCAAATTACTCCATCAAGGTGCAAATTCCATTGTAGATTCTAACACCTTTTTACTGAGATGCCCCATTACCCCTATGATGTATGTTCCCTTGGCTGCAATGAGTAATAAATTTTATTTATTTAACTACAGGTATATTCCTGGTAGTCTTTTGCTGAAGTACATTCACATAGGTAATGTCAAATTTGTTTTGCCAAACAAATTGATTTTTCTAAAACAAAACTGTTTGTTTCATGACCAGCATAACTCATAGAAAACCCTATCGCGATTTCAAAGCTAGATCAATGAATAAAGACTTGTAAATAGATCAGTGGTGGGGTGGTGAGCCACAGGACAATTTTGAAGGCTCCATGCTCGTGGCTAAGTCAAATTTACAGACACATCATTTAACAGTCAGTGGTAAGAAATTTCATTCTTTATTGACTCCTCTCAAAAAAGATTAAAGCGATTCGAGCCTAACCTAAATTAAAAACTTCTCAAAAGCCTCTGCTTCCATTCCCCTGCGCTCCTGCTTGGAAATCTTGTATAAGACAAATCCTAGACTCTCTTCTACAACCCAAACACGAGGGCTTCTTCTCCTTCTGCTCCCAGCCTTTTATTATGTAAATCAGCTTAGCCTCTTCCGCATTGGTCTCAAAAGGGTCAGGAAAAAGGAGCCAGGCCAATGAAGAATTTCCATTAGCATTCGGGGGAAAAGGGGGATGTGCAGAACATTCAGAAGTTAATCCTCTTTTCCCCCTCCCTAAACAACTGATTGAAGGATAATGAAATCAAGAAATTAAGTCTGGCAAGAGTTTTCAACCTCATGAAGATGATCTGTATGGCAAACTGCTTTAATTTCACTCAACATAAGTTATCCCATATTTGAAAATTATTTTGTTTCCTTAGAGAGATTAAGAAAACCCAGATTTAAAACTATTTATAGGATATCAATTATTGTTAACACCCACACACAAACCTAAGTTTCAAATGAAGAAATGTAGCCATGATGACATTACTAGAATGTCACCTCCCCATCAAAAGTTAAATGACTTAGAATCCAAAATCACATTTGTGGAGTCACAGCTAGAAAGAGGTTGGTGGAATTTTAAGTAATTATTGGACTGTCATGATAAACAGTACCAAGAATTATGACTCATATAATAAAGGTATCACTTCACTGACACTAATCACATTCTCAGGGTTGTAAAAAGCAATCCTTACTTCTTACTTAAATGGGAATAAAAGACTTTGACATTACATTGGATTTTTCATAACCTTCAGGGGTACTTTTTAAACTTCATTTGATTTGCTTGACTTTATGGAATGAACAGTTTATAAACAAGAAAACAAGCTTTTCGATACACCATCTGCAGTGGAACCACCATCAAAATGCAGATTTTTACAAAAACTCTTACAGAGAAGACCATCACCCTGGAGGTTGAAACTTCAGATACAATAGAAAATGTAAAGGCCAAGATCCAGGATAAGGAAGGAAATCTGCCTGGTTAGCAAAGACTTATCTTTGCTGGTAAGCAACTGGAAGATGGATGGTATGGTTTGGCTCTGTGTCCCCACCCAAATCTCATCTTGAATTGTAGCTCCCATAATTCCCATTTGCTGTAGGAGGGACCTGGTGGGAGATAACTGAATCATGGGGGTGTTTTCCCTCATACTGTGCTCATGGTAGTGAGTAAGTCTCATGAGATCTGATGGTTTTATAAGGGGTTTCCACTTTCGTTTGGCTCTCATTCTCTCTTGCCTGCCACCATGTAAGATGTGCCTTTCACCTTCCACCATGATTGTGAGGCCTCCCCAGCCATGTGGAACTGTGAGTTCATTACACCTCTTTTTCTTTACAAATTACCCAGTCTTGGGTATATCTTTATCAGCAGCATGAAAACACACTAATAAAAATGGGCATCCTTTGTCTAACTACAACATTCACAAGGAGTCTACTCTTTGTCTCATGCTGAGACTTTGTAGTGGCTCTAAGAAAAGGAAGAAGTCTTACACCCCTCCCAAAAACAATAAGAAGGTGAAGCTGACTGTCCTGAAATACTATAGGATGGATGACAATGGCAAAATTAGTAGCCTCCGTCAGGAGTGTCCTTCAGATGAATGTGGTCCTAGAGTTTTTATGGCCAGCCACTTTGACACATTATTGTGGCACAGGGTGTCTGACTTATCGCTTCAACAAACCAGAAGACAAGTGATTGTGTATGAGTTAATAAAAAACATGAACTAACAACAATAACAAAAAGAAAACTAAGTATACATCTTTCAACTGACAAAGCCAACAATGTAGGGAGCAAGAATAAACTATCAAGGCAACAATAGTCCTCATTTTCTTGCTTCTCAATCTCCCACTGCAATCTGCACTTTAGTAGGGCATCTGGTTACCACTGATGAGTTGCTTTAACAAAAAGTCACCCCTGCTTCCTTGGTGAGAGCAATTTTCATGATTTAAAATTCCATTGGGGGAAAAAATATTACTAGGTATATCATGTTGCTAAATATGTTCAGTAAAATCCATGGAATTGTTGTACAGAAGGACTACATTTTATTCGAAAGAAACTTCATGTGAATCTTTTCATCAAGAAAGTTGCCCCATCCCCATCCTCTACCTACAGTTTTTCTTTTCTTTTTCCTTTTTTTTTTTTTTTTTTTGAGATGGAGACTCGCTCTGTCACCCAGGCTGGAGTGCAGTGGCGCAATCTTGGCTCACTGGCTCACTGCAAGCTCTGCCTCGTGGGTTCATGCCATTTTCCTGCCTCAGCCTCCTGAGTAGCTGGGACTACAGGCACCTGCCACCACAGCCAGCTAATTTTTTGTATTTTTTTTTTAGTGGAGACGGGGTCTTACCATGTTATCCAGGATGGTCTTGATCTCCTGACCTTGTGATCTGCCTGCCTTGGCTGCCCAAAGTGCTGGGATTACAGGCGTGAGCCACCACGCCCAGCCTACCTACAGTTTTTCTTTGTGATAGTTGGAATTTTCAAATATTCAGCTTTCTGAAAGAGAGGTATATTAAGAATTAAAAGTGCATGAAAAAGAGACAGAGAGAGTATAGCAACAGCAACAAGAACGGTCACTGTCAGGCCTCTGAGCCCAAGCTAAGCCATCATATCCCCTGTGACCTGCACGTACACATCCAGATGGCTGGTTCCTGCCTTAACTGATGACATTCCACCACAAAAGAAGTGAAAATGGCCTGTTCCTGCCTTAACTGATGACATTGTCTTGTGAAATTCCTTTTCCTGGCTCATCCTGGCTCAAAAGCTCCCCCACTGAGAACATTGTGACCTCCACTTTGCCCGCCGGAGGACAACCCCCCTTTGACTGTAATTTTCCTTTACTTACCCAAATCCTATAAAATGGCCCCACCCCTATCTCCCTTCACTGACTCTCTTTTCGGACTCAGCCCACCTGCACCCAGGTGAAATAAACAGCTTTATTGCTCACACAAAGCCTGTTTGGTGGTCTCTTCACACAGACACGCATGAAATTTGGTGCTGTGACTCGGATCGGGGGACCACCCTTGGGAGATCAATCCCCTGTCCTCCTGTTCTTTGTTCCAAGAGAAAGATCCACCTACGACCTTGGTCCTCAGACCGACCAGCCCAAGAAACATCTCACCAATTTCAAATCCAGTAAGCGGCCTCTTTTTACTCTCTTCTCCAACCTCCCTCACTATCCCTCAACTTCTTTCTCCTTTCAATCTTGGCACCACACTTCAATCTCTCCTTTCTTTTAATTTCAATTCCTTTCATTTTCTGGTAGAGACAAAGGAGACACGTTTTATCTGTGGACCCAAAACTCCGGCACCAGTCACGGACTGAGAAGGCAGCCTTCCCTTGGTGTTTAATCATTGCAGGGACACCTCTCTGATTATTCACCCAGGTTTCAGAGGTGTCAGACCACGCAGGGACGCCTGCCTTGGTCCTTCACCCTTAATGGCAAGTCCCGCTTTTCTGGGGGAGGGTCAAGTACCCCAACCCCTTCTCTCCATGTCTCTACCTCTTCTCCGCCTTTCTGGGGGGCAAGAAACCCCCAACCCCTTCTCCTTCACCCTTAGCAGCAAGTCTCACTTTTCTAGGGGAGGGGCAAGTACCCCAACCTCATATCTCTGTGCCCCATCCCTTCTTTCCGCACCCCGAACCCTTATATCTCTGCACCCTAATCCCTTATTTCCCTTCCCCAACCTCTTATATCTCTGCGCCCTGATCCCTTATTTCTGTACCCCAACCTCTTATATCTCTGTGCCCCAATCCCTTATTTCCACGCCCCAACCTCATATCTCTGTGCCCCGACCCCTTTCCCACTTTTCTGGAGGGTAAAAACCCCCAAACCCCTTCCCTCTGTGTCTCTACCCTCTCTTTTCTCTGGGCTTGCCTCCTTCACTATGGGCAACCTTCCACCCTCCATTCCTCCTTCTTCTCCCTTAGCCTGTGTTCTTAAGAACTTAAAACCTCTTCAACTCTCACCTGACCAAAATCTAAGCATCTTATTTTCTTCTGCAATGCCGCTTGACCCCAATACAAACTCTACAGTAGTTCCAAATAGCCAGAAAATGGCACTTTCAATTTTTCCATCCTGCAAGATCTAAATAATTCTTGTCGTAAAATAGGCAAACAGTCTGAGGAGCCTGACGTCCAGGCATTCTTTTACACATCGGTCCCTTCCTAGTCTCTGTGCCCAATGCAACTCGTCCCAAATCTTCCTTCTTTCCCTCCTGCCTGTCCCCTCAGTCCCAACCCCAAGAGTCACTGAGTCTTTCTAATCTTCCTTTTCTACAGACTTATCTGACCTCTCCCCTCCTGGCCAGGCTGAGCTAGGTCCCAATTCTTCCTTAGCCTCCGCTCCTGCACCCTATAATCATTTTATCACCTCCCCTCCTAACACCTGGTCTGGCTTACAGTTTCGTTCCATGTCTAGCCCTCCCCCACCTGCCCAGCAATTTACTCTTAAAAGGGTGGCTGAAGCTAAAGGCATAGTCAAGGTTAATGCTCCTTTTTCTTTATCCCAAGTCAGATAGCGTTTAGGCTCTTTTTCACCAAATATAAAAATCCAGCCAAATTCATGACTCCTTTGGCAGCAACCCTGAGATGATGCTTTACAGCCCTAGACCCTAAAAGGTCAAAAGGGCGTCTTATCCTCAAAATACATTTTATTACCCAATCTGCTCCCGACATTAAATAAAACTCCAAAAATTAAATTCCGGCCCTCAAACCCCACAACAGGATTTAATTAACCTCGCTTTCAAGGTGTACAATAATAGAAAAAAGTTGCAATTCCTTGCCTCCACTGTGAGACAAACCCCAGCCACATCTCCAGCACATGAGAACTTCCAAACGCCTGAACTGCAGTGGCCAGGTATTCCTCCAGAACCTCCTCCCCCAGGAGCTTGCTACAAGTGCCAGAAATCTGGCCACCAGGCCAAGGAATGCCTGCAGCCCAGGAGTTCTCCTAAGCCGCGTCCCATCTGTGCGGGACCCCACTGGAAATCGGACTGTCCAACTCACCTGGCAGCCACTCCCAGAGCCCCTGGAACTCTGGCCCAAGGCTCTCTGACTCCTTCCAAGATCTTCTTGGCTTAGCAGCTGAAGACTGACGCTGCCCGATCACCTCGGAAGCCCCCTAGACCGTCACGGACGCCGAGCTTCAGGTAACTCTTACAGTGGAAGGTAAGTCCGTCCCCTTCTTAGTCAATACGGAGGCTACCCTCTCCACATTACCTTCTTTTCAAGGGCCTGTTTCCCTTGCCTCCATAACTGTTGTGGGTATTGACAGCCAGGCTTCTAAACCTCTTAAAACTCCCCAACTCTGGTGCCAACTTAGACAATACTCTTTTAAGCACTCCTTTTAATTATCCCCACCTGCCCAGTTCCCTTATTAGGCCGAAACACTTTAACTAAATTATCTGCTTCCCTGACTATTCCTGGATTACAGCTACATCTCATTGCTGCCCTTCTTCCCAATCCAAAGCCTCCTTTGTGTTCTCCTCTTGTATTCCCCCACCTTAACCCTCAAGTATATCTCTACTCCCTCCTTGGCGACCGATCATGCACCCCTTACCATCTCATTAAAACCTAATCACCCTTACCCTGCTCAATGCCAATATCCCATCCCACAGCATGCTTTGAAAGGATTAAAGCCTGCTATCACTCGCCTGCTACAGCATGGCCTTTTAAAGCCTATAAACTCTCCTTACAATTCCCCCATTTTACCTGTCCTAGAACCAGAGAAGATTTACAGGTTAGTTCAGGATCTGCGCCTTATCAACCAAATTGTTTTGCCTATCCACCCCGTGGTGCCAAACCCATATACTCTCCTATCCTCAATACCTCCCTCCACAATCCATTATTCTGTTCTGGATCTCAAACGTGCTTTCTTTACTATTCCTTTGTACCCTTCATCCCAGCCTCTCTTCGCTTTCACTTGGACTGACCCTGACACCCTTCAGGCTCAGCAAATTACCTGGGCTGTACTGCCGCAAAGCTTCACAGACAGCCCCCATTACTTCAGTCAAGCCCAAATTTCTTCCTTATCTGTTACCTATCTCAGCATAATTCTCATAAAAACACACACGCTCTCCCTGCTGATCATGTCCGATTAATCTCCCAAACCTCAATCCCTTACAAAACAACAACTCCTTTCCTTCCTAGGCATGGTTAGTGCGGTCAGAATTCTTACACAAGAGCCAGGACCACACCCTGTAGCCTTTCTGTCCAAACAACTTGACCTTACTGTTTTAGCCTAGCTCTCATGTCTCCATGCAGCGGCTGCTGCCGCCCTAATACTTTTAGAGGCCCTCAAAATCACAAACTATGCTCAACTTACTCTCTACATTTCTCATGACTTCCAAAATCTGTTTTCTTCCTCATACCTGAAGCATACACTTTCTGTGCCCTGGCTCCTTCAGCTGTACTCACTCTTTGTTAAGTCCCACAATTACCACTGTTCCTGGCCCGGACTTCAATCCGGCCTCCCACATTATTCCTGATACCACACCTGACCCCCATGACTGTATCTCTCTGATCCACCTGACATTCACCCCATTACCCCATATTTCCTTCTTTCCTGTTCCTCACCCTGATCATGCTTGATTTATTGATGGCGGTTCCACCAGGCCTAATCGCCACACACCAGCAAAGGCAGGCTATGCTATAGTACAAGCCACTAGCCTGCCTCTTAGAACCTCTCATTTCCTTTCCATCGTGGAAATCTATCCTCAAGGAAATAACTTCTCAGTGTTCCATCTGCTATTCTACTACTGCTCAGGGATTATTCAGGCCCCCTCTCTTCCCTACACATCAAGCTCGAGGATTTGCCCCCACCCAGGACTGGCAAATGAGCTTTACTCAACATGCCCCGAGTCAGATAACTAAAATACCTCTTAATCTAGGTAGACACTTTCACTGGATAGGTACAGCCCTTTCCTACAGAGTCTAAGAGGCCACCGCAGTCATTTCTTCCCTTCTGTCAGACACAATTCCTCAGTTTAGCCTTCCCACCTCTATACAGTCTGATAACAGACCAGCCTTTATTAGTCAAATCAGCCAAGCAGTTTTTCAGGCTCTTAGTATTCAGTGAAATCTTTATATCCCTTATGGTCCTCCATCTTCAGGAAAAGTAGAACGGACTAAAGGTCTTTTAAAAACACACCTCACCAAGCTCAGCCACCAACTTAAAAAGGACTGGACAATACTTTTACCACTTTTGCTTCTCAGCATTCAGGCCTGTCCTCAGAATGCTACAAGGTACAGCCCATTTGAGCTCCTTTTTATTAGGCCCCAGTCTCATTCCAGACACCAGACCAACTTAGACTGTGCCCCAAAAAACTTGTCATCCCTACTATCTTCTGTCTAGTCATACTCCTATTCACCGTTCTCAACTACTCATACATACCCTGCTCTTGTTTACCCTGCCAGTTTACACTGTTTCTCCAAGCCATCACAGCTGGTATCTCCTCGTGCTATCCCTAAACTGCCACTCTTAACTCTTAAAGTAAATAAATAATCTTTACTGGCAAGGCTATGCTGAGCCTCCTTAGGCACTCTCTAATTAGATGTCCTAGGTCCTCCCAATTCTTAGTCCTTTAATACCTGTTTTTCTCCTTATCTTATTCCGTTTAGTTTTTCAATTCATACAAAACTGTATCCAGGCCATCACCAATAATTCTAAATGACAAATGTTCCTTCTAACAACCCCACAATATCACCCCTTACCACAAAATCTTCCTTCAGCTTAATCTCTCCCACTCTAGGTTCCCATGCCACCCCTAATCCCGCTCAAAGTAGCCCTGAGAAACATCGCCCATTATCTCTCCATACCATCCCCCAAAATTTTCACTGTCCCAACACTTTACCACTATTTCATTTTATTTTTCTTATTAATATAAGAAGACAGGAATGTCAGGCCTCTGAGCCCAAGCTAAGCCATCATATCCCCTGTGACCTGCACATACACATCCAGATGGCCGGTTCCTGCCTTAACTGATGATATTCCACCACAAAAGAAGTGAAAATGGCCTGTTCCTGCCTTAACTGATGACATTGTCTTGTGAAATTCCTTCTCCTGGCTCATCCTGGCTCAAAAGCTCCCCCACTGAGTACCTTGCGACCCCCACTCTGCCAGCCAGAGAACAACCCCCCTTTGACTGTAATTTTCCTTTACCTACCCAAATCCTATAAAATGGCCCCACCCCTATCTCCCTTTGCTGACTCTCTTTTCGGACTCAGCCCACCTGCACCCACGTGAAACAAACAGCTTTATTGCTCACACAAAGCCTGTTTGGTGGTCTCTTCACACGGATGCACATGAAAGTCATGAAAAGAAAAGCCTTCAGGTTACCCTGCTGGTTGGCTGTGCCCTTTAATTCTGTGTTCTGGAAGTAAGCAGAAGGCCTCGAGTTCTCTGGGTATAAGTAACGCAGGGGACAGTCAGGACATTGAGTTTCTACTGGCAACTGTCACCCTTCAATCATTAGAAACACTTTGGGAGGCCGAGGCAGGTGGATTACTTGAGGCCAGGAGTTTGAGACCAGCCTGGCTAACATGGCGAAACTCTGTGTCTACTAAAAATACAAAAAATTAGCCGGGCGTGGTGGTGCGCACCTGTAATCCCAGCCACTCAGGAGGCTGAGGCAAGAGAATCGCTTGAACCCGGGAGGTGGAGGTTGCAGTGAGCTGAGATCACACCACTGAACTCCAGCCTGGGTGACAGAGCAAGACTGTCTCAAAAAAAGTCACTGTTAATGAAATATCTCTGTAGAAAGAAAAACATGCTTTTAGGTCATTAATTTGCCATGCCCTGAGATTTGTTTGTGATTTGTGATAACTGGGTGGCAGCATAATTTGGTTTGTCAGAGCAAAGATTTGGATGAAGCAGGTTCACTGTGCACTGATGACCAATGTGTCTGAGTCCAGCGAGGTGGAACACCCAACGTACAAGTTACATGAAGCAGGTCTTTACTTACAGGTAGACAATTAGGGATAGCAGAAGGCTAGGAGTCATTCTGAGCTGGCCCCTCAAACTCAGGAAAGCTGCTCATTTGTGTCGCCTCATTTGCACAGCAGCTCAGGAACTGTGAAAGTTGCATACTTCCGAGCCCGTGTCCTGCTGGGCTAAAGGGCTGAAGGCCATCCTGTCTCTAAGGGAGAGACGAACAGAGCTCAGGCTGTCCTGGCCTGTTCCTTCCCTATCTCAGAATGTTACATTCCCTGCATATTCTACAGTTATTCTCGAGAACTTCAAGTAAGAAAGTGGGGAGAACCGGGTCAGTCCAAAGCCACCTGGAGAAATGTCCTTAGATTATGGGTCCTGAGAGCCCCCTAAATCAATGACACTGCACAAGCTACTATGCGTATACATTGGGCACATTTATTTTTTGCTTTTTAATTTAAAAATTTTCCAACAGATACTGTTATCAGAACGGGGTCCTGATCCAGACACCAAGAGAGGGTTCTCAGATCTCCTGCAAGAAAGAATTCAGGGTGCGTCCACAGAGTGAAGTGAAAGCAAGTTTATTTGGAAAGTAAAGGAATAAAAGAGTGGCTACTCCATAAACAGAACAGCTCTGAGGGCCACTGGTTGCCCATTTTTATAGTTATTTCTTGATTATATGCTAAACAATGGGTGGATTATTCACACATCCTCTTTTTAGACCATACAGGATAACTACCTGACATTGCCATGGCACCCATAAACTGTCATGGTGCTGGTGGGAGTGTAGCAGTGAGGATGACCGGAGGTCACTCTCATTGCCATCTTGGTTTTGGTAGGTTTTAGCTGGCTTGTTTACTGCAACCTGTTTTATCAGCAAGGTCTTTATAACCTGTATCTTGTGCTGACCTCCTATCTCATCCTATGACTTAGAATCCCTAACCATCTGGGAATGCAGTCCAGTAGGTCTCAACCTCATTTTACCCAGATCCTGTTCAAGATGGAGTTGGTCTGGTTCAAACACCTCTGACAACACTACAGTACAAAAACCAAAATAATGAATCTCCATGTGCTCATCACCCAGTATGGCAGGTTGAAAAATAGCTCCCAAAGATATCCACGCCCTAATCCATGCAACCGTTGAATGTTTCTTTATATGGAAAAATGTTCTTTTCAGATGTGATTACATTAAGGATCTTGAAATGGAGTGAGTAGCCTGGGTTATCCAAGTGGGTCCTTTTATGTAATCACAAGTATCCTTTTAAGAGGGAGGCAGAGGGAAACTTAACTTCAGACAAAAGAGAAGAAGCCGTTTGATGGAAGCAATGGGAAGCAGAGTCGGAAGATATTACGTTGCTGGCTTTAAAGATGGAGCAACGGGCCATGAGCTAAGGATGCAAGGAATACAGCTCAGGATGCAGGAAAAGTCAAAGAAATGGATTCTCAACTACAGCCTCTAGCGGGATCAGTCCTTGCAGGCACCACAACTGCAGACCAGTGAAACTGATTTTGCCCTTGACCTCCAGAACTGTTGGAGAATAAATAAGTGTTGACTTAAGTCACCAAGTTTGTGGTAACTATTGCAGCAGTCATAGGCAACTAATACTCCAGTTTCAACTATTACCAAATTTTGGTGTCACACACACACACACACACACACTCACGCCCCAACAGACACCCTATTGTATTATTTGAAGCACATCACATGCACAATAATACTTTATCCATAAATACTTCATTTTGTTTTATGAAACAATATGGGCTCAAACAAGTAAATAAGCATGGCCACAATAACACAAATAAAAATAATTAATAAAAAGTTATTAATATCAAATATCCCTTTGTGTTTCAAACTTCCAAATGCTCCCATCATTGTTTTTTATATTTAAACATCATGTTAGTTTGTTTAAATCAGGATTCAAGCAAGGTCTACACATTGCAATTAGTTGATTTATCTCCTAATTATTGGATTTGTGGTTTTTGCTATGCTATCCAATATGGTAGTCACTAGTCATATGTGGCTATTTACATAAATCAATATAAATTGAACAGAATTTAAAAATCAGCTATTCAGCTCCTGGAGCTCATTAGCCACATTGCAATACTAACATGTGGCTCATAGCGACCTTAGTGAACAGACAGACATATGGAATATTTCCATCATCTCAGAATGTTTGATAGATTCTCCCTTGTTTTTTTTCTCTCTCTTTTTCTTTACTTCTTTCCTTTTTTCTTTGTCTCTGGTTTTCTGTCTTTCCTCACTTTTTTGGCCCAATAAAATCTCCTATGGTCTGAATTTTGCGTAGAGTATTTCCTTGATGTCATTTAACATATTTCTCTATCCCTTGTGCTTTTTTGTAAATTGTAGTAGTTATATCTACGGGTTTGATATCATACTTTTCCTTTTTCTTTCTTTTTTTTTTTTTTTTTTTTTTTGAGACAGAGTCTTGCCCTGTCACCCAGGCTGGAGTGCATGGCGGGATCTCTGCTCACTGCAACCTCCACCTCCAGGGTTCAAGTGATTCTCCTGCCTCAGTCTCCCAAGCAGCTAGGACCACAGGCAAGTGCCACCACTCCCAGCTAATTTTTTGTATTTTTAGTAGAGACGGAGTTTCGCCGTGTTAGCCAGGATGGTCTCCATCTCCTGACCTTGTGATCCACCTGCCTCAGCCTCCCAAAGTGCTGGGATTACAGGCATGAGCCACTGCACCTGGCCTTTTTTTTTTTTTTTTGGCAAGAATACTTCACAAGTGAAGTTGTGGATTTCCTATTTCATCAAGGCAGGGACACAAAATGTCTGGTTATCTCTCTTTTTGTTGTAAAGTTGATCTATTAAAACTAACAGTTTAAGTCCGGGTGTGGTGGCTCATGCCTGTACTCCCAGCACTTTGGGAGTCTGAGGTGGGTGGATCACCTGAGGCCAGAAGTTCGAGATCAGCCTGGCCAACATGGTGAAACCCTGTCTCTAATAAAAATACAAAATCAGCTGGGTGTGGTGGCGGGTGCCTGTAATCCCAGCTACTTGGGATGCTGAGGCAGGAGAATCGCTTGAACCCAGGAGGTGGAGGTTGCAGTGAGCCGAGGTCACACCACTGCACTCCAGCCTGGGTGACAGAGCAAGACTTCATCTCAAAATAAATAAATAAATAAATATATATATATATATATATATACACATATATATAATGTTAATATAGCAAAAGGATTTAAGACAGCGCTGGGCACATAATAAGTCTTATATGGTATAATGTTCCTACTATTTTACTTACATAGAAGACTAGTGCTTATACTTGAAGTTTCAGACATGTTCCCTTGACAGTGAATCTAGATCTTCTGAAATATATATTCAGATATCAAGCCTTCCCTGGAGATAAATGTAACTCAAGAGCAGAAATAAATGCTTTCTCCTTGAGGAACTCTGACTCTTCTATTATTTGGTTTTTATTGTGGAGCAGTGAAATAATTTGCATCTTCCTCGTTTCCACACAGGCTCAGATACTCACAGAAGCTGGGATAAGGATTTGAGAATTGATCTCAGCAAAGTTTCTCATCCTAGTCTTTTAAATTTTTTCCCCCTGAAGTTCAACGTTACATAGCTGTTTGAAGAGAGTTCAGCCTAAAATTTCTGACTTTTACAATCATCGGATCAGGGAATTCTTCCTTCTGAAAACCAAATAGCTCTTATTTTTCCCCCAATAATAATGCTGGGGCCAGACATGGTGGCCCACGCCTCTAATCTCAGCACTTTGGGAGGCCAATTGCTTGAGCCCAGGAGTTCAAGACCAGCTGGGCCAACACAGTGAGACCCCATCTCTACAAAAAAAATTAAAAATTAGCCTGGCATGATGACGTGTGCCTCCAGTCCTGGCTACTCAGGGCAGTGAGTGGGGCCTGAAATGGGAGGATGGCTTGAACCTGGGAAGTTAGGACTGCAGGGAGCTGTGATGTGGCCACTCCAGCCTGGCTGACAGAGTGAGGCCCTGTCTCAAATCATAATAATGATGCTAGAAAATAAGCAATGATATTAGAGTTCTCAGTAATTTTTTTACTCCTTCCAATAATGCTAAGAATATCTGAAAAAGTCTATTATCCGATATTTTACTGTTAAAAATAGAATGACTCAGTGTCTCCCACCTACCCCTTTCATGCTTGGCAAATAATATTTCTTGTCAATACTAGAAGTTATTGTTTAAAAAGTTATGGGTGCTATAAGGGCAATCTTGGGGTAGAGAGAATGTTCTAGGTCTTGATTATGGTGGTAGTTACACAACTGTAACCATTTGTCAAAACATACAGAATTGTGCACTTAAAATGGCTATTTTATTATATGTAAATTATTCCACAATAAAGTTGATTTTTAAAAACTCATAGAAAATTGTTCTTAAAATGTAAGCATTTGATTGGATATAAATTATAGCTCAGTGAAGTTAATATACAAATCACAAATCATCGACTACCAAAAAAAATTTACAGATGCAAAGTCTACACTCACTCCATCCCCAACTTAACAATGGTTCAACTTAGAATTTTTCAACTTTATGATGGTGTGAAAGCAATATGCATTCAGTAAAACAGCAGTAAATTACATGAGATATTCAACACGTTATTATGAAATAGGTTTATGCTAGATGATTTTGCCCAACTGTAAGCTAAAGTAAGCATTGTGAGCATGTTTAAGCACATCATAGCTAAGCTAAGCTATGATGTTTAGTAGATTTTTGTGCCTGTATTAAATGCTTCTGTAGTGCATTAAGGAGAGAAAAGTATAATAAAAAGGGTCAAATTTGGAAAAAGAGAAAGAGCAGGAAGAATACTTATAAAGTCAGCAACTGCTGCCACAAAAATTGTGACCACCACGGAGGAAAGTTCACTGTGAGTCAGGCCTTACACCAGGGGTCCGCAATCCCCTGGGCCACGGACCATTACCACGTGGCCTGTTAAGAACCAGGCTGCATAGCAGGAGGTGTGCGGCAGGCGAAGGAGCATTATGACCTGAGTTCTGCCTTTTGTCAGATCAGTGGCAGCATTAGATTCTAATAGAAGTGCGACCTTATTGTGAACTGTGCATGCAAGGGATCTAGGTTGCATGCTCCTTATGAGAATCTAATGCCTGATAATCTGAGGTGGAACAGTTTCATCCCGAAATCATCCTCCTATCCTATGCATGGAAAAATTGTCTTCCACAAAACCAGTCCCCAGTGCCAAAAAGGTTGGAGACCTCTGCCTTACACATCACAATGTCAGAGGCAATGTCAGCAACAGACAAGAAGAATTTAGCATGCCTTGAATAGGGGCCCATGACATAAATAATATTTAGTCTTTTATTACATGATAAATCCCTGGCCCAGATACTTTCCTCAATATATAAAACATTTATACTGCTTTTAGGATTAAGGTGACATTATTCCTGTGAAAGGCATATTTGCATGTTTGTTTCACTTTCAGCTGGTGAGGGAGGGTTAACTTCAGATGACCTTTGCAAATTAGTAGCTGAGCTTTGGCATAAACCTGACTCACAAAAGAACTGCTATGCCGAGTTTTTGGTTTTCTTACTTAAGAGAAAGAAGGAAGCTGCAAATAAAATTCTGGTGATTTCCCAAAAGGATATTTGAAAGATGTGCTTGTTAAAGAACTTTACAATGGATTTTTTTTTAACATCTTGAGGGCTTGACAGTTTGCCTGAGACTTATCAAATCAGAAGTGGCCTGTCAAAGGGTGAGCAGGTGAACCCTGATCTGTGAGAGGAACAAAGTGGACAGGTAGTCCATGAACTCTATTTTCTGTACACGTCTGACCTGCTCAAGGTTTGTTTGGTTGGTTGACCCTTTAAGGACAATAAAGTCCTTGAGTTCTTAACCTAAAGGCTTGTAAATTCTTGCAGAGAACTAAAACAAGAAAATGAATAAAGGACAGCTAAGGAGACAGGATAATATGTATTTTAGGCAGGTATTATACAATGACCTATCCTTGGCTTATAATGGTGCAGTTCTCTCTTAAAATGGATGAACCCAATCCGAAGGGAATTTGTAAAGGTTAAATACTACAAAATTGAGTTGAGAGTACTGATTATAGTGAGAATAGAGTGTTAAACATATATGACACATTTTTCTCATTGAACTTTACATTTTTCAATGTAATCAAGTTAATGGAATGCATTTTGGTTAGAAGTCTAAGGGAGGCTCAGTGAGGCTTGGTTTGATGTGGTCCTTTCAGACTGGCCCTCGACCCAACTGACACAGGCTCATAGCTTCAAGAACAAGGTCAAACCTACAGAAAGCACCTGGGATGGTTTATGGCTGAAGTGGCTTGAAGTTCCACAGTAGGTGTGGTCTGGGAATTTTTCTGATGAATGTCATCTAAAAGTTCCCTTCTTTTTCCCAACAAGCTACTATTGCAAACCACAGTGTGGTCAGGAACATTTCTGCTGTAGTGTTCTCCAGGGAGTGGTCTGGCCTCATACTGCATCCAGCTGGTTAAACCGACCCCTAATTCCTCAGCCTGCGCTGTCCAATGCGGTAGCCACCAGCCACAGGCAGCTCTTGAGAACTTGAAATATGGCTAGAGTGATGCTATAAATACACTGGATTTGGATGCCTTAGCAGAAAAAAAAAAGAATGAAAAATGTCTCATTATATTGATTGTATGTTGAAATGATCCTATTTTGAATGCAGTGGGTTGAATAAAATATATTACTAAAAATAATCTCATTTGTTTCTTTTTTGTATTTTTAAATGTGGATATTAGAACATTTTAAACTACCTGTGTGCCTTGTATTATATTTATATTGGACAATACCATCTGTCCTAGTTCTCAGCCTGGCCAAGGCTCAGTTCACTCACTTCCCCGTGCAGTGCCCAAGTGTGATCTTCAGCACCTTTTCTCTCTCTCAGACTTAGGAGGCTCTATCTTGGAATAGGGGTTGTGCCTCCACAGGGATTTGGGTTGGGGTTGCCAGCCCCTTTCCACTCATTTGCGTCCTCCTGGGTCCCAGCCCTTGATATGTCTCTGTAGCCTCCAGTTTTCTCCCGAGCCTGCTCCCTCCCTCCTTCCTCACGGCATGCTCTCGGACTGGGGCAGCACAGCAAGCCTCTGCTGATTCCAGACTCTCATGCCATCTTCCTTCAAGAAATGGATCTAAAGGAAAGTCATTAATTGGAGTCCAGTTGAATAAGTACCAAAATAGAAGGAGGTATCTTTTTTTGTCTAGATAAAAGTTTTGTGCTATCTATATTTCCCTTAAATACACTGTTTCATTTTCCTTTTGACAATGAAGAATACGTCATGATATTTTGGATCATGCCTGTAATCCCAGCATTTTGGGAGGCCGAGGCTGGCGGATCACCTGAGGTCAGGAGGTCAAGACCAATCTGGGTAACACGGTGAAACCTCATCTCTACTAAAAATACAAAAGTCAGTGGGCGTGGTGGCACACGCCTGTAATCCCAGCTACTCAGGAGGCTAAGGCAGGAGAATCGCTTGAAACTGGCAGGCGGTGGTTACAGTGAGCCGAGATCGCACCATTGCGCTCCAGCCTGGGCAACACAGCAAGACTCTATCTCAAAAAAAAAAAAAAAAAAAAGAATACGTGATGTTTTCTAGATCTGCTTTCTCAATACATTCATTTTCTCCAGGAACCACATTTAAATCCCTTTTCAGTGCCTGCCAGGACCTTCATGCTCTGGGTGCCTGACTGTCTCTGCAGCCTCTTTGTAGGCCACTTTCCTTGCCCATCAATCAAGGCCAAGGCCTTTCTCCTTCCCCAAATGCACCACACCAAGCATCCAAACTGTGTTCTTTGCTCTCCTGGAATACTTGACCTTCAGAACATCACCCCATTCGCCCTCCTCTCTTCTCCACCTGCTTATATTAGCCACACACAAATGTAGCTAGTAGAGCAAGTACTTAGAATTTTTGTACAGTGAAATAAATAAACCAATAAAACCCTCAAAGATATTACAAAATTTGATAAGTGAGATTCATGGCTAGCGAGTTAAAAAAACTATACCTGATGCAAAATGCCATCCTTCAGAAAGGACAGAAGGGTGGCACCTTGTATTTGGAAGTGTTTTGTCTATAAATAAAGCAGAGATCTGAGAAAGGAAGTTAGACGTGGAAGTATTTTTAAAAGGGAGGAGAGAAAGATACACACACAGTGTTGAGGGTGTATTCCATTAACGGACTGGTTTTGGGTGGTTTTCCAAAAGCGTCTTGTTTATTTACATATTTTACTTAGTAAGGGATTTGTATCATCCTTTATACCTTGTTTATCTCATTTATTTACTTGCTAAATAATTTGTGTCATGGTCTGAAAGTATCTTGCTTATTTCTGTATTTGCTTGTTTATTGCAGATCAGATTGTGGTGCTCCTTTGAAGAAAACCATCCAATTAGTCCCTCAGAAGCACCATAAATAAAAGCCATTTCCTCACTCTGACTCACCAACTTCTCACATGTCCCTTGCCAGCCACACCCCAGCTACACACAAACTTCGTTCAATCTGCGGAACACTCAGAATTTATTCCCAACTAAGACTCTTTGCATGGGCTGTTCCCTCTGCTATTGATAGGAGAAGTCAGCAAATTTGCAGGATACGGAGATTCGCTTACAAAAAAATCAATTATTATATATTCTGGCTGGGCATGGTGGCTCACACCTGTAATCCTACCACTTTGGGAGGCCAAGGTGGGTGGATCACCTGAGGTCAGGAGTTCAAGACAAGCCTGGCCAACATGGTGAAAACCTGTCTCTACTAAAAATACAAAAAAAACAAAAATTAGCCAGGTGTGGTGGCGGGTGCCTATAATCCCAGCTACTTGGGAGGCTGAGGGCAAGAGAATCGCTTGAACCGGGGAGGTAGAGGTCTCAATGAGCCAAGATTGCACCATTGCACTCCAGCCTGGGCAACAAGAGTGAAACTCCGTCTCAAAAAAAAAATCATTTATTATATATTCTATCTTCTTACAACATACAATTTAGAAATGAGGTTTTAGAAGATATCATCTAAAATAGCATGAAAATAAGTTGTGCAAGTAATGTGTTTTGTGATTAATAACGTGATACAATCCTGTGAATAATCTGTTTTCTATTAGTAAGATTCAAAGTCACCCCTATGACAACATCATTTAAATGCACTTATTTTCTGATGTTTCAAGAGATAGACTAGTTCTCATTTACTGAGGTGTGACATTGCAGTTGTCTGTCTTTTTTCTAATCACTCTAACCATGGATAAATTTACATTAAGTAAGAAGATCAGGGATAGAACAAACTATGGACAGTGCATATACCTCTCCATGTTAGAAGTACAATAATTATGCTGTGAAAATCCTCGTGAATAAGAAAATGATTGGTGTGAGCCTGCCTTGGAGAAGGGAGGCCAATCACCAATTTTATTGTATCTAAATTTGCATTATTGAAGGCAGGACGTTGCAGAGTTTCTTCCCACTGTAATTAAATGGGTAATTTTTTTTGTTTTTTCCATGAAATTACCTTTGAGATTGTGGATACACACACACACACAAATGAACTATATTAATGTACTCCTTGACTTCCCCCCAAAAATATGCAACACTGTATACTTCATTCAATATGTGTGTGTTGGGGAGTGAGTAGTATCAATTTCAGATATGTCCACAGATCTCTGGGGTTCCTCATGTGAATGCCATCTGTCATGTGTCCTGTGCTCAAATTGTGGCTTCACCCCTTAGCAGCTCTGTGACCTTGTGCAAGCTAATTAACCTCTCTGGGCCTCAGCTCTGCATCTGAAAAGAGAGAGTCAAAATAGTCCCTACTTCACAGGTTTGGTGTAAAGACTAAACAAGTGAATGCATGTAAGGTCTAGGACACAGCCTAGTGCATAGCAGATGCACAATAAATGTTAGGTATGACTATTACTGCACTGGAAATTTACACAGCCTCAGGCTTCGAGTCTCATGCCAGACAATTCTGCCACTGAGCTTCAGGGAACATTGGTTGGGTGATTTGCCATCTATAAAGGAGACAGCTGCTGTGGCTATTGGTCACAGAGATTAGCAGTCTGACTAGGTACTTTTTCCTTCCTCCATAACTTTATCCCCCGGGAACATGGAATACAGGATCACTCATCCTTTCTCCCTCAGTGCATCACCTCACCCACCTAAGAAAATCGCCAGGCCAGAGACTGAATGCTTCTTTGTCCTGACATCTCCCACATAGAGAGAACTGAACCAAAGGGCATTGCTGCCACCTCTCCATCATTCATCCTGGCACAGTGGACCTCTCCAGACCTTCTTACAACTATAATGAAGCACGAACTAGGAAGCAAACACCGAACAGGATGGAAACTGAGCCACTGTGACACATTTTTAAACACCTTCCCCAGCTCTCCCGTATCTCTGAGCTTGTTCCCCTTCACAATCTCCATTAGTAGCAGCGATCTTATAATCACAGTCGTATGTGTCAGTAGAGAGGAAACACTAATTTATTAAATCTGTCATGCTGGTTTTCTCTAACAAAACAACCAGGGGTCAGTTCTGTAGGTGTGAACACATGCACACACATAGATACAAAGATACAGACACAACCACTGCCTAAAATCTAAGACAGTTATAAACTCAATTTTAGTATGTGGTATGATAGAGCTATGCAGTTTTTAGGACAACAACATGGTGTCCTCTCTATTTATATCAAAAGGAGGTAGGTGTAGCATTTTTTAAATTAATAGAGATGATTCAGATGACAACAATACTTAAGCATCTTTTCTAAGTGATAGGATCATAAGTAAGGGAAATGTCTTCGGAAGCAAACTTTATCTGTCGCATTGGAATGTCCCCTTTCCATTTGCAAACTGTAAATATTCGCGTAGCTAAATTATGCGTTAAATTGCTTTTGCTCCAGACATACCGACGCCTTCACAGGTGTAACTGAAAACCAAATTTGGCCCATCACAACTGATGAGAATCAACTCAAGTAGGGGCTTTGCTCACAAATGTACAACCTTCCCCAGAGTCCTGATCCTGTGCTACATTTTATTCTTTAAGATCATTATGTTAGGACTTCTTAAGTGAGGTGTACAGAAACAGACGTGGTTTTGCACGTGGCGATCATTTCCATGGTGTCTATGGGGCCGTTTAAAACTCTGCTCCTTTAGCATGATATCCAAAGCCATCAAAACAGAGTTCCCCAGGAACCCTGTTTTGGAGAGTTCCAGGAAAAATGTCCCTTTTTTTCTGAATTTATGAGACATCTTCTCTTAGGAGGAAGTCACAGAATTTAATTTAACACTCCTTAGTCCTGAATAGAGGAATATTTCAAGTGTGTGGCACTGTACTGCTTGCCTGATAGGAGCTCAAGAAACATTCCTTGATAGGCTAGTTGGAACCTAAACATTGCAGCATGAGGATGGACACACGCAAGCTCTCAAAACTTCTGGGGGACTGCTGCTGTGATTTAATTGTCTTTGCAGCTGTAGAAGTCTAAATGGAAACTATCACATTAATATCAATCCCCAGTAAGCATTCTAGATGGATGAGGCAGCTGCACCGGTAGCAGATTCCTAGCTATGTGTTAATTATTCTTTTTTTTTTTAATTTCTTGATTTAGGGCAGTGAAAAACAAATTTTAACTCCCTACTTTTCCGTTTTAATTAGAGGCAGTTTAGTGTTTATCTGGAATTTATTTTTTTATGCCTCACCTATTCGAGGCCAAAATTAAGAAAATGAAAATAAATTCAGGATGATGACTGGCTTGAAAGCAGAGAGCAAACTTTGATGACAGTTTCTCAGCTAAAGATTTTACATTCAACCTTTTAAAACTTAAATAATCAAAGAAAATTTCTACAGACTCCAACAGCCCATATCTACCGTTGTGCCTACATCCCTCCTGTTAGGATAAATAATTGAGATTACATTATAAAAGGCATTGAGACTTCTGTCTTAGTTTCTTTCTGTCTCTGTCCCTCTCATTCTCCCACTCTCTCTCACTCTGTGTCTCTCTGGAGCAGTCCTATGGAGGTCCATATAGAGGGAACTGAGGCCTCTTGCCTACAGCCATGTGAGAAAGCTTGGAAGCAAATCCTCCAGCCCAGTCAAGTCTTCAGATTGCCTGTATTCCAGGCTGACAGCTTGACCTTCAACCTGGTGAGACATCCTAAGCCAGAATGACCCAGCTAAGCTGCTCCCTGATTCTTGGTTTTCAGAAACTGTACAATATAATCAATGATTGTTGAGTTAAGCTGCTTTTCTTTGTGAGTTCTTTGTTGAGGAGAACAGAAAACTCTCACAGTGCCTTTAGACCATTAAGGTTTAATGTAATTACTGTTGTAGTTGGGTTGACATCTACCATCTTGTCCCATCTGTTCTTTGTTCACTTTTTCCTTGTTTTCCACATACTTTTGGATCCTTTGCTGACTTAGCAGCTATAACTCTGCATGGCTATGTGATGGTTGCTTTAGGGTTCATCGCATACTCTTTAACTCATCACAGTCTACATTCAAGTAGATTTCATGTATTGCATAAGAACTTTAAAGCAATTTAAAGTTTCACGTGTTGTGTAAGAACTTTCATTTCTCCTGTCTGTCTTTATGGCATTGTTGTTATAAATTTTACTTCTACCTATATTTTAAACACCATACTATATTTGATGTTTTTGCTTCAAACAAGAAATTTAAATAATAAAAAATTATATTTGTATGCACAGTTACCATTTCCAGCATGCTTTGTTTCCTATAGAACTTCAACATATGCTTTATACTATATAAAACTAAACTCAAAATGGATCATAGACCTTAATGTAAAATGTAATATTATAAAACTTCTAGAAGAAACATAAAAGAATTTTTATGACCTTGGGTTAGGCAAAGAATTCTTAGATATGATCAAAATGATAATCCATAAAGGAAAAATTTGGACTTCATCAAAATGAGTAACTTCTGCTCTTTGAAAGATACTGTTAATAAAATGAAAAGCATGCCACAGTCTGGGAGAAAATATCTGCAAATCTCCTACCTGATAAAGGAATTCAATGTCAAATATACCAAAACTAATAAACTCTAATGAGAAAGCAAACCTAATAAACAGATGGGCACAAGATTTGAAGAGATACTACAGAAAATATATGGATGGCAAATGAGCACATTACAAGCACTTAGTATCACCAGTCATCAAGGATGTGCAAGTTATAAGAAAACCACAAGGAGACACTACTACATACAAACTAGAAATACCACTACTTACAAAATAGACTCACCATATCAAGCAGTGGTAAAGATGAGCAACTGAAACTCTCATTTGCTGCTGATAAGAATGTAAAATGGTACAACAATATTGGAAAACAGTTTGTCAATTTCTTTAAAAGTCAAACAAAGAAACTACCATATGGCCCAGCTATTCCACTTCTAGATACTTTCCCAAGACAAATGAACGCATATATCTATACAAAGACTTTTACAGAAATGTTCCTAGCAAATTGTGGTATATCCATATAACAGAATACTACTCACTGATTAAAAGCAATGAGGCCGGGCACAGTGTAATCCCACACCTGTAATCCCAGCACTTTGGGAGGCTGAGGCAGGCAGATTGCTTGAGGTCAAGTGTTCAAGACCAGCCCGGCCAACATGGTGAAATCCTGTCTGTACTAAAAATAAAAAAATTAGCCGAGCGTGGTGGTGCATGCCTGTAATCCCAACCACTCAGGAGGCTGAGGCAGGAGAATTGCTTGAACCCGGGAGGCAGAGGTTGCAGTGAGCCGAGATCGCACCACTGCACTCCAGCCTCAGCAACAAGAGCAAAACTCCATCTCAAAAAAAAAAAAAAAAAAAAAAGCAATGAACTGCTGATACATGCAACATCATGGATAAGTCTCAAAATAAAATAATGCAGACCAAAAAAGTATATATACTAAATGATCCCATTTATGTAAAATTTTAGAAAATGCAAGCTAATCTACAGTAAAAGCAAATGAGTGGATGCCTGGGGACAGGAGGGGTAGTGATATGAAGAAAGGCAGGAGAGAGGAATTACAAAAGAGCCCAAGAAAACCTTCAGGGGGTTCACGTTCATTATCAGCACATTCTTTATCTTGATTGCAATGGTGGTTTCATATGTTGAAACTTGTCAGATGATACCTTTTAACTATATGCAGCTTGTTGTTGAGCTTAAGTCAACAAACACTGGTTATTTATGCTATGTCAGTTACACCTCAATAAAGTTGTTAAAATAAAATAGATACAGATCTTTGCTCTTCTGCCGCTCACATGGGAATGGGAACAGTGAAAGATAACTATATTTTTGAGTCCAGGAGTTCGAGACTAACCTGGACAATATAGAGAGATCTTATCTTTAAAAACCTGAAAAAAAGTTAGCCAGGCATGATGCACACATGTAGTCCCAGCTACTCATGAAGCTGAGGTGGGAGAATCGCTTGAACCCAGGAATTCAAGGCTGCAGTGAGCCATAATCATGCCTCTGCCTTCCAACCTGGGCTACGGAGTGAGATCCCATCTCTTAAAAAATTATTTTAAAGATAAGTATATTTTATTAAGTTGAATGATATGAAATTGCCATTTCTTGTGGGCAAAAAAATGAACAAATATGAATGTCGTATGACTCCAACTAATAAATGTTATCGTATGGTAGAAGTTGGTAAGTGCTATGGGTAAATGAGAAGTCAAGCCTGGTAGGGCAATCAGGATTTCCAGGTGGAGGCACAGTTTGCGAATTTTAAAGAGGGTGTAATGTGACTGGGGTAGGTCTCATTGAGACCGTGACATGGAGCAAAGACGTGAAGGTGTGAAAGGGAGGGCCATCTGGTTTTTTGTCCTTGCGATAGTTTGCTGAGAATGATGGTTTCCAGTTTCATCCATGTCCTCACTCATAGGTGGGAACTGAACAATGAGAACACTTGGACACAGGAAGGGGAACATCACACACAGGGGCCTGTCATGAGGTCGGGGGAGGGGGCAGGGATAGCATTAGGAGATATACCTAAAGTAAATGACGAGTTAATGGGTGCAGCACACCAACATGGCACATGTATACATATGTAACAAACCTGCACATTGTGCACATGTACCCTAGAGCTTAATTATAATAATAAAAAAAGAAAAAAAGAAAGCGAGGGCCATCTGGATTTTGGGGGGAGAGAGCCATCCAGGAGGAAGGAAGCACCAGGAGAGAGACCCTAAGAATGCTATACATGTTTACAGAATAGTGAGAAGCCTGCTGTAGGTAGAACCTGAAAAACTTTTTTTGTTAAGATATTGAGGAGCTCATGGAACAGCTGATAAGGCTGGAAAACAAGACTGATAAGGCACAGAAACAAAGCGAGGAGACACAGCCAGAACCAGAGACAATATCAGGCCTAAGGGGCATCATCCTGGCTGCATACTGGAGCTTGCCTGGGCCTGGGCTCAGCACACTGGCACTCACACCGCTGCTACCAGCTGCTGGAGGGCTATCCCCTCACTCTAAGTCTTCCATGATTGGCTCCACAGCTACAGTTCCAATGGATAGATCTGTTTTGCCAAGGGTGTCTCCTGTCCCCAGCCCTCACTGCCAGAGAAGGGAGGCAAACATCTGGAGTTTCAACTTGCACAGTGGGAAGCGGCCCCCTGCCTCCTCCTATCCCCGCACAACCTCTCAACCTCCCTCCCCACACCCGCCCCAATATACTCATAGGGGTGGGGGAGTTACTTCCCCGCACATGAGAAAGGAGATAAGACAAGGTCCAGGAGAAAAGAATAAAAGAGACCTAACTCACCCTCTGCAGTGAAGAGCCATCAGGAAGAATTTGCCTTGGCTTCCCTTGCCTAGATGCCACCAACAGTGACAATTTTATGGTAGAGGGGAAAACAAGGCGGACATTTATATGGTCTATAAAACGTCCTGCTGAAAATAGTCTTTTGGAGTCTGACAAATGACTGCATAAGCCAAAAGGAAATAAAACTCAAAATTATCTGTGAATATAAAATGCACGATAGCTTCCAGTGGATCTGCAGACTGGAATCAACTACCACAGGGGTCCCCAGGAATTCAAACAGCTGCTTTGCTGTTGCAATGACAGAGTATGGTTGGCTGTTGCAATGACAGAGTATGGTTGCATCTCCTGACCAGAGAAAACCTGCCTCTCTGCAACCCCCTGTCCCAGGCAGCCTTGCACTGTGAGCATCACAGTCTGAGGATAGTGGCGCTGCCCTCCTTCCCTGCCAGGCTGCCAGCTTCTTAGAGTCAGGAGGTGTGACTTGAAGAAATGAGGAACCCAAAACACTGAAAGTGATTTTCAAGTGTGTGACTTCACTGTTCACATCGAATCAAATGGAAAGGAGAGGAGAGGAGGGGAGGGGAAGAGAGCAGAGGAGAGGGGAGGGGAGGGGACGGGAAGGGAGGGAGACTTTGAGAGCTAAGTACAAAACAAGGGTGGCTTCATGGACCAGGGACTAGGGCTGTCACCCAAGGTGCCACACTCAGAAAGAGGGACCCTGAGCTAAGGGTGTAATGCTCTGGGGTCACTGTCTTGAAATGCTTAATAATTTTATCTTTGAATTTCTCTACAGTCCTATGAGCTACACAAGGGCTGTAACCTCTACTCACGTGTATCCCACGTCCTGCCCCCTCCCCACCTCCGGCTCCCTCCCCACCTCCCGAGAGAGGCCTGGAGTTGTCCCCAACCGCCCACCTCCAGATGGAGGCTTGAGCATGCTCACGGGTGGGGCCTAGGGTGGACACACACTTCCTTCAAGAGTAGCCCAGTGTAGAGGAATTGCAACACTAACTAGTGAATAAAACACAACACGGCAGCTCAAGAGAGACCAGGGAAAAAAGTATTCTCTTTTTAAATCAGAAAAAAGTGTTCTGATTTTTTAACAAAGAGCCCTACATTTTCACTTCGTCCTGGATCAGGCAAACTGGGCATCCAGCTCTGCACAAAGCTAATAGGAAAGCAAGAAAAGTGCAGCCTTGGGAATGGAGAAGGAGCAGGTGCAAGTGAGGGAGGGGGAGGGCTGACAGAGCTCCAGAGCCCAGGCAGCTGTGGACATGGTTCCCGGTTCGCCTTTGGCATCCAGGGTGCAAAGCCTCGTTTTTGCCCCACCTTAGCTGTGCATGAAGGAAACAAAATATTTAAAAAGCAATTGCAGGCCAGTTCAGTGGCT
The DNA here is from genome assembly GCF_000001405.40 of Homo sapiens. Classification (NCBI taxonomy): domain Eukaryota; kingdom Metazoa; phylum Chordata; class Mammalia; order Primates; family Hominidae; genus Homo; species Homo sapiens. Next base: position 224,320,110 of record NC_000002.12, read on the forward strand.
CATGCCTGTAATCCCAGCACTTTGGGAGACCAAGGTAGGTGGATTGCTTGAGGTCAGGAGTTTGAGACCAGCCTGACCAACATGGTGAAACCCTGTCCCTATTAAAAATACAAAAAATAGCCAGGTATGGTGGCGGGTATCTGTAATCCTAGCTACTCAGGAGGCTGAGGCAGGAGAATCGCTTGAACTCGGGAGGCAGAGCTTGCAGTGAGCAGAGTTCGCACCTCTGCACTCCAGCCTGGGTGAGAAGAGCAAAACTCCATCTAAAAACAAAAAAAAAAAAAGAAAGAAAGAAAAGGCAATTACGGCATGCCATGTACTCAGCTGGGAACTGGAGCTGCTTATATAAGATGTGAAGGGTCAATGTCTTTTAAAAAGTAACATTTGATCTGAACCTGCAGTGACATCTAATCTGAAGCCAGCCTGAAAGAGTGTGGGGAGGAATATTTCAGATGGAAGGAACAAAGCCCCGAGGTGGAAAAAGCCTGATTAGCAGTGGTTTACCAGTGCTTTACCAGTGATTTGTGCAGAAATAATTTTTAAAATAATGACCATAACCCATGATATCAACTGAAGGAATGTCTCCTCTCTTTTGACCTTAAAGTAGGAACTATCAATGTTTAATCCACTAAGTTACAGGCTTGACCAACTGCTGATGGATATTACCATTTGCCATTGGAGAATATTGATGAGCTGTTGAACATTAGCTGTGACCTCCATTTACTACCATGAGTTGATACTAAGTGCCTCTTTATTACCTCCAGCTTTCCCTAAAATACCATTTAGAATAAATGTGCTCATTCAACAAATCTTGCTTAAGCACCTCTTATGCTCAAAGGCTCGGTAGGAGAAACATTGAGGAATAAAACCTCCAGATTCTTTGGAATCTAACCTAGCAGTGGGAAAAAGGCACTTAACCTTGAGATGTGATAAATACTAAGAGAGGTACTGAATTAGTGCAGTGGGAGTCTAGCTGGGATAGAATCCCTTTTAGCTGAGGTTTAGTGGAGGGAGGGTCTGTGAGCTGAGCCAAGAATCAATGTTTTTTTTATGTCAAGGTATCAGTTAATATTAGCCTTAAAACAATCATATAAATACTTAAAAACTCAGCATCTTGTGTATCACAAGTTTTACAAATTTTTTCTTAGCTAATTAGAAGCTTATCAAAGCACTTTTTAAAATTAGATTCCAACTATGCTCATTTATTTTACCAAACTTCTCTATGAATCAGTTTGCAGAGTACGTGAGACTAAAACAGAAGTCATCAAGATGATTAGCATTTTTTAAGTTTCTAGTTCTCTGAAACAATGCAATTTAAAACTCTCAAGGTGACTAAATCATAATCTTTATAAAGTCTTATTCTTACATTATGCTTAAAGATTCCTAGATTTAGACCTCAACATACTTTATAGAATACCTAATTCCATCCTTACATTTAGAAATAATAAAACCTGGCTGAGCTCAGTGGCTCACGCCTGTAATCCCAACATTTTGAGAGGCTAAGGTGGGCAGATCACTTGAGGTCAGGAGTTCGAGAACAGCCTGGCCAACATGGTGAAACCCCGTCTCTACCATAAATACAAAAATTAGGTGAGCTTAGTGGTGCGTGCCTGTAATTCAGCTACCCAGAAGGCTGAGGCATGAGAATAGCTTGAACCTGGGAGGCGGAGGTTGCAGTGAGCCAAGATTGTGCCATTGCACTCCAGCCTGGGCAACAGAGCGAGACTTTGTCTCAAAAAAAAGCAAGCAAGCAAGAGAAAGAAGAGAGAAAGAGAGAGTGTGAGAGAGAGAGAGAAAAGAAGGAAGGAAGGAAGGAAGGAAGGGAGGGAAAGGAAAGGAACTGGGCTCCAAAGAGTCAATTAGCTTAAATAAAGTTATATTCTTCCCTTTCACTGTCCTTCTAATATTTTTTTTCTCAGAATATCTGTTGGCATGTAATAAATTAGATAGGTTTGTAAGCAGTCCTGTTGTCAGTTGTTGGCAATAAGGTGAAAGACATAGAAATTGATGTCTGGAAGGCACATCTGGAGGAGAAAAGACCCTGGTTACGATGCTTCTGTGAGCAGAGGCCCATACTTACGAGGAACCTGTGGCAGAATAATGGTCCCTTCAAAGATTCCTGCAACCTGTGAATATATCAGGTTACATGGCAAAAGACAATTAAGGCTGAAAATGGAATTAAGGATCCTGACTTATCTGAGAGGAGATTTTATCTTGGAAGGAAAGTCGGGTAAGCCCTCCCTGAACAAGAGATGTTTGAGGTGGGATCTCAAAGGTGAATGGGAGATAATGAGGTCACAAAAACCAAGAGAAACCATCCAGGTGGTAAAAATGGCATAGGCAAAAGTCCTGAGGCCAGCAAAGCATGAAGAATGTGAGGGACTGAAGAAGACAGTGTGGCTGGAAGGGAGAAACGGAGAAAAGTTGGTCTAAAACGAGGGTAGAGAAGCTGGTAATGGGATGACTTACTCAGAGCCCTGGAAACCGGATGAACCAAGTCCATCTTCACCTTGAAAGCAATGGCAAGCCATTGAATGACTCTCGCAGCTCAAATGGAGGTTAAAAGCAATTCATTTTCAGGATAAAAATGTACTTGGACAAAATGCATCTTTAAGGAAAGCTGCAGAGTAATCCAATAATGTGCTTATGCATTTTGTTTCAGAAGGCTTTCTCTTGAATCTTGAATTTTGAATAAATATGACTAACAATGACAGAATTGCTCTCTGTAGAAAAATATGTGCTATAAAAATCCAACTTAAAAAATTTTTAATTCATGGAATTTTGCTAACCGAGTCTATTTTCAGAACGAAAATAAACTAGTCTGGACAGAATTTTAATGAAATGTTCCCATTAGTATTATTGTGAGTAGATGACAGACTCCAAGTTCCAAGAGGATTAGGAACCAATGTTTCCTAGGGATTCTAGTATGCTTTACAAGTTCCTTTCTGACTGGCTGATGTAGGCACGGGACGTTGATGGCAAAATTCCCCGGTATAAAAAATTCATAAGGAGACACCTGGGCCCAGAAAGTTTTCCTAACGAAACACACACACACACACACACACACACACACACACACAGATGGCTTACAAAATGATTTAATCAAATCACATATGTGCATTTCATAAATGGGCTTTTTTGAAAACAACAAGATTACATGAAATTGACATAGTTCTAGGAAATCCAGTCTGTTTCTGTAGCAACCAATAATTAGCATGCACATGATCCTCTAGTACAATTAATTTCTAAGTGTTGGAATGGTTTGATGCTTCTAAACATCACAAAGGAAGAACTTGATTTAAAAAACTATTTAAAATATAAAACACACACACACCATTTAAATCTAAAAGTACTGTCCTTCCATCTCCTTTAACTTCATCCTTGCTGAGGTTTTGTGTTTTGGTGAGAAAATGGAGGGCAGACTTTGCATTCCATTGAGCTTTCCTTTCTCATCGATCACTTGGGTTAGTTAGCCACTTTTGCAGAAACTCAAAAGATTTTTTCTCGTCACAAGTTAGTTCAGCTGAATCGGTAGTTTGGGCTGGATACAAATTTGCACAGTGAGCTTCACCTAAAATGTGAAAAGGAAAGGTCAGAATACCTCTACAGCAAGTATTCTTAACTCTGGTTGCACATCAACACATCTGGGGAGCTTTTAAAAATACCTATGTCCAGGACAATTCCCAGAAATTCTCAATTAATCGGTCCAATATTTATTTAAAACACGTATTGCTTGTTATCAATTATCAAGTGATACAAATGAATGAACACTACAGGAAATTGCCTAATCTTGTCAATTTAGAGATTCATGTTTTTAATAATCTCATCCTTCAACTCAAAAGTATGACATAAATTAAGCTCCCAGGATATGAGTTTATTCCCTGGAAGTTACAAATAGAAAGTTAACAGCTACTAAAATAAGAACAAAAGCACGATTTATAGTTTTGTAGAACTTTAAGCTACGTTTAATAAATATTTTTGTTTCCTTTCTTTTTCAGGTTAAAGAAAACAAAACAAAACTGAAGCTCAGATAGTTTACGTGACTTGTAAAGTCACGTGTTGATGAAGCCAGGTCACTGGGACATGTATTTTACCTGTCCTGACTTAACAGTGATCTAGAAATACATATGGAAGCCTCCTCCATGCACATATACCTGACTTTTCTTTGATTTCCAAGGATTTGGGAGGACTTTGGGCTTGAAATCGAGGTGATAGCTTTGCAAATACATTAACATAATAAACTGAAGATTTTCATTTTGCAAGTGGCATAACACGTGAACATCTCAATACTAAAAATGGATTATTTTGAATTATTTTAAAGCTTACTTCAATAATTTCCAACAAAGAAAACTTAATTTTCAGTCACAGGTTCCTTGCATCTCTCATGAATTTATTGCACTAAAAACTAGGTAGATACATCATTGGGTACATCATTTGCCTTCAAATCAAATTTATGTAGACAAAATAGCTCAATTTAACGAGTAACAAGAGTCCTGAAAGAATGTGACCTTACGTCACATTATCTGAAACTGCGTAAACCACTTATCGAAAAACCTTTAAGCCCAACAGTTGACAAAGTCGTTCATTTTGTATCCCTACAAATACTAACAACTGTGTTACCCTCAATGTAAACAGCAGGCAAATCTTTACTGATATCTTTTATGACTCCCAAAGCATGCCAAGGGTCAATGAAACCTTTGGCAAAGACAGTTTTGCTTCCTGTCACATTCAGGCCACCGTAGAACTAAGTGTGGCCTGAACAGCCTAAGCCACTGAAACATTATTGAAGTCAGGGCCCAAGATATCTGAACATTGCTGAAGAAAAAAAATCTGCAAAAAAAAAAAAATTATAGTTTTGATCAAGCAGGAATGAGGAGTTCAAGAAGGGTATAAAGAGAAAGATGGTGGAGATTAATTTTTGTGCTTTGTTTTCTTCTGATAATCTGGATTTACTGGAATTACTAAAGAAACTTCTGTAACTAAAAAAAAAAGTTATTGGATGGGTACAGTGGTTCATGCTTGTAATGTCAGTGCTCTGAGAAGCTGAGGTGGGGGGGATCTCTTGAGGCCAGGAGTTCGAGACCAGCCTGGGCCACATAGCGAGATCATATCTACAAAAAATTCTTTAAAAAGAAAAAATTAGCCAGGTGTGGTTGTGCGTTTGAGGTTACAGTGAGTTATGATCATGCCACTGCAATTCAGCCTAAGCAACAGAGCAAGAACCTGCCTCTCTAAAAGATAATAATAAGAATAAATTATTGAAAACCCAATGATCTCAGGTTCATTATTTCTCATGGAGACATCTCTTCCACATGCTAAATTATTAGTTTCTTGCCAAACACCTAAAGATACTGTGATACAGCAAGGTAGCTTTTCATTTGACCCATGCATATATTTCCATGAGAATGTTTATAAACATGATATTCTTTCTTACTCAGATGAAAGCATGTGCTGAGATCCTATTCTCTAAACCTTAACTTCCTATGTACATAAGAAATGCTGGCTTCATACTTAGAGAAAAGTATGCATTTCTTAATCAAAGAACTCATACACAACTCAAGATAAATCCCTAATACTGAATGAGTTCGTATTGGAAAAAGGTAGTACTACTTTCTTTCTAAATTCAGTTGTGATAGTGACCCTCCTTTAAAAGAAAAAGGGTGAAGAGAGGTAATAATCTTATGCAGTATACCTCTAAGTCAAAAGTGAACTTCTGGCTTCTTTGACTTTTTTTTTTTTTTAAGATACAATTAGCCAGAGTTTGGATACAAGAAATGGAAAAAAAGTTAAAAGAAAGCAAGTAAGGTGTAAAAGCAAGATAACAATGGTTAGTTGCAAGAATTTGTCATAACAATGAAAAATTGAAGAAAGAGAAAGGAAGGAGGAGAGAAACTTCCCTCCTGAATCCTGGGCTGGAGCTGGATGGGCAGTGAATCCAAACAAAACAAAAGGAGAAAAAGAGGCCTGGGCTCCTCACACCCAGCAGCCCAGAATGAAGAGACACACAGAGGTGCTGGCCCCTGTCCAGGCTCTTCATGCCTCCACCGAGGCACCACTCCAAAACAGGTGGCCTGGTGTGGATCTTTTGCCTTTCTAAACCAGGGCTGCATTCCTCCTCACTGGGGAGCTGAGAGGGTTGTGGAGCCAGAAAAGACAAACTATGTGCTTCACTTGGACATTTGGTAATTTTGTGTTATTTTATCCTCAAAATTTGAGAGAGAGACAGACATAAAAAATGGAGGTACATGTGCACCACACACACACACAGAAAATCCTTCTGCTCCTCATATCAAAAAGAAAGAAAGAAAAAAGGAAAGGTAAGAGGAGGAAATAGGAAATCATTCTCCATGTCTAGCAACCTCAATTTATAATGTGAACTTCCAAGAGCAGGGGTTATCCTTGGCTGAACCAAACCAATAAATAAGAACAAAAAAACACTAACAGATGAAGTGCAAGTTGGAGGCCTGGTGTCATTTCTCCAGCAAATCTTGCCTAATCTATAAAGGTAAAATATATAGATATCTTGCATTCTTTGATAAGAATGTGTATTTTACTTACGTCTTTGGTGTAGCTTATGATCCTAATTTGGATTTTTTTAAATCAACACATCAAATATTTTGGGGAAACAAGTTTTAAATGAAGTATCTCAGTAATGCCAGCCGTTAGGACAGAGAATGCTAGTGTATACCCTCTCTTGTGTCACAGAGAGCCATTAATGTTTCTGATTCTCTGGAGTTTGATATCAAAATAGAGTGAGTTAGAGAAACTGAATTTTAATTTTGTATTGTGACTTCTCAAACTTCCATCTGGAAAATTTCTCCATTAATTTTTCATTGATTTAGGCATGGCCAATCTGATGAATATAATTATTCCTTTAAACATAGAAACAATTTGCAGTTGTGGATTCTAGTGGCAAACAGAACTCAAATTCTTACAGGGAATCCAGAGAAGGGCTGGTTCTTCGAACTCGTGCTCTGCTAGAAGCCAAATTCAGTGCAAGTCTGATAAAACCATTGCCTGGCTAGAAAGCAAAACGTCAATTATCTTAAGAATGATACTATTTCGCTGGTGACCAGAAAAAGACCTAAAAACTTTAAAGGATTCCATTTTACAACACTGTCACACCCTAGAAGAACAATTTGGATCTCCATTTTCCTCGACATTTTTTAGTCATGTCCATACATAACCACAGCAAGGTGCTGAAACTGTATCCTGTGATCGGGCATGCTATCATGGCGCCCACATGCTCTTGAAGGAGCCCCTTCCCTTCCTCTCAGCACCTGGGGTCTGTCCACTCCCCTTCCTCTATTCCCAATCTTTCTAGGTCATGCTCCACGCCCTCTGCATCCCTCCCTAGCTGACTTCCCCTCAAGATCTCCATTGTTTCACAGCAAAGTTTCTTTCTTGAATGAGTGATGCACACTTGATCCATTTGTTCATCCCCTTCTCCATACCTCAGTCACACTGTGACAGGATGCCGTCCTCCCCAGGTGTCCAGGACCTCTCAAGTGCAACAAAGAAACTTTACACCCGCCTCCTGCTTCTATAGCTGACCTTACCCCCCAAGCACATCTTCTGAGCTTTGCGCTTGGCTTCTGGGACACCTCCCTCTCAGATTCCCTCCTGCCTTGCCCAGGCTCAGCTCCTTCTTCTGCCCATTGTTTACATCTTGGTGTTCTCTTCATCCTCCTCTCTCTAGGACCCAAATCCTAGCTGCTAACTCCCAAATCGCTCCTCTAGCCCAGCCTCTCTCTCGCTTGCACACCATACCCTCCAGACACCTTCACTGGAGCCTCAAAAACTAGATGCTTAAAACAGAGCCAAATATCACCCTTACCAGACTCCTTACTCAGACATCTTCTCCACTTGTACATCCTCTCTTCCATCCACCTGGGCCAGAAAAAAAATGAACTCCATCTTGAGGTCCTTCTTATCTCTCACCTCCTTACATAGATGGTTCACTGAGTCCTGCCAATATTATTTGCCAGCGTTCTTGTCTCCGCAGTCACTGCCCTTGTCAAATGCTGGGTCCTCATCGTTTCATAGGTCAACTGTCACGAAGGACTCTCAACTGCATTCCCTGCCTCGTTATCTCTTGTCCCGTCCACCCTGCAAGCCCTTGGGAAAATATTTCTAAACCTCATACATGCTCTTCCCCTCCCTCCCCTCTTATTGATTTGTATGGACTATATGATCAAGTTCAGGCTTCTTAATGGGATGTAAAACTCTTTCTGATCTGGCCCCGCCCACTGGTCCAACCTCATGTCTTGCCACCACACCACCACCTCCCACACTCCCATTTCTCAAGCTGTACCCCACTTCTGTGGTCTAGACCCAGGTTTGCTCCACATCTGTGTGCCTTTTCTACTTCTACTCCTGCCTACATAAAAAAACATGCTTTGTCTTCTGATTTGAAAACTTCTGCCCATCCTGCCGCCTGAACTCAGAGGTTACTGCTTCTGAATTTTTCCCTTACCCTTTCTTCATACTGTCTTCCTGTTTCATTTCCAGATCTTCTCCGACCTTCTTGCACATGTTCCTATGAAAGTACCCATCCTCAGCATCTAACACAGTGCCTGGCTGGAAACTAAACCCAGGAATTAGAATTATGAGTAACCATCTGGAAATGTCATTCATGTAAAGTCTAGCAGTCATGTCAAGAACCTGGGCATCATCCTAAGAGTTTGTAGCTCTTAGCAGATAGGGAAATAATATAATAAAAAGCGACCCAGAGTGCCTGGAAGGGGGGTGAGGGACAGTTTACAATTTTAGATGGAGAGAACAGGGTGGGTGCCACTGAGAAGGCAGTTTGAGCAAAGATTCTAAGGAGACGAGGGAGTGGAGAAGATGACGTCCTGGAATGTTGCAGAGCCAGTGTGGCTGTCCCAGAGCAAGCAGGGTGAGGGGAGTAGGAATGGTGTCAGACTGGATGGGATTCTGCATGGCACTGTAAGGACAATGGCTTTTCCTCTAAGAGAAATGGCCATCATTGCACCATTTTGAGCAAAGGATTCAATTTGTTCATTAGGGATCACTACAGCTGCTGAATTAGAATAAGTGTAGGGGCCAGCACAGAGATGCAGAAACAGGTTAGGAAGCTGTTCTAATAATCCAGCGGAGAGGAGGTGGCAGCCAGGGAAGCAGAGCCAGAGGAGTTGGATTCTGGAGAAATCTAGGCCCAAAAACTTAAAAACAGTCTTGGAAATAGACTTGGAATTTTTCCAAGTACATATTCTGGAGTCATAATCTCAAGAAAATTTCTAGCACTGACCTACCCAAGACATTTGGAAGATTTGCTGTGTGTCAAGTATAACAGGAAGACTAAAGTTTCTCTTATTTTCCTGTCAATCTCATTCTCCATAATTATCTTTTTATATTTACATATGGACATTTGATAGGGAAGTGCAATCAGACTATTATAATGCAGTTCTTAAGACTATTTCCCCTCCTACAGGTGGAGTTTTGCACATATATACCTGAACTATGCCTGTATTACACATAATTACACCTGCAGGTGTATCTAACTTCTTGAAAATATGAGTTATGGACAAATCAATGCATCAGTAATCAGATACTGAAAGTTAATTTTAATAGGCAATGCTTTTCCCAAGGCTATCAATCCTTCCATAACTCCATCAACATTTGTGAGCCCTTATTCGCACCAAGCATTATCCAAAACACTAGAGAAACAAAAATGAACAAGCCACAGTCGTCTTTGGCTTCAAATCGCTGACAGTCTAGTAGAAGAGGCAAACATACAGCACAGCTTTAACTTCACCCTCTCTAAGACATCTTGCACTTAAGCCTACTCCTTCTGCAAACTGGCAGCAGTTGTAGCCCTCACACTCTGGCTGAACACCCTCTCGGGTTCTGCCTACAGCACCCCTGGAAGCAAATTTAAAACTTGCTAACAGAGGAGCTGGATGCAGTGGCTCATGCCTGTAATCCCAGCAACTCAGAGGATCACTTGAAGCCAGGAGTTCAAGACCAGCCTGAGTAACATAGCCAGACCCAATGTCTACGAAAATTTAAAAATTAACCAGATGTGGTGGCACACGCCTGTAGTCCAAGCCACTCATCTCCGGAGGCTGAGGTGGGAAGATTGCTTGAGCCCAGGAGTTTGAGGCTGCAGTGAGCTATGATCACACCACTGCACTCCAGACTTGGCAACAGTTGAGACCCTTTCTCTTAAAAATTTTAAAAAAAAAATTTAAGCTTGCTAGCAAGAGGCACTATCCACACCTTTGCTGCAGCATTTTAGGCAAAGGACTCTTCTAGTCTATTTGGGCTCTAGTTCACCCCTGGGGGTCCCTGGGCAAAAATAAAAAATAAAAATGAAAAAAGCACAGAAGAAAGCATAAATACCTCCTCCTAGGGAGATGTTAAATTCGGATAAATACTAACCCTCAGGCATGGGGCCAGGGCATTGGTGCTGTTCAAAAGCTCTTTGGGTGATTCTCAGGTCCAGCCAAGGATGAGGAACCCCACAAGGAACTGCAGGTAGAGCACTTTCTTGCTACTGACAGCTCTTCTTTCAGGTGGTTAAAAGATAACAGCATGCTTCTGAAAAGCACTGTGGAGTATCTTTCTTGATTCTGCTCTTTAAACTATGGGCGTGTGAGAATTGCCCTCTTTCCCATGTAAAGAGAGTTGTTTGTGATGTCCAGCACCCCCTTACTACTTGTTCAAGGACATTTAGTTCCTAGTTCCTTGGTAATTCCTCCCTGTGCTGAATTCAATTTTTGTAATTTGGCTACCAAGAATGTTTAATGCTGGTGGTCTATGCTCACATTTCTCAACCCCCAAATGCAAACTCCAGATGTCACCAGGCAACACTTTACCTCCTCCTGCACCTAGGCCTTCCCAAGAAGAGTTAGCCAGCTCCTCCATGTATGTCTTGTAATTTGGGTCATGGCACAGAACTCTGTGCTTCTCAGTCATGAGACACGAAACCATTGCATATCTATAGACTGATGGTGTGTGGAGGTGGCAGAAGGGATTGACAATAAAGGGCTGGGAGAATTTGGTGGGTGATGATGGAAGTGTTCTACATCTTAGCTGTGACAGTGGTTGCTTGACTGCTTATGTTTGTCAAACTCAAAACCACACACTAAAGAAAGTAAAATTCACTGTATGTCAATTATGCCTCAATTTTTAAGAAATTTTTAGAAAAGAATATACATGGAACTAGCTTTCAAGTCTAAATGAAATTTACATTTGCAACTTATTTTAAATGTCTAAAGTGATTGCTTTTATTCAAAGAAGATACAAATGAAATAAATATAAATTCCTACAGGATGAGACTCCAGGTTACTTAGCCTGGAAGATGATTGCACGAAGCTTCTGCTTGTTTGGTTTTTCTCCTTGTAAAAGATGAAAAAAAAAATGCTCAACTCTCCTAACTGGTTGCAGGGATAACTTAAAAAAAAGCAAAAAACAAACAAAAAAAACCAGACAGTTGAAAATCTCCCGTGTGAGACACATTTCTTACAACTGCTCATTTACTTTAGCAATGGCAAGCAATCCCTGGGGTTGTTGGCCTGTGAATAAATACTGCATTTTCACAACTTCCTAAAGTTATAAAACTTTGCCTGTACATTTGCCGTATTCTCAGGACAGCTTGTGCACAGCAGACATATAAGGCAGCATGCCTGTCCCTGGGGAAGACAATCTAGATGAAAAGACAAGACAGAAAGCCGAAAAAACACAGGTAAATAAGCTGCTGATGGACTTTGCAGATAGGGGAACAATATGGGCTTGAGTAGTTACTGGTGGCTTCTGGGAAAGATAGGAATTGAGATAAATCTGGAAAGTTGTATAGAGACGGTAAGACAGTGCCTTCTGGCAGCAGGAATGATCAGCGAGTAAGGACAGTGCAAACAGGAAAACACAGAAATGACCTGGCACAGGCCAGGCACGGTGGCTCACTCCTGTAATCCCAGCACTTTAGGAGGTCGAGGCGGGCAGATCACGAGGTCAGGAGATCAAGACCATCCTGGCTAACACAGGAAACCCTGTCTCTACTAAAAATACAAAAAATTAGCCGGGAGTGGTGGCCGGCACCCGTAGTCCCAGCTACTCAGGAGGCTGAGGCAGGAGAATGGCGTGAACCCGGGAGTCAGAGCTTGTACTGAGCTGAGATCGCACCACTGCACTCCAGCCTGGGCGACAGAGTGAGACTCCGTCTCAAAAAAATAAAAAAAATAAAGATAAATAAAAAATAAAAAAAGAAATGACCTGGCACTAAAATCATCTGTCACCTTGACAGCAGGGTAGTGTCTTTTCAGCCAAGCAGTAAATCCAGGCTTGGATGGGTCTGGCAAACCCTGAAGCCTAAAGCTCAGCTTCCCTCCTTTCAGGAGGATTCAGCGGCCAAACCCAATTTCAGCCAGGTCAACATTTACCACGTAGCTTACTACATATCCAGAGGCCTATAGGGAACTGGTTGACAAAGTATGTCTGACGCTACATTATAATGAAGCTATATTATAATAAAGCATGGATTCAGTGTTTTTGGTTGAACCAAGGGAAGAGGCTTCAATAACGTATTTTGCTGAGTGCATAATGTATTGTCATGGAATAAGTGACTTTTTTCCTCATTTCTCTGACTCTTTCTAGGGACAAATGTCAAACTTCACAATAGAACTATACATTCAGGTCAGGATAAGGAAACCCACAAGATTTTCAGACTGTGTTCTACCACTTAATGCAAAAGGAACCTTCATATTTAATTTTAGTGTGCTCTCAGAATAAAAGATTAATTTTTTTAAATGACAGGCCAGAAGATTTAAAATTTGCAGTTACTGACCCACACAGATCCAAGGCTGTTCTGAAATTCTCTGGCCTAATTCCCTTAAACAAACACACACACACACACACACACACACACACACCCCACAGCCAGGCATGGTGGCTCATGCCTGTAATCCCAGCACTTGGGAAGGCCAAGGCTGGTCTGTAATCTCAGCACTTGGGAAGGCTGGTGGATCACTTGAGCCCAGGAGTTTGAAACCAGCCTGGGAAACATGATGAAACCCCGTCTCTACAAAAAATACAAAACAAAAAATTAGCCAAGTGTGGTGACATGCACCTATAGTCCCAGCTACTTGGGAGGCTGAAGTGGGAGAATCACCTGAGCCCGGGAAGTCGAGGCTGCCGTGAGCCGTGATCATGCCATGACACTCCAGCCTGGCCAACAGGAATGAGACCTAGTTTCAAAAAATATATAAAAATAAAATTAAAATTAAAATACACACACAACAACAACAACAAAAACAAGTATATTTGGCACCTTAAAAATTTAGGGATCACCTGTAATCCCAGCACTTTGGGAGGCCGAGGTGGGAGGATCACTTGAAGTCAGGAGTTCAAGACTAGCCTGGCCAATATGACAAAACCCCATCCTACTAAAAATACAATAATTAGCTGGGTATGGTGGCACATGCTTGTAGTCCCAGCTACTCGGAAGGCTGAGGTGGGAGACTCACTTGAACCCAGGAAGCAGAGATTGCAGTGAGCAAAGATTGTACCACTGCACTCCAACCTTGGCAACAGAGTGAGACTCTGTCAAAAAAAAAAAAAAAAAAACAATTAGGGATCAAAGAGAAAAGTCAAGTCCTTCCACATCTGTCTTTTAGTCACTTTCCATAGAACTCCACCCAGAATTATTGGGTGTGGTTTGATAAAAAGCCAAGCCAACATGTGCTGAAGGAAAGGATCTGGTTTGGATTGGTCAAGAACAAAGCGTGAGTGTGAATTGGAGCACTGGCTCTCATCAGATAACACCATCAGCTCCAGGAAGACAGTGTAGCATCAGTAGGGGTGGATGCGAGCAGTCTGCTGTGCCCAGTTAGCCATGTGATTACCTCCCTGTGCTTCAATGTTCTTAACTGGAAGCATAGAGATAAAAATGCTCCCCTCCAGAGCTATTCTTTCAAGGGAATGACATAAAGTTTGTGAAAATGCCCAGCAGAGTGTCTGGCACAGAATTAGTATTCAGTAAATCCATACTATCCCCATGACAGTGTGAACATTTAATTAAGGAAAAGACAGGAGGATGAACTCATTGGATTGACATAGAGTCTTTGCTCCAATCCAGTGATGTGTGGAATTGATCAATAAGCCACATGTCCAGATAAGAACATGGTCTGTAACAGCAGGACAAGTAAGCCAGGACCTTGGGGGTCAGGCAAGTTCAAATCGTGACCTGGCCTATAGTTCACAACACTTTGGATAAGCCACGGAAACTGCTTAAGTCAGTTCCTCATCTGTAAAATTAAAGTAACACGGGGATGTTGTGAGGATTATAAAAGAGAAAGAACAGAGACTAGTTAGTATCGGGCTGAGGCCAGCTAAGCCTTGGTTTATGGAAGGTGCTATCAGTATTGTTCATTAACTATATGGAACTATTCAGAGAGCTTCAATGTTCATTTCTGGGCAAATTTGCTGTTTTCACAAGACCAATAAATAAGCCAAAGATGGCCTTCTATAGAGGATGCATGCTCTTGGCCTTCTATAGATAGATGGAATGATTCTATCAGCATTGGAAAGTAACCTCTGAATGATTTACCAGATCACTGGAGACCAGCCAGTATGTCCTGGACCTATTGTCATCTTTGCGGAGAGTTCCTGTGCAAGGAATGAGAGACCTAATGCCCCACTGATAAAGCAAGCAACCACTCTTCCTTTAATCAGAGGCAAGACAGGTGGGCATAAAATCAGTGATTTATGGATAAAAGAAGCCAAGAATTCCTCGCTGTATAAATTACAGGGGACAGCACTGCTGCAAAAATGTGGATCTTGCATATCCACAAAAACATAAGAATGCATATTCAGTCAACTCAGTTACTTAAAGTGATAGAAAGATTTATGCCAAACATGCAAACTAAGTGAAGAATATGCAAATTACACAGCATGTGCCAAATCTGTACTTTTGGAGAGAAATTGTTGAGAGGGTCTGCTACAGAGCAGTAGCCTCTTGATGGCCATTATTTTCCATTGGCTATGTCTAACTATTCCTATGAACTTCCTTCTGTAAAGAACCTAAACACAGGAGTTATTTAAAATACAGAATAAGAGAGAGGCTTGTAGGGTTAAAATATATATATAGTTAAGTTTATGGTTTCACATTCAATAGAGATCACTTTCTAAAATTTTTTAATTTTTTAATTTAAAATTAAAGATGAGGTCTCTCTAGGTTGCCCAGGCTGGTCTTGAACTCCTGAGCTCAAGGAATCCACCCACCTTGGCCTCCCAAAGTGCTGGGATTACAGGCATGAGCCAGCCCATCTAGCATCTAAGGTTTTTTAAATCAAAGATTACAAAAAGTGGCTACATTCTAGCATATAGTCATCATTATTTTATGTTTTGAAATAGCTTCTAAATATTTTAATATAAAAGATGGGTAAAATGTGAATTTTAAAATAATGTGGTAAAAGTTGTGCTCATCGTTGAATTTGTGCCAACAGCCCCCAACCAATTCCTGGTCCTCAAGACTAGAGATGCACATTTTAGTGCCTAAAAAGAAGTCCGCAATGTTAACTCTCCAGTGTGATTTTTTGTTTTCTGTTTTTGCTTTTTGTTTTTTGAGACGCAGTTTTGCTCTTGTCGGCCAGGCTGGAGTGTAACGGTGCGATCTCGGCTCACTGCAACCTCTGCCTCCCAGGTTCAAGTGATTCTCCTGCCTCAGCCTCCCAAGTAGCTGGCGTTACAGGCACCTGCCACCATGCCGCCCTAATTTTTGTATTTTTAGTAGAGACAAGGTTTCACCACGTTGGTCAGGCTGGTCTCAAACTCCTGACCTCAGGTGATCCACCTGCCTCGGCCTCCCAAAGTGCTGGGATTACAGGCATGAGCCACCATGCCCAGTCCTCAGTCTGATTTCTTTAACCTACTCCTAATTTTGACAGCTCTCAGGAAGAGAATACCCACTTAGTTTCTGTTCTTTCTGTTCTTCCTCTCAGTCCTTTTCTTTCTTTCTCTATTTTGCTTGCTCAAAAGACATGTTGTCTTTATAAACCGAATGGCCTCTATAAAAGTGGCTGCCAGACTTTCCAGCAAATAGGCTGGATCCATTTCTGAGTTAATTTGGAGAGTTTTGCATACTCAGAGGAAAAGAAAAGCATGCATATAATTTCCATTCCACTGAAGTTAGAAATCCCAAATGTAGAAACAAAATGAGCCAATGCTAGAATCAATGCTGGATTTTGAATAATTTATATTGTTTCTAATAGGTTTATATGGGTCATGTGATCAGTTCTAGCCAATATTTTTAATTTTCACTGAGAATGATTTGTAAATATAACTCCAATTCATTTTATGTACCACTGAAGCTTTCAAAGTGATTTTAATTAAAGTATTATATAAAAATAATGATGTTTGTTAAAGTGTTTTTATATCATTGTAAATAACATCACCCTAAAAATGAGAAGTTAAAAAAATTTGGTGTTTTTATGATTAATGTGAAGTGACACATCTAAGCTACCATCACTCATTTAGTGATATATTTATCACTGAACAAATTATGTTTATGCAACTTATGACACCTGGCCTTAAAATGATGCTTTTCTAAATGCTCTGCTACTGCCAATCATCATGGTCTCTTGGACTTTGGGACATTGTCAACTACTTACTCTATCAGTAATCTCAAATTGCTATAAATGTCTGTTTGCTCTCTACTTTTTAGATTTCCTGATCACTAATTGATGTGGTTTGGATATTTGTCCCCTCAAATCTCAAGTTGAAATGTGACACCCAATGTTGGAGGTAGGGCCTAGCGGGAAGTGTTGGCCATGAGACTGGAACCGTCATGAATGTCTTGGTGCCCTTCCTAAGGTAATGAGCGGTAATGAGTTCAGGCAAGATCTGGTTGTTTAAAAAAGTGTAATACCTCCTCCCTCTCTCTCTCTCGCTCTTCTCACCATGTGATACTCTGGCTCCCCCTTTGCCTTCTGCCATGACTATAAGCTCCCTGAGGCCTCACTAGAAGCTGAGCAGATGCTGGTGCCATGCCTGTACAGCCTGCAGAACCATGCGCCAAATAAATCTCCTTTCTGTATAAATTACCCAGTATCCCTTTATAGCAAAGTGAAACAAACTAATACACTAATTAAATTAATTTATGCCTAGTGTGGTGGCTTGCATCTGTAGTTCCAGTTATCTGGGAGACTGAGGTGGGAAGATTGCTCAGAAAGGGGTCGGACACAAAATTAAAATTCAGTAAGTTACCTCTTAACTATTTTCATCATTACTACGAATGAGACTCATTTGCCTTCCTCATTAAGGTTTTGTAGAAATGTGATTTTTTATTAGGCTTATTCTAGAGTTAGGCTTTTAGTTTTTATTTCTGAGCTTCCTTTAATATTTTACTTTGCTTCCATTAAAAGAAATGTGAAAAGAAAACATACCAAAGGAAATAAACTTCTATTCTTGTAGGCATTCAGTACTGGTGTTTTGGAAAATTTAAAGCAATATTATGTCCTTTTCTCATTCCTGTACAAAATGATACGTGCATTTATGGCATTTATGTGTATATACATTCATTTTATCATAGCAGATGCATAGAAAAAATTCTGGAAAGAAGAATGGACACTAGATTCTTAACAATGATTGTCTCTAGGGATGAGATTAGAGGAAATTTATCTTTATTTCTGAAGTAATGTAGTTTTGTTTAAATTTTAGTGTTTCAGGTCGGGCGTGGTGGCTCACACCTGTAATCCCAGCACTTTGGGAGGCCAAAGCGGGTAGATCATTTGAGGTCAAGAGTTCGAGAAGAGCCCAGCCAACATGGTGAAACCCATCTCTACTAAAAATACAAAATTCGCTGGGCGTGGTGGCGTGTGCTTATAGTCCCAGCTACTTGGGAACCTGAGGCAGAAGAATCGCTTGAACCCAGGAGGTGGATGCCGCAGTGAGCTGAGATTGCACCACTGCATTCCAGCCTGGGTGACAGAGTGAGACTCTGTCTCAAAAAAAAAAAAATTAATGTTTCAATAGTTTAGACCTTTTTATAATCATGCAAACAATGAAAATGTTAAAAGATAATTATCTTTCCAATTACCTTGGTCAACACAATGCAAATTTTCTGTAAAGACAAGCACTACTGTTTGCATGTGTGTGTACACGTGTGTACAAATATTACAGAGCCCAAATGTCATGTAATAATGATGCCTAGATTACTGGGAGGAAGGAAAAGCTCTGTCTTCTGCCCATAGCCCTTATACCATTCTAACCCTGTGCTCACTATGTCTTGTTCCCCACTGCTTCCCTGAGATTCCCACCTAGTCTGGCCTAGAACACATGGTTTCATCATTCTGACCCAGATCCCACCTTTATCCCAGAGGACTTTGTGTTTGGAAGTGGCTGGTGGTGTTGGATGCTTCTCGACTTTTCAAAGTTTGAACTACCTGATGCTGTCCCCTCCCCCTAAGCTGAAATCTTATTCCATGTTCAGGCGTACTTCACACTAGGAGATTTCAGATTTCCCCAGAATAGAATTTACTCCTAGAAAGCAGCATCAGCTTTTAGAAGTTGGATTCCCTACCACAAGTTTCTAAATTCCCCGTGGATTTGCAATAGACAGGCTTGGTCAGGGCACTCATGACATAGTCACAGCTTAATATTGTGTCCTTCACATGTGGGGACAAACTGTCTCCTGGTCACAGATTGCATTCTTTTTTTCTATTTATTTATTTATTTATTTAGAGACAAAGTCTTGCTCTTGTCGCCCAGGCTGGAGTGCAGTGGCGCAATCTCGGCTCAATGCAACTTCCACCTCCCAGGTTCAAGCCATTCTCCTGCCTCAGCCTCCTGAGTAGCTGGGATTACAGATGCCTGCCACCACACCCAGCTAATTTTTGTATTTTTAGTAGAGACTGGGTTTTACCATGTTGGCCAGGCTGTTCTTGAACTCCTGACCTCAGGTGATCCGCTCGCCTCGGCCTCCCAAAGTGTGGGATTACAGGTGTGACCCACCACACCCGGCCTCATTCATAACCCCAATTAGCCATCTTGAAATCTTATGACCAAACATCTCTGGGCTCCAGTTTTCTTACCTCTGAACTGGACAGTGTGTCCTCTAAGACCCCTGTGAGGTCCAGCTTCTAGAATTCCATGGAACAATAGACACTGGGTAGGCTAGAAGAGACAAGGGAGGTGCTGGTAGGGGGGTGTTATAACCTTCAGGGCACAACCATCATGATTCAAGATAGCGTCTCCATGCCTGAAAGACCTGGTACAGCTTATGCAAAAACACTTCATCCTGCACAGTGTTTAGTTGAGGTATGCTGTTGACTCACCACTGGCTGACTGTGTATTTTCAGCAGGTTTCTTATTAGAGCTGCTAGATTTTCATAAATCCCTTCATAGTTGATAGGGTTAGAGGTTCTTTCATGGCACAAGCAGAGCACATAGGGATGAAACCTATATTCTGGATCTTATTAGAATCCAGAGCCTCTAAGGAAAGGATCAATAGGACTCTTGGATTTGCAATACATGAAGTCAGGTGTTAAGGAATTCCAAAAGAAGTAGCCAGAAACTATGCCTTAAATGCTAGCATATGTTAAAAACTGCTCTCACTTGGAGAGGTTTAATTTGTCATGACACTGTTTTAAAGAGATTGTAAAACTTAACTTCATCTGATTAAAAGAAACGCTTGAACGGGTGTGGTGGCTCACGCCTGTAATCACAGCCCTTTGGGAGGCCAAGGCAGGTGGATCACCCGAGGTCGAGAATTCAAGACCAGCCTGACCGACATGAAGAAACCCCATCTCTACTAAAAACACAAAATTAGCTGGGTATGTTGGTGCATGCCTGTAATTCCAGCCACTCAGGAGGCTGAGGCAGGAGAATCGCTTGAACCCAGGAGGCAGAAGTTGCGGTGAGCCGAGATCGCGCCATTACGCTCCAGCCTGGGCAACAAGAGCGAAACTCTATCTCAAGAAATAAATAAATAAGTAAATAAAAGAAACGCTTACCCATAATGATCCTGTTGTATTAGGTACCAGAGTGGTTCTCTAGAACAGTCATGAAGTACTTTGAGAATGAGCTTCTAATGCACTGAAGTTTTGTTTTGTTTCGTTTTTTCCTGTTGTAGACTTTCTGTACCTAAATCTTCTGTGTTTTTAAGTGATTTCTAATTTGATGTACAATCTAGCTGATCACAACACCCAGGTTATTTGATAAGCCTCCCTCAAAAATCACAGCCCTCTTTTCTGCCAAGATATAGAACCTCCAATTTGCCCCCTGGTGACCTTGACCATCTAGAAAGGGTAATTTAAGAAAATGACCTCCCTTTGTCTCTCCCTCTGCTCCCTGCCACACTGATGAATTTTATTATCAAAATTAATACTTGGGAAACCAAGAGAGGGACAAAAGTGTGACTATTGGTTGAAAAAATCTGAATGTAAGTTTTCTGTGCCTCAGGTCCCTTCGTAACTAGCAAAATTCTCATTTAACAAAGCAGGTCCTCAGACAGTCCCAGAAGTGTCTTCTTGACCCTTCTTTCATATTTGGCCTAGTAAGAAACTGTTTCTTAACCCCTCCTTTTTTTTCTTTACCCTAAGACCCATTAAAATATACAACTATGAATGGCCTTTGAGGGACTATCTCCCAAAACAGTATCTGATCAGTCTTCAAGAAGGCAGTGAGAACCATTGTTTTATATCCTTTAATTATATCTTATTTTCATCTCTCACATTCTTTTCTTCTGTAGAACTCTCCTATTTTCTGATAAGAAACTCCTTTACTCTCATTTAAACTCCACAAAGCAATCAACCAAACACAAGACCTTCTTGTGCTGGAGGAAAACCTACCCCAAGTGTAAAAGATACTTGTGCTTGGTGTAAAAGAGACTCCTTTAAACGTGTCATGGTTTCAACAGCCCAAAGACCTCACATTATCCAAAACACTTACATTATCAGCTAAGAAGAATATTGCATGGGCTGGGGTCCAGGGTCCTTCCTTCCTCTCTTGGGGACTTCAAGGTGTCCCTTGATGGCACCTACTCTTGTGTACCTCCCTTGAGCTTCCTTCTGTGAAATCCAACATCTCTTTCTCTGAGCTCACCCCACACCCAACCAAAAAATATATCTATTCAATATCTACTACATGATAATGATGAACTATCAAAATTCTTTGATAGTGATAAACCTCTGTAAGTTACCTCAAAGCAGCAGGCCTTAACTTAAGGAAATGTTAACAATGGTGGAAAATCCAAGTCCATGTCAGGTTTTCAGGGCCCACAATCTCTGTGTTCTCATGCACAAACTTTCACTTACTTGAAATCTTTCGTCAGCTCATCATGGTTTGCTGAGCTTTTCAGCATCTCCACCATGATGTCAGAAGCCTGCCACAATTTCTGGGCATTCACTATTATGTGCAGCCAGAGAATTTTGCACAACTTCAAGGTAGTATAGAATACAGAAAAAAAATTAAACATGGTCATTTAATATGACTTAATTTTGATAATTCAAGCACCAGAACAATTTAATTTCTTTTAAGTTTTCTTTGAACTTTCCTTAATATAGAGATCTAGGAATTGATGAATTTAATTATTTTTTCAGGATGGAACAAAAAGTCAATATGAGAGCAGAGAAGCAAAGCTATGTTCTGCAAGTCCTAATTAATCAATCAACTGGGACACAGTGATTTCTAAAACATGCAAGAAAACAAAGAGGCCCAGCATAGTGGCTCACACCTGTAATCCCAGTACTTTAGGAGGCCAAAGCAGGAGGATTGCTTGAGGTCAGGAGTTCAAGATCAGCCTAGGCAACAGAGCAGGATCCTGTCTCTACAAAAAAAAGAAAAGAAAAAAAATTAGTCAGGTGTGGTGGGACATGCCTGAAGTCCCAGCCATCAGAAGACTGAGGCAGGAGGATCCCTTGGGCCCAGGAGTTTAAGGTTATACTGAGCTATGATTACACTACTGCATTCCAGCCTGGACAACAAAGCAAGACCCTGTCAAAAAAAAAAAAAAAAAGAAAAGAAAAGAAAGAGCAAACAAAGACTCTATTTGGGGACCTTATAGACTCAGAAGATAATAAGCTTATAGTGAGGCTATAGAAACTGGAAATTGTATGCCATTTAATGCTTGTTCACCATGGAAACATTTACCATTAAAGCAAATGCTAGCTAAAGTGCATCTGAAATTACCTGTCTCAGAAGTGTCTCTCCGATTAAAAGTTTTATGCCTTTCCCAGTTGAATGTAAATGATAGGTATTTAGCCATATACACCTCCCAAAATCCAAGATGTTAATTGTATATAATTTTCCATAAAATAGTTAATTATTGTAGGTTATAGAAAGGAGAAGAATTAAAAGAAAATTCTGAAATTAGAAAAATATACCTATCAAAAACAAGAACTTTTCTTTCATTTACCTGGAAATTCTGGATTATTATTTACTTCACTATTCAAGTTACAACTGAGCTAACCCACTTTAAAGGCAACCCAATCAGTTACTCTTAGAAATGGATAAATAACTGTCCATTAAATAACAATGTGTGGCCTGGGTGTCTCTCATGGAGCTATTATCACATAATGAGGTTGGAGGTAGGCACAGGTGCTATTGGATGACCATGAGGGTGATCAATGAACTTATCAAGTGAGTCATCCCCTTCCAGAACTATCTTTCTATATTAAATGTGTACTCACCATAAAAATCAACTTTTGCTAAGAGTGATGCACTGCTGTCCACGACTGCAGCAAACAACTTGGAGTATTTTATTCTCAACCACACTTCAAGGGATCCTGCGCAAGAACCACCAAACACAACCCACAGGTTGTCAGCAAGTCCCATTTTCTCTGCCATGGTGGTTCAGAAGTTGGCAAGATTGGCCAAGGCTTGCCTGCTGCTGAGATAGTGGAGGCTAGAAATACTCAGGTCTCTACAAGACTCTTTGTTTATGACAACAGATAGAGAGGAATGACAGACTACTTGACACATGCTTAATGAGGCCAAAATGCAAGTGTGGAAGGCACATTGAGATCTATTCCCCCAACTTTGAATATTTTAATAAAGATGTCCAGAAGAGCATTCTGGTTAACAGTGACACCTAAATGCAGGCAGGAGAAAGCAGAAGGAGCTATCGTTTCTCAAGTCTCATTTTCAGTATGGACTTCCCATCCTCAGCACAGGTTAGAAACTCCAGAGGGTCGCCTATCACAAGACATTCTTTCGTCTTGCCCTGTGCAAACTGAAATGAGGTAATGAACTTAGCAGCTTCACTCCAAGGGTAGCTCATACTTAAAAGAAATAAATTGACACTGCTTCATTGTTTTCCAAGAATTCAGAGAATCCATGGTTAATTGTGTAGAGAGTATTTCACAGTCTTTCTGGTTTGCCTGTTAATATCCAGACTAAGCCAATACGAGCTTGGGTTTCCTAAGGTATGAAGGAATGAAAGAGCAATTTACCATTGAGCTGTTGTTCAGTGGGGCTTCCTATAATCCTACGGAAGCCTGTTGTTTGTGTTATTTGTGTGAAGTCTGTCTTTAATCCTCAACACCCAAAAAACCAATTCACCCTCCCCTCTCCTTGCTAGACCTAATAATTTCAAACAGTGTAATGCTCCAAGCTGCTGAATGCATATCTCAAAAAAACGGGCTAAGGATATAAAAAGACAATTCACAAAGAAGAAATGCAGATAGCCAATGAGCATGTGAAAAAAATGTAGTACTACTAATAATCATAAAAATGCTAGAAGCAGCCTGAGGTCTGTACATGCCTGGATTGCCTATTTCTGAATTTTTACGTGAGGGGACAAAAAAAATTCTGTCTGCTATTTAGGGTCTTATTACAACCAAAATTTATTCTAAATGAAACAAATTATACCCTTTAAAACAAACAAACAGAAATGCACAAAACGATTCATGCACTAGGATGTTCTCTGCAGGGTTATTCACAATCGTGAAAAGAAGAAAGAATATAAATATCCAATAATCATTGGAATGGTTATATGAATTTAACTCATCTGTTGAAGAGAATATATTTTCTATGACACCTTTGTAAACCATGGTTTTGAAAGCTATTTAATGTTATGGGAAAAAACTTACAACAATGTCATTAGGGGAAAAAAGATCTAAACTTTAAACACAGTTTGACTCTGTTTTGGGAAAAAAAATCTACACATTTAGCCATAGAAAAAGAGCAAACAAATGTCTATGAAGCTTTTAGCAACAATTATCTCTGTAGGTCAGATTATGAGTAACATTTCTTTCTGTTTTTATAATCTTCTATATTTACTCCCTGTATTATAGGCTGTCCTCACATTGCTATAAAGAAATACCTGAGACTGGGTAATTTATTTTTTAAAAAAAGATATTTAATTGGCTCATGGTTCTGCAGGCTGCACAGAAAGCATGGTGGCATCTGCTTCTAGGGAGACCTCAGAGAGCTTTAATTGATGGCAAAGGCAAAGAGAGGGCAGGCATCTCACTTGCCAGGAGCAGGAGCAAGAGCAAGAGAGAGTGACAGGGGAGGTACCACATACTTTTAAACAATCAGATCTCACAAGCACTCCCTCACTATCGTGGAGACAATACCAAGGGGATGGTGCTAGGCCATTCATGAGAAACTGTCCCTGTGATCCAACCACCTCCCACCAGGCCTTACCTC
Source organism: Homo sapiens (assembly GCF_000001405.40). Classification (NCBI taxonomy): domain Eukaryota; kingdom Metazoa; phylum Chordata; class Mammalia; order Primates; family Hominidae; genus Homo; species Homo sapiens. The sequence continues at coordinate 224,344,722 of NC_000002.12, forward strand.
CAACATTGGGAATTACAATTTGACGTAAGATTTGTGGGAGGACCCAGATATAAACCATATCATTCCACCCCTGGTCCCTCCCAAATCTCATGTCCTTCTCACATTTCAAAATAAAATCATGCCTTCCCAACAGTCCTTCAAAGTTTTAACTCATTCCAGCATTAACTCAAAAATCCACAGTCCAAAGTCTCTCTCATCTGAGACAAAGCAAGTCCCTTCTCCCTGTGAGCCTGTAAAATCAAAAACAAGTTAGTTACTTCCAAGATACAATGGAGGTACAGGCATTGGGTAAATACACATGTCCCAAAAGAGAGAAATCAGCCAAAAGAAAGGGGCTATAGGCCCCAGGGAAGTTTGAAACCCAGCAAGGCAGTCATTAAATCTTAAAGCTCCAAAATAATTTCCTTGGACTCTATGTTGCACATCCAGGGCACACTGGTGTGAGGAGTGCACTCCCAAGGTTTTGGGCAGCTCCGCCCCAGTGGCTTTGAAGAGTTCAGTCCTCGCAGCTGCTCTCATGGGCTGGTGTCGAGTGCCTGCAGCTTTTCCAGGCATATGGTGCAAGCTGTCAGTGGATCGACCAATCTGGAGTCTGGAGGACAGTTGCCCTCTTCTTACAGGCAGTGCCCCAGTGGGGATTCTATGAGGGCTCCCATATTTCCCCTCTGCACTGCCCTAGTAGATGTTCTCCATGAGGGCTCTTACCCTGCATCAGGCTTTTTCCTGGACTCCCAGGCTTTTCCATACATCCTCTGAAATCTAGGTAGAGGATCCTGAGCCTTAACTCTTGCACTCTGTACACCTGCAGGCTTAAAACCTTGCGGAAGCCACCAAGGCTTATGGCTTGCACCCTCTGGAGCAGCCCAAGCTGTACCTGGCCCCTTTGAGCCACAGCTGGAGCTGGAGTGGCAGGGATGCAGGGAGCTGTGTCCCAAGGCTGCACAGTCAGGGTCCTGGGCCTGGCCCATGAAACCATTTTTCCCTCCTAGGCGTCCAGGCCTGTGATGGGAGGGGCTGCCATGAAGGTCTCTGAAAAGCCTTCAAGGCCTTTTCTCTGCTGTCTTGGCTATTAGCACTTGGTTCCTTTTTAATTATGTAAATTTCTGCAACCTTATTGAATTCCTCCCTTGAAAATGGGCTTTTCTTTTCTGCTGCATGGCCAGAGTGCCACTTTTCCAAACTTTTATGCTCCGCTTCCCTTTGAAATATGTCAGTTTTAGATCATTTCTTTGCTCACACATATGAGCATATGCTGTTAGTAGCAGCCAGACCATACATTGAACACTTTGTTGCTTAGAAATTTCTTCCACCGGATACCCTAAACCATCACTCTCAAATTCAAAGTTCCACAGATTCCTAGTGTAGGAGCACAACACAGCCAAGTTGTGTGCTAAGGCATAACAAAAGTGACCTTTACTATAGTTTCTAATAAGTTCTTCATCTCCATCTGAGACCTCCTCGGCATGGACTTCACTGTCCATATCTCTATCAGTATTTTGGTCAAAACTATTCAACAAGTCTCTAGGAAGTTCCAAACTTTCCTTCTTCTTCCTGTCTTCTTCTGAGCCCTCCAAATTCTTCCAACCACTGCCCATTACCCAGTTCCAAAGTTGCTTTCACATTTCATTGTATTTTTACAGCAATGCCTCACTTTGTGGTACCAACTTTCTGTATTTGGCTGTTGTTGCATTGCTACAAAGAAATACCTGAGACTGCATAATTTATTTTTTTTAAAAAGAGGCTTAATTGGCTCACAGTTTGGCCGACTGGACAGGAAGCCTGGCAGCATCTGCTTCTGGGGAGGCCTCAGGGTGCTTTTACTCATGGCAGAAGGCAAATCCTCATGCTTGTTCCTTGGCCCCAACTCAAGGATGTTTTTCCCCCTCTCTCCACAGAATTTGTTCTTTATTTGGATCAACCTAATCTCTTTCCCAGATAACATGAAGTTCTCCTCTTTGGGTATTGGAGGGAAGGGCTGGCATGAGAGAGGAAGGGACCTGGAACATAAAGGATTGTCTACAGCAAATGAGGAAGGAAAGAGTGCTGTAAACATCTCAGGGCTTGTAAGTGTTGCCTCATCAAATAAAGAATGTGATTTTGGAATTCTAAGTCCCTCACTTTTTAATGATGTGGTAACAGTCCAATAATTTCATTAGTTCAACCTTTTTCCTTAGGAACTTTGATTTGTGTGTGTGTGTGTTATTGGAATTTTGATATTCTTTTTAATAGTTTCAAGATCACCTCCACCCCAAACCATCTACTGTATCCCTTAGATATTTTCCAGATTCATTAGATGAACAGTTTGAATCAGCTGTTGTTTCTGACCTTATCCATACAAGTTGTAAATTTGGTCAATACAAGTTTGTTCCAGAATAATATAGAATATCTACTGTTGAAACTTTCTATAGACTATCAAAATTCCAGTAACACCCACAGCCATACACAAATCAAAGTTTCTAAGGAAAAATGTAGAACTAGTGAGATTACTGGACATTACCATATCATTCAAAAGTTAGTGACTTAGAATTCCAAAATCTCATTCTTTTTGAAGCTACAAAGAGACCTATACTATTAACATAAATTATTAATAGTTTTTCACTGCTAAACTGTCCCAAGAATTGTGACTCATACAATAAAGATACCATTTTACTGACATTAATAGCATTCTTGAGGTTATGAAAAGCAATGCATGCTTTCTTGTTAAAATGAGATTTAAAGACAGTGCACTAAAGTTTGATATATTTACAACTTTTAGAAGCCCTTTATAATTGGTTTTGTTTGATTTTATTTAATGATATTAATTATAAGTAAGTTCTTTTAAAAATCAAATTTTCCCACTATACAATACACAAAAATACCAGAATGGAAGAGTAAAATCCTGAACAACTAGACTCTTTATCCTGCTCCTGTGTTGCTGTGAGTCAAAACTTTGACATTACACTTAACTATGACAAACAGTTTTTAATAAAATGGTCACTACTGCCTCTGAGTGGTGGGTTATTTTCAGAGTTTAAATTTCATTCATTTCAAGTCCTTTCAGTGCTAATAGGAGAGAATTTTGACACTGACACTGTAAATGTCTTTTCAAGTTTAGACTTTGAACGTGAGATTATGTTTAAGAACATGAACAGTCAGCGTTATTTCATTTAAAGAAGGAGTACAAAAACTCATAAACGTACAAGGTTGGCCTGCTTTTTCTGTAAAATCTGTGTTCCACAAAGAAGCAGAGGGCCCCCCAGTTTCTTAGCATTCTCCATCAGGGAACTCTCCTGGACAGCCAAGCTCTCTCAGCAGTGCTTTCACCTCCAACAATTAGAAACACGGGGCCTCCAGGCTGGTGGAACTCATCAGTCATGAAAGACCTCTGTGGAAAGAAAAGCATCATTTCAAATCATTAATTAGGATCTGTTGTTTGCTTTTTTCTATTATTAGAAATAATACTTCAACTAATGGTACAACTAATGGTCGTACTATTTAGTTGGTAAAAATAAAGAACAGGGTGATGATCTGTGATCTGACCTAAGCAAGTGACACTGCAAGTCACTTTTCTGCAAAGTGCACATATTGAAAATTACCAGCCAACCAGCTAGGCGCAGTGGATTGCGTCTATAGTCCCAGCTACTGGGAGGGCTGAGGTGTCAGAATCGCTTGAGCCCAGGAGTTTGAGACCAGCCTGAGCAACTTAGTGAGAGCCCATCTGTAGAATAAAAAAGAGAAAGAAAATTACCAGCCAACAATGTGGTTGTCCTAAATCAGACCCAACACAATTACACAATTTGGATTTGGGACTCTATGATGGATTATATGATGGAAAGAGCTGGGAACCTCGGGAAGAGCTGGCAAACCATAAGCTTCTGCGAAGTGCGGAAACATTCGTGGGACAAGTCAGTGACCTCTTGTATGATACAGAAAGATCTTTATGGGTCAGGGGATGCAGAAGCCCCCTGCATCTCTCTTGACACCACAGGGGACAGGTAAGAATGGTAATAAATAAATGAGGCTCCAACCCAGGCATTTAGACAAACACAAACACAAAGAAAATGGATCCATAGAAGGCCTGAAAAAAATAAAAAAAGATAAAAGGAAAAATAAACAAATCAGGAGAGTGAAAAATAACGGAATAAAAATAAATCCAAGAGCTGGTTCTTCGAAAACAAAATGAAAATTTAAAACACACACACACACGGGCCGGACACAGTGGCTCACGCCTGTAATCCTGACACTTTGGGAGGCCAAGGCAGGTGGATCATGAGGTCAGGAGATCGAGACCATCCTGGCTAACACGGTGGAAACCCATCTCTACTAAAAGTACAAAAAATTAGCCGGGCGTGGTGGCATGTGCCTGTTGTCCCAGCTACTCGGGAGGCTGAGGCAGGCGACAGAGCGAGACTCCATCTCCAAAAAAAAAAAAAAAAACCACACACACACACACAAGTAAATCATTACCTGGTCAATTGGTTCTCAACATGGGTGATTTTGCCCAGACCCCACCCCAGGGGCCATTGGGCAGTGTCTGGAGATATTTTTGGTTGTCACAGGGGTGGGGAAGAGGTTGCCACTGGCATCTGGGGTAGAAATGAAAGACACTGCTAAACACCCTATGATGCCAGGACAGTACCCTGCAACAAAGAATTATTTGGCCCAATATGTCAGTTCTGCCAAGATTGAGGAACTCTGATTTAATCTAATCAAGAGAAAAGGGTAGAAAGTACACATAAATAAAATGAGAATGAGGATAGAGAAATAGCCTAACTCAAGGACATCTTTTTTTTAAACTGTAAAACACTTTTTACTCAAATCTAAGCAAATGACTTCACTCAACTTCAAGCAAATGACAGTAATGTAAACACTGTGAATGCTTAAGAGAGTTTGCTTACTTAATAATCTTCTCAGAAAATATGGATTACCAAAAGAGGCTGCAGAAAAGACAAGACTTCTAAACAAATTATGATAGAGAACATAGTGAAAATTGCAAGAGAAGACAGAGAGAGAATGAGGGAGAAAAATAGTTCTGTCAACATTTTAAGGAACAGATTTCAGTGTTTTTTAAATTGTTTCAGAGCATAGAGTAGAGAGAAAACGGTCCTTTTTAAAAGTTGAAGTTACATATGATACCAAAACGTGACACAGAGAGTCAATGCAAAAGGAAATTACAGTGCAATTTCAATTCTGAATGTTAATGTAATGAAATATTAGTCGGACGATTCTATCAGCACTTGAAAGCAATAATACATGATGACCTGGTGGTATTCATATTAGGAATGGAAGTTTCACCTTAGGAAATTTCATATAACTTACCACTTTAATAAATTATAAAAAATTAATATGACCATTTTTATTATTTTTGAAAGGCATTTGATAAAATTCAACATCTGTCCCTTAAAAACAGAATAGATACATATCTTTGTGTCATGAGTTTATGCCCTTTATAACTATCTACAGGATATACACACATATATTTATATGTAATTATGTTTAGTTAAATATAAAAGTGCATGTTAAATATGTGTTTTTTTCCCAATGCCATCATGAAGAAGAGAAAGACTTTTTCCTGAGATAGGCCATTCCAAATATTTCATAGCCAAGAATATAGAGATTATTTCAGAAATGAGCCCATGACACAAATAAAACCAAGTGAGTTCTCTCACCTAGAACTGGGAGCTATGCCTGGAAAGTGGCTTTTTATGCAACGGAGTGTTAGTCTTTAGTATGACTTTGGATTTGTGATTGCAAAGCCTGACCGAGCCTTTAGAGATGTAGAGAATCCAGTGAAATTTGTTTACAAAATTATTAGAGTCCTGGTCTTACGAAATAGGAGGGATATGAAAAGAATTCAGAATTAGAATTAATGAGTTAATTGTTGGTTGAGTTGAACCCAACCAAGTGTTGAGATCAAATCTGATTTCAGAATTAGATAATGTATAATTTTAAGAGGCCTTTAAGACCACTCCATTTGAGAGGCATGGACTTGAAGTCCCTCTTGGCTTAATGGCCATGAAAAAAGGTTCTATTTGTCCCTGTGAATGGTGCAAAAAATACCCTCCCATTATGTTACTCCAGATCTATGCCCCAACCAAGACTGCTGGTTGTATGCAGCCTCATTAAGTATAGAAGTAAAAACAATCTGTGCACATTGAGTAGTATAAACACTGTTAATGCTTAAGAGAATTTGCTTACTTAACAGATTAGTCTAGTCATTCCAATGTAAAAGGGCATTTGAGTAATTAATTTAGGCTTGAATCTTTAAAATGAAAGGAATAAGAGAAATTGACTAAGGTCATAAAAGGCATAAAAACATTGAAGAGAAGTTAAGATTCTCCATATGTACAGTTTTAATGCATCTGATTTATCAGACTAAGATTTGAGAAGATTTGTGCGTTAATCAGGCATTTAAAGTATTTCAAAGAAAATAAAATACATTACATTTATAAACACAGTTTAAATGTTTAAGGGAATTTTATTAGGTTATAAAAAGCACCCTTAAAAGTGATTTTTGAAACTTGCTAGAGTTATAAATAGATGACAAGATTCATAATTTAATTTTCAAAGCTTAAGGAAGAACTGGGTTTCTAAATTTATAATTTATTAAAGTTATACATTTTAATAAAGCCAAATTTTTACTTAATAAAATCAAATTTTAATTTTGGCAAACCTGGATTAGAACCTGAGTAATCTTATTTAAGCACAAACTCCTCCCTCAATAACACTAAAACCCTGACTTTTACTTGGAAATCACAAGCACCCGTTAGTCTGGAGAGCCTGGGGCCATCTTAGTGCTATAGGGAGAAGCCTGCCCAGGAGCAAGGCCAATGCAGAAGGCAGAACCAAGAGATGAAGAGATGGCCTCTTTTAAACCTCCGTATCCCACCATGCCTGAAATCTGACCTACCCTGAACTTTGGTGAGCCAATACAGTCCTCCTTTGTGTCTACATTATTCTGAGTTGTGATTTTCTCACTTGCAAATGAAAGCATTCTAACTGAACGTCTTCCTCCTTGTGATCTTCTCCCCCAGCATTTAAATTAATGGTCATGGTAGGGCAACAAATTGTCTCAATTTACTTAGACATAAATGGTTCATAGTCCATCTGTAAAGTGACTAGAAAGTAATCAGACAAGTTACAGCACTTTTGCTCTATCAGTGGAACGCCTGCAAATCAGAGAGGAAGAAAAATGGGATACTCAATAGGAAACTGGACAAGGAATATTAAAATGCAGTTCAGAGAAGAAAACGGAGCCTTCTCTAGGGTCAGAAGAATGTAAGTTAAAACAACCCTGAGATTCTATTTTCACCCATCAGATTGCCAAAAATTTAGAATTTTGATAAAATCATTTCTTGACAAAGACGTGAAAAAACAAGAATTATGCACTGTTAGTGGGACCATAGTTTATGTGTTCATTTGGAGAACAGTCTGGCAAGATTTTGTAAAATTGAGCACACCAATATCCTCACACGCAGCTTTTCTACTCCTGAGTCTATAGGCCAGAAAAGTTATCTCACAGATGCCCAAGGTACCAAGTACTAGTGGGATGAATACAGCATTGCGGTTTCCAGGAGTCAGAGACAATAAAGATGCTCATCGAAATGAAACAGATAAGTAAAATGTTCACCACATATATACTATAACACTGTACAGGAGGAAGAAGAGAGGAAGGAGGGAACTAGCTGCACATACAGCAACATGAATGGATCTCCAAACCATAACACTAAAAAAAAAAAAAAAAGCTCACCCCTGTAATCCTAGCACTTTGGGAGGATGAGGAGGGCGAATCACTTGAGGCCAGGAGTTCAAGACCAGCCTGGCCAACATGGTGAAACCCCGTCTCTACTAAAAATACAAAAATTAGCTGGGTGTGTTGGTAGGCGCCTGTAATCCCAGCTACTCAGGAGGCTGAGGCAGGAGAATCGCTTGAACCCAGGAGGTGGAGGTTGCAGTGAGCTGAGATCGCGCCATTGCACTCCAGCCTAGGCAACAGAGCAAGACTCTGTCTCAAATAAAAAAAAAAAAAAAAGGAACAGAGTGGATCTAGGGCATAATACCATTTCAGTACATTTTTTAAAGCAAAAGCAATACAGTATGTTTTTCATTGGACACACATCTAAAGAAACTTGCTGAAAGTCGCTTGGAAGGGCACATAGTAAATATACAAGATGTGAGGAGGGGAATGAAATTGGGAACCAGGAGTGAAAAGAGAAGAAAGTAAAATTAAAATAAAAGAGGGGCTGCAGCATAAAATGATGGTGATGAAGTGCCATGAAATTAGGAGCACAAATCAGCTCAGTTCAATGCCGCTAAACAATCTTCAGGATCATACTGTGGAACAGAAAGGAAAAAAAAAACAAGATAAATAACTTAAATTTCCCCCAAAGGAAATCTGGGCTTATAAGCTCAACAGTATCGCCTGCAGCTACTACAATTTACCATAGATGCTAACTGTGTAGTGAAATGGACATTTATGAAATAATAGTCTGTGGCCATAGCAGAGGGAAAGTAGAACACAGAATTACATGGAAACCATGGTTGCAACTACATCAAAAGGATAAAAACGCATAAGAACACAGGGAAACAGAAGCACGTGTAAGGAAGAGGAATCACAAATTTTCTTTAACAGAAAATCAAGTCGGGCACAGTGGCTTACACCTATTATCCCAGCACTCTGGGAGGCCAAGGTAGGAGGATTGCTTGAGCCAGGAGTTCCAGAAGAGCTTGGAAAGCATAATGAGAACCCATCTCTACAAAAAATAAATACACAAAAATAGCCTCAACCTCGAGGACTCAAGCGATCCTCTTGCCTCAGCATCCAAATTAGCTGGGATGCTGAGCTACTTGGGATGCTACTTGAGAGCTACTTGGAATGCTGTTGCAAGAGGCTCACTTGAGTCCTGGAGGTCGAGACTGCAGTGAGCCATAAACGCGCCACTGCATTCCAGCCTGGACGACAGAGCAGGACCCTGTCTCAAAAAAAAAAAAAAAAAAAAAAAAAAACCCGAAAATTATAAAGTACTTTTGAAAATAAGGAATAAACAGAATATATGAATTGACACAAGAATCGCATCACGATTGCCCTTCTTAGCAGCCAAATGTTGGCTATGGCTTCCTTGTTTATTTGTTTTTAAAATTATAGCAGCTGGGCTCTACCGCATGCCCCCAAAGCAACCCCTTCAAAACCCAGAAGCTGAAAAAGACCTCAGAAGAGATGTGAGGAAAATTGACAAAATGTTTACAGTTGTTCTGTTAGGTGTCATTACATGAGGCTGTGATATTATTTTCTGTACTCTTTTGCATATTTGAAAGATTTCATAATTAAAAGTAAATATAAATTAGTGTAATAAGATGCAAAATGGGGCCAGGAGCGGTGGCTCACTCCTGTAATCCCATCACTTCGAGAGGCTGAGGCGGGTGGATCACTTGAGGTCAGCAGGTGGATCACCTGAGGTCAGGAGTTCGAGACCAGCCCAGCCAACATGGTGAAACCCCATCTCTACCAAAAAAAAAAAGTACAAACATTAGCTGGGCGTGGTGGCACATGCCTGTAGTTCAGCTACTTGGGAGGCTGAGGCAGGAGGATCACTTGAGTCCAGGAGGTGGAGGTTGCAGTGAGCTGAGATCGTGCCACTGCCCTCCAGCCTGGGCGACAGAGTAAGACCCAATCTCAAAAAAAAAAAGAAAGATGCTAAATGGCCGTCTCAGAACCCGGCCCAGAGGAGGTCTGCAGAACACCCTGGTTCCTCTTCTCTCCCATCCCCTCCAGAGCTCCACCAACGAGACCTCAGAGCTGGCACCATCCCTTACCTGTTACCACCTACCGTGGTCATTGTTTTTTACCTGTTGCCAGACTTGCCCACTATCATTACTAAAACAGTCAAGCTTTTGTTGGAACCATTGGTCATTTTCATCCTTCTCTGTCGACGGTGGAGCAGATCGCCTCCATCTGGGGATGAAACTCTGAACGTAGGAACAGAGGAGCAGCAGCAGCAGCCTCCACCCAGGAGCTCAGGCCACGGCTGCCTTGGCTGGAATGGTGCTGTCTGGTGCTGCTGCTATTTCTACTGCAACCATCACCGCCCTGATGTAGGGCCTCCCAGGCATTCTTGGCCCCTGGGCTTCTTTATGTCAGAAATTTAAGATGTGCCTGATCACCATTCTGTGGGGATATTCTTGCAAAATAAAAATGCCTAAATCTGGAAAAGGCGGAAATCTGGAACTCTGCCATCAGCAATGCCTCTTAGTCTATTAGTGGCCTCTGACCCGGTTCTTCCATGTGGACGCCCTGGGCTGATGATTCCCCGGGGGCTGTGGGAGCCCGGGGTGGGGTGCGGGGAGAGCAGGAGGGATGTGCTGAGAAACTCCTCTATTACCAGCTTTGGAACAATTGGTTTGACTTTTTTCCTAGCCTACGAACAATGCTGCCTCACTTTTTGTTGTCTGCTGGTGGATAATCCAAGACCCCAAACCTAAGATGACAAGATCACAGTAGGTGCGATCGTTCTGCTCCAATTCAGGGCTTTTGAACATTGACTCCCTGTTTCACTCTTCTGATGCCCCGGGTTTTATTGAGAACTATCCCTCAAATCTCCTCATCCTCCTCCTTCTTCCCTCCTCCTCCTCCTCTTGTTCTCCTCTTCCTCTTGTTCTCCTCCTCCTCTTTTTCTTCCTCCTCCATCCTCCTCATTCTTCATTCTGTATCTGATTATCAGTCCCAACCATGTATTGAGTTCCCATAAATTTCTTGAGCTTCCCTGAGAGTTAAAGAGACTTGACAACTTCCCTGCCCATGAAAGAGCTTCTCATTTAGTTGGGACAATAAGAAACCACATGGGAAGTTGAAGAGCACCCGTTGAGCCTGTGGGTGTGCAGTGGGAGCTGTGTACTAACTCCCCAGGGCATTCAGAGCCTCCTCAAACAGCCTGGGAGAAATGTGTCCACTTAGCACCTCCTAACCAGCAAGAACTCAGCTGGGGCTGTACAAAGGTTAAATCTTCAAAGGTCAGGGTGGTATTGGGGGTTTTTAATGATGTGAGAATTCTGCCCTCATTGGCCTCTCAATTGCTCGTACTTTTTCAGAGCTAGAACCCAAAAGGGATGCTATCGTGTTAAGGCATAGGAGGACATGATTCTAAGGAGGGCCTAAGACATGCTGTCTTTGCACAGGTCCAGAAATCAATGATCATACTCAGGATATCCACCTCGCTCTGACAGAGGGATGTACAGGGTGAGCAGGGCCCTGAATTCATACCCTCAGGAAACCCAAAGGACTCCATCAGCCAAGTATTGTTCTGGAGTAGCGAAATGAGCCCTCTTTCCCAGTCCTGTTTCCACTCGGGTTCCAATGAGCCATATTAGAATAGGAGGGAGTGGTTTTAACACGACTCAGGATATAATTTCTTGATTGATTTCCTTCGTGTTTCTCCCCAGAAGATTAAGACTATAGAGCTGTTTAAGATATTGTCAGGCAACTCTTCCTTTTAAATACCAGGTACCTTCCATATTTTAGGATCCTGATTAATTTTTTTATTTATCTAAATTATTGCCGCAAACAAGACCTAGATTCTTATTTTTAAGCAAAAAGCAAAAAGGCCTGTTTTTGCCCCCTACAAATACACACTCTTTCCATGTTCAACAAAGCATATTTCCTGCTCAATATTAAATAACACTTAAAAGTTATGGGTGCTAGCAAGGACGGGGTGAGAGGGTGATGAGAAGAGTGAAATAGGAATAATAAAAGACCAGGAGGAAATATTATGAGAACAGCAACCTCTCTCCAAAATAGTGTCACAGCCACATGGAGCGCCTTCAAGAGGCAGACAAATTACAGAGCCCGTGCAGCAATTCATGAGAATAAAATGATTGAATATTGCATGGGAGATGGATCACCCTTAAAATCTATGAACGTCCTATTTTGGGGGGTAAAACAAGCTAGTTTCTGATACATTTTAAAAAGGTTTATGTTAGTTTAGAATCAATGTGAAGTTTTCCCTGTTAGTAATATTTTGCTTATTTTAATTTCCAGTGGTTGGAAATGTTCTCTGTAGATAAGGTTTACAAAATATGTAGCCCGATTTTATAACAGATAATCCTCTCATTCATTTAAAAAAAAAAAAAAAAGAAGAAGCCGGGTGCGGTGGCTCACGCCTGTGATCCCAGCACTTGGGGAGGCCGAGGTGGGCGATCAGGAGGTCTGGAGATCGAGACCATCCTGGCCAACATGGTGAAACCCCGTCTCTACTGAAAACACAAAAAATTAGATGGGCATGGTGGCACACGCCTGTAGTCCCTGCTACTCGGGAGGCTGAGGCAGGGGAATGGCGTGAGCCCGGGAGGTGGAGATTGCAGTGAACCAAGATCAGCCTGGCGACAGAGCAAGACTCCGTCAAAAAAAAAAAAAAAAAAAAAAAAAAGGAGTAAAATCAATATAGGAGGTAGCACCAATCATCTTTGACAAACACAGAGAAATTTGTAATAATTACCTATGAAGGAATGCTTAAAATGGTCAGAAGTTCCTAGGAATTACAACAGATGTCCTGGTATTTTGGGTATTTGGCCCCAAATCTGCTATGTTCAGCCCATCTGAGAATAAACATAGGCTAGGGACTTGTAGAGACAGCGACAGTGGCCCCTTCCTTGCTTCAAAAGGTTTGAGGGTGTTTTTCACCAACTTTAGGTTAGTGCAGATTTTTTTTAATTTAGTGCAAATTCTTGTAAATATATGTAAGGCAACAAAACATGAAAATGAAAGGACTGATCAAAAGCAAGTGACAGAAACTAATCCATATTTAAATGAAGCATTGCATAATCAACTCTCAGAATGAAAATACTTCCATTTCTCATCGCAAGGTGGCGATAGTACCCCGCTCATTTACTACAGATGCACCCAAGGCCCTGGGAACTTGCAAATACTCATTAAAACAGTGAGAGTGTACATTGTGGATGTGTGACACCTTTTCCCTGTGCAGGTCAAGATTTCTTCAATGAAACGGAATTAATTGGGTAAATATTTACTGAATGCTATGCTACAGGAAGCCCAAGGATTCTTGGTTTTGATATAGACCTTGCGGGGTTACTTCGACACGTGTTTTAGTCTTCTAGAACAAGATGGACTCTTGAGTGGGTTCCTGGCATGGTCTCAGACTACACTGGCTTGGATATAGCTCCAATAAGACATGGTCTTGAAATTTTCCAAGATGCAGATGGTCTAAAATTGGCTTCCTTGTGACAAATTACCACAAATGGTAGGGATTCTTTAAGGCCAGTTGCAGTGGCCTGGGTGCCAGCCTCATTTTCTCCATCTTTGTGCTCCCAATGACAGAATTGCAGGTGGCCTGGCTTAAAGTGGACCTCCCACCATCACATCACCTCCACGCATCCTGTCCCTACTCTGACCCCTCAGAAGGGATATCCTCTCTGACCTGCAAGTGGCCATAACACTTTGAGACTTTTGGCTGGGGAAACCGGCAAAACCCATCCACTGCTGAAGCCAACCCCCTTCCATTTTTCTTTAAGAAAAAGTACATTTTGGCCGGGCGCGGTGGCTCATGCCTGTAATCATAACACTTTGGGAGACCGAGGCAGGCGGATCACGAGGTCAAGTGTTTGAGATCAGCCTGGCCAATATGGCAAAACCCCGTCTCTACTAAAAACACAAAAAAATTAGTCAGGCGTGGTGGTGCGTGTCTGCAATCTCAGCTACTCAGGAGGCTGAGGCAGGAGAATCACTTGAATCTTGGAGGTGGAAGTTGCAGTGAGCCGAGACTGTGCCACTGTGCTCTAGCCTGAGTGACAGAGGAAGACTCTGTCTCAAAAAGTAAAATAAAAAAATTTTAAAAATTAAAAATAAATAAATGAAAAGTACATTTTAATGTAAGGCAATTAATTTGAGTTCATTTGGACAAATGGAGAACAAACATCAGAATGGAGTATCATTAAGAGTATACACTTCTTTTAGCTTAATGAAATTTTGTGTGTACATACATTTCATTCATTAGAAACATATTCTTTCATTCTTCTCTCCATTCGGATGAATGCATAGTCCACTCTGCACTCACCTTCTCGCTAAGCTCATCCTCTCTATGATGCTATGTTCTTTGAACCGCCCCATGCCACCTGCATTAAAAATGTTTCCTGGCCGGGCACAGTGGCTCACGCCTGTAATCCCAGCACTTTGGGAGGCCAAGGCGGGCAGATCACCTGAGGTCAGGAGTTCGAGACCAGCCTGGCCAACATGGTGAAACCACGTCTCTACTAAAAATACAAAAAATTAGCCAGACGTGGTGGCACACACCTGTAGTCCCAGCTACTTGGGAGGCTGAGGCAGGAGAATTGCTTGAACCCGGGAGGCAGAGGTTGCAGTGAGCCAAGATCACACCACTACACTCCAGCCTGGGTGACAGAACCAGACTTGGTCTCAAAAAAAAAAGATCTGTTTCCTTTTGGTTCTTGAGAGACAGACTGTCTAGAAATTTCTAAATTTCTAATTTAGAAACTTACCAGCAGAATACTGCTGGGCAAGTTAAAACAGCACAACTCCGAGGGTCGTGGGGAATGAACTGGGTTCACAGGTGCACAGCACATGGCACGAGGCCAGGCACAAATCACATGTTCTGGGCGTGTTAGCCGTTCCTATTCTGATTGTTCTATATGTTGGGCAGCAGTTTCCGCACTTGTATTAAGTGTGTCTTTTTATTCTGATGCTTTGACATCTAGGACCTTGCTGACTCTAGACAGACTGCCTGAATCAGGCCAGCCAATTTCTAGAGATAGTAAAGGACTCACCTGCAAGTGCACCTTTCAGATGCCAAGCAACGACCCCAGAGCCCACACCCAGCCACCTCCTTTAGCATCTGTCATAGGGCCCTCAGACTCAGGCCAATATTCCCCTGCCCTAATCACCCCAGGGCCAAATACTAGACAACCAGACGCAGTCCCTCCACCCCAGAGCTCACTGGAATTATTCAAACTAGCCAATCCTAAGCCTGCTTAGCCCACCCCACCAGGGAAACCAGGATAAAGGTCCTCGCCCACTATTCCCCTCACCAATTCTGCCTCCTGACTTGCCCTAGTGCTCTCCCATGTGGCCGTGAATGGTGTGGCATGCCCCCTCCACCAGGAGCTGTGAGCAATAGCTATCTTTACAATGGCAGTCTGGCAGTTGTCTCCTGATCTGTTGGCCTCACCATAATTAAATTATATACAATTGAATCATAATATAAGTATGAATAATATTCACAATTGAATAATAATGAAATCTACATTTTAAAACATTTTAATAAGGTTCAAGACAGTTTTGAAATATTGATATTTTCAACATGATTAGAATAAATTTATACCCATAGACATGATGGCCAACTATAATGCATAGAATTATTATGTAACATCTCTTATGAACTAAACATTCTACTGTGTAATTTAGAGAATATAATAATTTTTAAAATAATCTTTAGTCTTCATCACCCCTCATTACTCCTTAGAGGAATCAGGTACATGTGCAACATAGCATAGATTATAAGACAAACTGTGATCATTGCCATTACAGAGATACAAGGAAATATGGGAGGGTAGGAAAAGGAGAGATTAATTCTGGGAAGAGATTTCCATTGTGGATAGAATCCAACATTTTTAGGCTGGGCGCAGTAGCTCACACCTGTAATCCCAGCACTTTGGGAGGCCAAGGAGGGCAGATCACTTGAGGTCAGGAGTTTGAGACCAGCCTAGCCAACATGGTGAAACACTGTCTCTACTAAAAATACAAAAATTAGCCGGGCATGTTGGTGCATGCCTGTAATCCCAGCTACTTTGGGAGGCTGAAGTAAGAGAATCCCTTGAACCTGGGAGGAAGGGGATGAAGTGAGCCAAGATGGTGCCATTGCACTCCAGCCCGGGCAACAAGAGCAAAACTCTGTCTCAAAAAAAAAAGGAAAGAAAAAGAAAAGAATCCAACATTTTTATTTCCTTTTATATGTTCTACATTTCTTTATTCAGTGTTAATTTGGAGATTTATAAAGACTTAAAAATCACTTTTTTAAACTAGTACATTCTTGATTAATTCAAGTAAATCATTGCCACCTGACAAGCTTTTTAGCCTCCAGTAGAACAAATTATGAGTCAATACTGCACACAATTCCTTCTAAGAGTGAAATGAAACATGAGAACTTGTTATAGTTGGAGAGCTCAATTATATACGTGGGCAACTTACATTTTGTTGCCAACTAACTTGGCCTCGTGACAATCTAGTAGGTTGCAAGTTTGCTTGGCATAAAGTTTAACTAGGAATGAAAATTAGCAAAAGTATTTAGAAATTTTTTATCCTTCTATTATATAGTTTAACTGCTTCTGTGGATTATTGTTTTTCCACTTAAAGATAATTTTTATGATCAATAAAGTATTACGCAAACAAGAATCCACTTAACACTAATATCAGTTAGGCATCAGCATGTCCCTGTGATGTACATGAGTCATCTTACATAAAAATGACTGCAGTGATTTTTAACAAAGGAATTCTAGGTAGTCCCACTAAGACTGGGACCTGTGAGGCTCATATGCAATGACAGGTGTCTTTTTTGCCTTTTCTCAGTTGCTGTCTTTACCTCTTCTGGGTAAAAATGGCCTTGATAAGGCCATTGCTTTCTGCCACTGGCCCTTTCCCACCATGTCTGGGCAAATGCCCTCATGGCCTCTTGTTAGCCTATACGGCATCCTTGTGTAAATTGGAAAAAGGAAAACTTTCTTTGCAACCCTCAGCTGTCCCCTCTGAAAAGTTATCTTAACTAACATGAGTCCAAAAATGCAAAAATAATGAAGGTAGTTCCTCAAGTGTGCACACCCAACCTGTGCAGTATGATAGGACCCTGGTTGCTGTGCAAAAGGGAAATGTACCTTCCTGTCTATCCCAGTGAACACTGGATGTCTGTGTCCATGGCTGTTTGACAAAATGCTTGTGTTTTACAATTAATATAGAACCCAAGTTTACAGTTTTTATCAATTAATATTCCAGGTTATTCCAATCATAACCCCACTTCCCATCACTTGCATTCTGATCATCTTAGCTCTGAATTAGAGCTAAAGGATACAGTTTATGCCGGCAGAATGAAAACATCCCTGGACCCCAATCTCTAATGGTGACCTGGGATTGATGTACAGAATTGTGAATTTTGTTTTTCTGTCCCTTTTCCTTATCCTTCTAACTGTGGATACATCTTTATTAAGAAAAGGACAAGAGACCAGGTGCAGTGGCTCACACTTATAATCCCAGCACTTTGGGTGGCCAAGGTGGGTGGATTGCTTGAGTCCAGGAATTTGAGACCAGCCTGGCCAACATGGCAAAACCACATCTCTACTAATACAAAAATTAGCCAGGCATGGGGGTCCACACCTATAGTCCCAGCTACTCAGGGGACTGAGGTAGGAGGATCAATTGAGCCCAGAGGTTGCACCACTGCACTCCATCCTGGCTCATAAAGTGAGACCCTGCCTCAAAAATGAAAGGAAGGAAGGAAGGAGAGAAAGAAAGAAGAAAGAAAGAGAGAAAGAAAGAAAGAAAGAAAGAGGAGGAGAAGAAGGAGAAGAAGAAGAAGAAAAAGGAGGAGGAGGAGGAGGAAAGGAGGAAAGGTGGGAAGGAAGGGAAGGAGGGAAGAAAGAGAGAAAGAAAGAGAAAGAAAGAGGAAAGAAAGAAAGAAAGAAAGAAAGAAGAAAGAAAGACGTGGAAAGATAAAGTAGAGTAGACCATCTACATTTACATTTTTACATTTTTTGGAGTGAAAAATAATGCTGAGAACATTTCTGTGGGTTTCAGTGGAAGTTAATTATCACCACATCAAACTAATAAAGTAAATAATAATGTATATTACTACAAAAAATCAAGTAAGCTATACATGAGTTTATTCTTCAATGCTACCTTGTCTTAGTCCGTTTTGTGTTGCTATAACAGAATACCTGAGACTAGGTCACTTATAAAGAAAAGAGGTTTATTTAGCTCATGGTTCTACAGCCTGAGAAGTTCAATAATGGGAGACAGCATCTGATGGCTTCTGGTGAGGGCCTCATGCTATATCAAAAGATGGCGGAGAAATGAAAGGGGAACTGGGTATGTGAAAATAGGGAAAAACACAAGAAGCAAACTTATTTTATGACAACTCACTCTTGAAGGAACTAATGTATTCCCTTGAGAACTAACCCAGTCTCATGAGAAAGACATTAATCCATCTTAATGACCCAATTCCCACTTAAAGGCACCACCTACCAACACTGCCACATTGAGACCAGGCCTTAACATGAGTTTTGTTGGGAATAAACCATATTCAAACCATGGCATTAGGTATGGTAAGTACAAATAGGTATATTTTTTAATATTTTTTGTGGAGTCAAAATAATAAGGTTTAAAATGATGTATTAGATTAATATTCACATTCTCTTAAAAAATGAATTTTCAGATCTTTTATACTACTAAATCACATACTTACAACATGTGTTTATCATGCCTCGCCCTCATCAAATACACACACACACATGCTTATCCACAAACACTACACACTATTTAATTGGGTAGAAGTCAAGGGTGTCAACGTGTGGGTATGCCCATGAACATAAGTTCACCCTGGGAACATTGTCTCCATGTGTTTCTGTGAAAAGATTTGAGAATTACAGTGTATGAGTTTCCCATGGCTGCTATAAAAAATTACTACAAATCGAGTGACTTAAAACAACAACAATTTATTATCTTACAGTTCTGGAGGCCAGAGTCCAACATGGATCTGACAAGGCAAAAATCAGGATGTTGGCCAGCCTAGCTCTTCCTAGAGGCTCTAAGGAAGAATGTGCTTCCTTGGCTTTTCTGCCTTCTAGAAGCCACCTGCATTCCTTGGTTCATGATTCCATCCTCACATCCCACCACCCTCTTCCTCTTCGGTAGTCAAATCTCCCTCTGCCTCCCTCTATAAATTCATTTACGCTACAGGATAATCCAGAATGATCTCCCCATCTCAATACCTTTAACTGATCACATCTGCAAAATCCCTTCTGCCATGTAAAGTAACATTCACAGATCTGGGGATTAGGAACTAGGTATTCTTTGGTGCCGGTGCTCAGCTATCCACACGTGGCAACGTCATGAAGAGGCAGGAATCAGTGAGTCAGACAGCCAGGGCTCCACTTACTAGTTGTACATGATTTATACTCTTTTTGCTTCAGTTTCCTCATTTAACCAATGAGGAATATTATAATGGTACCTCCGTGGTAGGGTTGTAAGAATTAAATGAGTTAATAAATGTAAAAATCTTAGACTCTGAATTGTACGCTTTAAAAAATCTTGTTTCCTCAGACATACTAAGTGCCCATCATGATCATTATTATTCTACCAAAGAATTGCACATCCCAAAGAATTGCACATCCCAAAGACAGACACAGACACACACAACCCAGGCTCATTTTGTCTTTTTATTTTTCTTACCTTGGTTCCAGGCCCACAGCCAATGGGTGCTGGCTCTCCTCTGTGTTTTCCAAGCCCGGTGCTTAGCATGCCCAGAACCCTCCAATTCTCCCTATGGCAACCCCTCACTGAGTGCCAGGGACCTTGTTTCAGCTCCTGTCACACTAAGCAAAAGGTCCTGTTGCCATGGCCATTTGGCAGCTAAGAGTGAGATCTTGGACCAATTCCTTTTTTCCCATCTTGCTACCGTGATGTGATTTCTCTCCCATCAGGCTCAAGCCTTCCTTCTCCTCTCCTCTGCATCATACAATCACCATCCAGAGACACATACTCCTTTTTTCTTTCAGTGTTTCTCATGGAACAGACTTGTACCATGCAGTCACTCCCAGCTCCCAAGTCATCCACCCGACAGCAGGTGACCTCACTGGGTCTTTGTGCAACTCTGACTCAGGGGTAACTAAACAGAAACTACAGAGCTAT